>NC_000012.12:59960128-61210128 GCF_000001405.40 Homo sapiens
GAAATTTTTCATTAGTCTAAATCAAAGCTATTGTTTTAATCAAGAATATTTCTTCATAATCCACTGATTTTCTTCCATGATCATTGCTTCTATACTATATTATTGCTGTTGATTCCTAAATAGTATTTCTACATACATACTTTATATTATAATCCAATCCTCATATTTTAGGCTATTTTTTAAAGTTTTAGACTGAGGTTCCATTGTGTTTAGGAAAAAAAGTTAATGCATAAAGCAAGTCTTTTCTAGTTTTATTTTCTGTTGTTCTTTTGCTTAATGTGCTTTAATGGTTTTATTTAAAAGTTTTCAACTTTTTCAAATCAGCTTTGCTTGCTCTTACCATACTTGGCAGTCTTTGCATGTGCTATGCCATCTCCTTGGAAATCTCTCATTGCCATCTAAGTCATATTCATGCTCAATGTAGGAGACTTTACCAAATATTCCAATCTAGGTTATGGTCATCTGATACATTCTGCCATGCCACCATGCAAGTCTTGATTTCTGTTACTCAATGTTCTCAAAATTAACTTGGTCAAAGTTTTGTTTTTAACACTAGAGTGAAATCTTCAGAAGATGATATCAATAACATTTCTGATACTTAATATTTGTTGGATGTGTAAATGTCTCAAATATTTATGGTGTCTACTCTTCCAGATACTATTTTAGGCACTAAAGATACAGCAATGAGCAAAATTGAAGTCATTGCTCTCTTGGAGATGCCATTCTGGTAATACAACGTTGACAATGAAACAAAACAAATAAATTCATATCAGTTGATAATGTGCTAAGAAGAAAATTAAAGCAGGATAATGGAAGAGTGATTAGTATAATATTTTACATAGGTTGAAGACAGTTTTCTTTTTGATAAGGCTTTATTTAGTGAAATACTTGAATGAAATAAAGTACCATGATGGATATCTAACAGGAAAGCAATTTAGAAAGAGGGATTCTCAAAGGGCACAAGGCAGTGTGGGCTTGACTTGATCAAGGAGGAAGCCAGTACTCCTGGGGTAGAGCAAGTGAGAAAATGGTAAGAGGACAGCAGATGAGCCAGCATCTAGGGCTTTAAGAACACAGTTAGGATTTTGACTGAAATAGTGAGCTATTGCACATTTGTGAGTGCAAAAGTGACATGATCTGGCTTTCTTTTTCAAAAGAACAAGATGGCTGCCTTGCAAAGTATAGGCTTTAGAGAGAGTGAGTATGGAATTAGAAAGACCTCATAGGAGACTACTTACATGGTCCTGGTAAGTGATGATAGGTTAGAGCAAAGTGATCAAAGTAGAAATATTTAGAACTGGTTTGATTCAGGATAAGTAAGGTAGAACTAACAGAATTTGCTTATGAATTTGCTGTGGGATAACAAACATGGAACAGCTTACTATTTCACTCGCAGTCCTAACTATGGTCTTAAAGCCCTAGATGATCACTCATTTGCTGTTCTCTTACCACTTTCTCACTTGCCCCACCCCAGGAGCACTGGCTTCCTCCTTGACCAAGTCAAGCCCACATTGCCTCAAGCCCTCTGAAAATCCCTCTTTCTGGATTGCCTTCCTGTTAGATATCCACCATGGAACCTTATTTTATTTAAGTATTTGAAAAATTAAACTATAATATATATAATTCCAAGAGTTTTGGCTTAAGAAACTGGGTGGATGATGTTGTCATTTACTGAGATGAAAATAGAGAGGAGCAGATTTGATAGTGGCAATAAACAACTCAGTTCTGGACATATAAAGCTGAGATAACTCAAACATAGTCAAGTGAAATAGTGAGTAGAGAGTTAAATATATGAATAAATAAATTTCACTTACTGTGTAGTCATGAAACAAACACGCTGAGCCTTGGTTTCTTGGTCTACAAATTAACCCAGTTACATTCTTTTTTGTGATTAAAAGAGATATAAATTCAAGTATTCAAACTATACCAATATGAAATAAACATTCCATACATTTTAGGATTTTTTTCTCTCATTAAAAGTCAGCTGATTTCATAATTTTTGTGAGATCCAAATAGGGTATAGGAAAATTTCTATAAACTCAGAAACATCAAAATATAAAGTGTTAGTACTATTACCACTGGCAATATAACTAATAAGATCTCGGTACATTAAATTTGTTTTTATGCTAGCGTTGCTTTTGGAGTATAAGGCAACAGATTAAATATGTATAGGAAATATAAGGTCTATTTCTTTGGCTTTTGTGTAGTAGAAATCTCAAGAAAAAGAAGCTGTTTTATTTTCTTGACCTTTATATAACCTTCAAGTCAATAGAAAATTGTAGTTCTTAATCATTAGTTAGACAAAAGTCATATTAGTACCCAAGTATTATTTATGGCATTAATTTCTTAGAAGATACATTACAAGTGGGATAATTTTTCCTGTGAAAGAAAAGATACAATCAACTAGGAATCACGACCACTTTTCAGGATATAGAAATAGATGGTGTTCAGTGCCACAAATACAATTTATCCTGGTATAATCTGGTTTCAGTCTGATTAGACATCAGATAAAGGGAGCAACACAAGCAGAATATCTTCTCTAATAAAACCAAATTTTTATTACAAACCTATCAGTAGTGCTCTTCTTTCTTTAATCTTTGTCAACGTCAACTATTCTAAGTCCTGAATACTCATGAGACGCTGATAAAGACAGTATATCCTTTCTGCCCTTTTTATCAGCATAATGTAGAAAATGAAAAAAGGATCTCATTCTGATATCTATCATGTTAATGGTCATGAAAGTAAGATAGAAAAATGACATATTCATTTATTTAATGTAATAGGTTTAGTTCCAAAAGTCAGAGAGAAGAGATCAAGTGAGATAGTCATTTCTGAGTTAAAAAAAACTGACTATGGTCCTATAGAAACTCACTAATAAGTGTTTAATAAATTCTAAGATGGAGATCAAAAAGAACAATTCAAAAGAGATTTTCAACCAAAAGTCAAATACGTTTTTATATTCCTATATTTCCTCTGTGAAAAGCTACATTGTCTGAGAGTAGTTCTGAAAACCAAAAATAAAACATTTAAAAAATGGAAGAATAAAGCTAATAGTAAAATGTTGAAAGTGACAACTTGATCAGTGTGAAAATGTATGAAGTAAGCAGACTGACAATAGTATATTAAACTCTGAGTAAGAGTCAGGCAGAGGAGGAGGAGTCATCACCAGCAACTGTTAGATATAAAGGCACCAAAGTGTGCTCCTTCAATTAAGTAACTGGCTTTTCTCTCCTTATTTTGTTGTATTTAACTTAGAGGTCTGAGTTGCGATATGCATCTTATCCTTATGTCTGGTTTAATGACCTTGAACATGAAAACCTGTCTTTAACCCCCAATTCTTGGTTTGCATATGGATTATGATTTCCATTACCTTTGCTTTTGATCACTTAGTTTTTGCTTAGTTTACACCACAGATTTCACTGCTTTTTCCTGACTCATAACTTTTTATTGCCTCCTTTCCTTGATGGCTTTGCTTGTGTATCTAATCCTTAACCTCCTCTAACTCTGATTAACTCAACTATGGTGGCCCATATAAAGAACCAGACACTCATTGGCAATGAAGATGATTTAGTTCGGATAAGAGGTTAAGTGATAATTGGATATGTTTTACTGTGCCTTTTACAATCAGAAGGTGCTAAAAATATTCCTCTCACCTCTCAGAGTCCAAAAGCTGAGATACATCCCTGTTATCTTTGGTAAGGCCTTTTCCTTGGTAGATAATTTCCTGACTTCAGCATGTTCTCTTTGAGTGCAGAAAAAGAAAAGCTATTGCTGTTTGCAAAGTTCTCAGCTTTCCTGCAGAATACATTGCTTTATTCATTAAATCAATAAATATTTCCTGAATAGGCAGAGCACTATAGTAAACATTAAGAGATCTAAAGCAAGGTAAGGCTCAGACCCAAAACCCCGAAGCTTATCAGTGCTAGACACCTGGACCAAAAGGTCATCTCTGAATCTTGATAGCAGTACCTTATGTATGTAGGTGGCAATTCTCTTAGGGTTCTTATAAAATCATACAATGGCAACTAAGTGTCTTGCACTGTGGCATGTTTTAGTCTGTTTCGTCTTAATGGAGATTGTCAGAGAATGTAGAATTAAGGACGAAAGAAAGAAACTGCATATACTTTCAATGTATGCATTTTTAGAAACACACAGCACTTAATAAATGCTCTAATAACATTAAGCAAGATTAAAAGGGTTTTATTGATCTGTATAGATTTATATTTGGACAAAAATTATTTTCTTAGAATATATTCCAAGTAAAATAGCTAACCAAATGAGAGTGTAAAAAAAATTCTTCTGGAGGTCCTTGCAATATATCAGACCTGAGTGCATGTATGTGTCATGATTTCCTATCATCCTACTTTTTATGAATCCAAACAAATTGGTTGCTTCTATACTAGTATCTGAAATATGTTATATTCAAAAAGCAATATTATAACCTTTACTCAGTGATTTTTAACATTCTAACTGATTTGTCAGCTGAATGTGTTTTCCAAATGCTTTCATTAGTTATACATTTTTCTTTTATTTTACAAATCTTTCCAAGAGAAATATAAGAAATGATTACATTTCCAGAACAAAAGAAGAAATACATGTCCAGATTCTGAATGGACTGTCTCAAAGAATCTTCACCCTTAGAGGGGAAGTTATTGATAATTAGGCTAACTCTTTTCACGAATGAAGACCCTGTGATTTATGTCAAGTCGTTTCTTTTCAAATCAGGCAATATAGCATAATGCTTACCTATCAAGGCATTTGGAAAAGACTCAGAGGTTCCATGCCAGCTGTGCCTCTTTCTAGAAAGTCAGCTATTCTCTCAATTATCATCATTATCTGTTAAATTAGAATAACAACACTTCTTACCTCACAGGGTTATTTTAGGATTATATGTGACCCTGCATACAGAGCACCTAGTAGGGGGTCTAATAATATTCTCTCTCAGCTTGACTCTAATTAGGGACTGCCCAAGTGGAAAGGTGAGAATAATTATTCACAGGCTTGTCTTTAAGAATCCATGAGAGACATTTAAGTTTAACACAAAGGAGGAAGAGAGAACAAATATGTATGTTGGGAGTGGTTGGGGAATGGTGGGTAAAAAGGAATTTGCACCTTGCTAAAATCAGTTCAGTGAAATATATTTAATGATGTATACCAAATCTCCAAAGGAATATGAAAGTGGAATGGAATCCGTGAGTAAAATAACCCATTGAGGGTTGCAGATCGGGCAGTGATAATGGCAAGTTTGGACTGACCACATAACCAAAACATTAAATGAGCTGAGAATTAAACTCAGGTTGTCTGATTCTTAATTTAGAGCCACTTTATCTTTCTTTCACACACCCCTAGGATGACATTCCTTGGCTTTTTTTTTTTTTTTTTTTGCTTTAAGTTAATGCAAAGATTGATGCCATTGTAAATTCTTCTATAATTTAGAACTGTTCTGGATTAGCTTAGTCCAAAGTTGAATTGACTACTGATCAAACCAATAGTAACATTCCCAGGATATGCAACTTGGATTCCTGAAAGATAGTTCTCTTATAAAATGACAAATTTCAAAGCAAATTATTTTGCCCATTTCTGTAGCAGTCTTATTTTCTTGTTCACTCACTGAGGTATAAGACATGACAAGCTTCCTTTGACAAGGTTTTAATTAGTTTCCATATGTGTTACTTTTATACCATGTGGTCCTGGAATTTTCTTTTTGTATGGGAAAAAAAAGGCCACTTAAACCGTTTTAATTATTTACCTGCATCAGTTCTGATAATCCCCAAACAGATGGCTTTGCCACTTTTTTGCTTATTTGTGCTTCTGATTTTTTTAAAGCTTTGCTTTCATTCCAGCAAGTCAGATGGACTACTTTCTGAGCAATTGTGTTAGAGAAAAAGTAAAAGATCAACTGTAGGTCAGCTGAAGGATTTTGTGCAGTTAAACTCAATTACAGGGAATGACTGAAATGAATTTAAAATTGCCTTTCCTGAAGGGTGAATGGATGTTGTCCTCTGGTTTCTGACAGGACAGTGCTCATACGGCTTTATCAAGACGGACAAGATTTTGGCTTTTTAAAATATATTTTTGGTCATGGGAGTTGGGTGGCAGAAAAGAAAGTTGTTGTTTGGTTTGAGCTTCATTCCATTTCCACAGCTGCATTAAACTAACAGCCAGTTTGGGCAAGAATAAATCATTTTGTATAAGCAAATGAGGCATGTATTTGACAGGACTGACTAATTTTTAACGTAGATGAATCTTTTCCACTCTTGAAAATGAAGGTGCTAGCTGTGCTGCCTTTTGAGAGTCAAGGGGGAACACTGACCCCTTTCTCTTCCTCTTTCTTCTTGACCTTGGTTAATCTTGTGCCTGGCAGAGAGCTGCAAAGAGGAGTCCACAGGAAGGCTTGAAGGCTATACTCTCTCAGAACTTTGACAATTCTTTCTAATCTCAGAGTGTCCCTTTATATCTCCGCCAGCCTAAAAATTCTATTTCCACCCCATCTCCTCTTTTCAAATCTCTGCTTTAAATTTGCCTCCTTCAAGAAACTTCTCCTTTTCAAGCTCCTCCACACTAATTCCCCAAAGCCTTTTGTTTGGCATTTACAGCATGAACACTTATTCTTATTTACATATTATACTTGAACACTTCTTTTAATATACGTATGAAAGTCCTGTGTTCTTAACTGGATTTTTAAATCCTTCTAAAGCCAGATATATTATTATTTCATTTTATGCTGTATAATACTTAATACTCTCTATCCAGACAGCATTCCAGAAACTTTGAAATTCCCTCTTCTCCCACCTCTCTGCCTCTCACTGATTTTTGAATTGGTATCCCGAGTTTCTTTCCTGCTCTTGATTTTCTTGGTTCACAGTCCTTCAGTTTTAGCAGTTGTGGCTATTTAGCCTCAGCTGATAACGCCATTCTCATTATTCACTACTCTGTTTATTTACTTCTACTTAATAATATATCTTATTTGCCATAGTATCTGTTCTAAATTTTCACTAGGCTTCTCAGTCTCCTTAGCCTTATAACTATTCTTGACTCCAGCAAATGACATAGCCTCCTACATTACTGCAAAATTTGAGGCTCTTCATCTCCTTTATCTCTACCTCTATTTTATAGGTGTATTTTCATACTACTATAAAGAACTGCCAGAGATTGGGTAATTTATAAACCCAAGGGGTTAGTTGACTCACAGTTCAGCAGGGCTGGGGAAGGCCTCAGGAAACTTACAATCATGACGGAAGGCGAAGGGGAAGCAAAGTACCTTCTTCACGAGGCGGCAGGAAAGAGAAGTGCCCAGCGAAGGGGGAAGAGCCCATTATAAAACCGTCAGAATCCATGAGAACTCACTCACTATCACGAGAACAGCATGGGGAAAACCGCACCCCTGATTCAACTACCTCCACCTGGTCTCTCCCTTGACAGGTGGGGATTATGGGGATTATCATTCAAGATGAGACTTAGGTGAGGACACAAAACCTAACCATATCACTCTGTATCTTCCCACCTGTCTCCTTTGTAGCTGCTGCCCCTGAAGAGGCGTCCTTCTTCCCCTCCAGCACATGCTGCTGATCCTTCCCATGACTTACTCTCCTCTCAGAAATGCTGACCCATGGATTACTTACTACTGCTACCATCTCTACTCCCCTTACTTAACAATGTGCTTGAATCTGTCTCTGACACATTGTAGATTCCCAAGAGCATTCTTGCATTCTTGGATGAATGAATGATTGCTCTTTTATTTTTTCTTCTTTTTTTTTGGATGGAGTCTCGCCGTTCTGTCGCCCAGGCCGGAGGGCAGTGGCGAGATCTCGGCTCACTCGGCTCACCGCAAGCTCCACCTCCCGGGTTCACACCATTCTTCTGCCTCAGCCTCCCGAGTAGCTGGGACTACAGGTGCCCGCCACCACGCCTGGCTAATTTTTTGTATTTTCAGTAGAGACGGGGTTTCACCGTGTTAGCCAGGATGGTCTTGATCTCCTGACCTCGTGATCCGCCCGCTTCCGCCTCCCAAAGTGCTGGGATTACAGGCGTGAGCCACCACGCCTGGCCAGTGATTGGTCTTTTCTAGCTACTCTTTTTCTCCATCTAGCTACTCTTTTTCTCCACTTTTAATATCAAAGTGCTGTATATATTAGGCAACATTTGGTGTCTTTACTTTCTAATCACAGATGAATTGCGTAATTCTAGAAATCACATTTCTGTGTTCATCACATCACTGAAATTCCTTTCAGCAGCAGACAGGAGACTCCTCCGTGTTGCTTTCTAACATCTTCTCTCATCTCTTGTTTTTCTTTATTTTTTCTCTTGGCTCTACATGTCATTCACTTAGTTTTGAAATTTTCGAATCTGGTTCACTGTTAATTGCACCCTCTTTTTTCCCTTTACATTTAAGTGTCTTCCCAAGTTTATTTTTTCCTTTCATCTACTCATTTTTTCCCCTTGAAAATCTTACATAATTGGGTGGTTTCAGTAATCATATTTTTCCTAAATTATCTCATAGTTACATCTTTTGAACTAACATATCACCTACAGGAATTTCTACCTAGAATTCCAGAAAACTGCCTGATCAATCTTGGATCCCAAACTTAAATTCAGCATGCTGTCTTCCTAACGTGTCTACGTTACTTTACAAACAAATCCCTAAAAGTATTTTTATTATTTGCAATAATATTATCCAAACTAATCAATCCATTATTTTTGACTCACCTACAATGTGTGTCATATGTTTCGTCTTATTTCTTATCTGGCTGCCACCTCACCTGTTTAGGCTAACACACCTGTTCATGCCTCTATTATGTCTTGTAGTTGGTTCTTAGCAATTACCACAACTCCAATATTTACTCCATTAATCCTCTGCACTCTTCTATGCCAGCTTAATTTTTCTCTATTGATGAGGCTAACAGTAGCTATATTATAATAAATAAACAACTAAATATCAGTGGATAAATGCAACAAAATGTTAATTATAGTTCACATAAGGGTCCAAGATCATCCCAGGTAGACAAGGAAGGTTGTGAATTTGCCCCATGTAGTTATTCAGAAGCTTAGACTGGCAGAGGCTTTGACAGCCAAAATAGATGGCTCCCAATGTTGCCTTGAACCTCAGCATCCAACTGATTGGGTGGGATAGAACAGCATGGAATTTCCTGTGGGAGGTAATTATATGCACTATGATAGAAAATGAAGGCAATAACTTGTGCATCCATTTCACAGGTTAGAATTTATGGCCATATGGCCACATGTCACTGGAACAGTTCTAGAAAGTATCATTCCTAGCTGTTCAGGCACTTCTCAGTAACAATTCCATAGCATGGAACAGTAAAGCACAGTAGAAATATTTCAGTAGTAAAGCCATGTGGGCATAGAGTTTGCTTTGCAAATTCTCTTCTTGTAATAATTCAATTTCTTTAACAAATATAAAAGTGTCTCACCACGTGTGCACACCTTAGGAATCAGAAATGGAAAATTATACATAGAATAACGGATACACTTTTATGCATTCTATATTGTCCAATATATTCTATATTGACCCATGACTTTTTATCTCCTTAGTAGCTCTGAACGTCAATATTTGTCTTTCCAGCCAAGTGAGGCTGCCACAAGGTTTTGGACACTGCTTTCTTATTGGCTTTTATGCCTTAGGAATAGAACCAGCAAAAATCTTAAGTGAAAAAAAAAGTTATGGTAAATGGTAAACACAGGACTTACTACAACATAATTACTGTTTCTTGGAAATATTATATTTTTGTTATCAATTGAAAGGTTAGTCCAAGGTAACCTATTCTATTTTAACTGTAAGCAAAAACCCCAATAGGGGATTTTAAGCAAGGAAGAAATGTGAGATTTGACTTAAATTTGAGAATTTCACTGTGAATACTGGGTAAGAATAGACTATAAGGGAGGAAGGGTAAAATTGGGAAGAAAAATTAGGTAGCTATTAAAATAATCCAGGTGAGAGATAAGCATTAAGAAAACATTGATGGTGCTATACATTCCCTCCATGTGAGGTCATTCTGCTATGCAGGACTGAAGAGCCCTGGCAATTCCCCTTTAAAGTGTCACCTTCCTGTGGCCCCAGTTTAACTTCTTTTGGAATACTGTCTACGAGTCAAAATAATAAACATTAGGTCGCCCTATAGCAGCACTGTAAATATATATAAGCATTTAATTAACCCTCCCTCTACTATGTATTTTCATTATCATAAAAGATCATATGGATATTTCCTTTCAAGTGTTAGTGATATAAATGAGCAAAATTAAATGTCAGAAATGATTTGCTTCACTTTGAAAAATATTTTCTTTCTCACTCCAAAAAAAAATCTGTCATTGATTGATTTATGTGGGATAAAACAAATCAATTCTTCTCTTGCATATCATCTATTTATTATTAATGAGATAAACAAGTATTTGCCCTCACTTAATGTTTATCTATTTAAAGATACATCAATGTAATATTATTGATTAAATTATAGCACATTGATTTTTAAAAACCATTCAGAATTCTTAAACCATGGGTACAAATCAGGCTTTCTTTAAATATTTTAGCTCTTCAGGCCAGGTGTGGTGGCTAACGTCTGTAATCCCAGCACTTTGGGAGGCAGAGGCAAGTGGATTACCTGAGGTCAGGAGTTCGAGACCAGCCTGGCCAACATGGTGACACCCTGTCTCTACTAAAAATACAAAGATTAGCTGGGCATTGTGGTGGGTGCTTGTAATCCCAGCTAATCGGGGAGGCTGAGGCAGAAGAATTGCTTGGACCAGGGAGGCGGAGGTTGCAGTGAGCCAAGATCGTGCTGTTGTACTCCAGCCTGGGCAACAAGAGTGAAACTCTGTCTCAAAAAAATAAATATGTATATATATATATATATATATATATATATATATATATATATATATATATATATGTATATATATATGCTCTTCAAAAAGCAGTATTACAGAGAGGTTGCCCTGGAATAAATTTGCTGGCTATAAAGGCTAGCCATGTTCCATGCTAGTATTATTAACCTGAGCATATGTACTTATTTAATAAAGGAATTGTGAAACCTAAGTAAAATAATCATGGAACATCCTTAGGAATAAGGACTTATGCTGGGATCACAATAAATTATTCAAATTTATAAATTGAATGCAAAGGATACCTTCATTTTTAGAGGCAAAATTTAAGGTATCTGCAAGATAATTTACTATTATCTTTTTAAAGTTTAGATGCTCTATTTCCTTCCAGCTACCCCATTATCAATAAATATCTAAGGTGAAATGAAGAGAATGCTAAGAGTTACCCGAAGCAAATTGTATTAGTAACAATAATAAAAATTTAATTGACAAAGACTGACAAACCAAAAAATGCTGAAGTTCAACTTTTTTTTCTCCTGTTTCTGTAGTTTTATAAAAACAGCAATTGAGAAAACATATTTCATTTTTCCTTTGGCTACCGAGGAATATAAATTGGTAAATATAAATCTACTTGTAATTCTGAAGGTATAGCATACTTTATCAAGCAATTGGGTGCTTCATAATCTGGCTCAATTGCAATTGGATTGTTGATATGCCAAAGTGAGCTCCAAATACATAAAAATAACTTTGATTGATATATTTTAACGTGAGCAAAGTGATACCTCAAACCTGCATCTTAGCTCATGAGATAAAACATGAGTGGCAGGCATTGCTAAGACTATTCCCTTATGGATGACTGCTGCAGCATATTGAAGAAAACACATTATTAATGGGCTATACTTAGGACATAAAGTTTAGTCAGCAAGAGAAAAACAGCTTTAGTTAATAAAGATAAACAATAACTATTGACTCAGTAAAATGATTCTATATATTTCAAGGGTGTTTCATTGGTAGAAAAAAATTCTGTGTCAAGTATGGTATATTTCTCTTATGTCTTTTCACTTTCTATGATTTATTTTAAAATGTTTTTGAGTACTTTTTATAAGAAGGCACAGTGGGAGATGCAAAGATAAATAGGCACGGCCTCTAATGTCTTGATATAAGGTAGAATGTTATAATTGATAAGAAAACCACAAATATAAAATATGATGCTTGAAATAAAAGTCCACTCTGGCCAGAGAGATACAGTAAGACTGCAAAAATAGTGGTGTCTGATGTGGACTCCACCTGATAGATATTCATGCCTTTTAGAATAGAGGAAAGACATTTTTAAAGAAATGAAACATAGGAAATTGGAAATGGAGAAAATAAAAGTTATGTGTAAGAACCAAAAAAAAAAAAAAAAACACCAAAATCTACATTAGGTTAGAAAAGTTAGGTTGGGTCCAGGTTGTTGAATAATACAGGGTTTATTTCTTTACTCCTGGGACATTTTGGGACTACTGCAATTTTTTGAGCTGACAAATTTCGGGGTGTGTATTAAAGAATTATTTATATCTCAGGACTTTATTAGATTGTTTAGAGAGGGAAAATAATTGGGACAGACAGATCAATTAAAAGCTTATGAAAGTAGACCAGCTAAACTGATTTTAGAGCCTGAGCCTGAATAGGAATGGAACTAAGATAAGGCATTTTTAATTTTTACTTACTGATCTTCCTAAATTATTGCCTCTGTGTAGTTTAAATTCCAATTTAATTTATTGAAAAGTAAAATTAGAAAGTGCAAGTGAAGCTGTAAGTATGACAACATACTTCATAGAACTTGAAATAATACTTAGGCCACAGTTTCCAGGTTTCAGTAGCTGAAACCCCAATTTGGAGGAGTGAGAGCTGCGTCAGTACAGGTTGTTTAAAAGTGACCACTCCAGGCAATTTGGTGATCCTGTTCCCTGAGTAGCAGTGTCTGAGAAAGAAATTTGCATTCAGGAAATTGGTTGGAGAATGCTCTCAGACCAACACCTGACTGGAGCCGGACAGACTTTGGGAGAATTGAACTCCAAAGGCCTCAACCAATCCTCTGCAGAGCTCTAGAACTGAGATAACCTTTCAGAGTCGTCGTGGATTGGGAAAAGGAAACACTAGAGTAGGGCTGGCCAAAAAGAATTCAGCTATCAGTACTTCCAGTGGCTGAGACAATGAGTGCTTCAGTCCAAAAAGTGGTGGTGTCGCAATCTGGACAACATACCACAATAAAGTATACAAGGGAGTAGAGATGGGAAGTCATGTGTAACCTGAGTTCTTTAAGAAGATAATGTCAGCATTGTGGGATGAGAAGCAATTTTCATTTAAAGAGTTAAGTCATCACTGAGTCACACATTTAATTAATTATTCTCCTATTTTTGAATATTTCCTAAATATTTTTTCATTACATTATAATAAGCATCTTATCAGGCATAGTTTTCCATTAGAATTTTTTTAGAATATTTGCTTTTGATATATTCAAATCTCCATGCTTTCAAGGTAAATATAAATACTGATTCTCTAAGTAATAGAATCTGTCAGTTTCTGAAGATCTTCTACTAGATGAATGCATGGCTTCATTCATTCAAAGTTCATTCAAGATTAATCTAACAGAGATTAATTGGCTGCCTAAATGCCTGAAAGTAAACCACTAACGATTACTCATCAGTCAAAAATTTACATTTACCCTGCCCATATCAGAGCTTCATCTTTCTCAATTAATATTACCCAGTGAATCACACAGTTTCACAGTAAACTCTCTTCCTCTGAATTTATAAAGCACAGATACGATCTGGTCATACTATTCTTTATTGGCTGGTGCAATCATGGAAGATGAACAAGCCAGGCAGGAATCAGATGTAAGGAATCACACAATTACTACTGCAGGATGATTCCACAGCTTGTGGTAAGAAATAATTATGGAATGGTGCACAATAACTGTGATTAACTGTGCACCATAACAGGGATGGCGACCTGTCACTATTTGGCCACTGCCTATTCTTTACTGGCAGCAAGTGCCCACAAAATGTGGCAGAGTTGGATGCGGTGACAGAGAGCAAGAGAAAGCAGAGGGTCTAACGGATTTCCTTAGGGCACTTTCAGTGTTGCTAATCAAGAAAGAGCTGTATCTGTATCTAAGCTATACTTATGTCTATATTTCTCTCTATATCTAGTTAATCTATATTTACATAATAGGTATTTTTGTTGTGTGTAATATAATCAGGGCACTTTTATATTCGTTAATTCTTCTGGCAACCCTTTGAAGCAGGAGTTAATGCTATCAATTTTCAAACATATGTTACATAGAAATGGCAGACCTAGAATTGAATCACAGAACAGTCTATTTCAAGCCCACATTCAGAGGTTCCCAATCCAGGCTACCCAGAAGAAACACACTTGGAGCTTAAAAGCAATTACAGAGGCTGGACCACATACCTGGGAATTCTGATTCAATAGGTCTGAGATAGAATCTCAAAAATGTGCGCTTTAAAAATGCATGGGTGGTTCTGACAAAAAACTAAGATGGAGAACTATCGCCTGTAATTATTCCAGTCTATTTTTCTGCATTTTATGTCAAAAAGAGATGGCCACCAAGTTTCCCAGATTGCTTATTATTGAGAGTACTTAGTATTGAGAATATATACACTATGCCTGAAGGTTATGCATTGTGGATGTCTGGTCAAAAAAGTTTCTGTTCCTGTTTAACATCACAGCCATCTGTTATACTCATAAACTTGTAAAAATATTTTATAAGTTATTATGTAAAAATGTACTAATATTATAGATAAGCAGGACATATTGACATCATAGTAAAATTGTTGCATCAATGATGCAAATAATTAAAATACTTAAGTAGAAATATTATTTTCCCTACAGAAATTTTCCTGTTGTAAATACTTTTTGCCATTCTTGATTTATTTCTATTCATAAAATTTTATTTGCATTTTCACTAATGACCATTTAAATTATAATTTCTTAATGGTGCGCAAGTTGCATCAAGATGCCGAGCATTACTGTGAATGGAGATTTTTCAGTCTGAACCCATATGAAAGAACCAACACAGTGAATACCTATTAAGTTATAAGCACCGAACTAGGTACATTAAATTGTTTTAAATTGAGCACTTACTATGTGTCTGACATTATGCTAGGAATTTTATATTTATTTAATTATCAGAACAACCTAGGGATTGGGGAAGCATTCCTGCTTTCTATCTACAGATGATATAGCCAAGGGTCAGAGAGGGTAGGCTAGCTGCTCACGACCACACAGCATCCAAACTAGAGCCGAATTCAATGCAGGTAAATTATCTGAATTATGATGGCTTCCCAAATTGTTTTTGATATTAGGGTATCTAATATTCCTTTTATTGGTTTGAGTGTTATTCTAATTTCTGCTGTGACATTTATTCATTCATTCATTTGTTGTTTCTTAAATTCAGATTTTCATATATATCTGACTCTCTATTCCATTTTTTGCCTTTTCTTTAGATGTACGATGCACAGTATGTTTATCTGGGCCGCTTTCTTTACTATTTATTGTAGTAAAGAAATAATTCACCATATTGGGGAAATATAAATCTAGGAAATGCTATCATTTTCTCAGAAATGGCTGTTTGATATTAAACCTTGTTAATTGTTTCAGCGTGCTAGATATCTAATACAATACTGACAATATTTCCAAAGAAATGCAAATATTTTTGCTTTTTTTAAAAATATTTTCTGTAATTAGCTGTTTTCTAAAAGGGGCTGGTATATTAGTTGTCATCTTTTTGATAAATGCGGAAAGAATTGCCTAACCCTGTGGTATTCCCAGAACATCACTCTCATAATTCTTACATTTTGTAAAAGGTACCCAGATGTGCCTGCTTTCCAGATTATTCAGTTTAGATTGATACAGAGTATTAAGCTCAAAGTCACCAATCCCCACCATATAAAATACACAGAAAATGCCTCCAATAATTTTTCAAGCATAGTTCTTCTCACGTATTGCATCATTTTATTCAGAATGTACAATTTAAAAATGTCCATTTGGACCTCCATAGTAGATACATTTGTCAGCATAGGTCTGGGAAATGTTGCTTAAAGGCTAATGAGTTGAGTTCTGTACTTTAGGAGGTACCTTTTTGATCCCAAAATGTTCAGTTTGAAAATGGAAGCAATGAGAAATGGTAACTGTATTGATATTTGAACAGTTCTTTTTGGTCACCTACTCACATTTCTCTTCACTCAAATCCACTAGGTACGTTGGTCTGTCTCTAATGAAGGACACTAGGTACGTTGGTCTGTCTCTAATGAAGGACACTAGGTACGTTGGTCTGTCTCTAATGAAGGACACATGATAGATGACTATATTCCAGGGTTTTGATGCAAGGAAAAAAGGTACCTACATTCTCCTGTCTCTATTTCATTCTCCTGTCTCTATTTCATTCTCCTTCTTTTTTGCTCTTGCTCTCATTCTTCCTTATTTTTTTCTCCTTTCAAGAGCTGCAATTTTAGCATTATAATAAGATTTGGGAATGAGAGTGACCCCAGATTAGAAGCTACTTTCTTTGGCTTTGGGGAACAAAAGGACAAGAAATAAATCAGGCTGAAAGAAATATTTCTTGCCTTTCTAGTAAAGAAGGGAGTTCCTCAGGTGTTCAACCTACCTCACCATGGGGAAGAACAGGCAGGAATCCAAGGAAGAAGCATTGCTGAAGAATACAGAGTGTATTCATTCTTGAAGAATGGCATCTGAGTATTCATTTATTTTTTAATTCTTTTTTATACTTCAGTATGTTAGTGGGGGGTGGGCCTTAGTATAGATCCGTCATTCTCAATTCAGAAAGTATAGGGAGCTTTTAAGAGCTGCAAATACTATGTATTCTCCCTATTGGTTCAGTTTTAGTTGGTCAGGGCTCGCACACACCTAGTCATTGGACTCTTTAAGGTGCTTTTCATGTAATTCCTATATGCAGCCAAAAGTCAAAACCACTGATCCAGAGACAGCTAAAGAAACACTTCTGGTACTCAATTTCTACTTTAGATCAATCAATCCTGAATAAATTTTCAGAGTTTAATTAATTTCTAGACCAGTTCTCTGAGATTTATTTTGCAATATTAGTTTAGCAGTGTTTTCTGCAATGTCACCCTTTAGGTATTGTGGATTTCAAATTCAGGGGACTGAGCTTATGACACTCCAAAGCAAAGCAGTGACTTGAGGACACTCACCTGAGAAATTCCATTTTTAGGAACAGCCCTGAATTGCACATGACCAAGGAGTGATTCAGTTGGTATGTCAGTGTCACAGAGAAAGGATGGCAGGGCACGGTACAAGGAGGGCAATCACTGACCAGAAGATCCCGTGAAACTGAAAGAGTGAATGAAGGGAAAAGAGGGTTTTGAGAAATGATCAAGCTTGCGATCTTAGATCTGAATTGGTATTTAAATACTTATATTCAGTCGTAGTTCAGCAAGAAGATTTTTCTTATAATTTTCTCTAGCCAGGAATCATGCTCAAAGACAGACAACTCATTTCCTCAGGTGAGTCTAGGCAAATAATTTTATTTGATTAGGAGTCTGAAGATGTGGAAGCTAACTGGAATATCTGATATCAGTAACAAAAAGTCAGAAAAAAAGGAACATCACTGTATTTAATGTTGTTCTATTTAATCTTAACTGCAGCACTCTGTGATACTCTGAAAACATAAAAATGAATCGATATTGAGAATAGGGATTTTTCAAGTTATTTACTCTGGGATTAAGGTGATGCCTGACAAGAGATATAGTACGCTTTTCACACGGTGCTGTAGAATCTCACTGGAAATTTCTGCTTCATAAATAGGAAACTGTATAACATTATTATTTATATTCTTTATGTTGTCAAAATCAGGACTTAGTCAATGGTGTAGCGACCAAACCCGGAGACTAGGACGCTTTGCAGAAGAACCAGTAATGTTGAAACTGTGGGCAGTGACCCTACAGAAGGTGAAAACACATCTGAGACTCCAGAGTAACCAGGAAATAGCAAACTTAGACGTGGTTGGTCAGTATTAGGTGATTCAGAGAAAGGAAGCTACCCTCTTGAGAGAATGTCAGAGGATTTGATTAGCAATATGTAGCTTTTGTAGCTAAAGTAGTTTTATCATGGAACACAAAAATAGGACACTTCTTCTGGGACTGAGATAAAAGTGAGAGCATATTCACAGAGTAAACACAAGGTCAAAAATTGGGGTAGAAGGCACGAAACTGTGGAGAAGGCTAAATTAAAGATAAAACACCCAATCTGACCAGGGACAGTAGCTCATGCCTGTAATCCCAGTACTTTGGGAGGTCGAAGTAGGAGGATCACTTAAGCTCAGGAGTTCAAGACCAGCTTGGGCAACATAGTGAGACTCTGTCTTTACCAAAAAATTAAAGAATTAACCAGGCATGGTAGTGCACATGCTTATAGTTCCAGCTACTCAGGAGGCTGAGGAAGGAGGATTGATTGAGCCCAAGAGTGCAAGTCTGCTGTGAGCTCTGATTGTGCCACTAAACTCTTCCCTGGGCTACAGAGCAGAAATACACTCAACTTGCTCCTGAATAGTGTTTTACATCCCCCTAGATGGAACATGGTAGTGGTGAAATTCTAATGTATCTCAAAGCAATAAAAAATAAGTGCAAATCCTAGTACAAAAATCACATTATAGCATGCAACTCTTTGGTTTGTATTTAGAAGTTAAATTCAGTAGTGTATTTTAAACCTTGATATTACCATGCAAAGTATATGCTAAAAATACATGCAAAATTTTGAACTGTACTTTAAATTTTTCCTCAAATGGGGTGAACCTCATGATGACATAAATATATTTGAAACATTTTTGTATTATTTTATTCTAACTCAAATAATTTCTTTTCTTTTAAAAAAGCTTTATTGAGGTAGAATTGACATAAACTGCATGTATTTATAGTGCACACTTGGATAAGTTTTGACTATGTGTGTGTGTGTGTGTGTGTGTGTGTGTGTGTATATATATATATATATACACTTATGAAATCACCACCAAAATTAACATAATAAACATATCTATCACTCTCAAAAGTTTTCTTCTCCCCTTTTGTAATCCCTTTGTCCTGGTCTCACTGCCCACATCCAAGCAATCATTGATCTGGTTTTGTAACTATAGACCTCTTTGCATTTTGTAGTTTTATATAAATGCAATCATACATTATGTAGTATTTTTGCCTGGGCTTTTTTTTTTCATTCTGCACAGTTATTTTGAGTTGTGTGTTTCAACAGTTTATTCCTCTCCCCTGGTTTTTTTCTTTCCTGAGTAGTATGCCACCACAGGAATATATTACAATTTGTTTATCTATTCATCTATTGATGGATGTTTGTGCTATTTCCAATTTTTAATGAAATAAAGCTGCTAAGGAGCACATGTACCATTTTACCATGTGTAGAATCCTTGTGTTTTCATAGTATAGCTACTGAGCTTCGGAGGTCAGAAAAAAATTAATGAAGAAACTGTTTAAGAGATGTTTCAGAGTGTGTCAACAGAAGGCAAACTGACATCTCTTCCCCTCCGTGACATTTTGTTGTGTTCTGTCAAGGCAAGAACCTGATGTTTCTTATTGACTCAGGAGGAATATATACCTAAATGAGATTCTGTTGTATATTAAAGTATAATGAAGCTAACTTCTCTGTTAGTTTGAATGTCAAATACCATCATTGCATTTCGTTATTCTCAGAGTGCTTTTCTAAGAAACTGTAATGCACATGTCCAAGCTTCATAATTGCAATGTTTTCAATATTATCATCTTCAAATTATTTCTTATTAAATTTTAAAGCTTTCAATAAAAGATATTCATAACCACATTCTTTGATTCCTAAGATGTTCTAAAAGGCAGACTTGAAATTCATTATATTTGAAAGCATTTACAACTCATTGGAAACTGTTCTGCAAAACAATGATAATGGGCAGTAAATAGGAATATTAAACAACATCCTCTCAGTTACTTAGTAAATACTTTGCACAAGTTAAAATCACAGTGTAAGAATTAGTTGAAAGCTTAGATGTTATCCAGTCATGGCTATTCATTTGATACTCGAGGTCAAATAATTTGCTTTGAGCCACACAAGAACAGTTGCTAGTGACTGAGTAGATTTTTAAGTCATTTACCTCTGATGCAGTTTTATTTTTATTACTATTCCTTACTATCTCTTAATATTCCTGTTGCCTTCTCAATTTTTAAAATGGATTTTCAAATGTGGGGAGACATATAATATTTTTATGCTAATTTTTTAAGGAAAATAGATGTGGGTTTTCTTAGCCAGAAGGTGTCATTTTACCTTCTGGTAAAATGGTAAAATAACAAGCTGTTATCACTGTGACAGCTACGAACTTTTGTCCATGGAGACATTCAAAATCATACTTTTGTTCTTCCTCTAAGTAAAATGTTGTCTTTATTTACTTTAGCTTAGGGCTGCTCTTGCTGGTAGAAATGGCAACAGTTTGCTTTAGATTAAATGTTCTTTTAAAATGTCATAGCTCTCTTTCCTCCTACCTAACTACCACATTTCCATCTAAGGAATTTTCTATATATAAAATTTATTCTGCATCTGTAATGATAAAAAAGAAGTAAAAAAGCTTATTTATGCCACATAATAGATAGAGTATGTGCTTTGAGGTCAGAATATTATGCTGCTTAGTAACTGTACAAACTTGTGCATTGGAATTTAGCTCCTAAAGTTTAGGTTTTATTAGAACGTATGTATAAGATTCTCTACTGTGCCTAATTCAGAAGTTTTTATGAGAAGAACATGAGATATTTTATGGGAAAGCACTTTATAGACTACCACATGATAGACAATATAATTGCAATTTTATCAGTTCTCTGAGGTTGGATAAAGCCAATGTGAAAAGTCTTGTCAAAATGCCAAGTCAAATCTATTTGGGTTCCTACATGGCAAAGTAGAGTAAAGTGCTACAAATTTTAGAAATGCAGATCCACTGGGTCAAGACACTGCAATGGCTTTAATAACAAATATTAATTCTGTGCCTGAAGTGTGCTGAACACATGATGAAGGGTGTCCTCATGACGGCTAAAGCACTATTGGAGGGCAAATAGGATGCAGAAGTTTCCCAAGACCCAAAGACTTGTGTGTTGAAGTATGGATTCTCTCTGCCTCATTCATATTTCAGATTTGAGTTGTATAATTGAGCCATAGTTAACTGAGGCTATCACATTTTAATTCAGACATGTAAATTTAACATTTGTGTACTTAAATAATTTCCTGTAAATCAAGCATTGCTAATTCATGGATATATATTAACGGACAGTATCAACATAGGTTCTGATTTCAGTAACTTATAACTGTATACATAAACTTTCAATTGTTTAACACAAGCTGGTGGATGAGTGAAGCTGTAGAGTGATTTGTGAATCTCACCAAGATTTTAGAAGTAAAAGATCAAATTACAATAAAGGAAATACTTCTTTGCATCTTCACTTTATCTCCACTAATTTAATTCCAATACATATTTTTATTGCTGCTACAGTCCAAATGTTTGTGAATCCTCCAAGCCCCAACAAATTCATATGTTGATACAATGTGATGACGGTAGGTGGGGCCTTAGGAAGGTTATTAGATCATGAAGGTGGAACCCTTATGAATGGGATTAGGGCCCCTTGAAAGAAGCCCTAGAGAGCTGCCCTGCCCCTTTCACTATGCAATGACACAGTGAGAAGGCATCATCTATGAATTAGGAAGAGGGCCCTTACTAGACACAGAATCTGCCAGTGCCTTGTTCGTGGACTTCCCAGCCTCCAGAAATGTGAGAAGTAAATTTCTGTTGTTTAAAAGTTACCAGTATGTCTTTGTTATAGCAGCTCGAATGGAATCAGACAATTGTCTACTGATGTTAGTCATTCTCTATTTTTATAATAGGGAGTGTTGTAAAAATACATAGGTAACATCTTTGACAAATTTCCAATGTTTTGTGATAAATATACTATGAAAATTTGTACATAATAAGCATCTGCTTCAGAAAAATGATATTTGTTGATAATGAGAATTTAAAAAACCTTAGCTTAAAATATTGTAGAGTATCTGATATATGTAAATACAGCCCTGGAGTATGATCAGCTTCCAGATTTCATATTCCAAATGGTTCTGAATTTCTATTGCTTTATGGAGAATAATTCTAATTTTAGTTTATGATTGAATTTTTAAAATATATCTGAACTTCAATTTTTTCTTGAGTAGAGATCTCTGGTTTTCTTTGCAAAGTCTGGCTGAAGTAAAAAGAGTAATTTTAATTTTAAATATTTAGAAACTAGATTAAAGTATGTCTGCTTTCAGAAATTATCTTTCCAACTTAAAGGTCACATAAATCTTGAGTAAATTCTTATTTCATTTTCTTTTATTTATAAAGCCATTTTCATTCATATATATTTTAATTGCCAAAACTAAAAGTTAACATTTGGAAGGAAGATTATGACTTTCGATTTCACTTTTGCTGCGATTGTTTTAGATGTTAAGAGAAGTTTAAGCATTGCCTTTTATGGAGCAGCTGTGCAAGCATGGATAGAAGTTGGGCACTCTCACCTGAGCAAGGGCTCTCTCCCACCAAAGCTGATCTGGCTGCTTCTGAATTCCAGAACCACAAAACAAGACACAAATGCCGGGTCCCAGATATATTAACATCTCTCAAGGAATCTAGCTAGCTACTTGGAAGCCAATTATTGATATCAGAATGCTTTTACTATGAAGGTGACAAAGTTTTGGTCCTAGTAGAATATTTATCTATTCTGGATATGGGTTTGTCTTCACTGTTTATAATACTTAGGCCAGGATAACTATGTGATTGCTTTTAGGAAATTTGATTTACTGATACAGGATTCTTAGTTCCACCTTGGATCAAGGAACATTTCTTGGATGACAGACTATAGGCTTGGGATCCTGTTTTCCAAAAAACAGTACCAGTATTGGACAAAAACATATATATGGCACACTTGCTCAATAGCTACAATAAATGATCCCCAAACCAAGAGTGGTAGTAGGATTTGCTCCTCTCACCATCACTCTCAAATTGCAAAATGTATGCTTTGTGCCTATGCAACTGTAAGCTCTGCTGGATTGAAGGTCCTGGTCAATGGGGGTATGCCTCTATCGCATAGTTGGAGACTTCAACACCTCACTGACAGTATTAGACAGATCATCAAAACAGAAAATTAACAAAGATAGTCAGGACTTGAACTCAGCTCTGGATCAAGTGGACCTCACAGGTTATCTGCAGAATTCTTCACTTCAAAACAACAGCATATACATTCTTCCCATTGCCACATGGCACTTACTTTAAAATTGATCACATAATCGGAAGTAAAACATACCTCAGCAAATGCAAAAGAACTAAAATTATAACAGTCTCTCAGCTCAGTCAAATTAGAACTCAAGTCCTGGCATGGTAACTTACGCCTGTAATCCCAGCAGTTTGGAAGGCCGAGGTGGACAGATCACTTGAGGTTAGGAGTTCAAGACTGGCCTAGCTAATATGGTGAAACCTTGCCTCTACTGAAAATACAAAAATTAGCTGGGTATGGTGATGGGTGCCTGTAATACCAGCTACTCAGGAGGTGAAGCAGGAGAATCGCTTGAACCTGTGGGGGTCAGAAGTAGCAGTTACCCGAGATTGTGCCACTGCACTCCAGCCTGGGCAACAGAGCGAGACTCTGTTATTTTATTTTATTCATTTTTTATTAGAATTTAAGATTAAGAAATTCACTCTAAACCACACAACTACATGGAAATAGAACACCCTGCTCCTGAATGATTCCTGGGTAAATAATAAAATTAAGGCATAAATCAATAAGTTCTTCGAAACTAATGAGAACAAATAGACAGTATAGAAGAATTTCTGTGATGCAGTTAAGCAGTGTTAAGAGGGAAACTTATAGCACTATAATGCTCACATCAAAAAGCTGGAAAGACCTCAAGTTAACAACCTAACATCACAACTAAAAGAACTAGAGAACCAAGAGCAAACAAACCCCAAAGCTAGCAGAAGACAAGAAGTAACTAATATCAGAGCTGAACTGAAGGAGGTAGAGACATGAAAAACCATTAAAAAAATCAATAAATCCAGAAACTGGGTTTTTGGAAAAATAATAAAATAGATAGATAGCTAGCTAGACTAATAAGAAAGGAGAGAAGAACCAAATAAACGCAATCAGAAATGATAAGGGGGATATTACTACTGACCCCACAGAAATACAAACAACCATCAAATAATACTATAAACACCTCTATGTATATAAACTAGAAAATCTAGAAGAAATTGATACATTCCTGGACATATACACCCTCTCAAGAGTAAACCAGGAAGAAATTGAATCCCTGAGTAGACCAATAATGAGTTCTTAAATTGAGGCAGTAAAAAATAGCCTACCAACCAAGAAAAGCCCAAGACCAGATGGATTTGCAGCTGAATTCTACTAGAAGTACAAAGAAGAGCTGGTGCCATTGCTACTGAAACTATTCCAAACATTTGAAAAGGAGAGACTTCTCTCTAATTCATTCTATGAGGCCAGCATCATTGTGATATCAAAACCTGGCAGAGATACAACAAAAAAACTTCAGGCCAATATTCTTGATGAACATCAATGCCAAAATCTTCAGTAAAATACTGGCAAACTGAATCTAGCAGCAACATCAAAAAGCTTATCCACCATGATCAAGTCAGCTTCATCCCCAGCATGCAAGATTGGCTCAACATACACAAATCAATAAATGTGATTCATCACATAAGCAGAACTAAAGACAAAAACCACATGATTATCTCAATAGATGCGGAAAAGGCTTTCAATAATATTCAACTTCTCTTCATGTTAAAGACTCTCAGAAAAGGAAGCATTGAACAATGATACCTCAAAATAATAAGAGCCATATATGACAAATCCACAGCCAATATCATAACGAATAGGCAAAAGCTGGAAGCATTCCCTTTGAAAACTGGCACAAGACAAGGTGCCCTCTTTCATAACTCCTATTCAACATAATATTCGAAGTTCTGGCTAGGGCAATCAGGCAAGAGAAAGAAATAAAGGGTATTCAAATAGGAAGTGAGAAATTCAAATTATCTTTGTTTACAGATGACATGATTCTATATCCAGTAAATCTCATTGCTTCAACCCAAAAGCTTCTTAAACTGGTAAGCAACTTCAGCAAAGTCTCAGTATATAAAATCAGTGTGCAAAAATCACTAGCATTCCTACACCAACAACAGGCAAGCGGAGAGCCATATCATGAATGACCTCCCATTCACAATTACTACAAAAAGAATAAAATACCTAGGAATACAGCTAACAAGGGAAGTGAAGGACCTCTTCGAGGAGAACTACAAACCACTACTCAAAGAAATCAGAGAGGACACAAATGGAGAAACATTCCATGCTCATGGATACAAAGAATCAATATCATGAAAATGGCCATGCTGCTTAAAACAGAATTAGAAAATAAAACTATTTTAAAATGCATATGGAACCAAAAAAAGTACTTGTATAGCCAAGACAATCCTAAGCAAAAGAACAAAGCTGGAAGCATTACTCTGCCTGGCTTCAAACTATACTACAAGGCTACAGTAACCAAAATAGGATGGTACTGGTACAGGAACAGACACATAGACCAATAGAACAGAATAGAGAAATCAGAAATAAGACTGCAAACATACAACCATCTTACCTTTGACAAACTTGAAAAAAACAAGCAATTGGGAAAGAGTCACTATTTATTAAATGGTGCTAGGAGTGCTGGCTAGCGATAAGCAGGAAAATTGAAACTGGACCCCCTCCCTTACACCCTATACAAAAATTAACTCGAGATGGATTAAAGACTTAAATGGTAAAACCTGAAACTATAAAAACACTAGAAGAAAATCTAGGCAATAACATTCAGGACATAGGTACCAGAGAAGATTTCATGACCAAAACTCCAAAAGCAATTGCAACTAAAGCAAAAATTGACAAATGGGATGTAATTAAACTAAAGAACTTCGGCACAGCAAAAGAAACTATTATCAGAGTGAACAGATAACCTACTGAATGGGAGAACATTTTTGCAATCTATCCATCCAACAAAGGTCCAATATCCAGAGTCTATAAGAAATGCAAACAAATTTTACAGGAGAAAAACAACCCCATTAAAAAGTGGGCAAAGGACATGAACAGACACTTCTCAGTTGTTGTGGCCAATAAACACATGTAAAAAGCTCAACAGCACTGATTATTAGACAAGGGCAAATCAAAATCACAATGAGATACCATCTCATGCCAGTTAGAACAGCTATTATTAAAAAGTAAAAAACCAACAGAGGCTGGCGACATTGTGGAGAAAAGGGGACACTTCCACACTGTTGCTAGGAGTGTAAATTAGTTCAGTGTGGTGATTCCACAAAGACCTAGAGGCAGAAATACCATTTGACCCAGCAATCCCATTACTGGGTATAAACCCAAAGAAATACAAATCATTCTATTATAAAGATACATGCAAGCGAATGTTCATTGCAGGAGCATTCACAATAGCAAAGACATGGAATCAACCTAAATGCCCATCAATGATAGACTGGATCAAGAAAATGTAACACATATACACCATGGATCTTTGCAAGGATATTATACAGCCATTAAAAGGAATGAGATCATGTCCTTTGCAGGGACATGGATGGAGTTGGAAGACATTATCCTCAGCACACTAACACAAGAATAGAATACCAAACACCACATGTTCTCACTTATAAGTGGGAGCTGAGGGATAAAAACACGTAGACACATTGGTGGAAACAACACACACTGGGGCCTGCCAGGGGTGTGGAGGGAGGAGAGCATAGGGAAGAACAGCTAATGAATGCTGGCCTTAATACCTAGGTGATGGAATAATCTGTGCAGCAAACCACCATGGCACACATTTACCTATGTTAACAAACCTGCATATCCTGCACATGTACCCCAAACCTAAAAGTTGAAAAAAAAAACGGGTCTCACTAAACATATAACTATTCCTGTTGCCTGGTCACTTTGGAGTCCTTATGCCGGTGGATGAAAAGGTGAAGAAAGGACTTTTTATCCTAATGGAGATAATCAGCTCTACCTTTCTTGGGAAGATTTGGTTACTGCCATGTAATTGTGTCAGAGATGAGTGTTTGAAACTTACAGATTTTACTGAGTATCTTAGAACTTTCATGACCAGTGAAAATAGTGCATGGACAATTGCTGAAACCAAACCTGACAAGAGCAAGGGCACTAAAAACACAGACACCCCAGAGATGAACATCTGACTGACCCCATCAGACAACTTGGACCAGGTGAAGTGCTGGCCAAGAGTGAAAGGAATCTAGAGTGGGTAGATGAAGAAGATGATGGATATTAATTATGACTTCTATGTCAGCTGCAAATGGGAACTGTAGGTTGTTTTCTTAACTCTAGTATAAACAAATCTTATATTTAGAGATTGCAACAAGTACCACCTTGAAGAGTCAGCAACACAGTGAACTAAATATGAGACATAAGCAGATTCAAGTGGTATAACTGATGATCTATGCGTGTGATGCGCCATGCAAAATCTTGGCCCACATGAATTCAGCAGAAATGTTGTATACTGTTCATTCACCTGATCTTACCGACACAACACATATATGCAGTACAATCTCTTTTCTGTGCTGCTGTGTAGCTTTCTCTTCAGCTGCAAAAGACTGCTTAGCATTGTGCTACTGCAATCTCAAGTTTTAAGTTAGTTAAAGTGCCCTGGGAAATTCCTCAACCAATAAAGGAAAGGAGTTGGTGTGTAATTCGGTCAGTCCCCTTATTCTCTGGGGAGAAAGGCCAATTTGGAGGCACATTCTGTGTGGTTTCTCATTTTTCCCCAGTGGGATTAAGCCCTATATTTTGCAGAGGGAACCAGTTAATTAACATATACTTTATTGGTTTTTCTGCCTTCCATGTCTCATGTTCTCCTCTTTATTTAAATTTTAAGAGCTATTAAAATATGAGGTATAAAAGAACCAAGGGGAGATTATCTCGATAACTTCCATAGCCTCTCTGTGCTAAGTGGCCACATGCAAATGTACAGTTGAAGGATGTCCTACAGGAATATTTACCTAACACATTTCATTTCATCTGTTTTGTTGAGAGTGGTTAACTGTTTGTCAGTTCTATACAGAATTCAGATTTCTCAACCCAGAACATGTCTGCATTTCAGTATAGTTTCTATTCCCAGACAATGACTATTTTTGTTCTATAAACTTGCTTTTTGGTTTGGGACTTTAATGTAATGTACATTTCTTCCCTTCATCTCCAGATCATGGTGATGCTTAAAATGCAATAAATGCTGCAGCAAAATAAATTGACACCAGGGAGTATGGAAAGGAACATATATCTGCTTAAGGAGATTTTTTTCAACCTCAATCTGAATATTAAACAACGTTTGTGCCATCAAAGAAGGCTGAATCCAGGGATATCAAATGAATAGCCATCCTATTTAGAGCTGGCACTTTTATTCCTAATAGAGTAACAAATATCAAATAGCTAATATCAATTCATTATTCTTTAGCTTAGTTTATGGTCAGTGGCTTTTATACTCATTTATCTAGAGATGTTTTTTATAATAAGATTAAAAAAATTTATGATGTGTTTAACAATTCCACTTATGGTATCAGGAGACTCTAGGTACAGTAAATTTGAGTACGTTTCTGATTATTATTTCTAAATACCATCCAGGAAGACATCTCCAACAATACAATCATTTCAATTCTTTTTCTTTTTAGTCTTGAATCTAGACAATATTTTACCAATACCAAGTAACAGAGGAAATATAAATATTTAAATTTTATTCATCTAAAGTTTCCATATTTTCTATTTAATAGCAAAAAGTATTTAAATGATGACACTGAGGATGCTCAATGCCCAGGCTGGAGTGCAGTGGTGAAATCTCAGTTCACTGCAACCTCTGCCTCCTGGGCTTAAGTGATCCTCCCACCTCAGCCTCCCGAGTAGCTGGGACTACAGGCTAAATTTTATATTTTTTGTAGAGGTGGGTTTCACCATGTTGCCCACACTGGTCTGAAACTCCTGGACCCAAGTGATCCACCACCTTGGCCTCCCAAGTGCTGGGATTACAGGTGTGAGCCACCTTGCCTGGTCTATCCAGGAAATTAGCCAAAGGATAGGAAAGGATAATTCTATCCAACATACTTACTGGATGCTTAGTAGGTGCCTGACACTGAAGCAAATCTAATGCGACGGGTAAATCTATACAATGTAAGTCTTAGCTTTGCTATTTCCTGACAATGTCATTTGGATTATTATTACTAACTTATCTGCCAATTTCTTTATCATTCAAAGGAAAATATGAATTCTTGTATACCAAGCCTGCTGTTAGGGTTTTATGAAATAGTATATGTAAAATGTCAAGCAATGCCTAGGGCAAAGTATTCAACGAATGTTAGTTATTTTTGGACTCCAGGGATCCAGGGATGAACAAGTGAGACATCTCACATGGAGGCAGACAATTTAATATGTAATTAAAATACAGCGTGATAGTGGTAAGTGACAAAGAGAGTGTGTCATAAGACAAAAGCAAACAGAATCTAGATGAAAGTAATATTTAAGTCCAGATCTGAAGAGAAAGAGAAAGTTAGGAGGAAAAAATGAAAAGAATGACATTCTAGAACAAATGAAGAGGCCAAATGAATGAAAGAGTATTATGACTTCGAGGAGCTAAAATAACTTAAGTGTAGCTGAATAGGTAGCATGATTGATGTTGTAGCAAGAGGTAACATGACCTCAGGAGAGGTCAGCAACCTTAAATCAGTGGCTCTCAAACATTTTGGTCACAGGAGCCCTACTCACCCTTAGATACTACCAAGAACCTCAGATGGCTTTAGTTTATATGGGTTATATCAATCAATCAATATTTACCATATTAGAAATTAAAACAGGAAGTTTTAAAGTATTTATTAATTTATTTAAAAATAGCAACAATAAACTCATTATGTGTTAACAAATATTTTTATAATAAATATTTTCCCAAAACAAAATATTGTTAGAAGATTGGCATTGTTATACATTTTGAACATCTCTTTAAAGTCTGTCTGAATGGAAGATAGCTGGATTATTACATCTGCTACTGAATTCAAGCTTCTGTGATAAGTTATTTTTGTTGACATGTATAAAACAAACATAATCTCACAGAAATTAAGTAGGAAAATAGAAGGAGTATTTTAATAGCCCTTTCAGGATCTATAGTTTTGTGTAGATAGTTTTATATAGTCTTCTATCCACAATTATCTATACAAAACTATACAAAAAATCAACATGGAGTAGTTTCTTAAAGGTTAGTTGCAATGTGAGACATGACCCCATGTCGATTAACTTTTAATATACTGTTATATTAAAATTCATTGGTCTATTTTGGACTTTGAAAGTTTTACCCATGTATAATTTTGCATCACCAGACATTTGATCATTTGTAAAATATTGACTCACTGTGTTGTCCCACAGTTGTCTCTTCAGAAAAACTTTTACGTATTGGGAGGTAACAGGTTAATGATGTTTCATTCGTTTCTAATTTTAACTGAGAAGCAGAAATTTTATTATTGGCAACAAATACTATCATTTTTAAAATAGTCTTGCTCATTCATTTTTGAGAAAATGTTAGGCAAATATCCAATTCTTAATAACCACAGTTTGTCTTTCAGTTGTTCTTTCAAGTAAGAATGATGTTCCATTGTGAAAGTGAGTAGTTCAATTTGCAAATGAAACAATTGCCAAGTGCTTCAGAAGTACTTTACCTATACTTCCCGTTCCTTCACACAAAATATTAAAAAGACGTGTCCACGGCCGGGCGTGGTGGCTCACGCCTGTAATCCCAGCACTTTGGAAGGCCGAGGCGGGTGGATCACGAGGTCAGGAGATCGAGACAATCCTGGCTAACACTGTGAAACCCCGTCTCTACTAAAAATACAAAAAATTAGCTGGGTGTGGTGGTGGACGCCTGTAGTTCCAGCTACTCGGGACGCTGAGGCAGGAGAATGGCGTGAACCCGGGAGGCGGAGCTTGCAGTGAGCCGATATTGGGCCACTGTACTCCAGCCTGGGTGACAGAGCGAGACTCCGTCTCAAAAAAAAAAAAAAAAAAAAAAAAAAAAGACATGTCCACAAGGGGTGAGACATGGCAACATTAATGAATCTTACTTCTTTATTGAGATAATTTTTAAATAAAAGTGTATTTTTAAAAACCTGAGAGTGTATGCAAATGAATAATGACCTGGAAAGTTTGATGCCACTGTCTTCATTTGTGATTAAGTGATAGTCCACCTTTATTTTTGCACTATCAGTACAAAGGGCAAAATATATTCGGTATTGTTATGAAAAAGTTATGATCATAAAGACCTCTGCTAGGGTTTCAGTTACCCAGGCATTTTGGCCACACTTTTTCTAAGAACCATCAGATTATACAATCAAAAATATCCAAGAAAAGGAAACTGATTACAATTTTAAGTGGTGTGTAGTTTATGTTATTTAATTGTGTTTGTTCATCATACAAAGGTCTCATTAAGTGTTTAGGGAGCTGTCACGTAAATAGAAATTAGATATGTCCTGTGTTTGGTTTCTATGGGTAGAACTAAAACTAATAAATATAAATGGCAATCAGATAGATTAAGGGGCAGCATAAACATGAGTTCCCTAAACATCACTGACTTTTTCCCATTGAAAGCTATTTGGTGTTGAGTTTCTAGGAACTGAGCCAAGGCAGAAAAATCATCAATGCTATTGGATAGGTTTAAATGCTAGAGAGGTCGCTGGATAAAATGACCTTCAAATTTTCCTAAAATGTTGAGATTCTGTGATTTTTTTATTTATTAGATTACCTGAAATATAAAACAATAAGAAATGTATGAAAAATGACAACCAAAGGCTTTGTAAAATTAGTTCTTCAGGTTTTTTTTTCTTTTTAATTTTGCTGTTTAACACAGTTCCCCTGATTTCCACAGAGCAACTGCTCTTGGAAGGAAATTCTAATGCTATGTCATTTGGTGAAAGCGTCTACCCAAACAATCTGCTCAGGCCTAAATAATGTTAAAAGCTGCACATGGAATTGTGTTAAAACAGAAATAAATTATTTGTAATTTTGCTTAGTGCCAATTAATTACTTTTTTGAAATAATTGTTTTTAATGAAATGTATGTTTTATTTGTCTGGTTATCATAATCACTTTTTGCTTTGTTAATTTATTTTTCATTTTTCAAGTGTGCAATGGAATTTGCACATCAATTCAAAAAGGGTTAGAGCAACTGTACACGTTGAGGAACTACATATATTAAGGAATAACATAATGAGTAGTCAACAAGTTTATTAATTGTTTTAATGAAATTTTACCTCCAGTTAAATTTATGTGACACCTACACAACCATCAGTTAATTTGGAGAGAAAGAAGTGCAGTGATGTTGGATGATCATTGGCTTTCTGTATATTTCAGTAAATCATACTGATAATTTTTGATGCTGTATATGTATAGCAAAATATACTTTGATTTAAAATAATCCATTTTGTATTTTGTCAACTAATTATCATAATGTGTAAAAAGGTGCAGAGAAATCTCCCTCTCTCCTTTTCTCTCTTTCTTCCTATCTCTCTCTCTTTCTCTCTCAGTAAAATAAAAAGTAGTAAAGAGACATAAGAAACTAAGAGATAAAAAGATGCTCATCTGTGAAATACATGGAGGCGAAATCATCAGAGATTTTAAAAACAAATGTAAAAAGAAATCCATGGGTTTCTTTCATTCTTCATTCTCACTGTCTCCTTACTAATATTTAAGAACATTCCAATCACATCATTCCCCATCTGAAGTGGCTATTATCTGCTCCCTTGCTCTTAAATCTCCTCTCTTTTGCATGGTAGCTTCTTTCATCTTTAGCTGTTAAAAGATAACTCTAAACATTGTTTAAAGAACAAGCAATCTGAGGTGAAGTTCAAAAAACACTAAAGAGTATTACATTTATTGAATTGTGCTTAAGATCAATGCATTATGAATTTCCTATTAGAGCTCTTCACTATTTTCTGGACACATTCTTCTATTCTTTGTTACATGTATAATGTACTGAACCTGCAGGTAACCAACATTCAGCTTCACCTTCAGATTTGTCTTGGTTTTCTCATGTGGGCTTTCAGTAATTCTCTCTAAATCAATATTTGTTCTTTCTACTAAAATACAAGCTCTTACAAGCAAGATACAATTTACTGTGGATACGAAATCAGCAGAATATAAGCTCAGAATTGTGGTAATTCTAATGCCTGAGATTTCAATACAAAGAAAAATTATTTAACTACAATGTGGAATTTGTCTGCAATAGAAGTTAATTTAAAATTTCTTAAAATATTTGTCATAAGGTAAGCCTTGCTGAACAGCTTTTAAGGATAAGATTTAAGTAAGTTACAGCACACTCTCAGTATCATGATTACAGTTTTTTTGGAGTTGATTTTTATAAGCCCCCAAATTAAACAAATTTGATACATCTTTTCTTTACTCACTGTGGTTCTCATTTATCAAGGCAAAAATTGTACCTGACAAAATTAAACAGGCAAGGAACACTTTATTTAGGCTATTGCAATAGGAGAGAATGAACTTAACTCTGATGAAACAGAGGGCTGGAGAGTTTTTAAGAGCTGAGGTTGGGAAGATTCTAGGCCACCTCTATTTGCTAATTGGCTTTACCCAAAGGAAAAGTAAACTTTTTTGTATTTTCATGACAGGAGGTAGTTCTACAACTTGGAGCAAGACATCCATGGAAGTTACGCTATTACTCTCCTATAGAAACAGGGAGATAGGGGTACTATCTTCCTCAATGTTTACATTTCAAAAGAATGGTTCCCAGGTCCTTGAGACAGATCTTCCTGTCTGTCCATAATCATGATATTGATACCATAGTCATGATATTGAGAATGTGCTGTAACTTACTTAAATCTTATTCTTATAAGCTGTTCAGCTAGGCTTACCTTATAACAAATATTTTAAGTAATTTTTAATTAACTTCTATTGAAGAAAAATTCTACATTGTAGTTAAATTATTTTCCTTTGTATTGACGTCTCAGGCATTAGACTTAACACAGGTTGTAAAACTCGTAAAAAGCTTGTAGAACATTTCCATAAGTTTCATAGAGACAGAGAAAGAATTGACAATTGACAATTTTCTAAAGTAAATTCTCTAAGCAAAGGGAGGTTGAGTTTAGGGGCAGGAGAAGCTTGTCTAATGTTTGATCAGATTGAGGGAAAGAAGAAAAACTGTTCTGGTCACATGTACATTTTCTTCTATTGAGACCTGTGGTCTATTCCTTTTTCATCAAATTAGGTCATCCTAATTTCTGACAGATAAAATAATTATATATTACCAAATTTGGAGGGAGTGATTATTGTTTCATGGAGTTTTGTAATAAAAATATCCATAACATATTTTTGATTAGTTATTGAGAGCCCACATGTATAAATTACTTTTGAGTACCATGAAGAAACAGAACCTATATTTTCTAATGTTGAGTAGCTATAATGATGTATTTGTCTTACTAATTGGTGATTATGACATTTCTAGTATTTACAAGATGGGGAATGTATTAGTGTTCCCTAGGGGGACAGAACTAGTAGGAGATATGTATATATAAAAATAAGTTTATTAAGGAGAATTGACTCACATGATCACAAGGTAAAGTCCCATGATAGGCCATCTGCAAGATGAGGAGCAAGGAAGCCAATAGTGGCTCAGTCTGAGTCCTAAAACCTCAAAAGTAGGGAAGCTGACAGTGCAACCTTCAGTTTGTGGCTGAAGGCCCAAGAGCTCCTCGCAAACCACTGGTGTAAGTCCAAGAGTCTAAAAGCTGAAGAACTTGGAGTCTGATGTTTAAGGGCAGGAAGCATCTAGCACAGGAGAAAGATGAGGGCCAGAAGACTGAGCAAGTCAGCTTCTTCCACCTTCTCCTGCCTGCTTTTTCTAGCTGCACTGGCAGCCAATTGGATGGTGCTCACCCAGATTGAGGGTGGCTCTGCCTCTCCCAGTCCACTGACTCAAATGTTAATCTCTTCTGTCAACACCTTCACAGACACACCCAGGAACAATATTTTGCATCCTTCAAACAAATCAAGTTGACACTTAATATTAACTATCACAGAGGATAATAATAATTGGAAAAATAATTGGTTTTTCTTTCTAAAGTCTTGGCAAAAGTTACATATAAGACATGCACAATCATTTGGTTTTAACCAATATGCCTTGAATAGATGTCTATTTTAATCATCTCAACATTATTTATTCTGTGGAAGTCTTCAAGGATCTCAAAAGACACATACTTCATGATCTCAGTTGCATGTGAAATCTAAGAAAAGTTGAATTCACAGAAGTAGAGAGTAGAATGGTGGTTACCAGGGGCTGGGGGATTGGGATTGGCAAGACGTTGGTCAAAGAGTATGAAATGTCAATTAGACATTCATTCAAAGAATGATAAGTATGTGAGGTAGTAAATTTATTTACTAGTTTGATTTGGCCATTCTACAATGTATACATATCTCAAAATATCCTGTTATACACTATATACATCATTTTTGTTTGTCAATTAAAAATAAATAACAAGAAAGAGAAAGAAACTTAGAAGCATATATTAATATAATTAAATGCAATCGTAGATAATGTCGAGTTCTGCCATATCATTTAATAGGTGAGGAAAAGGATACAAATGAAAATGAGACAGTCCAGAGTCACAGTGACCATCTGGAGGACTTTAACCCAGTCACTAAGCTCTTAAATATTCCTTCAAAGGCAGAAAGTATATATGATTTGAATTTGTCTGGAGAGTTGCTAAGTACTTGATTAAAAACATTTCTTAGGAAACTATGGACACGAGTGAAATGAAGATTAAAGAAATACTAGCACAGATCGTAAAATAAATATTCAACATATGGTCGAGACAGTTGCAAGTAAGGATCACCTTATAATTGTTAAAATTCTACTTTGAACATATTATAATGAATATTGCATTTTATCAGATACTTTAAAGTGTAACTTGACTATGTCCTATAATTATTTATTGACTCTGACCAAATGTGTGTATAAAGAAAACTTTAATCTTATATGTTGAGGAAGAGTAGTTTTTAGTACCATTTTAGAGAAAGAAGTTAGTTTGAGTGACCACTTTTATATAGGTCTTGACTGCTCTTAATTTGAATTGAATGGATAATTAGCAGGCAGAATTACCTAGAGAAAACAAGTTATTTTGAGTTCTCCAGTGGGAATTAGCTAGTAGGGATTCAGCCTAGTGTGCAGAACATCACATTCAAATTATTGTAACTTAGAAACATCTTATGTATGGCCGTGAAATGGTGCTGTTTAAAGACTTTTCTGAGGGTATGAATTAAATAGAGCATTTTGTAATAAAACAAGAGAGCAAAATGGAGTGATAGTGGAGGCAAACCTAAGGAATACCCTTGGCATGAGCATGCTTTTGTTGTTTCTTATTGGTAGCTTAGCCTTTCCATTTCTTTTTCAGCATGGTATATAGTCATCAGGAATAGAACTAAAGCTGAACAGAATATTGTTTTAACAGAGCCAAAGGCAAAGTACATCCTCAAGTAAACTTCAAATGCAACCTGGGAAATTAATTCCAAGTTGACTCAAATGACAACACTAATTCTGGTTTTAAGGCAGAGTAGTGTGGAGGGGATAAGAATATTATTACTCTATCATTACTGTGTGTGTGATGACAGGGTTCAAGCTGCATAATTAGATAATAATGGGAAGCAAATGTTCCAGAAATTTAGATACTGAGAAGAGGTGGTCAGAAGTGTAATGCCTCTATGAGGAGGTGACGAGTACACTTTTCACCCTGTACATTATCAAAATGGTTCCTGAGTAAAAGAAAAATAACTAGTTTTATACAATCCCTTTAGTATAAATATTTCCCTATATGGTCTGTAATAAATACATTAAAAGATATTCTGAGTGCTGACTCACATATTATTAGTTTCAAGGGAGTATTGAATGTGACTATAATATCTATCTTTGAGGATATGAGTATTCAAACAGCATATATATAAATGTATAGTATCATATGATATATTTATATGTGACTGCTCTTGAATTGAATAGATAAGTTACAGGCAAAAAGGCAGAAATACCTACAGAAAATGTTATTTTCAGTTATCTAGTGATAATTAGCGAGTAGATATTCAGCATATTGTGTTGGTTTTATATGTATATAGCAAGTGCCTAGTTCAGTGCCTAGCACATCCCTGATAATAATAGTAGCTTCTTTTTTATTATTGCTTATGTTGATACTACAAAAACTGTGGAAAACCCTAATACTTATATTTGACTTAGATATGTAGTCTTTGCTTACTCTACAATTAAGATACGAATATATTTTATTGTATAAGACTCAAGTGCAAACAAATATAAAGAGGAAATTGTGCAAGTTCCCATACTCCCTCTCCTCAGGCCTGCTTTCAACTTTCACGATCACCACTACATGGTGTGTATTTTTTGGCTTTGCATTTATACACACTTACATGCAAACAGAGAATGTATGAACTTTTTTTTGAAGCTACATAGGGACAAAGGAAACTTTCCTTCCTCTCCCTCCTGAAGGTTAGATAATGTGAGTTTATAAAACAAATTGATCTAGCCTGGGCAATATGGTGAAACCTTGCCTCTACAAAAAATACAAAAATTAGCTGGGCATGGTGGCATGCATCTGTAGTCCCAGCTACTTGGGAGGCTGAGGTGGGAGGATCACTTGAGCCTAGGAGGCGAAAGTTGCAGTGATCTGAAATAAGGCCACTGCACTCCAGGCTGAGCAACAGAGAGAGATCCGGTCTCAAGAAAAAAACAAAACAAAACAAAAAACTCAAAAAACAAAAAACGCAGTAACAAAAACTGACCATAGAGAGATTAACAGGAATTAAGTCATATACATTTATTAATGGGCATAAACACAGAGCCATACAAAATAGGAAGCTCAAAGAAGAGTCAGATGACTGAAACTTTTATACCATCCTGACATTCCAGAAATATTGAGATTGGACTTTTGGGACAGGGAAGTGTCGTCATAGGTTATGGGAGAGTAGGGAGAGGAAATCATGATAAGCAAAGAGTTTCTTGTTATGCAGATAAAAATCTTTCAGGTAATCTCAGAGCTACCTTCTGAAAAAAATAGATGATAGCCTGTGGAAAAAGTTTCTCCATCAGATCTTTAAAAATGTCAGATTTGTAGTCCTCTTTTTCTGTGAGTTAATCTTTCCTAGATCCAGGTAAATCAGGTAAATGAGTCTCAGAGATAGGGTATTGGCACCTGCTGTTTATTTCACTAATGTAGATTTCCTCTACAGATGCAAATCTCCCCCACAAAAGACAGCTTTTCAGAGCTTTCACTGTATTTGAAGCCCCTCTAAATGGTTGTCTTGAAATATACCAAAGAAGTATATTTTGGGGTAAGCATATTTTGGCTTCTTTCATTCCCCCATTTCAAACTTAATTTTCAGAAAGTTTTATATATAAAGTAAGGTTCAGAACTATGGAGAGATTTGGGTCAGAAGTTTTGGGATAAGACATTGATACAGGGGAAGAAAACAGATTGGATCAAGCAGAAAAGAACAAATTAGAGGACATTTTCCCATGTTTTGTTGAATCAATCTCTTAGTCTTCAGAATAGGGAAGTTAAGTTAAAAAGTTGTGTCTCATTTCAGGAAGTGGTATTGGAGATGGACTCCCATCAAGGTTAGTTCTCAGTATGGTATAAGCATCTCTATATGGTAGAAGCACATAGGCATTCAATAAGAGACTTTTCTATTAAAACAAAAGAAAAACAAAGGTTAATGTCTGGAGTTATGAGCTAGTCTCTGAGTCTGGAGGGCAATCAGTTGAGAAGATTCTAGACTTGGCCTTAAAGTATTTTCAGTTGGAGTGGGTGCAGGCAGTGACAGGCAATGTGACAGATTGTCCTGGGTTGCATTTTGCATGTCACAAAGTTTGTCCAAATATAAGCTGTTATGGTGACTTTTTTTAAAGCCATGTTGACTACCTTCAGATTGTAGGGCCTCAGGTAAGAGGCAGTTTTAATTTCTAGAGATTCCAAATAAGAAGGGCGGGGAAAAAATGGGAATGTTCATTTGGAGACTTGCAGCCAGGAAAGAATTCAGAATTTATTCCAAATTGCAGGTAAATAATAGAATTTCAAAAACCAATGAGCTGGAATCTAAAAACATAATAGGTGTACTATAGGAATTTTTTCTGAGACATATTTTTTCTCTATATATTTACCTCCATTTTTACCAAATATAGTTGTGGTAAGACTAATTTGCTTGCAAAATAAGTTGCCCAGGCTGGTCTTGAACTCCTGAGCTCAAGTGATTCCCCTGCCTCAGCGTCCCAAAGTGCTAAGATTACGTGCATGAGTCACCATGCCTGGCCTATAAGAAATCTTGAATTAGGCTTAAAAGCCTCTAAAGGCTAATGAGCGAATACAGAATTGACTCACTCTCAAATTGTGTCTGTAATTATAGTGTCTGGGTGAATTCCTCTCTTCTCGATGTCTTCAAAATAGCTCATGGTTCTTGGGCCTGCCAGAAAGTGACACTCTTTACCTACCTGCAGGGAAACCATGTGGACTATGCATTTAAATTATCAGGCCATTTTTTTCCAAGGGGTTTTTGCTGGCTCCACAGAGCCCCTTAAAGTAATCTTGTCACTTCTGAAAATATTACATTCTAGTCAAAGCCTCAGTAAAATAACTATTGTTTCTAATTGTGTCCTATTACAAAAGCACACAGATTCTTATTCAATTTATCCAAACGTTATATTGCCTAAAATATGAACGCTCACAGATAGCTTCCTAATTCTAAAAGGATCAGTAGAGACAAAGGTAAATGTTTCAATTCTGTTTACAAAATTATACTTAACCAAATTATTGCAAGCTATAAATAACTTAAAAGTGAAAAAGTTTCCTTAAATTTGGAAAACAAAAGGAATCACCAATGTTCCAAACAAAATGTCATAAAAAGACATTTTATTCAAATGTAATGAATTTTTGTTTTTTGGAATTGAGTTGGCAGTTTCATGAACCCATGTATCTCTTTTTTCATGTCTTATTGGCATTTATTTTATTTTATTTTTTTAACTTTTATTTTAGGTTTTGGGGGTACATGTGCAGGTTTGTTATATAGGTAAACTTGTGCCATGGGGGTTTGTTGCATAGATAGATTATTTTGTCACCTAGTACTAAGTCTAGTATGCAATAGTTATTTTTTTCTGCTCCTTCCACTCCTCCCACCCTTTATCCTCAAGTAGGCCTCAGTGTCTGTTGTCCCATTCTTTGTGTTCATGAGTTCTCATCATTTAGCTACCACTTATAAGTGAGAACATGCAGTGTTTGGTTTGCTGTTCCTGCGTTAGTTTGCTAAGGAAAATGACCTCTAGCTCCATCCATATTCTCGCAAAAGATATTACCTTATTGTAGTTTTATGGCGGCATAATATTTCATGGTGTATAGGGACCACATTTCCTTTATCTAAAATCTGTCATTGTGGGCATTTAGGTTGAGTCCATGCCTTTGCTACTGTGAATGGTGTTGCAATTAACATTAGTGTGCATGTTTCTTTATGGTAGAATGATTTCTATTCCTCTGGGTATATACTCAATAATGGGATTGCTGGGTCAAATAGTGGCTCTGTTTTTAGCTCTTTGGAATCACCATACTGCTCTCCCCAGTGGTTGAACTTATTTACACTCCCACCAATAGTGTAGAAGTGTTTCATTTTCTTTAAAGCTCACCAGCATCTGTTATTTTTTGGCTCTATAATAATAGCCATTCTGACTGACATGAGATGGTATCTCATTGTTGTTTTGATTTGCATTTCTCTAATTATGAATGATATTGAACTTTTTATATATATATGCTTTTGGGCGCATGTGTGTCTTCTTTAGAAAAGTGCCTGTTCATGTCCTTTGCCCACTTTTTAATGGGGTTCTTTGCTTTTCTCTTGTACATTTGTTTAAGTTCCGTATAAATGTTGGATATTAGACCTGTGTCAGATGCATAGTTTGAAAATATTTTCTCCCACTTTGTAGGCTGTCTGCTTACTCAGTTGATAGTTTCTTTTGCTGTGCAGGAGCTCTTAAGTTTAATTAGATCCCATTCGTCAATTTTTGCTTTTGTTGCAATTGCTTTTGGTGTCTTTGTCATGAAATCTTTGCCTGTTTCTATGTCTGAGATGGTATTGCCTAGGTTGTCTTCCAGGGTTTTTATAGTTCTGGGTTTTACATTTGAGTCTTTAATCCATCTTGAGTTGATTTTTGTACATGATGTAAAGAAGGAGTCCAGTTTCAATCTTGTGCATATGGCTAGCCAGTTATCACAACACGATTTATTGAATAGGGAGTCCTTTCCCAGTTGCTTTTTTGTCAGCTTTGTTGAAGATCAGATGGTCATAGGTGTGTGGCCTTATTTCTGAGATCTCTGTTCCTTTGGTCTATGTCTGTCTTTGTATGAGTGTCATGCTGTCTTAGTTACTGTAGCCCTGTAGTATAGTTTAAAGTCAAGTAGAATGATGCCTCCAGCTTTGTTCTTTTTGCTTAGGATTGCCTTAGCTATTAAGGCTCTTTTGTGGTTTCATATGAATTTTAAAATAGTTTTCTATAGTTCTGTGAATAATGTCAATGGAAATTTAATAGGAATAGCATTGAATCTGTAAATTGCTTTGGGCAGCATGGCCATTTTAATGATATGGATTCTTCCTATCAATGAGCATGGGATATTTTTCTATTTGTTTTTGTCATATCCGGTTTCTTTGAGCAGTGTTTTAAAATTCGCCTTGTACCATTCTTCCACTTCCCTGGTTAGCTGTATTTCTGGATGTATTATTCTTTTTGTGGCAATTGTGAATGGGATTGTATTCCTGTTTTGTCTCTCAGCTTGGCTGCCGTTGGTGTATAGGAATGTTAGTGATTTTTGTACATTGAGTTTGTAACCTGAAACTTTGCTAAAGTTTTTTTTATCATCTAAGTAGCTTTTGAGCCAAGACTATGGGGTTTTCTAGACATAGAATTTTGTCATCTGCAAACAAGGATAGTTTAACTTCCTCTCTTTCTATTTGAATGCCCCTTATTTATTTCTCTTGCCTGATTGCTCTGGCCAGGACTTCCAATATCCTGCTGAGTAGGAGTAGTAAGAGAGGGTATCCTTGTGTTGTGCTAGTTTTCAAGGGGAATACTTCCAGCTTTTCCCCATGCAGTATCATGTTGGCTGTGGGTTTGTTGTATATGGCTCTTATTATTTTGAGAGAATCCATGTTTCTTTATTAGATATTTGGAAGCTCTTACCCAGTCCAATGAGAAGAACATCAGTATAAAGCAATTAACTGTGGACAACAAGACTAAAGTAGCCGTGATTAAACATCTAGTGGGAGTTCATACAACCTGCAATTGATGAAGAAATTTGGCTATTTCTATGGCATATCATATTTTAATGTAACAACCAAAATTGTGACATTTATATATGACATATTAGATTTTTAATAATCCCATACAATTATGTAATACATATGTCCGTAACATAGCCACACAAACATAACTCAAAGAAAGTTGAAAATTACTTCTTATTTGAAAATGCTTTTTGTATGATTTTAAAATATCAAATAAACCTAATTGTTCTCATTTTTTCTAACTGGAAAGGTCCTTCTTAAATGTCCAAAAGTTGATTTCAGGTGAAAAAACCTTAATTTATAATTTGAAATTGGATTTTAGAAAGGTTGTCAAATGTGTGAAAGGTTTAAAATATTTGATCTAAATAAGATTGCAGGTCACTGTGAAATAATAATCATCCATTTAAGCAAAAGATCTAATAAAGACAGCATGAGGCACACAGGTTCTGTTTCTCTCTCTTCTTTTACTCCTTTGTTTGTTTATGCAGTTTGTTTAAAAGGTGAATAAAAATATTTTATATCTTAACAATGTTATACAAAAATCTTATTTAAAGGAGAATACCAAATTGTAGTTCTGTATTAATCTACCTTGAGAATTAAGCCTCAAAGATTTTTTTATTATTATACTTTAAGTTCTAGGGTACATGTGCACGATGTGCAGGTTTGTTACCTATGTATACATGTTCCGTGTTGGTTTGCTGCACCCATTAACTTGTCATTGACATTAGGTATTTCTCCTAATGCTATCCATCACCCATCCCCCCACCCCACAACAGGCCCTGGTGTGTGATGTTCCCGCCCTGTATCCGAGTGTTCTCATTGTTCAATTCCCACCTATGAGTGAGAACATGTGGTGTTTGGTTTTCTGTTCTTGCTATAGTTAGCTCAGAATGATGGTTTCCAGCTTCATCCATGTCCCTACAAAGGACATGAACTCATCCTTTTTTATGGCTGCAAAGTATTCCATGGTGTATATGTGCCACATTTTCTTAATCCAGTCTATCACTGATGGACATTTGTGTGAATTCCAAGTCTTTGCTATTGTGAATAGTGCCACAATCAACATATGGGTACATGTGTCTTTATAGCATGATTTATAATCCTTTGGGTATATACCCAGTAATGGAATCACTGGGTCAAATGGTATTTCTAGTTCTAGATCCTTGAGGGATCGCCACACTGTTTTCCACAATGGTTGAACTAGTTTACACTCCCACGAACAGTGTAATAGTGTTCCTATTTTTCCACATCCTCTCCAGCACCTGTTGTTTCCTGACTTTTTAATGATCACCATTCCAACTGGTGTGAGATGGTGTCTCACTGTGGTTTTGATTTGCATTTCTCTGATGATCAGTGATGATGAGCATTTTTTCATGTGTCTGTTGGCTGCATAAATGTTTTCTTTTGAAAAGTGTCTGTTCATATCCTTTGCCCACTTTTTGATGGGGTTGTTTGTTTTTTTCTTGTGAATTTGTTTGAGTTCATTGTAGATTCTGGATATTAGCCCTTTGTCAGATGGGTAGATTGGAAAAATTTTCTCCCATTCTGTAGGTTGCCTGTTCACTCTGGTGGTAGTTTCTTTTGATGTGCAGAAGCTCTTTAGTTTAATTAGATCCTACTTGTCTATTTTGGCTTTTGTTGCCATCGCTTTTGGTGTTTTAGTCATGAAGTCCTTGCCCATGCCTATGTCCTGAATGGTATTGCCTAGGTTTTCTTCTAGGCTTTTTATGGTTTTAGGTCTAACATTTAAGTCTTTAATCCATCTTGAATTAATTTTTGTATAGGGTGTAAGGAAGGGATCCAGTTTCAGCTTTCTACATATGGTTAGCCAGTTTTCCCAGCACCTTTTATTAAATAGGGAATCCTTTCCCCATTGCTTGTTTTTGTCAGGTTTGTAAAAGATCAGATGGTTGTAGATGTGTGGTATTATTTCTGAAAGTCTCAAATTTTTTTTAAAAGCCCTTATATAAATTCATTCAATTTTAGTCAGTTTCATCACATTATAATTTTTTAATAAGATTTATATTTTGTAACCATTTTACAATTTTCCTATCCATTCAGTTTTACATATATATATTATATATATATTTATATATATTATATATATATTATATATATATATTTATATATATTATATATATATTTATATATATTATATATATATTTATATATATTATATATATATTTATATATATTATATATATATAATATATATTATATATATATAATATATATATTATATATATATATTTATATATATTATATATATATTTACATATATTTTATATATATATTTTTATATATATAATTTTTTTTTGAGATAGAGTCTCACTCTGTCACACAGGCTAGAATGTAGTAGTGTGATCATAGTTTACTGTAGCCTTGAAGTTCTGGGCTTAAGCAGTGCTCCCACCTCATTCTACCAAGTTGCTAGGACTATAGGTGCACACCATGACAACAGGCTAATTAATTTTTTTTTTTTTTTTTTGTAGAGATGGGTGGTCATGCTATGTTGCTCAGGTTGAACTCAAACTCCTGGCCTCGAAAAATACTGTTGCCTTGGACCCCTAAAGTGCTGCCATTACAGACATGAGCCACCATGATTGACTGAAACAATTTTAAATAACCTCTAAACTACGCAAAGTGACTTTTCCTTCAACAAAAATACACATCTTCCTGTCTTCCTTAAAACTTTCCTTACCAAAACCATAATAGTCTGTTCTTTCTGTGAATTAATCTTTCCTAGATCCAGATAAGGCAGGTAAGGAAGTCTCAGGGAAAGCTGTTTGGATCTAGTATTTACTTCACTAATGTAGATTCCCTCTACCATTGCAAGTCTCCCCAACAGAAAACAGCTTTTTAGAGCTATCTGCATGCTAGAAGCCTTTCTGAATAGCCATGTCAGAATATGCCGGAGAAGTATATTTTGAGGTGGCACACTTAGGTTTCCTTTATTTACATGAGATCATAGGATAAATACATTATGGCAATTTGTGTATTTCAGTTACTAGATTGTGGTGATATTTTCATATTTGCAAATTTTTTCTTAATGGCTGCAGTGTTAATGTATCATATATTATGCAGTTTTTCATCTCTTGATGAACAAGAGATTTGCAATTGCAAAAAAATCTGTAATGAACTTTCTTTAGAACCTTTGTGGACTGGTATATTTCTTAGGTTTAGATTTTTAGATGTAGAATTTTCCTGTCAAATGCATACAGTTTTAAAATCTGTTAGGTCTTTCAAAAGCTTCTTTGAAAAAATTGTTATGGATTTACATTTTAACCACCAGTGTAATTGTGCTCACTTCCTTACATTTTGCTCCTTGCATAACTATTTTATATCTTTTGTCATCATACTATGTACATAATAGAAAAGGGCCTGTGTGATTCTTGACTTGGTGGAATTTAAATTATTTCATCATATTTTGAGAGATTTTACAGTGAGCTATTCTGCACTCTTCTTCACAGGCCAGGACATTATATAATGACCAGTGGCATTAATTCTCTCTGAACAAACATTTTGTTGAAAACACTGCCTCAGAACCTTTAAAATCTTGAGAGCTTACAGAGTTTTATGATTACCTTTTGGAATCTTCCTGTGAAAGCTGCCCTTGAAAAACTAAGTCCTATAATTTTATCATCTAGTGTCTGCTTTTCAGAATTTATTATAGGCATTTCCCTTATGATTTTGGCTGATTTATTTTGTCTTTATTCTCATATAAAACATGTCAAAAATACAAAGTAGGAGAATGTTGATGACATATATTGCTAATAATTGCTTTCACGTATTTTCTAGGTAAAAGGTAACACTTGTTTAATGTTATTATTAGTGTCATGAATATTATCTACATAAAAATCAGATGAAACAAATGAAACAACTTAGATTTCCCTTATACAATACCCTTTCAATTGTTTTTGTTGTTTTATGTTATTGACTACTATTTCTCCCCACACTTAAAAAAATCATTATATTGATAGATGAACTGCAAGAAATAGAAAACAATTTGTTCTTGATGATGTTATTTTAATTCAGGCAATATTTCCCTATGTCCCTTAAATATATAAATATTGATGTTAAAATGGAAGCAGTACATATTTCCTTGTCAGATACCTCATATGAAAAATGACTGGAAGAAAGTGTGAACAATAAAAGCAACAGAGCATTTATTGAGCATTTATTATTTGCCTAATATGATGACTTATAAATCTATCATTGATCATATGTGTATAAAAGTATTAGCTGACAATTTATTTAATGCATTGTTATGTAAATACAGAAATTTGCATATATTTGTAAAATCCTTTAAAATGTGCTAGAGAAATCAAGAACATCTAGTTCCTTAGCAGATAAAAGTTTATTAATTGAAAATAAAATCTTCTGTATTGATTTTTAAAATGATGAATTGTAGCAAAGAGCTCAGAGAATACATATTTTAACTAGGTTTTTAATAAATGCCTTGATGGGTCAAGAAAGACAGATTTCTGCTCTCTCATTCTGATACATGCTTGGCTCATCCTAAATTACAGCAATGTTTAATTGCCAGCGAAATTCTCAAGATAAAATTCTCAGCACAACTGCTTGCTAAGCAAAATGAAAAACATAAATTTTATCTGTGCTGAGCAAATGCATTTGGAAACTGACTTTGATTTGGCTTGCAGCGTCTTTTGCAGAACAAAGTTTCTGCTGATTCTTTGGAGGTTTTGGTTAAGGTTGAGAGGATAATCTGTTTGACAATCAACTGGTCTCCAGGAAGGGTATTCCAAAAAACATGTTTTCTGTATTGTAAACAGAATTGATTCCTTTACTAATAGCTCACATCAATTCTTTTTTATAAAAACATATTCTTCTCTGTTTATAGGGAATCTAACATTCCAGCTATAATTATTTTGTTACAATTTTATTAAAGGTATTTTTACTTCTAGGAAAATGATCACATAGAACAAAACATATGCCCATTTCAATTTATCCAATAAAGTTCATTTCAGTCACTGCCATGTTCCTTGTATTCTCAAATAACATGTTTTCTGTTTCTCAGTGTGTGGGTTGTCTAAAATTTGTAAGAAGTCAAGTAACGCACATTTATTTTCATGCACTTCCATGCCCACCATTTATTTTTTCTTATAGTGATTACTTGTTCAAGCAGATAGATTTTTCACATGATTCCACTGGTTTCCTCAATACTTTTTGTCTATTCAGTATGCTAATTCCTAAGCCCTGCTGTAAATTACTCTGTTTCTAGTGTTGCCAAAGAAAGGAAATCAGAACAGATGCTACATGCCTTCTTTTACGTACATTGGATTCCCCATTTCTTTTTTTGAACAGGTTTTCTAATTGTTTAGATTCCCTATTTGTGTTTATTCTTGTTCATACTTGCCTTTTCTTTTTAATTTGAAAGAAAACGGTTGAAAACCAATGGTCAATGCACAAGTTGGCTGCTAGTCATGTAATATTTAGTTCCAAGGCATAAGTGTGTTTATTTTCTCTATCGAAATAATTTTTTCCTGAATTCACTACAAACTGATTTTAACAGGTGGGATTGAACATGTGTTCACTTCCAGTCTTTCCTAAAACTCCAGTGAAATGTAAATAAAGAGATTTTAAAAGGCATAAAATGTCAAGGACAGATAGAAAACAAGTGACAAACATAGCAGTGATATTTTGAGGCTGGAAAGCAAAAATAGTAAAACACACACACACACACACACACACACACAAAAAAAATCAATTCCCTTTCTTGGTCTTTCTCCTTAGCACTTACTAATGGGCTCTGGTCTATTGCCTGAGTCTTAGCTAGAACAGGATCTACATTAAGGATATGGACATGATTCCCAGTAGAAGGTGGAACATATGTTACCATGTCCTGGAATGTGAATCACCATCTTTATCAACTGATGTTACAGTTGATAGAAGTTCAATGTGAATATTAGTTTATGGTATTCTTTTTAATGTAGTTTATAAAATCCATAATAATGTTCCCATTATTCTATATCTTCACAGATAGTGATAATGCAAAGCTTGGAACTCTTTTTAGTTCATGCCATTTAACCAGGAAGACACTACTGCTTTTTCTTCTTACACATTGTTTTATTCTGTGCTTAAACTTTATGCTAGACTTTATTTTATACTAAACTTTGTATAAACTAGTTTATACCAAACTTTATTTTAACCTTTCATACTAGATAAGTTTAGAGAAAAAATATTTCTTCCAACTTTATTTTTTATTTTTTATTTTTTTTATTTTTATTTTTTTTATTATACTCTAAGTTTTAGGGTACATGTGCACATTGTGCAGGTTAGTTACATATGTATACATGTGCCATGCTGGTGCGCTGCACCCACTAATGTGTTATCTAGCATTAGGTATATCTCCCAATGCTATCCCTCCCCCCTCCCCCGACCCCACCACAGTCCCCAGAGTGTGATATTCCCCTTCCTGTGTCCATGTGATCTCATTGTTCAATTCCCACCTATGAGTGAGAATATGAGGTGTTTGGTTTTTTGTTCTTACGATAGTTTACTGAGAATGATGGTTTCCAATTTCATCCATGTCCCTACAAAGGATATGAACTCATCATTTTTTATGGCTGCATAGTATTCCATGGTGTATATGTGCCACATTTTCTTAATCCAGTCTATCATTGTTGGACATTTGGGTTGGTTCCAAGTCTTTGCTATTGTGAATAGTGCCGCAATAAACATACGTGTGCATGTGTCTTTATAGCAGCATGATTTATAGTCCTTTGGGTATATACCCAGTAATGGGATGGCTGGGTCAAATGGTATTTCCAGTTCTAGATCCCTGAGGAATCGCCACACTGACTTCCACAATGGTTGAACTAGTTTACAGTCCCACCAACAGTGTAAAAGTGTTCCTATTTCTCCACATCCTCTCCAGCACCTGTTGTTTCCTGACTTTTTAATGATTGCCATTCTAACTGGTGTGAGATGATATCTCATAGTGGTTTTGATTTGCATTTCTCTGATGGCCAGTGAGGATGAGCATTTCTTCATGTGTTTTTTGGCTGCATAAATGTCTTCTTTTGAGAAGTGTCTGTTCATGTCCTTCGCCCACTTTTTGATGGGGTTGTTTGTTTTTTTCTTGTAAATTTGTTTGAGTTCATTGTAGATTCAGGATATTAGCCCTTTGTCAGATGAGTAGGTTGCGAAAATTTTCTCCCATGTTGTAGGTTGCCTGTTCACTCTGATGGTAGTTTCTTTTGCTGTGCAGAAGCTCTTTAGTTTAATTAGATCCCATTTGTCAATTTTGGCTTTTGTTGCCATTGCTTTTGGTGTTTTGGACATGAAGTCCTTGCCCACGCCTATGTCCTGAATGGTAATGCCTAGGTTTTCTTCTAGGGTTTTTATGGTTTTAGGTCTAACGTTTAAATCTTTAATAGACACAATAAAAAATGATAAAGGGGATATCACCACCGATCCCACAGAAATACAAACTACCATCAGAGAATACTACAAACACCTCTACGCAAATAAACTAGAAAATCTAGAAGAAATGGATACATTCCTCGACACATACACTATCCCAAGACTAAACCAGGAAGAAGTTGAATCTCTGAATAGACCAATAACAGGCTCTGAAATTGTGGCAATAATCAATAGTTTACCAACCAAAAAGAGTCCAGGACCAGATGGATTCACAGCCGAATTCTACCAGAGGTACAAGGAGGAACTGGTACCATTCCTTCTGAAACTATTCCAATCAATAGAAAAAGAGGGAATCCTCCCTAATTCTTCCAACTTTAAATAGATCGGTCTTGGCCAATGAAACATGATCAAACCTAATGTATGAAATTCTGGGTAGAATGTTAAAAGCGAACTATTGTTCTGGCACCTTCCTCTTCCCTTCATGCTGGGTGAAATACAGATAAAATCTTGCTATATCTCCAATCTAGTCAATATATTCTATAGCTACTGAAGCTAGTCAATATTTCTATACCTAAGGGAAAGAAATTCAAATCAATAATTATATTGCCAACACATATTATGCTAGAGAAATATAGAAGTTCTATCTTATTTCAGCCATGTTATTGTGTTTTTCTATTATAATCTGTTACTGATTGAACTATGTCTCCTTATCCCTCACTTCCCACTTCACATTGAAGTCCTAATCCCCCATGTGACAGTATTTGGAGATAGGACCTATAAAGAGGTAATAAAGGTTAAGTGAGATCATAAGGTGGGGCTTAAACTTGATAAGACTGTTTTTATTAGAAGAGGAGACACCAGATCTCTCTCTCCACCCCACCCTGCCTCTGATTGTGCACAGAGGAAAGCCTGGGTGAGGACACAGCCTTTGATTCTGGGCTACATGGCTACATAGGAAGTAGCCCAGAATTAAAAATGTGGTTGAAATTGTTGACTTCTCATCTGAGCCCATTGTTTTAAGATGATCTCAAAAGATCGTATATTAAGTTGTAGGAGTGGAGGTTAATCATAGACAGGCTGGAAAACAGAATAATACATTTGTTGGGAATAAAGTTTATGCCTGTGGAGATCATTGTCTGTGGTTACTTCTAAAGAGAGTTAAATGAAAACAAATACAACTGAAATCATCTAAATTTTGAGGCTACAATATTGTCAAATAAATAAGACAGCTCTACCAACTTATACATTTTTTTTTTCAAATTCTGTGTCCTACTACTGAAATCCAAATCTGCACTTGTAAAAATATTCCTAAAGCTCTAAGTAAAGGCATGAGTTCCAATGGTCCCTCCAGATAAGGCCCCATGAAAAACTGGAAAAGGAAGCACAACATAGAGGGACAGGCCAGGGGCCATGGAGAAGAATATTGGGTTAGGGAGTTTTTCTAATGAACCCAAAGCAAGAGCTTCCAAAGGGACTATATAAGAAATTTACTGCATTGTAAAGGCAGGAACTCCTATACAAATCCAGTCTGCAAAATTGAGTAATTGCAAAAAACAAATGATTTCTTTATGTTTGCATTTATCACTTCAGAGTGTTTGCTTTTTTTTAAATGCAGTTATTCTATTCCTTTTCCATTATTCTATAGTGGTGGCGAAGAGGGAAAATATGCTGCTTTTTATCGGTTTAATTTGTAGGTGGATGGACTACGAAGAGCCATGGGGCCTTTTGAAATAAAACTTTGCAATTCTCTGAAAACCTTAACTTTGAGCTAAACTCAGGAACAGTATATAATTCTGCATGGAAGATAGCATATATGCACATTTGGATGACTCAAGATGTACACTGTATCAGGAACTGCAAATTGCCCTTTAATATCTATTCTCGATTCATTATGTAGTAACAGAAATATTTATCTTTAAGAGAGCACATGGTTAAATGGGTGACAAGAATAAATCTAAATTTCCAGAACAACTTGAATCTAACTGGAACCAAGCTCTAAGTTTGGGTTAACTTCTTGATTGTGAAGTTAAATCGAAAGGGATTTGTGTATAGGGTTAATATACATATCCAAACATGGTGAACACAGCACAGAACTTCCTGCTAATCAGTGGTTCACAGCCATATCGTCCAATAGAGAAGACACTGAATACTTGTGGCTTTTGAGATTTGAAGTTTGGCAAGAGTAATAAAGAAACTGAATTTAAAATTTTATCGAATTTGAATGCTTAGAGATTGAAATTAAACACAGTTATTGAAAAATATTTAAATATGTTTAGAAAGACTTGGATATGTACACCTTTTTCAATTGTCAATTTTATAAAATCTAAACATAATTCAATCATTTTCAATAAAAATTTAGTCTACTTTGAGACATCCTATAAGTGTAAAACACCATTTTAAAGACTTAGTACAAAACTGTAAAATATTTTATTAAAATTTTTGTATTGTTGTGAAATTAATAACATTTTAAATGATTTAGATCAAATAAAATGTTACTAAACTAATCTTACTGATTTCTATTTAAATAATGTGGCAACTAGAATGTTTTAAATTGTACATGTGTTTTCTATTCTATTTTTATTGGTCATCACTGCTCTATAACTAAAATGAGATCAACTTGGCCTCATTGTTGCAATATAGAGGCCTTAACTACACCTCCATTACTCTCTGTGTTCCTTCCCATTAGCTGAAATGAGGAAATGAAGGGGATCATGTGGCAAGATTAACATCCTAAAGATGGCAGAGCAACCAGAGAGAATCTAGATTCATCACACATTTTAGAGCTGAGCTGCCAGACTTTTACAGGACAGAGAGCCAAATCTCTATCCAATTTAAAACCTTGGTTTTCAGATCTCTGTTGTAGGCAGCAAATGTAAATCTTAACCAAAATAAATAAGACAGAGAGTGAAATAGATAAATCCCAGTACCCCCAAACCCTGTGATTATTAAGACACTTTAGAACTCAAAAATAAGCCCAACAATAACATGTATTATTTTTGGATCATTAAATGCAAATTCAGCAATTTAGTTTAGAGGGATACATTAAAGGTTGTGCACATAAAGGGCTCTCTAACTTAATTAATCCTAGTTAGAAAATCAAACGTACCCAGTATCAGAAAAATGTCAAATGTATATTCTATTATTCAGACTGCATTTTGTTGAGGTATCAAAGGAGTGTGGAACAGGCTGGTTCCTGGCTGCAAGAAGTTAGATAGGGGAAAGAAAAGCACTTAGCTGACCTATCTGGCAAAGCCAGCAGATAGGTTTAGAAATCCATTTATTTAACTATATATCTCAAAAGTTAATCCAGGGAGGTCATACAAGAAAAAAGCTTTCTCAGTTAAGTTATTTTGCAACATTAAGTGTTATATGCTTTTATCAAATATTTAAAATACACATTAACTTTTTAATGTTTCAGGAAGATTTGCAGGAAACTCATTTAGCTGTATTAATTTAATATTTTCCAATTTCATTTAAACATCATACACTATCTTCTCTCTTTTTTTCCACATAGCACTATATATTTCTGGAGGAATTGGGGCTTACTAGAACATGTATTGGGAAATACTAGTCAAGAAATGAAGAACTTGACATCTAATGTTTGACTAAAACTGCCAAAGACGGCCTAAATTCTTGTTGGATCACGATAATTTATTTTTTTCTTTGTGTTTTTAGTTGATGCTTACCAAATAAGGATTTTTCCATCAGTTGATGACAATGGCTTCTAACTTCTATTTGAGAATTAATTTAATATCTTGGAAACTGACTCCATAGTCAGCCAGGTTTCTATTTGTGTTGACTCATCTATATTCCTCAGAACTAATTGTAGTTGGGAAGCTAGCTGTGAGTGGTTGTTGTCTATTTCATATAACTTCTAATTAATTGATTGCTGGGTTATTAACCTTGAGATCAGCTGTGGCCTTTTATTCTTTGGAAATATAGGTAAATTTAGGTAAAAACTCAATTCTATGGCCTAAAAGATTTAAACTCCTTCCTAGGATGTCTGAATTACTATTGGGCTCATTTGCTCATCAGTCTGCCTTTGTTTATTTTTTTTGCATCCATAATTTCATTTCTCCTATTTAATGTCATTATCGATGTGAAATCACTTGCTTACAAGTTTCTATATAACCCAAAACCACTAATACGAAGGATGTATAAGTCTGGGGTCATGGGTTAACATCTTTGAACTTATTACTTCCTGACGATTCTCTTGCTTCCTACTTTTATCTCATTTTTTGATATTCTTTCTCTTCCCCTATTCTTTTGAGAACAATTTTTCCCCATCATACATAGCAGTAACGTTCCCTATCTCTATTGATAACAAGAACAGTCATCTCAAGTAGATTCTCAAAGTAATTCTTTGTAGTCATTTACTGTTCTTTCAAAAAGCACTCCTAAAAAGTAGAATTTTCTTCATTATTTGCAAGAAGAGCAAAGGCAAGCCAGAAGGTAGATTACATATTTATTCATATCTATCTGTGTGATAGAAGTCAAAAAGGAGGTCAAAGTATGGAACAGTCAATGTTAGTAAGGAGAATTGTTAGTAAAGTCCATGTGAGTAAAATTTGCTTCAAAAATAATATTTTGGTGCCACTCTCAGATATAAAGAGCTTGAAATAGCTCAAAACAACCTCAAAGCTTCAATTTCATGACATTTCTTGAACCCATTAAAGTGCAAAGGTTATAGGGCAATTAACACTGTAACCTAAGAAGAGGTAGGTTCCTGAAAATACAGATAAGGTGAATATGCACTTACTTGGGCAAGGTCCATGTGGACATTGATAATAGGTGTTCAGCTAGGGTGACTGGTGAACTGGTAAAGGCCAGCTGAGTGTGCACTGGGGAGAGATGGGGAAGCTTGGTGCTATAAAAAGACAAGAAGTATGCACCTTTTTCTCCCAGGAAGCTTTATCAATCATTCACAGAAAATACCAAAAGAGTTCTAAAAATGTCTCCATTCTTGTTCAGAACTAGAAATAAGGAACAGCAGCAACTGTGAAAGAAACAGAAAACTCTACTAGACCCTTTTTTCCTATCACCCCTATAGAATAAAAGCCTTAATTTGTGGTAAAAGAAAAAAAAAAGACGGTTGCACTTAGGGCACTGGCGAAAATTCACTGCATTTAGGGGAAGAGGAAAGGTGGGGGAAAAAAAAAACTCTACCCTGTTTGGAGGAGGGCAGGAATAAGTTTGGGGCTCAGATGAATATTAAGGAGGAAGTTGAGAAGAACACTGTAACAATAGATGAAATAAGTGAAGATAAAATATCTTTTTTCTAATTTTTAATTTCTTTCAAGATTACTCACTTTCTAATAAATTATTGCAATATATTTTACATTTTTAGCATGTATAAACAGAAGATAATATGATGGTAGTAGAACATAGAATGAGAGAAAGGAATTGGGAATATATTTTCATAATTGGAAATATACACATGAAGCAGTGAATATACATGTGTCTTATATATAAAGATATATGTAGATTAAAAATAAAAGGCTAGAAAAAGATAAACTATGTGAACACCATTCCACAGGAAGGTGAGGTAAATATAGTAAATTAAAGATGGTCTCATTTTAATTAAAATGTATATTAAAACTATAGATATCTACTAATTTTTAAAGTTTATAAATATTAGGTTAATAAATAAGTTAAAATAAAATTATAAAAAGTCTCAATTACTCAAGACAAGGCAAAATATAAAGAAAAACCCTATTACAAATAGAAAATAGCTAGGAATAAAATAGACACAATTATATCAATGGCATTAATGTCAATAGTCTAAACACAACAGTTAGAACACAGAGAAATTAAAACAATGAAAAAGCAAGATCTAACTATGCTAGCTGCAAAAAAAAAATTTCACTTTAAATACAGATAAATATATAGGTTAAAAAGAAAAAGCTAAAAATAGACAAACTATGTGAATACTATCCCAAAGAAAGTTAGGTTTAGACAAAGTAGAATTCAGATCAAGAAATATTATCAGGGATAATGATGGGCATTACATAACGCCAAAGGGAAAATTTTCTAAGAAGGCATTACATTATTAAATGTGTATTTACATAACACCAGAACTTCAAAATAGTGAGGAGGAAATGTATATAGCAGAAAAGATAAATAGACAAATATAAAACAAAACATGAAGACTTTAGAATTATTTTCTTACATAGGATGAGAAAATGAATAAACTGTTTCATTAATGTTAATTTTCTCTTTTTGGTTTCTCTTCTAAAAGGTATCTATAATGCAACTCTGCCCATAGGAAAAAAATATATTAGTTTAGTTGATGAACTCCAAAATATTTTTCAAAAGCAAATAGTTGAGTGGTAACATCGGTGAAATGGAAGACTAGGTAGACCCAAGGGCTTGTCTTTTCAGATAAAAACATTAAGCAAAAACTGTTAGAATCAACTTTGTCAGAATTCTAGAAAAAGTCAAAGGCTTATAGCAACCAAGTAAACATAGAATGAAGAAAAAAACAACTTAAAATGATAGAAAAGCTTTCAGCAACTTTTACTTGGACATTTTATTTACCATTGTACATCACCATGCCTTTACTTCTGGCTGATCTTGAGTTTAGCACAAGCAGGAAGTAAATCTACGGTAGAGTTGCAAACAGCTTGGATAAGTGTTAAAGGAGTGTTCCAACACAGAAGCAATCTACAAAGACTAGGAGAACTGTTTCCCTCCCTCCCTCCTTCCCTTCCTTCCTCCCTTCCTTCCTTCTTCTTTCTTTCCCTTTCTTTCTTTCTCTTTCTTTCTTTCTTTCATTTTATTTTATTTTATTATTATTATACTTTAAGTTTTAGGGTACATGTGCACAATGTGCAGGTTAGTTACATATGTATACATGTGCCATGCTGGTATGCTGCACCCATTAACTCGTCATTTAGCATTAGGTATATCTCCTAAAGATATCCCTCCCCCCTCCCCCACCCCACAACAGTCCCCAGAGTGTGATGTTCCCCTTCCTGTGTCCATGTGTTCTCATTGTTCAATTCCCACCTATGAGTGAGAATATGCAGTGTTTGGTTTTTTGTTCTTGCGGTAGCTTACTGAGAATGATGATTTCCAATTTCATCCATGTCCCTACAAAGGACATGAACTCATCCTTTTTTATGGCTGCACAGTATTCCATGGTGTATATGTGCTACATTTTCTTAATCCAGTCTATCATTGTTGGACATTTGGGTTGGTTCCAAGTCTTTGCTATTGTGAATAGTACCGCGATAAAAATACCTGTGCATGTGTCTTTATAGAAGCATGATTTATAGTCCTTTGGATATATACCCAGTAATGGGATGGCTGGGTCAAATGGTATTTCTAGATCTAGATCCCTGAGGAATCGCCACACTGACTTCCACAATGGTTGAACTAGTTTACAGTCCCACCAACAGTGTAGAAGTGTTCCTATTTCTCCACATCCTCTCTAGCACCTGTTGTTTCCTGACTTTTTAATGATTGCCATTCTAACTGGTGTGAGATGGTATCTCATTGTGGTTTTGATTTGCATTTCTCTGATAGCCAGTGATGGTGAGCATTTTTTCATGTGTTTTTTGGCTGCATAAATGTCTTCTTTTGAGAAGTGTCTGTTCATGTCCTTTGCCCACTTTTTGATGGGGTTGTTTGTTTTTTTATTGTAAATTTGTTTGAGTTCATTGTAGATTCTGGATATTAGCCCTTTGTCAGATGAGTAGGTTGTGAAAATTTTCTCCCATTTTGTAGGTTGCCTGTTCACTCTGATGGTAGTTTCTTTTGCTGTGCAGAAGCTCTTTAGTTTAATTAGATCCCATTTGTCAATTTTGGCTGTTGTTGCCATTGCTTTTGGTGTTTTGGACATGAAGTCCTTGCCCATGCCTATGCCTGAATGGTAATGCCTAGGTTTTCTTCTAAGATTTTTATGGTTTTAGGTCTAACATGTAAGTCTTTAATCCATCTTGAATTAATTTTTGTATAAGGTGTAAGGAAGGGATCCAGTTTCAGCTTTCTACATATGACTAGCCAGTTTTCCCAGCACCATTTGTTAAATAGGGAATCCTTTCCCCATTGCTTGTTTTTCTCAGGCTTGTCAAAGATCAGATAGTTGTAGATATGTGGTGTTATTTCTGAGGGCTCTGTTCTGTTCCATTGATCTATCTCTCTGTTTTGGTACCAGTAGCATGCTGTTTTGGTGACTGTAGCCTTGTAGTATAGTTTGAAGTCAGGTAGCGTGATGCCTCCAGCTTTGTTCTTTTGGCTTAGGATTGACTTGGCGATGTGGGATCTTTTTTGGTGCCATATGAACTTTAAAGTAGTTTTTTCCGATTCTGTGAAGAAAGTCATTGGTAGCTTGATGGGGATGGCATTGAATCTATAAATTACCTTGGGCAGTATGGCCATTTTCACAATATTGATTCTTCCTACCCATGAGCATGGAATGTTCTTCCATTTGTTTGTATCCTCTTTAGACCAATAATATCCTTGATGAATATTGATGCAAAAATCCTCAATAAAATACTGGCAAACTGAATCCAGCAGCACATCAAAAAGCTTATCCACCATGATCAAGTGGGCTTCATCCCTGGGATGCAAGGCTGGTTCAATATACACAAATCAATAAATGTAATCCAGCATATAAACAGAACCAAAGACAAAAACCACATGATTATCTCAATAGATGCAGAAAAGGCCTGTGACAAAATTCAACAACACTTCATGCTAAAAACTCTCAAGAAATTAGGAATTGTTGGGACGTATCTCAAAATAATAAGAACTATCTATGACAAACCCACAGCCAATATCATACTGAATGGGCAAAAACTGGAAGCATTCCCTTTGAAAACTGGCACAAGACAGGGATGCCCTCTCTCACCACTCCTATTCAACATAGTGTTGGAAGTTCTGGCCAGGGCAATTAGGCAGGAGAAGGAAATAAAGGGTATTCAATTAGGAAAAGAGGAAGTCAAATTGTTCCTATTTGCAGATGACATGATTGTATATCTAGAAAACCCCATTGTCTCAGCCCAAAATCTCCTTAAGCTGATAAGCAACTTCAGCAAAGTCTCAGGATACAAAATCAATGTAGAAAAATCACAAGCATTCTTATACACCAATAACAGACAAACAGAGAGCCAAATCATGAGTGAACTCCCATTCACAATTGCTTCAAAGAGAATAAAATACCTAGGAATCCAACTTACAAGGGATGTGAAGGACCTCTTTCTTTCCTTTCTTTCTTTCTTTCTTTCTTTCTTTCTTTCTTTCTTTCTTTCTTTCTTTCTTTTCTTTCTTCTTTCTTTCTTTCTCTTCCTTCCTTACTTTTCTTTCTTTTCTTTCTTTCTCTCTTTTTCTTTCTTTCTTCCTCTTTCTTTCTTTCTTCTCTTCTTCTCTCTCTTTCTTTCCCCTTTCTTTGTTTCTTCCTTCCTTCCTTTTTTCTTTGTCTTTCTTCTTTCTTCTTCTTTCTTTCTCTCTTTCTTCTTTCTTTCTTCCTCTTTCTTCTCTTCTTCTCTCTCTCTCTTTCTTCCTTTCTTCTTCTTTCTTCTTTAAAGCATTGAAGGAAATCTCTGTCAAAACCTAAGTGAACACAAGCTAAAGGGACAGAGACTTCAGAGACTACACACAACAAGAAATGCAGATTTTACAAAAAAATAGTTTATAAAAAGCAATAAACAAAAACAACTACAACTGATGGCAAACAGCAAACACTCCTGAGAGGACAGAAAGGAAGAAATCTAATTTCTAGAGTTGTTACATATAATATTCAAAATGTCCAGTATTTACCAAAATATTATGTATCATGTGAAGAAAAAATAAATTATGGCCCATGGATAGGAGAAAGTAACAGAAATTGTGCCTGAGGAAGCACAGACATACTTACAAGACAGACTTAAAATCAATAGTCTTGAATAAGTTTACAAAGCTCATGGAAACCATGAACAAAGAGCTAAAGGACCATGAGAACAATGTCTCAATAAATAGAGTATATTGATAAAGAAACAGAACTTATATAAAGTGACAAAACAGTAATTATGGAGGGGCTAAGTACAATGACATGAATGAAAAACTAGTTTGTGAGTGTCTACAGCAGATTTGAGCAAGAAGAATCACCAGAAAATTTTAAATTAGTTTATTTGAAATTATCTAGTCTGAAAGCAAAATTGAGAAGAATTTAGAAAAATGGAAGAACCTAAGAGAATTGCGGGATACCATAAAGCTTATCAACATATGTATAACAGTGACCTTAGAAGGAGAGGAAAGAGAAAAAGAGACAATATTTAAAGAAATCATGACTGAAAACTTCCCAAATTTGATAAACGACATAAATTTACACATCAAAGAAGCTCAGCAGACTCCAAGAGGGATAAACAGATATCTATACCGAGATGCATTTATAAGCAAGGAGCTGAAAGTGAAAAAGAAAGAGAAACATCTTTAAGTGAGAAAGAAAGAAGGCAAATGTCACACACCAGTGATCCTCAATAAGATTATCAGTCTTGGTTAAAGATTTCTCATAGAAACCAGAGGCCAGAAAGCAGTAGAATTACATATTTAAATTACTGAAGAAACCCCTGTTAATCAAGTATTCTATATTTGCCAAACCTATTCTTCAAAAATAAAGAAAAAACTTTTGTTTATTTCCAAATAAAGAAAAAACTTTTGTTTATTTCCAAATAAAGAAAAAACTTTTGTTTATTTCCAAATAAATAAAAGCATGGGGAGTTTATTAGTAGCAAATCCTTCCTACAAGCAATGCTAAAGGCAGTCTTCCAGGCAGAAATAAAAGGATACCTGACAGTAACTTGGAGTCATACAAAGAGAAAAAGAACATCGGGACAGGTAACTACATAGGTAAATTTTAAGAGTCAGTTTTATTATATTTTTGGTAGCTTTTTTCCCATTATTTAAAAGACACATGTATAAGATAATAATTATAAATCTACATTAATCTGCACACAATGTAAAGATATAATTTATGGCACAACAACATTAAGTAGAAGTATAAAGATAGATATTTTGTTATTAATTCAATCTAGATTGGTATAAATTTAAGATGTTTACTAACCCACATAAGAAAAAAAACTGAAAAATAAATACGGAAAAGGAAATGAAGAGTAAATTTAAAAGGTTCCACAGAAAAAAAATCAATCAAAACAATCTCAAACATACAGAGCCTCCCACTCCATTCTGAGCCACCTAAAGCTGAGAGTGGAGTGACACAAGCACCCCTGTGATCGTCACTGCTATGATTGTGCTGGGTCAGACCTGAAGCCAGCACAGCCACTGGGTCTTGCCTGAGACCTGCTACAACCATTCCCTGACTACTGCCTATGTGCCTATGTTCACTCAAGGCCCTGGGCTTTACAATTAGCAGGTGGCAAAGCCAGCCAGGCCTGTGTCCTTCCCTTCAGGGTGGTGAGGTCCCCCAGGCTGGGTCCAGGAGTGCTGTCCAGGAGTCAAGGACTACAGTCAAAAGCCTTAGAAATATACCCAGTATTCTATTGTATTATGGCTGAGCTGCCACTCGAAGCACAATACGCAGTCCTTTCTACTCTTCCTTCCTCTTTCCAAAGGTAGAGGAGCCTCATACCATAACCACTGCCAACTCTGGCCATGAGGAGTACTGCCGGATTACCACCAATGTTCCTTTAAAGCCCATGGTCACTTAAATCAGCTTGTGGTGAATGCTGCCTGGCCTGGAACTCACCCTTCAAAGCAGTTGGCTCCCCTCTGGCCCAGGACAGGTCCAGAAATGCCATCCAAGAGTCAAGTCCTGAAACTGCAGACCCCAAGTGCCCACTTGGTGCTCTGCTCCCCTGTGCGGTGTTTCCCCTTTACTATTCCCTCTGCTTTTCTTAGGAAGGAGTTTTGCCCCATGGCCACTAGATCTGGTGAGGTGCTGAGTCTCCCTTAAAGCCATCAAGTCTTGGAGACTCACCAAGAGCCTTGTAGTACCTGGCTATTGCTGCTGGTTATTCAGGGCCCAAAGGCTCTTCAGTCAGCAGGTGATAAACCCTGGGAGGACTGGGTCTTTTCCTTTAAAGCAGCAGGTTCCCTTCTGTCCCAGGGTGTGTCTAGAAATGTAGTCTGGTACCTAGGGCTTGGAATGGGGGCTTCATGACCCTGACCAGTGCCCTAACCTGCTGTGGCTGAGCTGATATCTAACATGCAAGACAAAGTCTTTCCCTGTCTTCTGTCTCCTCTCCTCAAACAGAAGAAAGGCAACTCTTTTGGAGCCAGCAGCTGTGCAGACTTAGGTTAGAAGAGGGGTGATGCCAACATTCCCTTGACTGCCCAAGCTGGTGTCTCAAAATGTCACGTGCCCCCTAGTTCACTGTCTCTGGGCCTAGTTCAGCCCCAGGACTCACCTAAGAGTTGCAGTCCTAATGGCTTAGACTTCCTTCCAAGTTTACTTACAGACCAAGAGCACTTTGGTTCTTGGTGGTGAGGTTTGCAAGCACTCAAGTTGGGATCACTGGGATCGAAAATTCCCCTCTGGCTAGGGCTGGCTTCAACTAGACTGACAAAGAAAAATAGAAAGAAGCTTCAAATTACTAAAATCAGAAACGAAAGTGAAGACATTGCTACTGACCTTACTGAAATTAAAAAAAAAATTATAGAAGTTCACGAATTGGAAGATTTAATATTGTTAAGATGGTAATCCTACTCAAAGCAACCTATAGATCCAATGCAATCCCCATTAAGATTCCAATGGCTTTCTTTGTTAAAGTGAAAAAACTGATCCTTAAATTCATATGAAGTTGCAAGGAGCTCCAAATAGCCAAAATAATACTGAAAAGTAAGAACACATACAGAGGACTGCAGTTTTTCATTTCAAAACTTACTAAAAAACTGCCATGTTCAAAATAAGGTAGTACTGGAATGAAGATAGATATATGGACTATTAGAATAGAATTGAAAGTCCGGAAATAAATTCATACCTCTGAATAATTTATTTTCAGCAGGGATGCCAAGACCACTTAATAAGGAAATGAGTAGCCTTTTCACAAATAATGCTGGACATCTGAACATCCACAAGCAAAAGAAGACAGTTGGACCCTTACAACTTATATTAAAATTAACTCAAAATGTACCAGTGACCTAATGGGCAACTTATGGGTAGAGCTAAAATCATAAAACTCTTAGAAGAAAACATAGCTAAATCTTTGTAACCTTGGATTTGCCAGTAGATTCTTAAATATGACACTTAAAGTATAAGCAACAGAAGAAAAAATAGATAAGTTGGATTCCATAGAAATGAAAAAGTTGAAGGCATCAAAAACATTATTAAAAAAGTGAAAAGGCAGCCTACAAGATTTGAGAAAATACTTGTGAATCATATTTGCCTTTGATAATTGTGTAGTATCCAGAAGATATAAAAACATCTTATAACTCAAAAACAAAAAGACAAACAACCTAATTAAAAATATTCAAAGGACTTGAATAGACATTTCTCCAAAGGGGATGTGCAAACGGCCAACAAACACATGATAAAGTGTGTAAAATTATTAGGTATTAGGGAAATGCAAATCAAAATCACAACGAGATACTGCTTCACAACTACTTGGATGAATATAATAAAAATATAAAATAAAAGGGTCAGAGAGTATGTGGGAAATAGAAACCCTTGTACATTGCTACTGGGAATGTAAAATGGTGCAACTGCTGTGGAAAATATGTTCACGGTTCTTCAAGAAACTAAAACATAGAATTCCCACTTGACCCAATAATTCCTCTCCTACATGTATACCCAAATGAATAAAAACCAGGCACTCAAACAAATTCTTATTTATGAATATTTGTAACAACAGCACTATTTTAAATAGCCAAAAGGTAGAAACAACTAAAATGTCCATCACAACATGAATGGGTAAATTAAATGTGATATATACATACAATGAAATATTTTCAACTATAAAAATGAATAAAGTACCAGTAATTCATGCTACAATATCAATGAACCTTGAAAACGCAATGCTAAGTGAAATAAACAAAGCACAAAAGAAAAACATTGCATAATTCCATGTGTATAAAATGTCCAGAATATACGTCTGTCTATGGAGACACAAAGCACATTGCTAATTACCAGGGTCAGGAGGTAGGAGGAAATGTCAATGACTGCTTAATGGGTAGTAGGCCTTCTTTTGGGGTGAATAATTTGTTTTGGAACTTGATATGAGAATAATTGATATTAAATGCCACTTTAAAATGACATTTAAAATCTGAAAGAAAACAGCCAATTTTATGTTATTTGAATTTTATCAAGTTTTAAAAACCCCATAAACTATATGAAGCCATAAATCATCAAGCTGTTGATTACTTAATAATACGGAGGAAATGTCCATGATATAAAGTTAAGTATACATAGAAGTTCACTAACCTGTTCATTCAGTATAGCCAAGAATTATTATAGCATAGATATTCTTATATATTCATCTTGAATAGCAGAAATATATCAAATTTTAATAATTATCTCTGGTTAGTACTGGGATTTGGGTAATTTTCATTTTCATCTTCTTAATGTTTTTAACTTTCTGATTTTTATTTATTAAACATGCATTGTTTTCTATAAAAAAGACAATAGTCATTATTTAAAAAGGAAAAAAATGTAATGGGAGTTCAGTTTTCAGCTAATACATGTAAAAAACTTCCCAAGTTGTCATTTTCATCCTTAAAATAAGAAGAAGCTGAATAGACTGAAAATTCAGTGTTTTATCTTGGCTCCATTGGAGAACTATGATTGCAAGGTAAACCACCACCCTAAAATCTGGAGAGGTGGGCAAATTCATAGTCACAGAGGAAACTTGCTTTTCTGGAGCAAAAGCCACTGGAACCATAAATGAGTAGGATCACCTAATTGGTATTTTTAACAATTTGATGGAGACTTCATAGTGACTCCTAGGAAAGTGAGAAACTCCTGGTTGCTGCAGACTTAGGAGGCCATGCTTGCATGTGCTTTCCCTATGGAACACAACCAGATCATCACAGGGAGGACTAGAGAAATATGCCTCTCATGGTTCTTGCAGGAGGAGAATGAGTTTAAACCTTATGAAATAAACCAGGCAAAGAGAAAGAGCAGTTCTCCCATTCCAGCTGCCTTTAACCTCCCTGTCTCACTTAAGGGGAAACAAAAGTTAAGAAACACGTTGAGAGTCATAGGCCCACTAGAAGACCAATTTAATGATAAGTTTAATGATAAGATTATAGGGTCTCTCCTCTCCATACCTTACCTCACAACAACGAGGCTCCAGTAAAGTAGTGGTGCATTACAATGAGGAATTTGACTTCAGATCAAAATCCTATGGGTCACTTTTTTTAACTCAAAGATAAACAATTATAAAGCAAAGACTAAAAATCAAAACCACTGTAACAGAAATTAGAAATGCCTATTATGGGCTTGTCAATAGACTGGGCATAGCTGACTAAAGAATCTTTGGGTTTAAAGATTTGTTAGGAAACTTCTCAAACTGAAATGCAAAGAGAAAAGAGAATGAAAACAAGCAAGCAAACAAGAAGAAACTATCAAAGGATTATGGAACAATTTTAAAAAGTAGAGCACACACATAATTGGATTACCAAAAGAAGCAAAACAGGAGAAAAAAATTATAAGAAGCAGCTAAAAAAATGGCCAAGCATTTTTGAAAATTAATGACAGACACCAAACCCACAGATCCAGTAATCCCAGTTAATACTGTTTTGATGTATTTAATTTTTAGGTCATAATGTATATTTGTGTTAGTAGGATAGGGAAGGGAGTGGACTCAGAAAGAAAGCAAATAAATAAAATAATCACTATGCAATCAAATGGTGAATGTTTCCAAAAAGGAAAAAAAGCAATTTAATTTGATTAGGAATTCAATTGGTAGAGTGTCAGGATTTCAGGGTGCCTTACATTGGGTGGGCAGGGTAACCTCTGTTACATAGTGATTTTTTTTAGCTGAAATTTAAATAAGAAGAAAATGGAGAACTGAGAATATATACTCTAGGTGATGACAACCGAGAGAAGGCCCTAAGGTTGTAAATATATTCATGTTTTTAAGAAACAGAATATAGACATAATAACTGAAGAATGCTGAATGAGGAAGACAGAGGCAGGAGATTAGGCAAGAAATATGCTTACATACCCAGTCTAGAGAATCAATGTAATGAGAAGTCTTTCAATGGTCTGATTAGCTCTGAAAAGGTGGTATCTCTGACTGCTATGTAGCAAATGAATTACACATGAGTAGACAAAGGAAACTTACTGCAGTAGTTCAAGTTAGAGGTTATAGTGACTTGTACTAAAAAGAAAGTAATGGAAAAGCAAGAAGTGGAAAGACTCTGGATGTACATTTTTGGTAAAACTGGAAAGATTTGCTGATGGGGTAGATGTGAGAGGAAGGATAAAAGCAAATATAAAGAGCAGGTTTTTGGCTTGTGCAATGAGTGGCATGACTGTGTCATTTTTGAAGGTAGGAAAGACTGAGGGAGGAACATATTTGAGAACAGAAATTGAAAATCCTATGTGGAATATTTTATGGGTAAGGTGCTTGTATGTATGCACACATATTTAATTGAAAGGATAAAGTAGGAAAATTATAGGATTTTCAGGAATTGTTGAGTGTCTATTTGAGACTTTTAGTCATAAACTTAAAAAAATATTATTCATCATGTTTATGTGAACTTTTCCAGTAGTGTTCAGATGCTAAGGGGAGGCACAATAAAGTCTGATATGTTTTTTCCCATATCAAGTTATGTTTTATCCATTTAACTGGAATGGAGAAAGAATAGAGAAAGGAAATTTAGGAAGCTTGCATCAGACAGAGTTGTTATGACAAACCAAGCCTGGTATATAATGATTAGGTACCAAATTTCACCCAAACAATATTTAATTCACTTCCAATGAAACTTTCCATGCCTTAGACACCCAAAGTATATCATTCTCAGTGATTTAAATCACTGGAAAACTTTCTATTAGGTTGTTGCAAATGTAATTGCCGTTTTTGCCATTACTTTCAATGGCAAAAACCACAACTACTTTTGCACCAAGGTAATACAAAGTTATAATTCCTCTGTGTATCTACTCAATATATAGAAAGCATGAGATTCTTGCCATCCAACACCATCTTGCTTTTAAAAAACAGCTGTATATTTTTAAAAAATAAGTATATATTAGATTTGAAACATTTGAAGTCTTCCAGTATGGGTTTGTTTGATTGAGGTAATGAAGGCCAGATGTAATCAGGTTATCTCACTGTGTAAGAAGGGGAACTCTAGGCTAAGAAATATCTAGAATCTGCTGAATCTGTGTCATCATGGTCAAATTCAATCTCTCCAAGCATAAATTTACTCATCTACATAACTGCCTATATTATAAGGGAGATTATATGATATATGCTAATGTTGGAGCTTAGAAAATGATACCCCAAAGAATGGTGCTTTGGCATGCTGAACACTTTGAATTGAAGGAAACTGGAAAGTCTTAACAGTTGCCTGAGAAACAAGGTCACTGACTTTCCCTTGTTTCTCTACCTCCCTCCTGTCCCCCAAGCACAGGGAGGGACTCTCTCTGAAGTTTCCTTATCTGAATGAACAAAATTCTTCCAAAAGGAATGCAATTGTCTTGACTTCTCCCTAGGAAATCTCATCAATTCATCAAACAACCAGGGAAGATTAATCACCAGAGAGGAGATTAAATGTCATTATCGTATCCAGATAGGCAATCACCTCTTCTTCTGGAGACTGCTCTGAAACAACTTTTATTACAGGAGAGACTTTATCTGCATAATGAAACAACCTTTGTTCATCATGTGGTTCCTCTCCTTTCCCTCAGGTAACTCGTTACCACCTCCCGCAAAAGCCCCAAGCCCTTCTTCCCTTATAGCATAAAAACATCAACTATCTGGTCCCGCCTTTGAGTCTTGTATTCTTTTGTTAGGCTCCCATGCACATACATGAAATTAAATTTTTTTTACTCCTGTAAATCTGTCTATTGCCAGTTTATTTTAACAGAGGCAATTATTGAAACTTCAGAGGGAAAATTTAAACTTCCCTATAATATACATCATACATAACATGTAACCTGACAGTAAATTTAGCTTAATGCAAGTTAGCTATAATTTTTATCAACAAAGGCAGAAAAGTCTGCAGCATGTGTCCTGATGACACATGTTCAGTTTGCTATAATCTGATCTAAATCGATTCATCTGATAGAGTATTTGAAAGCTAAATTTAGTACAGTTATTAGAAGGACTTTCTTGCCAAGTTAAGGAGTTTAAATTCTATTCTAAGGTAAGGAGAAGTGATTGGAGACTTTTGAATTCAAGTGATCAAAAAATAACACTAAGGATAGGCATTTGGCATCAGAAATAGACTATATTGGAAAAGATTAAAATTGATAGATCTGTTAAGAAGCTCTATTTCAAGTTGAATTAAAGAATTACCCTCACAGTAGTGACATGTACAGTCAATTGATAAAATACTAAAAATATGTAAGTAAAATTCAAAGAAAAGAAAGAAAAAATTGGAGGTAGCAGCAACAAAATGTCAACTGAAAACAAGAATGTATAAGCTAGAAGTGGTTCTACAATTTCAAGTACCTTCAGACCAAAATATAGGCCTAATCACAAAGAAACAGGGTACTTCCTCAGTTTATGGGTTATATAGAGACCTTGAATTGAACTCCTGCACGAAGCTAGTGACATTAAAGTTATGTACTACCCCTAGAAAGGAACCTAAACATTGTCTGTCAACTCAGGAGTTTTGAAATAAAGTTTATGTAGTGCCCTGTCTATGGGAGGTAAAAAAAAAAGTCATCGATGAGAAACTGAATCTTTAAGCTGGCACCCTACTTTGAAGAATCATCTTAATGCAATATTTTACTGTAATTTGGAAATTTTCAGCCTGAAAAATTAAAATGAAAGGTGGTTTCAGAACCGTAATATTCTAGCACCCTGACATAAAAAAAAAAAAAAACAGCTGCTTTATTGAAAAAATCCTTAAACCGGGGGAAATTAGATTCCCACAAATAGAATAATATTAACTAACTTAACAGAAAATAATAGTAATGATAGCAAATTGTAATAAAATATAAACCCCATGAACTATGAGTCATTACAATGCATACTGAACAGTTACAAGTGAAAGGGAGAAAAATTATTTTTCTAAAACTGAAGTAATGGAATAACCTGAAAGCTTTATAATGTAAACTTCATTTAAAGAGAAATATATCGTTTAAAATGTTACAAAAAAAAGCAAGTTGAAAACAAATGAAACCAAACTGAAAAAAAAATGTAATGGATGATTAAAAAGTGGAATGGTTCATAAGGTAGTAGGGAATGGGTGATCAGAATGCAAAGGAGGGTTCAGGTTGGCTGATGTGGATTTGACAGCCAACCATGAGATTCAAATAACATTGTATTCTCAAGATGTGAATCTTGTGGTTGGCTGTCCAATGTTTGTTACAGCAAAAACAAAACACAAAACATAACTGAGGATCTCTCTGCAGGAAATACTTTTATCAGAAGGCAAAATGGTGGAAAACAATGTTAAAATCAAAAAGAAGTATACCAAGGACAATACTCAATTGAATTTCCAGGGTTTTTAGAACTTCTAGTGTTTCAAATAAAGAATCAGGCATTGGCCAGGCATCAGTCACAGGACACAAAATATCTCTCTCTCTCCTCTCTCCCTCTGTTTCTGTTCTGTATCTACATATTGAATCACAAATAATGTGATTCATAGAGGGCAAATAAAACTTATGCCTTTTGGCCAGGCCAGTGGCTCACGCCTGTAATCCCAGCACTTTGGGAGGCCGAGGTGGGTAGATCACTTGAGGTTAGGAGTTCAAGACCAGTCTGGCCAACATGGTGAAACCCCATCTCTACAAAAATACAAAAATTAGCCAGGCATGGTGATGGGTGCCTGTAATCCCAGCTACTCGGGCTGCTGAGGCAGGAGAATTGCTTGAACTCGGGAGGCGGAGTTTGTGGTGAGCTGAGATCCTGCCACTGCACTCCAGCCTGGGTACAGAGCAACACTCTGTCTCAAAAAGCAAACAAACAAACAAACAAACAAAAAAACCTTATGACTTTGGATCTGAAATCCTGATGCTAACAAAATGTGACTTTTTAAAATTTCTTTAAGGTGCCATTATTAGAACATTTTGAGAGGGAAATACATATCTTGAGTACTGTTGGAATCCAGAATGAATACATTACATGGCATGTTGGATTTTAATAGTGTATTTAAAATAATATGATAGGAGGATCTGATTTTTGTCAGAAACCATGAACTGAATAATTTATTTTATAATAAAAATTTATCCATTGAATCAATGTGTAGTGTTTAGGCACTTTCTCTATGTTTAGTTTCCATTCATACCGTAAATTGTAATGAATTCTTTAGAGCAAATAGGTTATAAATTGTGAATTCATATGAATGATAATGCACAGTTCCATGTGACAAATTTGTGAGAAGAAATAAGTAGTAAAATATTTCTTAAGGGATATTTGTGAACCTCTTGATTTCTTCTGAAACATAAATGTGGAATTATTAATACTTTAACTCTCAATGAAGGTGTATTTCAGAATAAAGTAATCTAGTTTTGCTATTTAATACTCACTGTATGTGTGCAAATTATGGACACATATATGTTCTACGTATAGACTATAGGTCAAAGGATTTCTAGATATGTATTATGCAAGTTTTGTGTCTAAATTAACAAATTCCAAGTTAATTTTAACTCCTTGTACTATACATAAGAATATATCTATTATTTTACATAATTCAGGGCCTGTTCACTTTTACATAAAATTTTTTGAAATTTGCAATTTGAGAAAATCATAATTAAAATCCTAGACTGACATTCTACTAGTACCTATTAAAAATACATTATTTAGAAAACATATTAGAAACATTGTCATCCTTCAGTCTTTCCATAGGCTTCATAAATTATTTTGGATACCTAATACCTCTTCTTTTTAAAACTATAGAGTAGAATTAATATGAAAAAACTTGAAGTCTTGGATAAATTTAATGCATTTCAAATCCATAGTGAGATATAGCTGCTATAGAGCAAATATAAATTTAAGGTTTTTAAATGAGTATATGGTATCTAAAATGTGACCTGCATAGATTTGTTCTATTTTACTCAAGTCTGACAATAATGGTAATATTAGATTCAGTTCTATGTTCCATACCTTGAAAGATATTGATCAAGTTTCATGCATTCAGCGAAAAACAAAAAAGGTGATAAAAATGAAAAGCAATGAAAGGAACAGGAGACATTTACAATAAAGAAAAGAGGATTGCCAGCAATATGCCACTTATTGCCAAAATTTGAAGACCTGTCATATGGAAGAAAGATTGGATTTGTGTTCTGTGACTCTAAACAGTAGAACTAAAAATAATGTGGTGACTCGAGGGGAGAACAATTTTAGTTCAATACATGGCAATACTGTCTCTGCTTTGTAATGATGTACCCAACAAAATTAAAGACACTTCTACTGCGATTTCCTTGAGTGGTTTCAAGTTTCATCTGATGTTGATTTCTTCATTTATAGTGAGCTCTATTTTTAATTACTGCTAATATATCACACTTAAAAACTAACTTTGAGATGAAGAGTGGCACCATGAAGTGGTGGAATGAGCAAGGTGTTTAGACTCACAAAGATTTGGCTTTCGAATGTAGTCTTTGCCTTGTAAGAGCCCTTTACTTCACAAGCCCTTTATCATCTGTTAAAAGAAATTAATAATATCTTCTCAATTTTTTTGCTTTTGTATATTGAGCTCTAGTCTTCTGGTCACTCAAAGCCTAAAATGCAGTGGCAGAAGAGTAGTGTAAAAACTAATTCTAAAAGCCAACTTTCTGGGTTTAAATTCTAGCTTGGCTATTTAAAAGCCATGGGACCTAGACGAAATCACTTCACTTCTATGAGTCTCAATTTCTTCATCTCCAAATTCAGACAACAATAGCAGTTATTTAATAGATTTGTTATAGTGTTACATGAATAAGCACAAATAAAGCTCTTAGAAAATAATGACACATGGTAAAAGCTTAGTAAATATTTCATCTTATTAGTTATTAGTCTATTCTTTTTTTTTTTCTTTGAGATGGAGTCTCACTCTATTGCCCAGGCTGGAGTGCAGTGGTGCAATGTCTGCTCACTGCAACATCTGCCTCCAAGGCTCAAGCGAGTCTCCTGCCTCAGCCTCCCAAGTAGCTGGGATTACAGGTGCCCACCACTATGCCCAGATAATTTTTGTATTTTTAACAGAGATGGGGTTTCACCATTTTGGCCAGGTTGGTCTTGAACTCCTGATCTCAAGTGATCCAACCACTTTGGCCTTCCAAAGTGCTGGGATTACAGGGATGAGACACTGCAAGTGGCCAGTCTATTCTTTATAACTCGCTGATTACACAACCCATGTCTAATTGTTCTTTCAATTCTTCTATTTCCCTAACTATTCTTTTTTCCATTCCTTCTACTATAATTGTATTTTTTTAGGTTATTTTTACCACTTATTGGATTTCTCATACTAAACTTCTAACTGGCTGACTTCCTCCTTTTCACCCTTCCAGCCCAGTTTGAAATTGCTGTCAAGTCTTCCCAGAAAAACTATTCATCATTTTTCTACCTTTTTCCATATATGCTGAAAACCTCTCTAAAATGAAGACTTCAAAATCTGTCCTGAACCTACAACTTCCAGATATCTTCAACTATTTCCACAGAATCTTCTACCTCAGCCTTCTTTTGTATTTTTTTTTCCTAAATTTGCATCTCTATTCATCCACCAACCCTTTAGCTAGAAGAACTTGGCCTACTAACATTTTGGCAGTCCTTTAAACTTCTTCCTGAATTTGATTCCACATTACCACACCCTTAGGCTTTCATTGATCTCTCCCTACAATGAAATTTCATTATGCCAGGTTATCTATCATATTATTTTCATAATGTATACCTTGTGTATTGAAATTTATTTTGAGATATCTTGTAACTTTTCACAATATTTAGCACCAGTTTTACCAAATAAAAATATTGACTACTATGTATGGATTCTTTTAATAAATTTGAAGTCTTTTGTCAGTTAGAATATTAATTATACCCTCTAATGTCAATTAGATTATTAATTATATATTATTAATTATTATTAATTATGCCTAGTTTGGCCTTTCACATACTAAGTTTTCAAATATGTGCAGATTGGTGGACCAACATAACTGTAAGTGTGTGGAATAGTCTGTTCTCACTGCTAATAAAGCTATACCTGAGAATGGGTAATTTATAAAGAAAAAAAGGTTTAATGGGCTCACAGTTCCATATGGCTGAGGAGGCCTCACAGTCATGGCAGAAGGCAGAGGAAGAGCAAAGGCAGGTCTTACATGGTGGCAGTCAAGAGAGCATGTGCATGAGGGCTACCCTTTATAAAACCATCAGATTTTATGAGACTTATTCAGTATCACAAAAATAGCACTGAAAAAACCCGCACCCATGATTCAATTACCTCCCACTAGGTCCCTCCCATGACATGTAGGGATTATGGGAGCTACAATTCAAGATAATATTTCAGTGGGGACACAACCAAACCATATCATTCTCCCCCTGGCCCCTCACAAATCTCATGTCCTCACATTTCAAAAGCAATTATGCCTTCCCAATAGTGTCCCAAATCTAAACTCATTTTAGCATTAACTCAAAGATTCACAGTCCAAAGTCTCATCTGAGACAAGGCAAGTCCCTTCTGTCTATGAGCCTGTAAAATCAAATCAAGTTAGTTACTTCCTAGATACAATGTTGGTACAGGCATTGGGTAAGTATGTCCATTCCAAATGGGAGAAATTGGCCAAAACAAAGGGGCTACAAGCCCCATGCAAGTCTTAATCTAATAATACAGTCATTAAAACTTAAAGTTCCAAAACAATTTGACCCCATGTCTCACATCCAGGTCATGCTGATGCAAGAGGTAGGTTCCCACAGCCTTGGGCAGCTGCACTCCTGTGGCTTTGCAGGGTACAAGCCCCATCTTGGCTGCTTTCATGGGCTGGTGTTGAGTATTTGTGGCTTTTCCAGGTGCCTGGTGCAAGTTGTAGGTGGATCTACCATTCTGGGGTCTGGAGGATGTTGGCTCTCTAGTCACAGTTCCTCTAGGCAGTGCCTCAGTGGCAACTCTGTGTGGAGGCTCCAACCCCACATTTCACTTCTGCACTGCCCTAGCAGAGGTTCTCCATGAGGGCTCCGCTCCTGTAGCAAACTTCTGCCTAGACATCCAGGCGTTCCCATATATCCTCTGAAATCTAGATGGAGGTTCCCAAACCTCAATTCTTGACTTCTGTGTGCCTGCAGGCCCAAGACCACACGTGAGCTGCAAAGGCTTGGGGCTTGCACCCTCTAAAGCAATGGACTGAGCCTGAGTGGTACTTTGGCATCTAGCAAAGGCTGGAGCTGAAGCAGCCAGGATGCAGGGCACCATGTCCTGAGGCTGCATAGAGCAAAGATGCCCTGGGCCCAGCCCACAAAACAGATTTTCTCTCCTAGGCCTCTAGGGCTTTGATGGGAGGGGTTACCATGAAAGTCTCTGACATACCCTAGAGATATTTTCCACATTGTCTTGGTGATTAACATTTGGCTCCTGGTTACTTATGTAAATTTCAGAAGCTGACTTGAATTTCTCCCCAGAAAATGGGGCTTTCTTTTCTATTGCATCATTATGCTGTAAATTTTCCAAACTTTTATGCTCTGCTTCCTCTTGAATGCTTTGCCCCTTAGAAATTTATTATGTCAGATAACCTAAATCATCTCTCTCAAGTTCAAAGTTCCACAGATCTCTGGGGCAGGGGCAACATGCCACCAGTCTCTTTGCATAGCAAGAGTGACCTTTACTCCAGTTCCCAACAAGTTCCTCAACTCCATCTAAGGCCACCTCAGCTTGGACTTAATTGTCCATATCACTATCAGTATTTTGGTAAAAGCCATTCAACAAGTCTCTAGGAAGTTCCTAACTTTCCCACATCGTCCTGTCTTCTGAGCCCTCCATGCCTCTAGTAAGTTCCATACTTCCCCACATTTTCCTGTCTTCTTCTGAACCCTCCAAATGGTTCTGACATCTGCCCATTACCCAGTTCCACAGTTGCTTCCCCATTTTTGAGTACCTTTTCAGCAGCGTCCCACTACCTAGTAACAATTTACTGTAATATCCTGTTCTCACACTGCTAATAAAGACATGCCTGAGACTGAGTAATTTACAGAGAAAAAGAGGTTTAATGGATTCATAGTTCCACATGGCTGGGGAGGCCTCACAATCATGGTGGAAGGCAAAGGAGGAGCAAAGGCAGGTCTTATGTGGTGGCAGATGTGTGCAGGGAGTCTGCCCTTTATAAAATCATCAGATATCATAAGACTTACTCAGTATCACAAGAACAGCATGGGAAAAACCTTCCCCCATGATTCAATAACCTCCCAACTGGTCCCTTCCATGACATGTGGGGATTATGGGGGCTACAATTCAAGATGAGATTTGGGTAGGGCACAGCCAAACCATATCTGTATGCCTCCACTTCTTACAAACTTTGTGATATTTTATATAATTAAAAAAAATTACCCTCTCACAATTGTTGCAATCAGTGAAAGTTACAGGAATTAGCTATAAATTATATTTTATAAATTAGTTTCTATTTGCATAGCAGTTTTGGAAATTCAAATGAATTTTTTGTTTTGTTTTGCACTGAGAGTAGATAGTTTTAGAAAGAGAAATGGTGGAACAGTAGAAAAAACATAAGGTTCTGAATTAAAAGACTTAGGTTTTAGTCTTGGTTTTGCCATTTCCTAAGTGTTGGCTGTAAGCAAATAACTTAGTCTCCAAGTCTCTTTCTTCTTGTGTAGAATGTGTGTGATAATTCTGACAATCTGTAAGCTCCTCATAGGGTGTTTGTCTGTTTTGTTCACTATCGTATCTCAAATATTCAGAACAATATCTGCTACAGAAGAAATACTTAATATATTTGTTGGCTAAGCACCTCCTCCAAGAAAAGTACTTGTCATGATGAAAAATATTAATGCTTGTGAATGGGTTTTGATAAGGAGCTCCTTATTTTTATGCTAAATTTTATGTAAGTTCCTTAAGAAAAGAACAATCATTTAACAACTCTTCCCTACTTTCTGACATGTGGGAAGTGCACTATTGACTCATAACATTCCTGAAGGTGGAAGTGGAGGCTGACAATAGTAATTCCTGTACTTGTATTTGTCATTGTACTTGTATGCCATTGATTGCCTTGAATTTCCTCTTGTCATTTTAAGTATGCTCTGACTGATACAGTTTACAGAGCTAATCTGTACTTGTGTGTCAAAGTCAGGTGTCACTAAGGTACAATCCAGACTGGTAAAGCTATATGTGAGTGTAAGATTTTTTAGAGATATATTAAAATATGTAAAGACATTCAGGGAAAACAGTCAAATTAATACATACTGGCCCTGTTATGGAATCTAAATTATGAACTATCCTTCCAATCTAAAAAATGTATTGCATTCCTACTATGTAAACAGAGATGAACATAATGCATTCACATTATATTTGTTTTTCTTAGGAAAACTATAACTTAGCCTCATTAAACCAATTAATTCTTAGCCCCATCCATACAAATGCAGTAAATATGATTTACAGTGAAAAATGAAACAAAATGAAAAGACAAGAACTTAGGCAATTAATTTCCAGACAATGTCAAGCCATACCATATAGTTTGGATGTTTGTTCTTCAAACCTTATGTTGAAATATGATACCCAACGTTGAAGTTGAGGTCTAAGTGGAGATGTTTGGATCAAGGGAGTGGATTCCTTATGAAGTGATTAATGCCCTTCCTGGGGAGGGTAATTGAGCAAGTTCCTATTCTATAAGTTATGGTGAGAGCTAGTTGTTAAAGAGAAGTTGTCACCTCCCCTCTCTCTCTTGCTTCTGCTCTTACCATGTGATCTCTGCACACACTGGCTCCCCTTCCCGTTTTGCCATGAGTGGGAGGAGCTTGAGGCCCTCATTAGATGCAAATGCCAGAACCATGCTTTTTTACAGCCTCCAGAGCCATGAGCCAAATAAACATATTTTCCTTATAAATTACCCAGCCTCAGGTATTCCTTTATAGCACACAAATACACTAAGACAAGCAATAATTGTAGTAATATCATTAGCATTTCTTTTAAAAGTGTTGTGTGTCCTACAAAGCTAGGACTCACCTGTTTTCTTCATCACTACATCCCCCTGGACTATATTTGTTGAATGAATAAATAAGTAAATAAATAACATATTAAGAATTCAAATAAGTTGCCAGGGAAATCCAAAATGAAAAGATTTATTTTCGATGAGAGAATTTGAGAAAGGTTTTTAGAAGATAGAGAATTGTGTTGGGGTTTAGTGGAAGAGTGGGAATCTTGTTACATGAAAAGATACAAGATATAACAAATACCTTCAGAGTGGTATTTTATGCAAAAGACTGGGCATAATCCTATTTCTTGAAGTAAAGAAAGGAACAATATTCAACAACTAGAGATTTAACGATGACAGAAGAGAAGATTAGAATGTAGACTAGAATGTGCTCAACTAGAGTATACCCTAGTTCCTTGAGACACCAGGCTTTGGAGTTTGGATTTAAGTTTACATTAAAGACATTGTATGTACTTTACAATTATTATTCTTATAACATTGTGTGGATGGTACTGATAGTAGAGAAGATGGAGCCAAAGAGTTTGTTGGAATAATAAAAAATAGCTCAATAGAGAGATAACTTGTTTGAAATGCAGTATGAGAGTGGGAAGGAAAGACTGCATGAAACTATCCTGTATATAGCCTTATTTAAAATGGTATCTCAACCCAGTTTTGAGGTATTGGCTAGAGGCTGGTCAGTTTCCCTTCTTGAGCAGCTGGTGAAACATACAACAAAACCAATTATCAAACTGTTAAACTCCAAGTCCCTATGCACCTGTCCTAATTGACCCAACGCCAATTACAATACAACTAGGGGGAGCCACTGTGCCCTGAACCCAATAAATTATTCAAATTAGCCAATCTTCAGGAAGCCCACTAAACATATAGCTAGCCCCATCTTGCTTGCCATGCATAAACTGCCCCAACAGCTCCAGCTTACTGTTACTCTGCCCCCAGTCGTAATTCTTTGAGTGGCCCTGCCTGCCAGCCTTCTCTCTTTAGGAGCTATAATAAAAATTGGTGTATTTTATGTATCCTAGTAGTATTGTGTTGTATCTTGCCATCTAAAGGAGATTTAAATCTTTTAAAAACACATCCCAAGTCAAATTTATGATCATCTGGTAGCTAAACGGAGGGAGTAGAGTAAAATATTTAGTGGAGTAGAGGGCATAAAAATTCAAGGAATCATCAAAGTAAAATATGCAGCAAAAAGAAATCCAAGTACTGAAGTCTGGGGAGTGCCTATATGTATGGAGTGGACTGAGGAGGGTATAAGCAAGAAGTCAGAGTAAACGATTGAAGCCATAGCAGGAAAACTGGAAGAAAACAAGCCAAGGATCATTATGGGGTCTGTATCCATGAAGAATTTAGCAACCACTGTAATTGCTAGGAAATAGAAATGAATAATCTACAGGTATAAATGCTATAGCAAGGGAGAACAGGAACATGACTTAAAAGAATTTAATGGCTTCTTAAATTACAAATTAATCTCTGTGACAGCTTCTTTAAGCAATGGGTGGTTTTCTATGCTGCGTTCTCAGCCATTAGTGCATACCCCTTATTGTGGCACTTACATGTTGTACTGTCGTAATTTGTCTGTTTCATGCATTACAATATAAGCACTCTGAAGATATAAATCATGGACTTGTTCAGCTGTCTGAATTTAATTCTAATATCACTTTTGGTCACCAAGATAGAGCTGTTACTTGGTGAGCATTTGTTGAAGGAAACAAATGTTTATTTTACTCCATTGTTGACATTTTAGCACTCTTCTTCATATTCAACAGGTTAACTGCCTAATGTCCTGGAATTGGAAGAGATCCCTTGCAGGTTTTCTGACTTTCCTTATATAGCTGTGATAATCTACAGAAGCTCAGCTCTGCAATGACTTGAAAATTTGCACTGCCATGCATGTTTAAAATGTTCTCCCCAATATTTTTCCAGTAAGAGCTAGAGAAACTAGACAATTTTGTGTCAGAAGTTCAAAATCAAAGTACTCTTCAATTTTATCCTGTTCCCATAGCAATAGCCCCACCTCCTTCTATAAGACATTTCATGCAAAGATGTTCTATATGTGATACAGAATCATGAGTCTTTCCATTGTTAAGTCAGTAGGTTAAAATATTCTGCTTATGAGAACAGTGCTATGGGGAATAACTTCTCTAGGGGCCAATTACATTCATTCTGCCTTATGAATACTGAGTATGTTCTTTACCCAAATAAATCATCTTAAAAGCCTATATTCCTGGTCATGGAGAAATTAAATAAGAAAATGTATACCCAAATTTTAAAAATGAAAACATGGCTGGGCGAGGTGGCTCACGCCTGTAATCCCAGCACTTTGGGAGGCCGAGGCGGGCGGATCACCTGAGGTCCGGAGTTCGAGACCAGCCTGACCAATATGGAGAAACCCTATCTCTACTAAAAATACAAAATTAACCAGGCATGGTGGCACATGCCTGTAATCCCAGCTACTCGGGAGGCTGAGGCAGGAGAAGCGCTTGAACCCAGGAGGTGGAGGTTGCGGTGAGCCGAGATTGTGCCATTGCACTCCAGCCTGGGCAGCAAGAGTGAACTCCATCTCAAAAAAAAAAAAAAAGGAAAACATACAGCAAAGTAATATAACACATATATATTGATTTGCTCTTCTGTGCCAGGTAATTGGATACTGGGTCTCCGTCCTAGGCAAAAAGAGGATGGATGGAGAATGTGTTATCTTAGAGGAAAGAATGCTTTTAGTGGGCACATTGACTGCTTAGTATTCCTTGCTCCCAGGAAAGGTAAATGATGGACATAAGAATTAAATCAATCACTTGTTAAAAGACCAACAGAATATTATAGTTAAAAAAAAAACTTCTAAGATATTTATAAGTAACTAAGAAGCAAGCCTACAACAGTCGCTCTAACCCTGACAGTGTGTTAGTATCACCTGAAGAACGTGAAATAAACAGTGTTGTTGCCCTCTCCCAGAGATGTTGATTTAGTTATTCTGTGTCTGGCCTACATTTATTATGGAATCATGAAAAGATTAAATGGTATTTTCCTCACTGGGAGAATGAAGTATGATCATATCTGAATGATGAACATCCAGAGATTACAACAATACCTTTAAACAGCCAGATATTCCTGCATTAGTAAGACAAAATCTGCTTTTCAAAAACAAAAGGCAAAGTAAAATAAAGGGAACACAATGCTATTTCCAAATGAAAAGTGAGAATGGACCTTAAATAAAAATGAGCAAATATTTGTTTTTATTATGTTGCTGTTATCACCAACACAAATACAAATTTCATTGTTTAATTTTATTGAATTCTTTGTTTTTTTTATTTTAGAAACTAAAGGATAAAATTATGTTGTGTGCTGGCTTGTATTTATAGATGCATGTTTATTTACCAAAAAATACAAAATAACTGCAAAATTTAAATAATTCCTCAATTAGAGAAAAAAACTAATTACAAATGTAGTTGTTGAGCAGCAAATAATTTGCAGGACAGGAATTCAAATGAGCCTCAATTCAGGTTTTAATGTGCAGCCAAATTTGAGAATGCAGCCAGGGTTAAGAACACTCCTTCAAATCCAACTTGAAAAAGTGATAAAGATTTTATTCACAATGGAAATAAATACGTACTAGATGTAAACTGAAGAAAAATGTGCAAAAATAAATAAACTAAATGGCATCAAGAAGTACACAAGAGATCTTGGAGAAGAATGAATAAGTGGAGAGAGATGCTGTAATCCTGAATTAGAAAAGTCAACATTTAAACATGCTTATAAAATTAAATTTACAAGCTTAATATAACTCCAGTAAAGCATCTTATAGGTCATATTAGTTTTAGGAGGGAGAGTGATATCACAAAAGCATTCTAATTTTGTTATACTTTTCTACTGAAGGATTTAGTTTAGGATTTTGATGAGCATAAAGTAGAATCTTAATAAATGTCTGGTGTTTCAGTAAGCAGTCAAGACTCAGTTTCAATGATACTTTAGTATCAAATAATATAACAAATAAGTTATACTAGTGGTTTTTTAAAAAGTGTTTCTTATCAGGAAATGTTCCTCTGAGTTTTATTTATTGAAAATTCAACCTTCCTGTGGTTCTCAACAGACCAAATATTAAACCTTAATAATGTTTAAATGCAGACCCAGAGTTCTCACTTCAGGAGTGAGAGTAAGTTTTGAGGAGCCCTATGTGGATGACATCTAAAAAGTATTGCACTCAGCCTCTTGGAGATAAAACTTAAGTCCATTATGGGTCCACTGGAAGCAAGTCCTTAGTGGAGTCAAACTTATTGCTAATCAACGCTATTGCGGGCCAAAAGCCTCATGTGAGCGAAGCCACTTCTCAAAAACTATTAAAAAAGTCAAATGAGCAAAACACAGCTTCCCACCCTTTTTTTTTTGTTTTTTTACTTTACTTCTTTGAGACTCCCAAATTTTTTTCCTAACATTGTAGCTTTCTATCCCATCTTCCACTGACTTGTAAAATATGGTTACATGAAGATATTAAGAATAATTTTAATTAATTTACATGGGATAAATGAGTTATTGCCTCTAGTAATATAAATTTACAAACATTCATTACAGTAAAATGATATATTGAGTTTTCAATAATAATAGCATATGTTCAAAGATTTCTTACCTGTTAATGGGTTATAATAAGTTTCCCTGGAAGTATATTCAAAAACTTTAAAAAGATAATCCGGAAGATGGAGACATTATAATATCCAAAATCATGAGAAACTGTAAATATATTCATCTAGATACTGTGTAGAATAATGGAAACCCATTTTTTTCCAATTATGAATGAAAATTTGAACTATATAAGTCATAGGAATAACTTTTTTAAGTACTAAGAACTAATTAAAAAATAAAAAAATGTAAAAGATTTGTGTTTTAATTCAAAAGATACATTTATATGTGTTATAAGAAAACAAAATTTCCTGTGTGACAAGTACTCAAGTAACTAACTTAATGCCTTTTTGGTCAAGAATCCCAAATCCCCAAATCAATTTTTCTAAACTAGGTTCTCAAAACAGATCTGGCTGGCCGCGGTGGCTCACGCCTGTAATCCCAGCACTTTGGGAGGCCGAGGCAGGCAGATCACTTGAGATCAGGAGTCCCAGAACAGCCTGGCCAACATGGGGAAACACTGACTCTATTAAAAATACAAAAATTAGCTGGATGTAGTAGTGTGCTCCTGTAATTCCAGCTACTCAGGAGGCTGAGGCACGAGAATCGCTTGCACCCGGAAGTTAGAGGTTACAGTGAGCCGAGATCTCGCCACTGCACTCCAGCCTGGGCGATAGAGCCAGACTCAGTCTCAAAAACAAACAAACAAAACCTCCCCTCCTTTCTCTCCTGAAAGAAATGGGTGGGGTGAGGAAAGAAAGACACACACGCACACACACAAAGACACACAGACACACACAACAGAGACAGAAAAAGGGAGGGAGGAAGGGAGGGGGGATGGCAGGAAGGAAGGGAGGGAGGGAGGGAGGGAGGGGAGTGAGGGGAAAAGAAAGAAGAAGAAAGAGAAAGAAAGAAGGAAAGAAAGAAAGAGAAAGAAAGAAAGGGAGAGAAGAAAGAGAAAGAAAAAAGAAAGAAAAATAAAAAGAGAGAGAGAAGAAAGAACAAAGAAAGAAAAGGAAGGAAGGAAAGAAGAAGGAAAAAAGAAAGGGAAGGAAGGGAGGGAGGGAGGGAAGAAGGAAGGAAGGAAGGAGAAAGAGAAAAAATAAAGAGAAAGAGAAACAAGAAAAAATTTGTTTCATTGCAAGGAAGCTCATGCTGGTTTAGGCAATTTCTTTACTTCACAGGATTTTTTGATGCCATTAATATGATACTATGCATTGAGAATCTGCAAGCAGAGCAGAATATGTACAATTTCCTAGACTTATTTGGGCACAAAAGGCTTTTTATTGCTAAATATCTGTTAATATACAATAAGGTTCATTTAGAAAATACTCCCCTAAATGATTAGAAGTTCTTAGAGAAAGCAGTTAAGGTAACATTATACTTTTACTCATTCCAATTCTATGATGTCATATTTTTCAAATATTAAGCTAGATCATTCCTCAATTGCTTCTGATAATGAGACAAAGGAAGTAAACTTTTTTATTCTTAGACTAATATGTAGCATTATTATAGCAATGCTGTGCCTGTTATGATGTTTGTCAATATCATGTAATTATCTAATTTACCACATAGTTATATAATTTTTTGATTATTATTGCTCAATTATCTACCAGTTTTATTACTATTTCTCTCCATTACATTATCAATGGGAGCTTAAGATGACTTTTTAGAGGAATTAACTGTTAAATTTATAGCTGGATACATGCTACTTTCATTTCTTAATGTGGTTCTAATAAAATAGAACAGAGCTGTCACTGGCTAATTTATTTCCATGCCAAACCATTTAAACTCTCCAGAGAAACTTCTGTTTAAATAAGGCATGCTTGACCAAGAAAGGTTGTCATGTATTAACTGTCTCTGTGGGGAGTTGATGTTAAAAATATAATTTGTTCAGTAGAGAGAACAGAAAATAAACTCTATTATGCTAAGTCAGAAAAGCAGCTCCTCGTCTTCTCTGCATGTGTGTGTGTTGTCACTTCTAACTAACACAATTAGCAAGGGGAAGATTTCTGCATTTCAAATATTCAGGATTTTTGTTTTTGTCCTGAGGATAAAAATTTTCTTAATGTGCATTCTGATTGGCATTTATTTGTTAGAATGTGAAAAGTTACACTCCAACTTCCTTTTTCTCCTATCAAAGAGAGAATCAGCTTTCCTCTTATTTCCCTCTTATTTCTTTTCTCAATTTTTTTCATGATACTGTATTTCTCCTGGTATTTCATATTTTCTTCTAATACAGAGAGCACATTTATGCCTTGGGATTTCAATGTTATTCTTATGCTATATAAGCAGAAGTATTCTCCAATGCTACAAAAGCAAAACCATTTTTAAAGGGAGAGAAAAAGATAAAAGACAATCTCAGTTACAAGGAGAATAAAAATCCTTTTTGGATTTTTAATTCATATTTCAAACAAGGTTCTGATTTCTTAATCATGGTATAGAAAGACTAATGCAACCAATAGTGAAAACTCTTTATCCTGTCTCTCTTTAAATACCTCTACTCAGCAATAATTTCAACCAGGATAAAGTACTTTATATAGTTCTTCACTGTGATTACCAAGTGTTGATACTGCAAACTACAAAGGCATTTGCAACCTAAATCTCAGTTTATTTTAGAAAATGTTTCATTTTCCCTTGGCAGCACAATTTATTGTTTCTATTGTCTTTCCAACAACATTAGGTCAGACTAACTTTTTGAGGTTTCAGAAATGATAGCTTAGTACTATTTGTATTCTCTCTCACACAAGCAAAAAGTGCAAAATGTAGTGGCTGATTTGACTTCTAACTGTTTTGTGGTAAGAGAACATGGGTTATTTGCTGTTAATTTTTTGAAATGTTAGGCTTAGGAGTGGCCTAATGTATAATTAACATTTATATAGTTTAATATATACTTAATAATAGTTTATAATTTATACTAGTTTGTAGTAACAATAATGCAGCAAGCTAATTAGTTTTGTTTTTTAAATGTTTATATCCATGTTAAAATTTTTGATCTACAAGATCTCAATTTTCCAAGAGTTTAATAAAGATTTCCCACTGCAATTGGTGGGTTTAAGATGTCCATATAAGTTTCACAAGTTTTGTTTCATGTATTACTTATTATTAAATGTCAACACATTCTTTATTTTAGCATGTTCTTATCCAATAATTTCTTTTATTACATAATACTAAAATTTATCTATACCTAAATACTATCATGTCCAATGTCAATATTGCTGAGGATAATTATTCTTTGTTTAGCGTTTGGATCATATATTTTTTCCATATCTTTATTATTTGACTGCTCATTTTGCTTTAAAAGTTATTTTTTCAATTTACATGTAATAATTATACATATTTATGAGGTACAGTGTGTTATTTCAATACATGTAAACAATGTGTAATGATTAATCAGGGTAATTAGCATATCCATCACCTCAAGCATTTATAATTTTTTTGTGTAAAGGACATTCAAAATTCATTTTTTCTAGCTATTTGAAACTATGCAATAAATCACTGTTAACTATAGTTGCCCTACAGTGCTGTAGAATACTAGAATTTATTCCTCCTATCTAGCTGTAATATTATATCCCCTAGCAAACGTTTTTCTCTTCTCCATCTCACCCCTGTTCCTGTATACTTCCCAACCTCTAGCAACCACTATTCTACTCTCTATTTCTATAACACCAACTTTTTTAGCTTACACATATGAGATAGAATGTACTATTTGTCTTCTTGTGTGTGGCTTATTTCTTTTAACGTGATGTCTTTTAGTCTCATGTTGCTAGGAAAGACAGAATTTCATTTTTTATGGCCAAATAGTATTCCATTGTGCATATGTACCACATTTTCTTTATCAAGTCATCTTTTGATGGACATGGGTTGATTCGATATCTTGGCTATTGCAAATAATCCTTCAATAAACACTGGCATGCAGATACCTCTTTTACATACTAATTTATTTTCTTTTCTTTTGGATTTATACTCCAAAGTGGGATTGCTGGATTATATACTAGTTCCTTTTTTTTTTTTTTTTTTTGAGGAAACTTCATCGTTCACAATGTTTATACTAATTTACATTCCCACCAACTATGAATAAATGTTTCCTTTTCTTCATATCCTCACTAGTATTTGTTATTTCTTGTCTTTTAATAATAGCCATTCTAACTGGGCTATGGTGATAAAAGTCATTGTGGTTTTGATTTACATTTCCATGTTGGTTAGCGTTGTTGAGCATTTTTTTCATATACTTGTTGGCCATTTATATTCTTTTGAGAAATGTTGACTAAGATCATTTAACTCATTTTAAATATTGGGCTATTTTGGTTTTTGCTGTTGAATTGCTGTATAGTTTGAATATTAATCCCTTGTAGGATTAATAGTTTGCAAATACTCCCATGCTACAGGTGGTCTCTGTATACTGTTGTTTCTTTTGCTGTGCAGGAGCTTTTTAGTCTGATATGATCTCATTTGTTTATTTTTGGTTTCATAGCCTAAACTTTTGAGGTTTTGCCCTTAAAATCTTTGATCAGTTCAAAGTCATGAAGCTTTTCCCTATGAATTTTTGCAGTTTTTGTACAGATTTGGTACTATTTTTATGTCTTTAATCCATCTTCATTTGATTTTTGTGTGTGGTGAGAGATGGGGTCTAGTTTCATTCTTCCGCATACAAATATCTAGTTTTCCCAGCACTGTTTATGGAAGAGCGTGTCCTTTGCCTAATGAATGTTCTTGGTGCCTTTGTCAAAAATCAGTTGTCTGTATGTGGCTTTAATCTGTGTTTTTAATTCTATTTCATTACTCTACATATCTGCTTTTATGTCAGTACTATGTGTTTTGATTACTACAGGTTTTGGAAGTCACGTAGTATGATGCCTTCATCTTGGTTCTTTTTGCTTAAGATTGCTTTAGCTATTTAGAGTCCTGTGATTCCACGTACATTTTAAGATTGCTTTTTCTATGTCTGTGAAAACTGGCATTGGAATTTTGATTGAAATTGCATTGAATTTGTAGATAACTTTGATAGTATGGGCATTTTTATAGTGTGAATTATTCTAATCCGTGAACATGGGTAACTATTTATTTATGTCTTCAATTTCTTTCATCAGTGTTTTATAGTTTCAGTGTACAAGTATGTCACTTCCTTGGTTAAATTTATTCCTACTTTATTGTATATTTTTGTAACTATTGCAAATGGGATTGTTTTTTGTTTTTTTTGTGTGTGTGTGTAGTCTATGATTAACGTATAGAAACACTAGTAATTTTCTTTAGTGGTATGCTTTGATTCCTTACTTTGTATTCTTCCTGCATCTACTATAGGCTTTTGTTTTGAGGCTTACATAAAATATCTTGTTACAGTGGGTTACTTTAAGCTAATTACACTTAGCTTCGCACACAAAACCTCTACACTTTTATTCCATCATCTCCTACCCCACACTTTAAATTGCTGAAGTAAAGTTACATCTTTTTATACTGTATATTCCTTAACAAACTATTTTAGCTATTATTTTCTTTAATAGTTTGGACTTCTAACCTTTATACGAAAGATATAATTGATTTGTACACTAATATTACAATATCAGTGCATTCTTAATTTGACTGTGTACTTACATTTTTCAATGAGTTTTATACTATCATATGTTTTCTATTCCTTATTGGCATCCTTTTCTTAAAGCTTTAAGAACTCCTTTTAGAATTTCCTGAAACCCAGCACAGGCCTTTCCTATACAGGGTTTTACTCCGGCAGGCTTGGTATTGGTGTCTGAGGCAAAGTTCAGTGTTCACTTACCTTTCCTTCTCCTCTATGCTGGAGTCTAGAAAGGAGTGATAAGAGTAATGTAAAAATGTCCTTCCTATCCTCTTCAATGTGTGTTTTTTTTTTTTATTTCTGTGCTACACCCAGGCACCATGATCTCTTACCTGGTTTTCTTGGCTTTTGTGAAGATATTTTTATGGATAATTGTTCAAATTTATTTTCTGCAAGGGGATGAATATAGAAAAGTCCTGTTTTGCCATCTTGCTGATGTCAGTCTTCTAAAACATTACCTTTGCCTTTGTAGTCTCTCCTTGAATATAAGTATTCATTTGATGAAAATCTTTCTCACTCCCAGGAATTCTTATGAACCCAACTGATATGGTTTGGATTCGTGTCCCTACCCAAATATCATGTCAAGTTGTAATTATCAATGTTGGAGGAGAGGCCTGGTGGGAGGTGATTGAATCATGGGGGTGGACTTCCCCTTGCTATTCTCATAATAGTGAGTGAATTCTCATGAGATCTGGCTGTTTAAAAGTGTGTAGCACTTCTTCCTCCTTCACTCTCTTCCTCCTGCTCCAACCATGTAAGACGAGCCTCCTTCCTCTTCGCCTTTTTCCATGACTGTAACCTTCCTGAGGCCTCCCCAGCCATGCTTCCTGTACAGCCTGCAGAACCATGAGCCAATTAAGCCTCGTTTCTTTATAAATTTTCCAGTTTCTGGTATTTCTTTATACCGGTGTGAGGATGGACTAATACACCAACTTTTGTGCTTTATATCTATCTAAAAAATTGCCTTTGTAAGTAAGGTTCTGTGGCATGGTGGTGAGGTAATGTGTAACATCATAAAATTCCCTAATTAACATGGAAAGAAAACTAACAAAACCACTTGCATTTAAATGCTTTTTTCATTTTATAGATTTTGTGTATGCCATGGAAAATCCTGAAAGCTTTTTAACTCACTGACTCAAAATACACAGAGTAGTCTGCAAAGTAATTCTGAGATAATGCCCATCTGCTCACTTTATAATATACACTGTGTGTTTGTAGGTGAACTTTGCATAATACCCATTTTGCATTTTTCTTTTCTTAGAAAGACTTAGAATTAGTGGCTTGGCAAGTGGAACCACTTTTAATTTTTTATATTTTTCTATTTGGTTTGGAAGGGTAACTTTCATTATGTCCAACTAACTACAGAGAAAAGAGAATGATCTTTTATCCTCACCACCTTCCACCTAATTTTTTTCCTCACCTTGAACAAGGGAGAAAAGCTTTCTACATTAAGAGATACACACAATCACCAAGAGACAAATGTTGATAATTGGCTTCAAAGTTGATTTACAAAATTTTACTAAGAATCCTGTTGATCACTATTAAATGATAATGAATGACTAATTTATACCTAGGTAGCATCTCTAATCTTGGTTTCTTCCTAACTTAGGTATCCAAATGATGATAATGTTATAAATAAAACTGTGCTTATTATCAAATGAAAGACTAGCTTCCATTATTGTTATAAGGAAAACACCTCTACCTTTTTCTGGTGGAGAGTAAATTTTTTCCTGGCAAAACAGTAAATGTTGAAGTTGAGACTCAAGTTTGTTGAATAATCAAGCTATAAGAAGCTAACATTTTGTTAACTTTCCTGGATTTATAGTTTCTTGATATCTGCATTATGTGACATCCTCTGTAGTTATAGTAAAGTGCATCACTACTATACAAAGAAAACAAGTTTAATTTACTTGATGTAGAAAATTACATAAATATAAACAAAAAACTAAATAACAATATAAGAACGTTTCTGAATACTATTGCCTGACAAAATATCTTAGTGTGAGATCTGTGTTCTCTTTTGAAAAGGAAGATTAGTTAGTGCTGGACAGAGATTAATGATATACTACTACCAAAATGAGTACTTTTCTTGCCAAAATGAGAGAGAGAAAGAAAAAGAGAGAAAGAGAGGACGAAAACTTGAAAAAAAAACTTTGTTATTGGTGACTCGATGTAATTTAATGCTATTTTTTCATATACCTAAATTGGCCCTTCTTTCAATCAGAGGTAAGGGTCCTATTCTTTGGATACTGTAGTGTCCAGGCTCCATTGCCCAGCTATGACCCAAAGAACAGTCATTCTACCTTGACCAGCTGAATGGAAGGTACCATTTTGAGATGTTGTCTAGGACTCATTCCTTATATATTGACTGTTTAAGATATGGGAGTGTTAACATTTCTCACTTATATTTATAAAACAAAATTTAATTGCTTTGAAGACAAATGATCAAATATAAAACTTGTAAAATTTGATGCAGGAGTATCAAGCAATGGAAAAATCACATAGCCATTTGCAACTATTTTTGAAGATCTACTGGAAAATGCTCAAAATAAAATAAATAAAAATGTATATAACTTAAGTGTATATAAGTAGTCATATATTTAAACAAAGAGAAGAAACAATGAAGGAAATGCATTACAGTGCTCAGCATAGATTTCTATTGCCTTATCAAGTATGGTAAGTTATTTTCTGTATATACCAACCTGTCTTGTAAAAGGAATATATGACTTGCATATTTTAAAACCAGCCACAATTTATTAATAGATATGGAAAAAAGGCACTGATACTTAGAATCAAGACCTAAAGTATCTTCAGAATTTGAAGGTAGAGCCAGAAAAATCTAATAATTAAGAAAGGAAGGTGAGATTAGAGATAAAGGTATATGATATTCTCCATAACAGATTCTCCTTCTGAAAGATGTTTTGAAATATATTTGGGAGACCCAAATAAGCTAATTCAGGATAGCAATTAGTATTTCAGTAGCATTAAAATTTCACTTAATTAATTTGAAGTAAAATTGTCCCAAGTAATAATGTGATGACAGAGGAGAATGACCTCAAATAAAAGATAAGTATAAATTTAAAAGTATAGAAATGTCATAAAAATGATAACTCATATACTTACTGCTTATAATGGTGACTTTTTATATTTAAAAACATCTCAATGCCTTTGATTGATTGCGTGATTTCTAGTACATAAACATAAGGAATGAAAAAAATATAAGTTTTCAAGAACAAGTTTTATCACAATGATTTCTAAAATGAGCAGATTTTATTACAGTAAAATAAGATTTGACAGTTATTATTTGTGTAACTTTTTGAAATTTTAGTAATGATACACATGTCTCTTTTATTCTAGCCATAAAGGAAACAACATTCATATACTAAATTTGAATGACCAGAAGTTGGAAAAACTGTTCGTGAAATAAGAAAAAGTATATAATGTTATCTTTATTCTTTTTCTTAATCTTTCAAATTTAATCTCAGGTTTCAATTTTTAAACTAACTAAAATCAATGTATTTCTTTATAGGATTATAAATTATGTGATTAAATGTTCAAGAGTTTTTTTTCACATATTATCTGTGAGAGGAGTTTAAATAAAATGAAGAGCAATGTTTATTGGCAAATGTAAGGATAATTTTATTGCAGAGATGGTATATCAAATATGGCATTTAAACTGGTCAAAATATGTATTTCAAGAGAAAAGATACAAATCACAAAGGATGTACAACCACTTTTTTTTTTGGTTTTTGGAAAGATTTTAACTAGAGTAATACTACTGGTTTCTCAACATTCTCCTTCATTTCTCCCCCAGGGAAGAATTGTTATAATGGGAGAAGGAAGTGATATTTGGAGCTCAAGAATATCTGGACCTCCTTGGAAGATGCCTGGCAGAATATACTTTTTAGATATATTTAAAGGGAAACAATACAAAGAGAAATAGGTTTTTTGTTTGTTTGTTTGTTTGAGAGGGAGTCTCGCTCTGTCACCCAAGCTGGAGTGCAGTAGCACGATCTCAGCTCACTACAACCTCTACCTCCCGGGTTCAACCATTCTCCTGTCTCAGCCTCCTGAGTAGCTGGGATTACAGGCACCCACCACCAGGCCCAGCTAATTTTTGTATTTTTAGTAGAGATGGGGATTCACTATGTTGGCCAGGCTGGGCTTGAACTCCTGATTTCAGGTGATTCACCTGCCCCGGCCTCCCAAATTGCTGAGATTACAGGCGTGAGCCACCACGCCTGGCCAAGAGGAATGAGTATTATTAAAAGTAATTTTCCCAGCACTTTGGGAGGCCAAGGCGGGTGGACCCCGAGGTCAGGGGATCAAGACCATCCTGGCTAACACGGTGAAACCCCGTCTCTACTAAAAATACAAAAAAATTGTAGTCCCTGCTACTCGGGAGGCTGAGGCAGGAGAATGGCGTGAACCCACGAGGCGGAGCTTGCAGTGAGCCGCGATCACGCCACTGCACTTCAGCCTGGGCGGCAGAGCAAGACTCCGTCTAAAAATAATAATAATAATTTTCTATAAGAAAACGAGGCAACAGGATAGAAGAGTTGCAATTAAAACTTATCTAAGTGTAATGTGTCCACAATTATAATTTGAGACTATTTAATGTTGTATTTTTTTTAATATTAGATCAGAAGAAAAAAATTAATCATTACAATATGATGACATATGATGACATACCTGCACAAAGAAAAAATGTAAAACACTTTAAAACACAGTTTTTTGTTGTTGTTGTTTTGATTGTTTGTTTTTTTGAGACGGAGTCTCTCTGTTGCCCAGGCTGGAGTGCAGTGATAAGATAAGGTAGAGTGCAACCTCCACCTCCTGGGTTCAAGTGATTCTCTTGCCTCAGCCTCTTGGGTAGCTGGGACAACAAGCGCCCGCCACCATACCGGGCTAATTTTTTTTGTGTGTGTGTTTTTGTAGAGATGGGTTTTCACCATGTTGACCAAGCTGGTCTCAAAACTCCTGACCTCAAGTAAGCCACTTGCCTCAGGCTCCCAAAGTGCTGGATTTACAGATATGAGCCACTGCTCCTAGTCTAAAACACAGTATTTAATCTGTACTTCTAGTAGAATGTGTTCTAAGAAAAAAAGAACAGTACAGAAATCTGGAGGTCTATTCAGAGTGTTATTATTTTTTGTATTGTCACATTGGTATATATATATTTGGAACTATAATGTGTATAATGTAAGATATATCAAATTGAGTAACTGTGTGGAATCTTTAAGGTAAAATAAGTAAAACAATCAACTGATTAAGTAAAACCCCCATAATCTTATATTTGAAATGAAAATGTTAGTAGGAAGATATGATTTTGTTTTATTTGTTCTATGCTGTTTAAAGTCCAAGAAGCAATAACAACTCAGTTGCAATGAATTCACCTACTACCCAGATGATAATCTCTAAATATGATTTCTCCCACATACACACACACACACACACACACACACATACACACACACACAAGGAAGTTTCTTGCGGTAAAGAATGGCTGACTCAGATCTGGGGAAAAATATGCAAAATTAACTTATGATATCTTACTGTTCCAAAGAGAAAGGATCATATAAAAATTGGAGTCATGTCAAAGAAAACAAGAGATAGTTTACAGTTTGTCAATATTGGGAGAATTTTAGCTTAAAAAAGAATGTTTAATGCAATGAACTGAAGCACGTCAAATCTATATAAATCTAGAATTTATAAGGCTACTCAAATAAATCTTATGCACCATCTAGTATACCAACTCTTTATTCTGAAAAATGGTAAAAGAGAAAAGAAAAAGAAATATTGGTTTTTCTCTGCTTTATTATTGGGTAGTCAATAGTTAATAAGAGAGAATCTTCTGTATAAATAAAAATCACAGGTAATAAACACAGGAGGAATGATATAATTTTTAAATTTCTATTTTTCAATCTCCAATGAAATAATGGATCTAGGCAGTGATCAATAGTGAATGCTAAAAGCATGTGGTGAAAGGTTGATGGGGAAGTTTATAAAAGAGGAATAAGTCTGATGCATTAGATTTCTATTGCTGTCTTAGGAAATTACCAAAAGTGAGTGACTTAAAGCAAATTTATTACATTACAGCTCTGTAGGTTAGAAGTCCAAGCACGATGTGGCTCGTCTGGCTTTCTTGCTGAGGTTTCACTACGCAGAAATCAAGTCATTAGGACTGTGTTTCTTTCCAGAGGCTCTGGGGATGAATCTATTTTCAACTTCATTCAAGTTATTGGCATAATTCATTTCCGTGGGATGGTAAGACTGAGATCCCATTGACTTGCTTGCTTTTGGCTAAAGAGAATTCTCAGCCCCTGGAAGCTGCTTATATTCCTTGGCCTTGTCACTTCCTCCATCTTCATAGTCAGCAATAGCAGGTCTAGTCCTTCTCATGCTGTGACTATCTTTGACCTCCCCTTTCTATCTCTTCAATTCTGCTTTCTCTTCTCTCTGACTCCAGCCTGAGAAATTTATCTGCTTTTAAAAGCTCAAGTGTTTACATTAGGTCCACCCAGATCATTGAAGATGATCTCCCTATTGTAACTGCATCCACAAAGTCCCTTTTTAGCACTACCTAGATTATTGTTTGAATAATCAGGGGTTGGGAATCTTGAGTGGGCATCTATATAATTCTGCCTACAAGAGCTGACACACTTAAACCCACTGATTAATCTCAATTGTAGTTTTGATTAAAAACAAGTGATGATGGGGTGACATTTTAAAGGAGATTGGCAGCCGGGCGCGGTGACTCACACCTTTAATTCCAGCACTTTGGGAGGCCAAGGTGGGCAGATCATGAGGTCAGGAGACTCAGACCATCCTGGCTAACACACTGAAACCCTGTCTCTACTAAAAAAAAAGAAAAATACGAAAAATTAGCTGGGCGTGGTGGCGGGCGCCTGTAGTCCCAGCTACTCGGGAGGCTGAGGCAGGAGAATTGCTTGAACCTGGGAGGCGGAGCTTGCAGTGAGCCGAGATCGCGCCACTGCACTCCAGCCTGGGTGACAGAGCAGACTCGTCTCAAGAAAAAAAAAAAAAAAAAAGAAAGAAAGGAGATTGGCAAAGTGTTTACTGCTGGAGGTGGGTGATGGGTACACAGGATTTTATGATGTTATTACAAAATCCATCTTTTTAATGTATATGTTTCCATAATAAAAAGAATAAACACACAACCACCTCAGAGTTTCCAAGATTAATGCCTCAAGTGCATTCAAGAATGCATCCATAGTTCATTTCTTATCCAGACTTCTAGCTTCTTCTGTCTTCTCCAGACCCATAAAATTACTACTTTTCTTGGAAGAATCTTAGTTGGCGACTGCAATTGGTGAAACCAATCCTGCCTTGAAGGTAAGGAGACAGGAACCCCTCTCCTAATAGCTAAACAGCCAATGCTGGTTATATTCACCCTTTGTAAGTGAATTTATAAATGGAAATGCCCAGTTGTATCATGGAGCCTTCATTACCGGTGTACTGGTTACAACTTGCTAAATACCCTGGCCACCTTTTATTAATAAATTTGCTGCAGCAGGGAAGAAGCATATGCTCTATGTTGTACTGCTTCCTGATCTGTTTCCATTTTCCTTGAAGGATCTTATTTCCATTCCTATAATGATTTTTGACTTCTCCATACTTCACAGTTCGGCCCTTAAATTGGTTTTAAAGAAATGTCATTTCTACCAGAAATATAACATGGATTTAACTTACCACAGATAGATGATAACTTTAAAAATACACAAAATAAAGCTAAGTAACATTATTAAAATTTATCTAAATTTCTGCATTCTTTTAATTGTAAGGCTTCCTCAGTTCCTGCTGCAAGATGACATTTCTCAGGTTGATGAATGGTCACAAAACCAATTTCCACTTCATATGTCAATTTGCAGTCTTTTTCATAGCCTCAATTATACCCAGTTACAATTATAAAAATAAAATATTCGAGTTTTTTTTTGGAAAGGATGAATAATTCAGCCTTATCTATGGTCACCTTGCTTCCTGATGATACACATTGATCTTACTTGAACTCACCAAAACATAAGGAAGCTCTAGCAACAATACCTTGTACCTTTCTCAGAGCTTGCATGTTGCTTACATGCTTCTTTCTGAGTGTCTTTCCTACTCTTTTCTTACAAAATGAACTATTACTTCTAAATGTTCTGGAGGAAATCAGTCATGGGATCTTGCAAATTAGAATGGCCTGTATTGGTAAATTTGTGGAAAAGCTAGCTGGTTCTTTATCTCCAGCAACCGCCGGGGTTACCAGCTAGTCTAAAAATAATCTTCAGTTGAGTTAGTTTTCTGATCATAGTTTAATAAACTGTCATACTTGGGCAAAGTGTGGTCTAAAATTTTCATGAATAAAAACTGTGTTTGGGTAATTACACCTTTCAGAGTTTGAACCTGTGATGTACCCTGAATGACATGCCCAGTATACAGTGAAGAAAATGAGTTAAGCTGAGTGATAAATATAGTAGTCAGAACGAAAGACAAAAGAAAAAATAAATTAGAAATGTCTAGAGGCTATAATCAGCAGAAAATCATTTTGAAATCCATTGCTTAAAAAATGGAGGAAGAAATAGTAAACAGAAGAAGAAATACTAATTAGAGTTCCAGTGAAGCTTTGGTTTATTCATTAATTTTTGTTTGTTTGTGTATACCATCCAAACCAAGGCAGAACTGTGTGTATTTGAAGACATGACTTGAAGGATATAGGGAAAAAAGATGAATACTTTTGGAGAAGGAGGGAGTGTCTGATCCACTTAAGAATTAGAAACAGAGGTACTATGTTAACGTATTTCAGGTGGAAATAACAAAAGATAATTTGAAGCTGTGTGAAAATATACAAGTCTGATCTACACAGAAGTACTGCATTATGGCAAACTTTTGAAGACATATGACATACAAACCGAGTTCTTCTGGGGGAATAGAGTTGGCATCGATGTCATAGTATCTAAGTTTATTCAACAGGATAGGAAAAGAAAGATTATTTTCAGTTCAAATAGTACTTCATTGGCTTGGTTCTTACTCTCTTGGCCTGAAAATATAATATGTGTTGACTCTAAAAGAGCATTAGATTTTACATTAAAGTAGCTACTAATCATGAAAGTAAAAGGTATTTGAAATTTATTTCTTGGAATGTAGGTAGCATATCATGGCCTTGTATCATTAAATTGGTTTGCTAATGTATCTCTACAATTAAAAATATAATCTAAGGCTGTAATTGGTTTCCTCTATAAACTGATCCAGAAAGCCTGGTTTTCAAGAGGTCAAGAAAGTACAAGTCATCAGATTAGCTCTGTGCAGATGGGGGCACAGAAGGGACCAGACAGGTGAAAAGATGCTTGTGACAGTCTTTTATAAGTCTCATCACTTTGACTTGTGAAGAAGAAAAGGAAGCCATCTGTGCTGTCATTCTTGTTAACTTTCTGCTTTGGATAGGAAAGATAAACTAAACACTGAGAATAGGTAAATGAATACAAAACAATATTTGCATCAGGGTTATTGAAAATCAAACTAAGGATGAATGACCTTGCTTCTGTCTGTCACACACATTATCCATGTTTTTGCATATACTTATTTTTATGACTGAGAAGCTATTTGTTTTATGAGAAAATACTAAGCATTAATTCTGATTTATATTTGAAGCCAGTCTATATATTAACCCATTAAAATATGTTTATGTTCATTCACTATTCATTAAGTAATAATGGCTTTTATTTTTAATGTCTGAGTAATCCTTAATTACATATCAGAGACAGAAAGTGATTTTGATTTGTACATGTCATTTAGAGGAAAGGGTGAAAATTTTAATGTTAATTAAGCCTATACATGTTTTGTTTTGTTTGAGTAATAATATTGTCTTCTGCAGCTGCTAATCCCCCAGTTTTATGCTATATAATTGATTTAAGTTTTCAGATCCTTAAGACATTCATTTATTTCCTCCTATCATATTCTGCTTCAGGGAAGAGAACTAATACCATTCAGATACTCAAAAGCCTACTAAATATAGGTTATCAGTCACAATAGGTCCTTATTTCTCTAAGTGTCTAGTATTTGGCGTAAAATCATCTATTTGACCAATCTGTATTTCCATAATTTCTATATCTTATGGTGAACTAGGTGTATGTCTGATATGGTTTGGCTGTGTTCCCACCTAAATCTCACCTTGAATTTTAGTTCCCATAATCCTCACATGTCAGGGGAGAGACCTGGTGGAAGGTAATTTAATCATGGGGGCGGGTACCCTTATGCTGTTCTCAGGGTAGTGAGTGAATTCTCACAAGATCTGATGCTTTTATAAGGGCCTTTTCCCTTTTGCTCCTTCTTCACCTTCCTGCCGCCATTGAAGAAGAACATGTTTGCTTCCCCTTTCACCATGACTGTAAGTTACCTGAGGCCTCCCCAGCCATGCTGAACTATGAGTCAATTAAGTCTCTTCCCTTTATAAATTATTCAGTCTCAGGCATGTCCTTATAGCAGCATCAGAATGGACTAACACACTAAATTTGTACTGGGAGTAGGGCGCTATTTTAAAGATACCCAAAAATGTGGAAGTGACTGTGGAACTGGGTAACAGGCAGAGGTTGGAACAGTATAGAAGTCTCAGAAGAAGACAGGAAAATGTGGGAAAGTTTGGAACTTCCTAGAGACTTGGAGAGCTCAGAAGACAGGAAAATGTGAGAAGGTGTGGAACTTCCTAGAAACTTGTTGAAGGGCTTTGACCAAAATGCTGATAGTGATAGGGACAATGAAGTCCAGGCTGATGTGGTCTTAGATGGAGATGAGGAACTGTTGGGAACTGGAGAAGAGGCATCTCTTGCTATGTCTGGATGTCCACCCAGAATTTTGGTGCAGGGGCAGAGTCCACCTGGAGAACCTCTGCTAGGGCAGTGCAGAAGGGAAATGTGGGGTCGGATTCCCCCACACAGAAGCCCCACTGGAGCAATGCCTAGTGGAGCTGTGAGACAAGGACCACCATCCTTCAGACCCCAGGATGGTAGATCCACTGACAGCCTACACTGTGCACCTGGAAAAGGCAGTGGCACTCAACACCAGCCCATTAAAGCACCTATAAGGGGAGCTGTACCCTGTAAAGCCACATGGGAGGAGTTGTGCAAGGCCATGGGAAACCACCTCTTCCATCAGCGTGCCCTGGATATGAGACATGGAATCAAAGGAGATCATTTTGGAGCTTTAAGGTTTAATGATTGCCATATTGGATTTTAGACTTGTCTGGAGCCTTTATCCCCTTCAGTTTGGACAATTTCTCCTATTCAGAATGAGTGTATTTACCCATTTCCTGTACTCCCATTGTATCTAGGAAGTAACTAACTTGCTTTTGATTTTACAGGGTCATAGGCATAAGGGACTTGTCTCATCTGAGATGAGACTTTGGACTTGGACTTTTGAGTTAATGCTGGAATGAGTTAAGATTTTGGGGGACTGTTGAAAGGGCATGATTATGTTTTGAAATGTGAGGACATGAGATTTGGGAAGAGCCAGAGGTGGAATTATATGGTTTGGCTCTATCCCCACCCAAATTTCATCCTGAATATTAGTTCCCATAATCCCCACATGTTGTGGGAGGGACCTGGTGGGAGGTGATTTAATCACGGAGGCAGTTACCCTCATGCTTTTCTCATGAGAGTGAGTGAGTTCTCATGAGATCTGGTGGTTTTATAAGGGGCTTTTCCCCTTTTACTCCTTCCTTTCCTTCCTGCCACCATGTGAAGAAGGATATGTTTGCTGCCCCTTCTGCCATGATTGTAAATTTCCTGAGGTCTCCCTAACCAGGCTGAACATTGTATCAATTAAACCTCTTTCCTTTATAAATTATGCAGTCTCAGGTATGTCCTTATAGCAGCTTGAGAACAGACTAATACACTGTCATTTGTATTATTTAACTTATATCTCTACCCAATTTTCTACTTAGAATCTCTTGCTTCATCTCTAGTACATACCATGATCTTATTAAATGTGTGCTTTTATTTTCTGGCCATTTCATTACTTATAGAATAAAATCCAAACCTCTTGGTACAACATGAAAGCTACTTTACAATTTGTCTGAAACTAGCATACAGAGCCTCATCTCCTTTGGCTCCACCTCAGACACTGAGTCAGCTGAAGCTCTAGTCTTGCAGTTCCTTCCTTATACACTAGTTTCTTCCCTAGAGCATACACATCTCACCTCTCCATTTTCCCAAGGACAATCTTCAAAACCCAGCCCTGCTTAGCCCATGTAAATCCTTTATGTAAATCCTTACATTTTTTCCATAATAATGACTGTTCTAGAACCCTCTTTTTGTTAGAGCTTCTCCTCATTTTCTCACAAAGGGAAATGGGAAATAAACCTGACTCTGCAAATGTGGAAAACATGTACCTCGTATTTATATTTGACTGCCATCAGTAATAAATTTAGATAATTGTGAAGAAGATATTTATTTTAGAGGTTTTTCTTCTCAAGTTTATTATAGATTTGGTGTAATTATAATTAAATTCTAAAATTTAGAAAGAAGAATAAGGGACTATATATATATATATTCTTTTGTAGTATATGTATTTTCCAAAGCTGATGCCATTATATTTTTAATTGCAATACATTATAAAATAATTTATTATATAAAAAAGTAACACCTGGTTTTAGAAAGTTATTTGCTTATATGTCTGTCTCTACCTTCTACACTGGAACATACATGGTAATAAATACTGTTTTGTATGATTTTTTTTCTAAATGTAAAGTATCACTATAAAAAATGATTCAAATAATACTGAAAGTAATGAGAATTAATATTATTTTGACATGCTAAATATCATCTCATGGCCATATTATCTTAGTGTAGGTAAGTAAGTTAACTGAATGGAGGGACATCCCCTGAGAGCTTAACTCATCAGTTGTAAGTCATGGCTAAAAATTTAGAAAATTTGGTAGTAGTTTCATCTCAGATTCTAAGCATAGTGTTATTATTTGCAGACTATAACATTAACATTTCTAAATAACTATTATGTGTTATTTCCTGAGACCTGGAAACAAAAGGTATTTTTATAAGTGTTTTAAAGGAAATAATCAAACATACATTACCTAGACCTTAAGAAGAAGAAAATATCCCATATTTTGAGATTCCTAATGAGGATCAAATAGTGAGATGAAATGGGTCATGACATTTGACTACACATAAGAATAAAAAATCAGAGAGACACGCCCATTCAGGAACTCAGGTTTAGGTGGGGGTGAGACAAGACACACTGTCAGGTTTTGGCAATTTCAAGTTTTCAATTAGGAAAGCATATTACTATGTAGCATCCAAGCATGTGGAAACAATTTTCTTATTATTCACTTTACATAGATATCTGTATAGACTTGCTATGGATCAGGCAGCAAGGGCTGCATACAAAGCAACTCAGCACTCAAAGACAAAGTTAGTCAGAAGTTGAGCAGTTTGCCCACAGGCAGCAGAGAGCTAGCTACTGAAATAGGGTTCAAGAGCAGTGTTCAGGAGGTGTAATATTTAAATGCAATGCTTACATGACTATCAAGGCAAGGGAACAGAAAAACACTGGCAGATAAATAGTCTATAACTTCTTGATTTTATTTCTCATCCATATTATTATTTTATGAGGAGTTAGAAGTAGAGTTGGAAGGTAATTTAATAACATTCTTTTTCTCATGATCACATACAAGACCGCAGGGAAAATTTAATGGATTTGATCATCTGTCTATTTTCCAAATGTACTTTATTGTCATAGTCTTGGCTATAATCTTCCCTTTTTTCTCAAATCCTATTTTTAGCCCTCTTAATGTGCTTGTCTCTGAGTAAAATTCCATCAAAAATTATTAATCTATGGTCAAATTTCTGTTTCTATATTTTTCATGCAGGAATTCAGTTGGCAGTGTCACAGAGATTAAGGCAAATTTATAACTTCAGATGATTGCCATAATAGAAATGCTGAGTAGAACATAATAAATAGTGCCCGTCCATACAAAATATCTACTTCAATCCTTAGTAAAATAAAATATAAATACAAGGTTTTCTTAGACATTTATAGGGCATTTAATGTGCACACATAGGCATTATTTGATGTAATTCTTTTAAACCTGGCTTCCAGTAGCATAAAGCAAATCCATTATATACACATGAATATTAAGGCACATTAAAATTTAATCTGAATAAGTTGCAGTATCAGTGTTCTAATTGTATTGTTAAAATGTTCAATATAAAAAGCTCAGGAAATTATTAAATATGTTCATATATATTAAATTGCTATTTAAACATCTTCAGCTTCTATTCTCATCAATGAAATTTTTTTGCTTTATTATGCTACCATTCAATAAATTATACATTCAATCTTTTGTATACAACTGAAAGGTTTACCCACAAAGAATATGCTGAGTAAAGCATTCATAAGTTTCAGTTTGTACTTTATCATTTTCATTTTGGAATTCAGATACTTAATGAAAATAATTATTTTTTGATATTATTAACTATTGAGCATTACCTATTTAATCAGCTAGTTTTAATTTACTATCTGCTAAAAGAGAACGAAAATTTAAAAAGGCACAGCATAAAACTTTTTAAGATTTATTGCCTCATGATGAAACAAGGCAAAAAAAGTATCCCCTGACTGCCTTTAATATAATGTCTGAGTCTTATAATTATGATATGGTGCTAAACCTCTTTGCTCTAGATATTATAGTTGAAAGTGCAAATTCCAAGCTTATCTGGAGTACAGATTCATTATGAAGTCGAGAGAGTTAAGAATGAGAAATAAGGTGAGCAAGGTAGAGTAGGACTAGGTTGTGCAGAGCCTTAAATTTCACTGTTTCCTTGTGTACTAGGACAACAAAGAACTCTGAGACTTTTAATAGAAAGTAGCATGACAAAGAGTGACTTACAAAAGTTAACCTGGTAATAGGTTCTGAAATTTTATAAGAAGTTTACAGAATGTACTGCTCCATTTCCCTGACTTAATCTTCTATTATCAGTGTATCCAGCCTTAAGCCATTAGCTTGGAGATCACACACGAAAGAGCTTTAGAAGAGAGGAAGACTACCAAATGATTTAACCAGGATCTTAAAATAATTATACTATGTCAACTAGCTTATGGCTACAATATAAATTTCCATTGGTTGAATTGCCAGAACAGTATAAATAAGTCACTTATTAATATTGATAGATTTGGAGACGCATACTAAGCAGGAACATTTGAAATAGTGTTAAGGAAACTGTGTTTGCTGTCAGTTCTGCTTATAGAAGGCCAAGTGTACCCAATTTATTTCTACCCCATCAAAAAGGTAGGGCATTTAAATAACATGCAATAAGTTAAAAGATAACTGCTTTTTGGGAAAAAATATTCTTAATGATAAGAGAAAAATATTAATATTTAATAATATTAATATCGTCTATGCACTAGTAAATGAAAGACACTCTGATTTTTAAATGGTCAGATAGTATTGAGTAATTTCACAGAGAAAGAAATAACAACTGGTCAATAAAATATGTAAAGAAATTTAACCTAACAGTTAAATAGTGTATTTCAAGTTAATATATTTAGTTGTATTTTTTCCTCAACAAAATGGGACCAGATTGATAATATACACATTGATGAATTTTAGAATGAATAGGTATTCACACTCGGTATGGGTTCTCAGTATACCTGGTATATTTTGAAGCATAATGTGTTTGTTGCATAAGAAAAATTCTAGTTTCAGGAATCTAATCTAGAGAACAACAATCACAAAGACGTTCCCTGGAGCATTTTGTAGTAGTGAAAACCTCTAATGCTAAACTAGGATGCAGCAGTTAAAACAGTAAGAGGGAACTATATGATTAGCATGGTAAAATCTTCATGCTAAGTGAAAGGCTGGTGGCAGAATATATACAATGTGATTCTATTTCTACTCTCAAAAACCCAAAGGAAAAAAAATGTGTGTATGTGTGTACACATGTATAACTGTGTGTGCATATATATATACACATGTATACATACATCACAATATCACATATATATGAACATATAATGAGCATGAAGAGTTTTGGAAGAAATGCGCTAAAATAAAAACAGTCCATAACAGTTATTGCCATCAAGAAGGAATGTGGTATGGAGGTAACAGCAAGCAGTCCTTTCACTAGTCACGTACTGTTTGAAGTTTTCAGATAAATGGTTCAAGTGTCATTTGTAAAATAAAAAAATAAATGCTTGTGAGGCTATATGATCTTGAAAATAACTGACACAGATTGAATCTAGAACAGATTGAATACTCTGTAAATTCAAGTATATTTTATGTAATTTTAAAAATGATTTACAACTTTTTAAAATTATAAATATTGGCTGGGCACGGTGGCTCATGCCTGTAATCCCAGCACGTTGGGAGGCTGAGACAGGTGGATGGCCTGAGCTTAGGAGTTCGCAACCAGACTGGGCAACACGGTAAAACCCCGTCTCTACTAAAATACAAAAAATTAGCCGGGTGTGGCAGCAGGCACCTGCAGTCCCAGCTACTAGAGAGGCTGAGTCAGGAGGATTGCTTGAACCCAGGAAGCGGAGGTTGCAGTGAGCCGAGGTCGTGCCACTGCATTCCAGCCTGGGCGACAGAGCGAGACTCCATCCACCCACCCCCTCCCCCACAAAAAAAAGAGAAAGAAAATTATGAATATTTGGCTAGATGTAAGAGTAAATTGTATTTCTGCAGTTCTTGAAACAAGAAGAGTTACTGAGGAAGAATAGTATTTTCTGTAGTCACAAATTAATATGTCAAGTGTTATATTTTAAGTACTGCATGATTCCACTTGTATGAGGTATCTAAAATAGTCAAACTCGTAGAAGCAGATAATACAATAGTGCTTTCTAGAGACTGAAGGGTGGGGGAAATGGGGAGTGATTATTCAAAGATATGAAGTTTCAGTTACACTAGATTAAAAAAATTCTCCTGTAGTTAACCATATGATATTGTAAATTTCAAATATGTTAAGAGGGTATGTCTCATATTAGATGTTCTTACTCCAAGGAGAAAACAAAAACAAAATGGAAAAACCAAAGGAAATTCTGGGAGGGATTGAACATGTCTATTACCTGGATTCTGGTGATACTGTCATGGATGTTTACATATGCCCAAATTCATCAAATTATACACATTCAATATATGTGGCTCTTTGTACATCAATTGCACTTCAATAAAGCTGTTAAAAACAAATTTAAATCATTTTTAAGTATAAAATTTGTTTTCATCAATCTTCTTTGCCATTCTTAACTTTTCAAAGTTGTAAATGTAGCCATAAATAGAGATGCTGCCGTGCATGTAAATGAGTGAGCATGATGAATGACCTTCCCCATAGAACTGTACTGCATCACAGCATGCATCTCATGTGGCATGCAGGTGTTTCTAGAGGAGCTTCAAGTTCAGGCGACTATTTTCCTCTGATATTTCTTGGTTTAGGGCACATATCTATAGTACTTCTAGTCTTAGAATCCGATACCATTTTTCTTCTCCATAAATTCAGTATCTATAGATTTTGTTATTGGTTTTAAAGTCTTAGTCCAATTTATGATGAGGATTTTAGTCTAGCTCTGCCCTTTGCCAAACCTAGGACATTGGAAAACTTTACCCCTTTCAACATTAATGTTCTCAATTGTAAAAATAGGGTTATTTACCCTTTTTGTAGGAACTTGTGTGGATTGTATAAGATAAAATAATTAAAGCACCTAACATTGTACCTTATTGATTTTAATAATTCAATTAATAAGTAATCCACTTTCTCAACCTACTTCTTTGTTGCTACTTATATTTTCTGTCAAATCCTCCATGTGTATTCACTTTCAATTGAAAGGACTCTCACTTTTATAAAAATTTTAAACCAGTCAGTCCACTTCTTGCCATTCATGTCATAGATGAACAATATATTGCACGTCATATGTCTAATGCGCTCTTTCGTTTTTCAAACCTGTGTTGTCATGGCTATTCCTTCACTATTGGACAACAAGGTCTTGGCTGTTTTCATAAATGTAGCCCTCTGAAAATTCAGCATGGTCTAATTAGACATTTAAGTTTCTACTTATAAATAATAAAGTATGCTTATATAATATAATTACAGGTTTGTGGACTATCTCTGAAATACACATATATACATAGCCCCAGTTTTATGTCATATAATTTTTGTCTTCTTTCCCTTAAAATCTAAGAAGCTCATTCATAAAAAACAAATTCATAATAACTAAAATTTCCAAATAAGAAGTCAGAAAAATGCAAATATTCTTTCTCATAATATTACCTTAAATTACACATACTGCATAATCAACAGCCCATTTAGCAGCCTAATAATTTATAATAATATTTATGTGCTGTTTGAATATATTTATTATACTTATAGTTCTCATATTTCTATAACTCCAATTTTAAGCCATCTAATTAATTCTGTCATAGTTTTCCCCCTTTTACTGGTTATTACAACTTCATTTTATTCCCAGTGAAAGTGATGTAAATAAATAAATATATACTTCTCTGTTTTATGTAGTTATTTTATTTTATTTTAAAATTCAGTAAGCAGATGTTTTCCTGTTTAGGAATGTTACATGCTGACTAGCATCTAACTTTCTCCTTTTTCTTCTGACTCTCCTCATTCCAAATTCCATTGTCAAACTGTAAAAAAAACTATCAAATGTGTCTCTAATGACACCACGTTTCCTTCCTTTCTATTTTCTCTCTGTGACTGGAGTATTCATGTTGGGTAAAATTTAATATGCTAGCCCCAACTGACAACATTAAGTTTCTCTGCAAGTGTTATTACTTGATCCATAGGTGCAGACAGTACAACGGACTCTGGAGAGGTTCAGAATATAATTTGTTCTTCACTGGTATTGTCATTAAGCCCATATATATACAGCAGCAAGGCAATATTTCAGTCAAGATTGGAGGCACTGTATTATCAGCCATTCCTTTAAAATTGAGTAGCACCAAGTTCTGTCCAGCAAAATAATTCCTTCAACAAATCTACTCCAGCCACAAGATATTTCTAGGCATAATATTTATGTGAAAACTTATCATGAAGACCCTGCTGTGTTTTTGGATGGTTGGTTTTCCAAACCACTGGAGAGGCTGATAAGCAAATACGACTATAGTATAAACTCTGGCTTAACTTCTATGAGATGTGATTTGAAGTAATTAGTCAAGCTCACATTGACTTTATCCTACTCTGAATTTCTAATTTATTCTGGGGAAGAGAGCTATTTTTTGTGTTTTCCTGGACTTCCACCACACCTTATAAAATAGGCGCTAATAATCTTCAGCCCTGTTCTAGGAGTAATAATAATAATAATGGCGATAACATTTACACCATTTATTATGAATCACATGCTGTTCTACATCTATATATTAATTAATTTAATCCCTTCAACAGCCCTGGAAGTAAGTTCCTTATTATTCTCTTTCTGCAGATGAGAAAACTGAAGCAACAGAGAGTTTAATAGTTTGCTCAAAGTCATAGAGATAAAAGGGTCAGAACTGAGATCCTAAACAAGGCATTATGGCTGCAGAGTCCAGTTCTTTACCACTACTATATTATACAGAAGAACTGAAAAACACTTTTCTGCCAGTGATTCTATCAGCTTTTTCTTTGTTCCTTAGAGCATGCTATTTCTCTGCTCCTGTTTGGGTGTGCTCAGAGCACCTGAGCCAGGGCTTAGTGGCCACCTAGGGGTATGTATCCGTCAAGTTGTAAACAACAGAAGCTAACTCTTGCTCATATAAACAGAAAAGCATTTTACTGAAAATGTATTGTATAGTTCACAGAATTGCTTAAGATGTTTTGATAGCAAAGTTAAAAAAACCAACCAAACAAACAAAAACAACAACAAAACAGATAAGAACAAGGACATGGTTCCCGACTCTACTAGTATCAAGCTTTGCAGTGAGACTTGCTTTGAACAATGAAATGTAAGCAGAAATTTTAAACACTACTTCCAAGGAGAAGCTGTAGGAGACATTGCATGATTCTAACATCTCCCTTTTTTTCTATCACACAAGTCACTACATCCCATATAGGAACTGTTCCTAAGGTGTGAGTCCCAAGCGGAAATAAATGATTGTCGATGATCTCTGAGTTTTTACTTTATCTGGTAAACACCATAATCTAGTTTAAACTGATTCATAAAAGGGACAACCAGTAGTAAACATTACCATATCCACAGTGACGTAACAGTGTCAGTTCAATTAGGAAACTGTTTCTTTCTCCAAGGAAATCTGTGTTTGTTAGTTGGCATTGCTGCCATTGTTGGTACTAACACTGAATCCCAATCTTGCCACCATAGGCATCATTGCTCCAGAAAGAGGATTTGCTGTTGCCATAGTCACTGCCATCATGGATTTTGCATTGCTCATGTTTCTTTAGTTCCTGATTCAGTGATTCAGATGTGACTTGAAGTAATTACTCAAACTTACTTTGACTTCATCCTACTCTGAATTCCTAATTTATTCTGGGGAAGAGAGCTATTTTCAGTGTCTGGGAGAGAGGGATCTGATTATTGGAGTCTAGGACTAGTACTTGTGTATGCCTCAGTTGGAAGGGTGTCTAGAAAAGCAAATATCTGAGTTATTCAGGTTTTATAGTAGTAAAAGGGCACTTCTCATCCACACTCATGATGAAGAATTGTTTAAATAACAAAGTGGAATCTTATCAAAGTCATTAGAACTTTCAAGACCTCAAATCTCCCAAGTAAGGCAAGTTGGGTTCTCTCTCCACCCCCTCTCTCAACCCATCACCCCATCTCTCAATTTCTCTCCCTCTGTCTTTTTCTGTCTCTATCTCTGCCTCTTTCTACCCTTAACTTTATCTCTTTCATTCAACTGAGTTCTAAAACAGCTATGATCCTCCATAAATGAGTGAATTATACATGAAGAAAAGAAGTAGGATGAAGACTAAAATTTAGTCTCTGATGAAAGTTACATTGTTTAGTCCAGATTTACCATTAACACAGCTGACACAAATATCTTAATTTGAAAGCTATATCTATTTCTCCCTTTGTTCAGAACCTATAAGAAGGAAAGAGTAATGATTACTAGTCTGCCTCAAAGCCCAATACACTTACTCCGTGAACAATGAAGTAGAGGAGTCTAGCTTCATTCTTCAGAACAAGATACACAGAGATAGCCCCTAATTAGAACTGCTATTCCTTACAATGGTGCTTGGTCCTGCAGTCCAGAAACTGGATTTTCTTTGTTTATATTTGATCATTTTTATCAGGGACATAAATTTACATAAATAGAATTTAGACAAGAAATATATATAAAATATATTGTCAATGTATTAATTGAAAGATATTCCTTTCTAGGAATCAGTATATTCTCTCTTATAACCATTTCTTAAGGAAAAATTAGTGATCAGAAATTTCTTGATGTGATTTATCCCATTGGCTGAGAAACACAACTTCCATTTGCAATGTAGTATCTCTTACTAATTCCAACTATAATGGCCTTCTTTCCTTCTCTTGAGTTAAAAATGGCATGTGTCTCAGCTATAGCCAATAAATTATAATCAAAAGTCTGGGGTCAATGAAATTCTGAGGAAGCTTTTGCTTTACTGATAAAAGAGACAATCTAGCATCGCTTCTTCCATTTTATTATTACCCTCAAGGCCCCTGTGGAGCAGTGGTCACCATTTGGCAAACTTGATAATACAGCACAAGGAAGAAAAATTAATATGGTGAGGATGGTAGTGCAGTAATATAGAAAGTCCCAGTTACTTGGATACATCTTTTAACAACTGTATACATACCATCTATTTACACCACAGTTGTTAACAATAAATATCTTTGTATTTTAAGCCACTATTAGTCAATTATTTGTTAATTGAAACCAAAAGTATTTTCCACGAATATACCTGATGAACATGAAACCATATGAAAGACAGTAAACTGTTCTAGGAGAAAGGGTATTTAACACAAACATTGGAAAACCCAGTGAAATATTTTCCCCACACAAAATAGAGAAATTTCTTTAGAGAAAAAAAATTACTTCTGTGACTTTATTTCCAGTGTATTTCTTGAATAGACAGTATTTAATGTACTGTAGCTTTTGTCTATGTAAGCTTATTTTCCATAATTTTAGGCTAGTCACCAATTGCACGGAAAAATTCACATTTCTAGTTCAGATTGCCTATTTTTTTTCTAGTAGTAATTTTGTCTTTTATCTTCAAGGGTTGACATGCATCAGTCCCTTGATTATAATGGCATCTTAGAGTTACTGCTTTTAGAGTTGCAGTCTGAATTTTGCAACTAATTAGCTGTTGATCTTAGACAAGTTATTTAACTGGAGCTTTATCAATCTATGTCTTAAATTATATCTTGGATATTTAATTTCTATACATATGTGCTAAATCTATTGCTAGCATTGAAACATCCTAGGCTCTCCTCGAAATAAAAGCATACTATTTTGATGCATTTTACAGTTTTTAAAGTTGCTTATACATTTTTAAACACTTGCCTCTGTGATTTTCTCAATAGAAATAAGCGAAACAGCAAAACATTTACAACAGTGACATTGTTTGGCTCTGTGTCCCCACCCAAATCTCACCTTGAATTGTAATAATCTTTACTTGTCAAGGGCAAAATCAGGTGGAAATAACTGAATCATGGGGCGGTTTCCCCCATGCCTTTCTCATGATAGTGACTGAGTTCTCAGGAGATCTGATTTGTTTGTTTGTTTGTTTTTTTGAGATAGAGTCTTGTTCTGTCGTCAGGCTGGAGTGCAGTGGCGTGATCTCGGCTCATTGCAACCTCCGCCTCCTGGGTTCAAGCGATTCTCCTGCCTCAGCCTCCCTGGGAGCTGGGATTACAGGTGTGCGCCACCATGCCTAGCTAATTTTTGTATTTTTAGCAGAGACGGGGTTTCACCATGTTGGCCAGGATGATCTCGATCTCTTGACCTCATGATACGCCTGCCTCAGCCTCCCAAAGTGCTGGGATTACAGGTGTGAGCCACTGTGCCCGGCCGATCTGATGGTTTTATCAGGTGCTTAGGGCTTCCCCCTTCGCTTGGCACTCATTCTCTCTCCTGCCACCCTGTGAAGAGGTGCCTTCCGCCAAGACTGTAAGTTTTCTGAGGCCCCCTCAGCCATGCAGTACTGTGAGTCAATAAAAATTCTTTTCTTTTTACACTACCCAGTCTCAGGTATTTCTTCATGGCAGCATGATAATTGACTAATACAAACAGTATCTGCTAAAGAGGAAAATTGCAACAACAACAACAACAACAAAAACAAAACAAAAATAGCTAATGAATATTGCCAAAATTCATTTATTTTAAAATTATATGTAAAAGTTAGTGTGAATGACAGTTAAAAAGACATTATGGAATTTATGCTAAATATCAGTTTTTCCTTTCACTGCCTTCAATCTAACCTGTAACAGACTTTGGTATAAAGATATTTAGTCAACTTTGATACTTACTTTCCTCTGAAAGAGGAGGGAAATCCGTAATGAATTCTTCAAGAGAATATCATCTTCAGTAAATGCCATTACAATCATAAGGTTGTTGGTAATAAAGTTATGAATGATCACATTGTTTAAACTTTCAGTGAAAAGAATGACTCATGCACACCTGACATATTTAGGAGGACTATTGGGCTGCTTATGAAACTGATCTCTAAATCTTAGGAATGTTAAAAATACATTTTTGTTTCTATCTTTAATATTATCATTTTTGTCACTGTAGAATTTTCAGGGTATTTAGAAATTCAGCCAACTTTAATTTCTTGGTGGTGAAATAAATAGCTACTCTTTTCTGCCTTAATGTTTATACATATTCAATACTAAATTATTTAAATTCAATGTTAATGCTTGATAATTTAAGCAGACAAATTAGACTATGCAAAATTAAATCTGATTACATGATTGTTGAAAGGTAATATCACATACAGCTTGGTACACCCCAGAAAATAATTCTTTATAAAGGAGCTGAAACTTTAATTACCTGTGTATATCACTTTATATTATTATCCAAATTATTATGCTCTCCCTCACATAAAATTCTAATTTAGTTACAGTGCCATGTAATGTTCCATACATTCATTTTTTAATGTTCCTCAATTTTAAATTTGGTCTTCTTGTCATATAATAGTATTAATATTATATAGACATATTTATTTTTATCCATTTTATTCTCAAAAGGTATTTAATATCATTATACTTTTCTTTCACAAAGTAATTGAATAATAATCAGAGACTAGAGGAAGCATTTAGAATCTAATAAAGGATGATTCCTTTCTGATATTTGATTCCTGGTAACATTCAAGCTTCATTTCTCCTCCTATACCTTCTGCTCCATATCTGGGCAAAGTTGATAAGAAATCTTTGTGCTCTCTCCTTTCAGCCTGGTTGGAAGTTCAAAGCATGAAAACCCTGGTTCATACATAAGAACCTTCATCTCAGTCGCATCCCCTAACTACCATAGAAGCAGAGCCAGTCTCCTTTTAGATTGTCATGGGAAGTTACTGTGCTTGTGCCAGAAAGCCTCAATATGTGAGGAATAAACTTTTGTATACTTTCTTTGTGTCTGTGTGTGCAGCATCATTAGTCTCAACCCGAACCAATGCTCAGGGGAGTTTCCACCTTCTTTCTGAATTGGTTACAATTGGCACTCTGGGCAATTTGTCTAGGCAGTGATCACCACCACTAGGCACCATTATTCTCTCCTGCTTTGGCCTGCTAAGTGGTTTTGGTGCCTGCTGGTAAGCATGCCCTAAAGCTGTGCTTCTCTGTATTGTGGTTGTTAAATCCTACTGAGCCTTTTATAGATGTATAAATATAAGTCAAAAGTTTTAATAGTTGCCATTTAAGTACAGAAGTATGGGACTGGGACTTTCTTAAAGTGACCTTGGGTCACCTGTGTTTGCCCAGACCTATCTTTATATCTTAGCTTGAGTCATGTGTCTCGATTCTAGTGTAAGCCACAACTGATGTTAGGCTCAAGGCAATGGCTTACCTTGTGACTGCTGGCTGTGTCTAAACAGAGGCCTAGCCACCCATTCTATAGAGTACTCAGAGAAAAAAGAATGATATTCTTTGCAATATATGCCCCATTGGCTGGCTGTATGGAACAAGAATAGTTACCATGTGGCATCAAGAGGTCACACTGCTAAAAGCAAATGACTTACTAGAACCCTACAAAATGCTTCTGCTCTTGCTACTGGCTGTACTTTTGTGGCCACAAGAAAAAGATCCTGATCCACTGGGTTCCAGGGAAAAATGCCCATGTGCCGCTGTGGTACAAGCACAGGGCTAATTCAAACCTGATTCAAACCTAGTTACTTAACACATATAAAGCATCCACCAGCTTGGGAGAAATCCCTAACGATGACAATAGTGATTTAAGGATCTCTAAAGGAAGGAACTTACAAAAATAGGCAAGACAAACAGGATATGCTTCTGGAGTAGAGACCATAGCCAAAGAAGAAGAGGAGAAAGAGCTTCCTTTTGGATATAGAGGAAAAATACAAATACCTAAAATATAGTGCACAATTTTACTCATTTGGAAATCCAAAATTTACTAAAACATTTTTTTTTACAAAAAAAGGATAAAAGTGTGCTGATTAGCCATTGTGCTTCCACAATGTAAATTCTGAATTAACTTTAACATCTTCTGAAATGCATCAATTGGCAAACTTTAATGGCTTTAATAGAAGGGCTCACTTAAGTTACAGTTATATCTGGGATTCTACCAAGTTTAAATAATGTATCCCCTGTACTCTTTTGGGAATTACCAAATATAGAAGAATCTCACTTTAGCCATTGGAGCTACTGCCTTACTTAAAAATCCACACAGCACTTACTGCCCTAAAATATCCCATAGCAGGCATGGACATTCCAATTCAATGAGTAATACATTAAAATTACACTAAGTCTTTGGGAATTACAATTGGCTTAACAAATAAGATTTGCAATGGACCTCCTCCTCTCCCCTCACTCAAGTTAAAAGAGTTAAATATAGTTCAGTATAAAGGAAAACAGATCTTAAGAATTGAAACTCATTATACAAAACCTGTTTTGAAAGGGGTGATTTTCCCTGTAATTTCCCCATAAAAGCATAATTTGGCCAGATTTTAAACTTGGAAATAATGAATGGAGACTTATTGTAGATTACATCACCCTTAGTGATGTGGATTTACTCATTAAGGCACTCATATCCAATGTTATTGAAATTACTGACTTCATTCAATCAGACTTTAGTAAGCTCTTTGTAGTTACATATTTGCTTCCTATGTATGATCAGAGCCTATTTCAATAGCCTCACAGCTGAAGTTTGCCTCCAAGGTGAAATGAACACAATGCACTTTTACCTGGCTACCCATAGAGTACTTCAACAGCCCAGCTATCCCACATAATCATTGTAGGAAGGATCTTAATTCTATCCAACTTTCTCTAGGATCATAAGTATGACATTGCATTGATGAATCCTTCTTCAATGAGATTCAGTTGATTTACTCACTCAGGGTATATAAAAACTCACAGAGGAGCTTTATAAAAAAGGGGTGGGCCATTGACCCATATGTAGTACAAGGCCCTGCCACCTTGGTTAAATTTCTGAAAATTATTTGGTTAGTCAAGAGCTTCTCCATCACTGACACTGTCAAGAAACATGCTCAATACTGAGCATGTCAATGCTGTTTCTTGACACAAGCCAGACAACTTTTAGGCTTTTTTTGTGTTCTGAAGGCAACAACTTTCTCATTTATAAAGTTTACTTAAACATAGTTATACTGTTGCTTACAAATCAGCCCACATTGAATACGTTCCCTTATGACAATAGCTCTAGAATCCATTTGAGTTGCAATGCAACAGGCACTCCCCTTAATGTCTCTGAGATATTTGGCCAGTGCAGAAGCTGCAGCAACCTCCTCCCATACATTCTGTAGTCTCTAAATCAAATCAACCAGGGTGTCCATAAATTTCCCATGGGCTTCCAGAGCATGAAACTGCCCTTCCTGAACATTTGCACTCCTTGTAGTGCATACCATTACAACAGCAGTTGCTGGTAGCATGCTGGACCCACACAGGCTCTGAGCCTATCACCCTTCATACCCAGCTGCTTATTATGCCCTGGGTCATGAAAGCAGCATTCTGAAAGCTTGGTATAGTCAAGGTCTCCTTACTAAAATGAAAAGTATACCTACAGGATCAAACTAAATCTGGGTCTTCTGGCATATCCCAGCTGCAGGGGGCATAGCCTTCCCTATCTCCAGTGTGTTGTCAGATTCCATGGTGTTGTGGAAGTTTACTTCCTCTCCTACTCCTATACCTCACCTAGAGAGCCTCTTGAAATCAACTGAATGAAGAGAAAAATGAAGATAGTTTATATACTTTACAGATGGCAGCAACACTATTGTATGTGATGGAGCTTACTGGAGATCTGCTGCTTTTCATTCCTTAACGAGAACATCGCTGATCAAGGATGGAACCCAAGGTCTAGCACAATAGTTGAAATTTGGGCAGTGATCTTAGCATCAGATTCACTGCTTAATGATCAGTTTTATCTGTATGTTTTTATAGACTCTTTGGCTATTGTCTGGTCCAGCCAGTGTCAGCAACAACTATGTCCTATGCAATATTGCCCACTTTGGAATGAAGAATTCTGAGAAGCTCTTGGCTCAAGGTCACATATGTCTAACTCATAATAAAGCCAGTATAAAAGGCCTCATCAATATACTCCTCATCCCCTTCTGAGTTCTAGATACTATCGGTAGTGACCAGGCAACTCATTTCAGTTTTCAAAATACATAATGTTGGGCTTTTAACCAAGGCATTCAACGAAACTTTTATCCTCATTTTTAACACTGAGTTATAGATCTCATAAAGCACAATAATGACTTACTTAAGCAAGTTCAAATTCAATTGAATAAAGCCTGGAATATTTCAGCCATCTGACATTGGAATTAATTGCAATAATGAGTCTAATTCCATTTGTGATATTTGATGACTGAGAGCTTTTTAGCCCCACCACTCTCCTTTAACCTTCTGATTCACATGTGGGGAACACTGTAAGAAAGCCTGGGTGTTCTCTTCTTTGGCACCAGTGGAAGTTAAATCATGCAAGCCCCAGCTGGCATATGGAAAATCTGGCTCCAGTCTTACTACGTAATCACCATGGAAGATGAGCTCATACTGGCTTGGGAAGCCACCCTGCTTTTCTTAGAAAGGTTTATTATGTCAGTTAACAATACTTTTTATACCCCCTTGGTGCGTATGTGGCATCATCACTCTTGACACCTGTCCTGAATTTGATTGGGGTAATCTATCCTGCCTCTTTAGAGTTTCTAAACCAGAAACATTGTACATCAAATTTCATTCTTTCCACTATGATAGAATACAGAGAAAATAAAAAATTCAGTGTCCTCAAAATATCTAAGGCAAAAACCACAACAGTTTTTTTGAGCATTTTAACAATCACAGATTCCTGCATTATTGAAACACTGATTGATCTTATTAGATGAGTGTTAAGATATTTAACAACAACAAATAGTGCTATTGCTCTTTTACAGAACCACAAAAAAAATATGTTTGGAAGGGGGAAACAGTTTGTAGGTCTCTGTTTCCACATTATTAAAATGGTTGATTGTTTTTGCTTTGTGTTTAAGCAAAGAAGCTTGGAAGCATTTTTATCTTTCCAATTATGGTAGTGAATACAAATATGGTGCTTGCACAATAATCACATATATTAGTAAATTTCTGACCCTTGGAAATAAGCATGACTTGCATGTCTGTCTTTAGAATAATTTGCATCCAGCAGTTAATTGCTAATCAACTAGTACCCATGGGAAATCAAAAGCAAAAAAGAAAAAGCACAGAAAAAAATAAGTAAAAGAAAATTTAACACTGGGAAAAGTACGATGTCATTATAAAGTCAAAATCATGCTTTAATAGTAACTTAAGATGTATTGATTCACAGATCAAAATGAAAATAATGCACATTATCCAACCCAAGGAATTTCAAAGTGCAGCAATCAACACGATTTTCCAGTTTTATATCCCTTTCCCTAAAATATCCAGGAATGTATGGGTGCTTAATAGTGTCCCAAAATACAGCTCTGTTGTTTTTTGCCTCACCACGACAAAAAAGAAATTCAGATGAACTAAGAGGAATCTTCCATTTTTTCTAGAAGCAGCTTGCTCTGGTATAAGCCCCCTCTTCAAAGAGTCATTGAACTTCTTTTGCTGTAGCCAAGTTCTAGACAACTGCACACAAATTTAAGAAATTTGCTTGCTGCATCACTGTTGCCCATGTTCTTATATTGCAGCATCAGTTGGAACTATAACTATTCACACAGGATGAAGTCCTGGGTCAGGCTTTCAGCTGAGGCCATTTCCTCCTACTCTAGTGTGAAATGATGCTCAGACTACAAGAGTTCTTCAAAATGAAGAGCAATATGGCATCTCTCACTTCAGTATGATGTGCAGCCAGGTGGCACCCATGTCCAAACTGACTTAATTTCCTAATATTAAAGAGAATGGCTGAATGTATTCATTGCCACATCGTCAGGGTAGTCTGTCTATCAGGTGGATTAGGTAAGGTCTCCAGCACAAAGTAATCATTCTTTTTCTACTTAGTGCACTAGTAGTCCTGCTTGTCCTGTCCTTTTCTTTTCTCAGATTGATTGTTTTTTTAATTACACGGGTCTATTTTTCTTCCCACTACAATCCACTGCAAGAGATTTTAATAACTTCAATCTCAGGAAGAAGTGGTTAGAATAAATAGTCTTTGTCTCTGATGAAAATTTCTTTACTGTTCAAAATTTCTCACATTTTATAATATTTCAATCTCATTTAATCAAAAATTTATAGAAAAAATACAGTACTTATCTCTGTTTGAACAGCATTAACTCAAATGCATTCTACTTTCCAGCAACATTTAGGATGCCTCAAAAATAAAAAAATATATACACATTAGAATTAATAGCATGGATTTTTTATTATTTTTATTATTTTTTTTTATTTTTGACACAGAGTTTCGCTATTGTCGCCCAGGCTGGAGTGTAATGACACAATGTTAGGTCACTGCAACCTCCAACTCCTGGGTTCAAGTGATTCTCCTGCCTCAGCCTCCTGAGTAGCTGGGATTACAAGCATGTGCCACAACACCCGGCTAATTTTTTGTATTTTCAGTAGAGACGGGATTTCACCATGTTAGCCCAGGCTGGTCTCAAACTTCTGACCTCAAGTGATCTGCCCGCCTCAGCCTCCCAAAGTGCTGGGATTACAGGAGTGAGCCACTGCGCCCGGCCATGGATTTTTGACTTTTGAAAACTTTGTTGTTGTTCAGGCAATGATTTTTGAGTTAAATCATGTGGATGCAATTTTTTTAATTTTAATTTTTAATTTTTATGGGTTCATAATAGTTACACATATTTACAAGGTACATATGATATTTTGGTACAAGCATACAATGTGTAATGATTAAATCAGGGTAATGGGAATACCTATGGCCTCAAACAATTATATATTTGTTTGTGTTGGAAACATTCCAAATCCATTCCTCTCGTTATTTTGAAATACACAACAAATTGTTTTTACATGTAGTGACTCTATTGTGCCACTGAACACTAGATCTTATTCCTACTACGTAATTGAATTTTGTACCAATTAACCAATCCCTCTTTATTCCCCTACTCCTCACTACTTTTCAAACCTCTAGTAACGATCATTTTACTCTCTACCTCCATGAGATCAATTTTTTAGCTCCCACATATCAGTGAGACCATTCAGTACTTATTTGTCTTTCTGTGCCTGGCTTATATCTATGTTATTGGAAATGACAGAATTTCATTTTTCTTTTATGGCTAATAATATTCCATTGTGCGTATGTACCACATTTTCTTCATCTATTCATCTGCTGATGGACACTTAGGTTGCTTCCATATCTAGGTTATTGTGAAGAGTGCTGCAATAGACTTGAGACTGCAGCTATCTCTTTGATATGCTGATTTCCTTCCAGTCTAGTAGTAGGATTGCTGAATCATAAGGTAGTTCTATTTTTAGGTTTTGGGGAACTATCATACTGTTTTCAACAGTGGTTTTACTAATTTACGTTCCTATCAACAGTGAACGAAGTTTTCCCTTTCTCTGCATTCCTGCCAACATTTTTCATTGACTGTCTTGGGGTGAGATGATATATCATTGTAGTTTTGATTTGCATTTCTGTGATGATTACTGATATTAAGCATTATCTCATATATATGGTGGCCATTTGTATGTCTTCTTATGAGACATGCCTCTTCAGATCGTTTGTCCATTTAAAATTTATTTCTTTCAATAGCTTTAGAAGTGCAAGTGTTTTTCTGTTAACGTGGATGAATTGTTTAGTAGTAAAGTCAAGGATTTTAGTGCACCAGTCACCCAAGTGATGTATTTTGTACCCAATAGGTAGTTTTGCATCCCTCATCCTCCTCTTTCCTATCCCCTTCTGAGTCTCCAATGTTCATTATGCCACTCTGTATACATTTGTATACCCATAGTTTAGCTCACACTTTTAAGCAAGAACATGCACTATTTGGTTTTTGATTCCTGAGTTACTTTACTTAAATAATGACCTTTAGTTCCATCCAAGATGCTACAGAAGACATTATTTTGTTCTTTTTTATGGCTGAGTAGTATTACATAGTATGTATGCATACTACATTTTCTTTATCCACTCATTGATTGATGGGCACTTAGGTTGATTCCATATCTTTGCAATTGTGATGTGTGCTATAATAAACATACACATACAGGTGTCTTTTTGATATGATGACATTTTTCCTTTTGGGTAAATACCCAGTAGTAGGATTGCTGGATCAAATGGTAAATATACTTTTAGTTCTTTGAAAACTACTTCCTGTTTTCCATAGAGGTTGTAATAATTTACATTCCTATCAGCAGTGCACAAATATTCCTTTTTCACCACATCTCTGCCAAATCTGTTGTTTTTTTGACTTTATAATAATGGTAACTCTGGCTGGGGTAAGTTGATACCTCATTGTGGTTTTAATTTTCATTTCCCTCATGATTAGTAATCTTGAACATTTTTTTCAATGTTTGTTGGCCATTTGTATATCTTCTTTGAGAAATGTCTATTCATGTCCTTTGTCAGTTTTTTAATAGAATTTTTTTTTTTTTTTTTTTTTTTTTTTTCTGATATGTTTGAGTTCCTTGTAGATTCTGGATACTAGTCCTTTGTCGGGTACATAATTTGCAAATATTTTCTCACATTCTGTAGGTTGTCTGTTTACCCTGATGTTTATTTTTTATGCTGTACAGAAGGCTTTTAATTTAAGTAGGTCCCATTTATTTATTTTTATTTTTGTTGCATTTGCTTTTGGGATCTTAGTCATAAATTCTTTGTCTAGATCAATTTCCAGAAGATTTTTTCTTAGGTTTCCTTCTGGAATATTTATAATTTCAGGTTTTAGATTTAATTATTTAATCCATCTTGAGTTAATTATTGTATATGGTAAGAGATAGAGATCCAGTTTCATTCTTCTACATGTGGCTATCCAATTTCCCCAGCACCATCTATTATTCAGTAGATGGCTGTCCTTTCCCCAATTTATGTTTTTCTATGCTTTGTCAAAGATCCACTGGTTGTAAACATTTGGCTTTATTTTTGGGTTCTCTATTCTGCTCCATTTGTTTATATATTTATTCTTATACCAGTACCATGCTATATTGTTTACTATAGTCTTGTAGCATAATTTGAAATTGGTCTCAAAACAAAAACAAAACAAAAATTAACAAGGCCCCACCATGTGCTGCCCATTGAGACTCACCTCCACTTTAAAGACACACATAGACTGAACGTGAAGGGATTGCAAAAGTATTTCATGAGAATGAAAGCCAAATAAATTACTTAATGAAGCATCTTGAAGAATTAAAAGAAGAAAACAACCCAAACCCAAAATTAGCTGAAGAAAATAAATAATAAAAATCAGAGCAGAAATAATCAAATTGAGACAAAACATGAAAGATTAATGAAAGAGAAAGTTGTTCTTTGGGAAACATAAGCAAAACAGAAAAACCTGTAGCCTGATTAAAGATAAAAGAAAGATGACTCAAAGAAATAAAATCAGATATGAAAAAGGAGACATTATCACAGATATCACAGAAATTCAAAAGGTCATTAAGGATTAGAGACTATTATGAACAAATATATGCCAATAAATTAGAAAACCTGAAAGAAATTGATAAACCCCTAGACACATATAACCTACTAAAATCAAGCCACGAAGAAATAGAAAACCTGAACAGACCAGTAATAAGTAACAGGATGGAAGCAGTAATAAAAAGTCTCCCAACAAATAATAGCCCAATATCTGATAGCTTCACTGCTGAATTCTACCAAATATTTAAAAATATTTGTGTGTTAGATCCATTCGGTCCAAAGTGTCCAATTGTATTTTATTTTGTTGGTTTTCTCTGTAAGTGATCTAACTACTGTTCAGTCTGGTATTGACTTTTTTTACTATAATTGTATTACTGTCCCAAACTTCCATATCTATTTATATTTGCTTTATATCTTTAGGTGCTCTGATATTAGATGCATGTAGATTTATAATTGTTATTTCTTCTTGATTAATTGACCCTTTTACTATTATTTAATGACATTCTTTGTCTCTTTTTACAGTTTTTGGCTTAAAGTTTATTTTGTTTGAAATAAATATAGCGGGCAAGGCGCAGTGGCTCACCCCTGTAATCCCAGAACTTTGGGAGGCTAAGGGGGGCGGATCACGAGGTCAGGAGATTGAGACCATCCTGGCTAACCCAGTGAAACCCCGTCTCTACTAAAAATACAAAAAATTAGCCGGGCGTGGTGGCAGGTGCCTGTAGTCCCAGCTACTCAGGAGGCTGAGGCAGGAGAAAGGCCTGAACCCAGGAGGCGGAGCTTGCAGTGAGCCGAAATCACACCACTGCACTCCAGCCTGGGTGACAGAGCAAGACTCCGTCTCAAAAAAAAAAAAAAAAAAAAAAAAAGAAAGAAATGTAGTGACCACTACTCTTTTTTGGCTTTCACTCTCATGAAATACTTTTGCAATCCCTTCATGTTCATTCTATGTGTGTCTTTAAAGTGGAAGTGAGTCTCAGTAGACAGCACATGGTGAGGCCTTGTTAATTTTTGTTTTTGTTTTTAGACACAATCAATCACTCTACACCTTTTGATTGAATTTACTTCATTTTTATACAGAGTATTTATTGATAGGTAAGGTTTCACCATTTTCAATTTGTTAATTGTTTTCTGGATGATTTTTATATCCTTTGTTCCTTTCTTCCCCTCTTGCTGGTTTTGTGTGTGTGTGTGTGTGTGTGTGTGTGTGTGTGTGTGTGTGGTTTGAGGATTTTATGTAATCATATGCTTTGGTTCCTTTCTCTTCATCTTTTGTATATCTACTATAGGTTTGTGCTTTATGGTTACCGTGATGCTTACATATAACATTTTATATTTATAACAATCTGCTTTAAGGTGATAACAACTTAACTTTGATTTCATATAGAAACTCTACCCTTTTACTACCCCTGAAAAAAAATTATGTTTTTGATATCATTCTTTATGTATTTTTATATTGTATACTGATTAAAAATTATGGTAGCTATTATTTTATTAACCTTTATACTGGACATATGACTGATTTATCACCATCACTGTATTAGAATATTCCAAATTTGCCTATATACTTACTGCTTCCAGTAAGTTTTACACTTTCATATATTTTTATGTTACTAATTACTAATCTTTTGTGTGAGCTTGAAGAACACCCTTTGGCATTTCTTGTAAGGCAGGTCTAGTGGTGATTCATTTCCTCAGCTTTTATTTTTCTAAGAAAATCTATTTCTCTCCTCCATTTCTGAAGGATGGCTTTCTGAAAATAAGTTATTTTGTTTGGTAGGTTTTTTTTCTCCATTCTTTCAATACTGTGTACATTATTTCCCAGTCCTTTCTGACCATGGAAATTTATTGCTAGGAAATCAGCTGATAGCCTTACAAAGGTTCCCTAGCAGAGGAACTTCTTTTTTTGTTGTTGTTGCTTTAAAAATTATTTGTCTTTGACATTTGTCTGTTTGATTAAATATAACTTGGTAAAGTATTTCGGATTGAATCTAATTAGAAACCTTTGAGCTTCTTGTACTTGGACATTAATATTTTCCCCAGATTTGGGAAGTTTCAGCCATTTATTCTTGTTGCCTCCCCCCTTTATTACATTTATTATGAGACTAATGAAGGACTTTGTTTTATTTTAAATTGTGTATATCTAAGGTATACAACAATGTAAATAGTGAAATGGTTACTATAGTCATGAAAATTAGCAGACTCATTATCATACATAGCCTTTTAAAATAAGCTTTCTGTCCCTTTCTCCCTCTGTTCTCCTGAAACATTGAGCATGTGAAAATTAGCTCTCTTTATGGTTTTCTATTAACTCCATAGGCATTCTTCCCTTCTTTTCATTCTTCTTTTTTTTCTCCACTGGTAGAATACTTTCAAATGAACCGTCTTTGAGTTTACAGATTCTTTCTTCTGTTGCATCCAGTTCACTGTTGATGGTCTCTTTTGCATTTTTTCATCTAACTTATTGTACTCTTCAGCTTCAGTATTTCTGCTTGGCTCTTTTTAAAATAATTTATATGTCTTTGTTGTTTAACTTCTTGTTTTGCTTATGTACTGTTTTTCTGACCTTCTTTTTACCTCTCTGTGCTCTCTTGCAGCTGTTAGTTTCCTTAAAATAATTATTTTACATTTTTGGTTAGCCAATTTGTAGATCTTCATTTCTTTGTGGTGGTTACCAGAAACTTAGTGTGTTCTTTCAGTGATGTTGTATTTTCTTTCTTTTTCTTCATGTTTCTTATTGCTTATGTTGATGTGTGAACATTTGATGGTGCATCACCTCTTTCAGACTTTGTGATCTAGTTTTAGTGAGAAAAGAATTTTACCTGTGAATGGATGTGAGGGTGCTAGTTTGATGGGGTGCAGCAATTTCAGCTCCAATGAGAGTGTAGTAGCAGTCCCATGTACCTCTGCCAGCTGATTGGTAAAGATTGCAGGGATTTTCAGTGGCCAAGGATGTGGGTGTCCACAGTGGTGGCAAGGGCTGCTGCCGTCTCAGTGGCAAATACTGCTGGGGTACTCCTCCTAATCTTTCTATTCCATGAGGGAAGTTGTGGCCTTAGCTTTTGTGTTTACAGTGTTGGTGCTATTGTAGTGGCCATGGAGCTGGGGTCTTTCTAGAGTGCGAACATGTGCAGAGCAACAGTAGCTCTCAGATGCAAAGCACAAACCTGTCTGCTGGGATGGTGGCTCCAGCATTTGATGTTCAAGTTTGTGTGATGTGGCTGCAGAATTAGGGTCCAGAGGGCAGACATTTGTGGAGTGACAGTGGTTCTGGTGTCTGGAGCATGGGCTATTTCACTGTGTTTATGGCTCTGATGTTTGAGGCACAGGTGCTCATGGAGTGATGGTGGGACTTGGGATCAACAGCATGGGCATGCAGAGTGACCATAGCTTCAGGGTATAGGCCGAGGCTACCCTGCAGTGGTAGTGTCTCCTACGCATGAGGCATTGATGTGTGCTCTGCAGCTATGGAGCCAACACGTAGAGCACAGGCATTTATAGAGTGGCCAGAGTTCCAAAGCTCTGGGCACACACAGGGTTGAGGGGGTGGCCGTGGTCCTGGGCTAGCACAACAGTGGCTCTTTCTCGATGGGATCATCATCAGCTTCTCCCTCTCTGAGGGGAAGGTCAGTGCTAGTGATGTCTGTCCTCTGCAGAGCAGGCACTGAGGATCTCAGTGATACCCACTGTGTGGCTTACATTGATAGTCTCTTCCTTTGTTCTTTGTCCCTAGCCACCTCCAGACCTCTCAGGTAAGTCAGTGTCCTCAGTGACCATTTCTTCGTCATTATTCTCCATATTTTGCTCAATTAAATTGCTGCAGTTTCTTCATTGGAGCCTTGAATCCTCTCAAGGCTATTTTTGTTCCTGACCAGCTGTCTAATTGCTGTTTTTTGTGAAGGCATTAAGACTGGTGTCTTACTCTGACATCTTGCTGACATCACTGATGGATTTCTGTTAATAAGATCTCAGTATCTGTGTCTTCATTCATGATGTGTGCATAGCCTATCTCGTCCTGTGGAAATTTTCTTTAATGGCCTGCTTCTCCATGAATATTTTCCTAAATCCTCATTGGAATAAGTTATCTTTTATCTTAGAACATATCATAGAATATTTATATCTTTGTTGTAGAATATTGTATTCTCACTTGTTTTCTTGTTGTGAGCATGCCTGTAAATTGTAGTGTGAGCCACGGACTATGGTTTATTCAACATCTCTACATCCATAAATATACTAGTTCATTGTGCGCAGTAAATATTTCCTAATAGTTGTGTTGAAATCGGAGCCAATTATACAAATGTTTTAAGGTTGTCATAGGCTTAAATAAAGATAACCAGCATTTCTGTGAAAGAGGTCATTGCAGTTAGGTGGACTTTCTTATAAATATATGAATGTATTTTCTCTCATTGGTCTATCTTTGTAGAATAGGAGAAAATATGGTAGATAATTGTAGGTGAGGGTAGTTACCAATATAATCTGCATATATTCTCACTTCTTATTGTCATTTGAAGTAAAGTTATTATAAGGCCCAATACACCCGGCTGGGCATGGTGGCTCACACCTGTAATCCCAGCACTTTGGGAGGCTGAGGCGGGTGGATCACCAGGTCAGGAGATCGAGACCATCCTGGCTAACATGGTGAAACCCCGTCTCGACTAAAAAATACAAAAAAAAAAAAAAAAAAAAAAAATTAGCCAGGCATGGTGGCAGGAGCCTGTAGTCCCAGCTACTCGGGAGGCTGAGGCAGGAGAATGGTGTGAACCCGGGAGGTGGAGCTTGCAGTGAGCCGAGATCGCGCCACTGCACTCCAGCCTGGGCAACAGAGCGAGACTCTGTCTCAAAAAAAAAAAAAAAAAAAAAAAAAAAAGGCCCAATACAATTGTTGCTCATCTGAAAAGCACTGTGTCTTTACATGATGCCAATAAATATTAGGTGTTATTAGGCCTGGGAAAGCTAATTATGGCTGTTTATGCCCTTATATATCACACTGTTAATACTACTATAAAGCCCTTATCATAACCTTCAGTTTATTTCCTCTGAGCTACTTGATATAAAGACTGCCTTCTTTATCTCCTAGCTTTTAATACTGGGAGATAATACAATTCATACTGCATTCTGCATACTCAAACATATTTGTAGAATGAATACATTGTCTCCTTTGGATTTTAAGTCTGCCGCCTGGAACTATAGAACACTTTCTATTTCTTAATAAATTTTGTCATTACATATGGCTTTAAAAATCTGTAAATGTATTTTAAGCAAAATATAGTATTGTCTCTATCAGCTTAATTTTAACTTTTGAAGACATGATTAAAAGTATAAATAAAAGTTTAGTTATAAGAGTTTGCAAGGCTAATATGTAATGATTTGGTCTGACAGCTGTTGAGTTAAAATTCTCATCTTTATTCTAATAAATGTTTCTCAGACACATTCAAAGAGAAATTTGCTGCTGGTGCTTCATGAACCTTTATAAGTAAAATAAACATCAGTTATGTAGACAAAAAACAGAAGAAAAAAACTGTTACTACTTCACTAAGTTTTCTTCTACCAAAGGACAGATTGTCATTAATAATTCATGTTATTATAATAATAAAGTTTATGGTAATAACTAACACTAACTTTGCTCACACTTATTTCCATTTCCCAGTAGATTAATCTACTCCTGATTTTTAGAGGAAAAAAGTAGTGGTACATTTTTTGCCAATGCAAAAATCAGGAGTAGAATAGTAATGTCTTGTATTTGTAGAGCCCTATTCAGTTTATAAAATATTTTTTAAATTCCTGATGATATAAAGAATATATATTTTTTCAAAATTTTAGCTTTTTAAGCTGAAATGACCTGAGTCTAAAGCGGCTTGCATATAAAATCCATTCATCAGGTGGGGAAGTAGACTGACTTATTTCCAGGGCATCTCCCCTGATAGTCTAGAGCTTGATCCTAATAACAATTTCAGGTAGAAGAAGTATTTTGAAAAACATATTTTTCTACTAGATTATAAAAACCCTAGATACCAAAATATGAGTGTCTCAGAAATGCTTACATTTCTGATTATAATATTTATGTAGATTGTCCACTGATGGCTTTTGTCAATCAACCAGAGTAGTGGTTTCCAAATTATTACTGTGGAGTCCAAAACTTTGTGCAAAGCACAAGGAGTAGAGAGGAACTACAGGAGAAGGGTTCAGGACCACACACTAATTAATAGAAATTTTAGTTTATTTATTAATTATATTGGAGTGCTTGAAAAAGTATGTACTTGAAAACAGAGGAAGGGTAGGAGGGACAGGGTAGGAGAAAAACAGAGAAAGAGAAAAAGAGGAAGAGGAGGAAGTAAGAGAAGGGAAGAAGAAAAGGGATAAAGAGGAGAAAGAGAAAGGAGAGAAGAAGGAAAGTAAGGAGGAGAGGGAGGAAAAAAAATGCCCTGATCTAAGGAATTAAATGCATGAGGAAGAACAGAAAATCTCACAGGAGTACCTGAAAAACATCAACTGAAAAATTAATACCAATTCACACATAGTTCAAGTAAACATGTAAATAGGAAGATAAAAACAAAAGTTCCAAGTAATATATATGTGTGTGTATATATGTGTGTGTGTATACATGTGTGTGTGCGTGTGTGTGTGTATTTATTTATACTTCCCTTTTTACTGACATATGAAATGATAGCAGGGAACAAATTTTTATCTAGCAATTGTTTCCAAGCAAAACATACTAAGGAAAGAGACTAAATTGAGAATGCTAAGGGTTGACTTAACTGTCATTTCTGACTGATTAATAAATGTCAGAAATAAAAGGGATATGCATTGTATTATTTTTTCTATTTATTAAAATCTATGCTATGAGGATATATCAGAAATTTAATTTCTTGATTTCAAGCAAGGAAATAAAATATCATGACCTTTACGTTGCCCTTTCATTTTTGAGTGACAAGACATTTCCTTTGGTTACTTCATCAGAGATTTATATTCCTTATGTTTATTGTACAGAGATTCAAGCACATTCAACCTGCACTTGAGAGTTTAAGTCAGAAAGATGAAACAAGAAAGAAGAGTGAACTATATTGTTGCCACATACAGAGATACACAGACCAATGAAAAACTTGTTTGTATGACCCTGATATGGTTTGGCTGTGTCCTCACCCAAATTTCATCTTGAATTTTAGTTCCCATAATCCCCAGGTGTTGTGGGAAGGCCCAGGTGGGAGGTAATTGAGTCATGGGAGTGGTTACACCCATACTGTTATCATGATAGTGAGTGAGTTCTCATGAGACCTGATGGTTTTATAAGGGGCTTTGCCCCCTTTGCTCAGCACTTCTCCTTCCTGACGCCCTGTGAAAAAGGTACGTTTCTTCCCCTGTGTCTTCTGCCATGATTGTAAGTTTCCTGAGGCCTTCCCAGCCCTGTGGAACTGTGAGTCAATTAAACCTGTTTTCTTCATGAATTACCCAGTCTCAGGTATTTCTTCATAGCAGCATGAGAACGAAGTAATACTGACTCTTCAAAGGGGATCTGAGCAAGAATTTTTTGAAATGCCTACCAAGAATATAGCACTGTAGCAACGTGTTCTGGAGTAGGATTGTGTTTTTAAAATCTAATCCTATATATTTCTAATTTAATAATTTAATGCTTCAGTTTCAACATTTGTACAATGAGGATTTTGAACTATTTTCCTCATATATTTGCTGTTGCCTGAATGACAGAGTCCATGTCAAAAGCTTAAAATAATATCTGAATACATATCAAATACTCAGGAAAGGCTAACTGATATCATTATAATGGGATGCATAAGTAAAGACATGAACATTTAAAATAATAGTACTGATTATTCTCAATCAATTTGTACTGAGCACTTGTGGGATGCTTCAACCCAAATATGGGATAAAAGAAAATGGCATCATGTAAAACTTTTATATGAATTAGAATCCCAGATGTTTGTTACCTTGGACAAATTAAAATCAATTTTTTTTCTTTGTAAAATGGGGAAAAATAAGGTTTTAGTGATGCTTGAATAAGAAGTTCATGTGAGGATTTTATCATAGGATATTAATAAAGAAATATTGAAGTCTCCAACTATAATAGATGTACCTATTTTTTCACTCCCGTTCTATTAGAGTTTGCCTCTCCTATTTTTACTCTTTGTTGTTAGGTGCATACTTATTTAGGGTTGTAATGTCTTGTAAGAGACTGACTCCATTCTCATTACATATGGACCTTGAATAATTATCCTTCTCCTGAACCTTATCACAGATTTTCAGCTTTCTTTTGATTAGTGTTAACATGTTATATCTCTCTGTATTCTTATACTTTTAACATGCCTGAGACTTTGTTTTTATAGTGACTTTGCAGAAAACATAGAATTGCTTCATTTTTAATCCATTCTGATAATATTGCTTTCAATTTGTGCATTTATACCATTTACATTTAAAATGACTATTGACATAGGTGGGTTTATATCTATTATGGCTGCATATGTTTGCTCTTCAGTGAACTTGTTTTTGTTCCTTTTATCCTCCTCTTTACCTGCCTTCTCTAATTTTAATTGAGCATTTTATATGATTCCACTTTCTCTCCTCTCAGCATATGAGTTTTGCTTCTTATTTTGTATGTTTCCATAGATTTTTCATTCTACATTATAATTAATCTTGGTTCACTCTCAAATAAATCTATATCACTTTACATGTAGTGTAATTATCTTATAACAATGTATTCCAAATTCTTCCCTTTCATACCACGTTATTGCTGTCATTCACTTCACATATCCATACACTATAATCATCAAATACATCGTTGTGATTATTACTTGATACAGTTTTCTTTTAGACTAACAATAAGTGAATAACATATTTTATTTTACCTTTATTTTTACTCTCTGACATCCTTTCTTTAAATAGATTCAAGTTTCTGACATATCATTTACCTCCTCTCTGAAAATCTTCTCTTTTCACAGAACATGTGTTCTGGCAATGAATTCCATTTTTGCTTGCTTAAGTCTTTATTTAACCTTTATTGTGGAAGAATAATTTTGCTGAATATATAAATTTAGGTTGATATTTTATTTTTTTTAAATTCAAAACTCTAAATATTTTGTTGCATTCTCTTCCTACTTGGAATTTCTGCTTAGAAGTCTACTGTAATTATCGTTCCTTTTCCTCTGCAGGTATACTGTTTATTTGCTTGCTTCTGAATCTTTTCAAGATTTTTTCCTTGCCTTTGATTTTCTGCAGTTGAATATAATATGATTAGGTGTAGCTTTCAGGATATCTGTCCTGCTTGATATTCTTTGAATTCCCTGAATCTACAGTTTGGAGTCTGTTACTAATTTTGGAAAATTCTGTTATTTTTACTTCAGGTATTTTTTCTGGTCTGGTCTATCACTCTTCTCCATCTTATATTCCAATTATACATATGCTACAATTTATGTAACTGTCCCACAATTATGGGATGCTTTGTTCTGTTTATTATTACTGTTATTATTATTTTCTTTTTGCATTTCAATTTGTGACATTTCTATGGAATATGCTCACGTGTTTTTATGCTTGTCCAGTCTACTGATGTGACCACAAAAGGAATTCTTCCTTTCTCTTTATGTGTTTTGATTTCTAGAATTTTCCTTAAATTTTTTTCTTAGAATTTTCATTTCTGTTACTGATCTGTTTTTGAATATTGTTCTACTTTTTCTGTTAGAGCATTTAGCATATCAATCCTAGTTATTTTAAATTCCTATCTGATAATCTCACCATCTGCATCATATATGAATCTGGTTCTGATGCTTGTTTGTCTATTTAGATTTTTTTTTTTTTTTTTTTTTTTTTTTTGCTTTTCATCATGCCTTTGGATTAAGGAATAGAAACTAAGGTAAATAGGATTTTAACATGACTTTTTTTGTTAATCTGGCTAATAACTGGACAGTGGATGTTTGCTGTAGCTTTAGGTACCAGAGCCTTTACATTCTTCTTGTGTACTTATTTTTATCTCTCCTGTTTGCTTTGGATTCAGTGTATACATTTAAATAACATCATTTAGGAGGTCAAGAGACCTCAGAATGGAATAAAACTGTGACACAATAATCTCATTGTATTACAAATATGTGAAAGAACTTCATTGAAGGAGGTATCTGGCAAGTTGCTGGCCTAAGTAACCTTGGAAATGAGTGGCATCTATAAGAGTAAAACCAAAAGTATTTATGAATTGTAGTCAGTTAACAAAGATGCTTCTTGTGGCATTTTGAGTTAACAACACTTGTACTGCTACATATGTGAATAGTTAAGTAAATGGATTTTGCATGGAGGGATCTACACTGCTCTTGTTAAAATAAGTGGTTATACATAAGCAGGTGGAGGAGGCTAGACTGATCTGCATAGTAGTGGATAGAGCTAGAGACATAGTGTGAGCTCATGTTTAGCATAATATAGCTACTGATGGTTACATATAGAAATATTTATAAATATGTATATAAACATAGTTTTGTATAAACACATATATTTCCTTGCTCTGTCAGTTAAGAGGTCTAAAAGCAGTGACATCATAGTAGTAGTAAGCACATTCGCACCCAGCTATTGGTCTCTAATACCATTCCCCAGTTAAAGGAAACTACGAGCCTTTAAGAACTGGCTGATTCTAGCAATGGGGCAGGAAGTATACAATATAAACTTAAAGCATCTTAAAATGCTAGAAAGTAAAAAAAAATACCTACACATGCACACACAAAAACACAAACACATTGATTGTGGTATGTAAAAGGAACACAGCAGCCTTCTGTAAGAAATTCTGAGCTTTTGATGGCCAAAGCTGGAACTGTTTGAGTACCACCATGAGTAAAATCTTATCAAATAATAACTCAAAATATAAAATAAGCACAAGTACATATTGACATCAGTATATTTATATTTATACTGATGTAAATAGCTGAATGAATAAATAAATGGGGAAATAGAAAAATATCTGGTACAGAGAATTCCAAATAATTTTTGTATGTCAACCTCAGGGAGGAGGAGAAAAAATTCCCACTTCTTAATTACGGGTGACATGCAGAGATTTCTTGCCAAGAAATGCATTATGGAAATGGAGGGAGTGTAACTTTATACTGGAGAAACTGGACAAAGATTGTCTGAGCCAGGTGATCAAGTTCAACTTTAATAGTAATAAGTCATGTTTATGACATGTACCCTTGATATGACGTGATTTAAAAAGTACTTTACCTCTGTGGTCTTTCTACCCAAACTCATAACACACAACTAATTATGATAAAAATATCAGGCAAATTGCAATATGGGAACATCTTATATAATACATGACAAGTATTCTTAAAACTATTAAGGTCATCAAAATCAAGGAAACTTTGAGAAATTGTCTCAGCTAAGAGAAGCCAAAAGCAACATGATAACTATATATAATGTGATGTCCTGGATAGAATCCTAGAACTGATATAATACGTGGGGTTAAACTCAGGGAATCTGAATAAATAACTTCAGTTAATAATAATGTATTAATTGTAAGGGATAATTGGAAGGACAGCCAAGAAAGGAATGAGGCCAGTAGACCCAAGTTCAGGCAAGCTGATTTATTGTCAGTCCCGTCAGGCTACCTCCTGACAAACGCAGAGGAGGCAGCCCCGCTTACAGACTACTGCAGGGCTTTATAGGGCAAGGAATGAGGTCAGGGTGGGGAAGCTGAGTTGGGTGTGCAGGAGGGCTGAGTCAGGGTAGGGGAGCTAAGTCGGGGGTACAGATGTCTTGACCGCATCTTGGAGATGTTTTTTGTTAGCTTTGTTATGCGAGGTGAACGGACATGTTAACTGCATCCTGTAACTGCCTGGACAAACAGTTACTGGAGGGGTCAGTGAAGTGGGGTTTGTCTTTAGCCCTGGGGGAGCTGTGCGGAGGTCACAAAGGACTGCATTGTAAGACCTATGGGAAGGGAGGGGGAAACAGTCTGGTTGGGGTGACCCTAACATTAATATTGGTTCATTAATTCTGATAAATGTACTATACTAATGTAAGATGTTAACAGTAGAGGAAATAGGGTATGAAATATATGGGAACTCTGTATACTATTCTCTTAATTTTTCTATTAATTTAAAACTTACCTAAAACAAAAACTTATTTAAAAATATATTGTACCACTTCCTTCTGGCCTTCATGATTTCAGGAGAATTCTGCTTTCATTCAAATTGGTGATATTCTGTACATGATGAGTTGTTTTTGTCTGACTGTAAGGATTTTTTTGTTATTAATTTTCAGAAGTATAATTAGAAATCTTGCCATAAATTTCTTTGGATTTATCCTATTTTAAGTTCACTTTTCTTCATGAATTGTTAGTTCATGTTTTTATTTTGGTTCTTTTTTGTTTTGCTAAATTTAAAAAGTTTTTAGCTGTTATTTCTTCTGAGAAAAAATATATTTGGCCACATATGAAAATATTTATGAACTTTCTATTCTGTTCTATTAGCCTGTATGTTTGTCTTTATGCCAGTACAATGCTGTTAGGTTACTGTAGCTTTGTAGTATATTTAAAATCAAGAAGTGTGTGTCCCTAATTTTGTTATTCTTTTTCAGGATTTTGTTATCTATTTGGGATCCCCAGAGATTCCATATGAATGGGTGAGTTTTTCCAATTCTACAATAAAACATCATTGAGATTTTGATAGAGATTGCCTTACATCTGTAGATAACTTTGGGCAGTCTTAACATCTTAACAATAATAAATCTTCCAATCCATGATGATGTTATGTCTTTTAATTTATATATTTTCATTTTTTAAATTTCTTTCAGAAATATTTTGCAGATTTTATTGTCCAAGTTCTTCACCTCCTTGGTTAATTACCAAGTGTTGTATTCTTTTTAATGCTGTAATAAACAAAATCATTTTCTTAATTTTCTTTTCATATTTTTATTGTTAATGTATAGAAATACAACTAACATTTTTTGTGTTGACTTTGTGTCCTGCTACTTTGCTGAATTTGTTTATTACTTCCAACAGCATGTTTTTTGGTTGCCACAGCTTTTTTTACTGATATATAAGAAAATTTTTAAAGAAGAGTAATTTTTTAGAGTTTCGCTTTTTTCAGGGAAGTATTTTCAAAATAAAAACCAAAACTGAAATGGTGACATTTGTTCAGATTCTGTCTTTTGAAGTTTTTGCTAAAAATTACAATAACTCAAAATGTATTACTTAAAAGACATTGAGAAATGGAAGGGATTAACCAGAAATATTTTCTAGATATGAAAAAGCCTTACATGCTGAGGTTAGTATTTCCAAACCTGCCTGACACAATTGAAGTCTGAGAAGAAGCCAGACTTCCTCTGTCTGCTTCTCTCTTGCTTTTTGTGGATTATAACATCTCTTCCAGACTTGGCCACACCTCTGCATCCTTGAATAGTTGTGAGTTACCATCTCCTAGTTTCATGCTAATATTCATTCACCTGTGGCCCAGGTGACCACTAGAATTGGTGAATAAACTGTAGCATCATTGTAGCTGGTTAGGCTATCATGGTACCCTCTTCCTATTACTTTCTGCCTTACTCAGGGTATGCTGGAACAAGTTCATACTGACTAGCAAGAGCCAATCATAATTTTTAAAAAATTGTATGAGTTGGTTGTGAAATAGATGTTATTAGAAAATAAATTACATGAACTTTCAATTAAATAAGTGATGTTAAAATAACTGGTAATGAAAATATAAACATCATAATTTCCTAATTATTTTGCCACATTTTACTATTATCTATGTTCTTAAGGTCATTTTTATCTCTTGTACCTATATTCTGGAAATACTGTAAATGGTATACTGCTGCACATCTGTTTCCAAGGTCACGTCACATTGGTACCTTTGAATGGGGTATGATGGAAGTAGTTAGATTATACAGATTGACAAAGGCTATAAATCCAAGATTTTACTATAGAGCCAGCTACTAAATATTTACCAGTACACCACTGCCCTAATCCTTTTATATCTTCCTATCTTTGACTAAACCTCAATATTTCCTATTTCATAGAAATTGCATCATTGCATATTAAGATGAGTACTACTATAACCTGGAAATTTGATTATGAAAGTCACTCTCCTCATTATCTTGAACAATGTATTGCAACCAACTGCTCCAAATTTTAGAGTACCAGTACTAATTTCTAATATGTGAAATGTCCATTGTTAATAAGTGAATAGAATAGATGCTATTCAGTGAGAGCTGTAAATTCAAGAGAGATAAATTTGTATTTCAAAATCAGAGGACTAGGAAATAAGGAAATATAAACATTGCCTTTTAAAATTGTTAACACTACTTTATGTCTTTAGTATTAGTCATCTTTTTAAAGAGACAAGAATAGAAGTTTAGAGAAGGGTAGCAATTAAACCGGGGTGCCTCAGTAAGTACATTGCAGAGCTGGGATTCCCAGTCTTCTGAATTCTAGGCTGAGGTTCTTTCTACCATAATAATTTGTTTCTCAAATTCACTTTCTATTTGGCATATTTTCCCATCATCTACCATGGTTTCTCTTGAATCATGTTAAAAAGAAGCACTTATTTCCTGGATGCCAAATATTTCTACAGAAAGATATAAGGCAATATTTCTTCTATCTCTCAAATGTTAAAAAGTTATATGCATTATTAATCAAATTAATCCATTTGTTAAAAATGTTTAATACCTTTGTTTCTATTAAACTTTCTTTTCTTAAAAATCAGTAATATTTATCTGAAATACTGAAACCACATTGAAGGACACAAGTAGGTAATTAAATAAAGTATCATTATAAGTCCTTGTAAATCATAGAGAGGATATTCCTGTTAATGCTCATTCTTTTTTTTTTTTTTTTTTTTTAGATGAAGTTTTGCTCTGTCCCCAAGCTGGAATGCAGTGGTGCAATCTTGGTTCACTGCAACCTCTGCCTCCCAGGTTCAAGCGATTCTCCTGTCTCAGCCTCCTGAGTAGCTGGGATTACAGGTGCATGCCACCATGCCCAGCTAATTTTTATATTTTTAGTAGAGACTGGGTTTCACCATGTTGGCCAGGCTGGTCTCGAACTCCCGACCTCAGGTGATCCGACTGCCTCAGCCTCCCAAAGTGCTGGGATTACAAGCATGAGCCACTGCGCCCAGACTTAATGATCATTCTTTAACAGCCCTTTCTTGATTTGTGTGTTTGTATGTGTGTGTGTGTGTGCGTGGGTGTGAATGTAATGCATGTAGTGGAGGTGTTTCTTATATATTATTTTTCCTTTTCCTTTTTTCTTATGTCTATTACTACTCCATTTTATAACATTTATATTCTATATTAGCAAAATTGTTATCTCAAATTTAATGTTTGTAAGGTTCTTGTCACTAACCAATCTATCTTTATAGTTTCTCTGTCAGCAGTTTTTTTTTATAACAGAGTTATTTACTTTTTTATTCATGCTTCTTTTCATTCATCATCTTTTGGTGTGTTTCTCTCTGTAGTGGATATCATGTTTGCTCATCGTTTGAAATGTCTTGTTATATATAACATTTGTAAGAAACATGTTGAAATTTTATGCTCACATTTTCAAGCTGCATTTCAAGCTCTTTCTCTTGGTCTGTAATAATCAATTTATAAGGTTATTTCATTCACAAACTAAACTTAAAAAATTCTGATATGGCATGCTTGTTCATTTGTATGTCTGGATTCTGGTCATACTTACTCTTTATTTTTATTTGTACACATAAATTATACTTCATGAATATATATTTTCATTCATTAAGAATAAATAAAACATTAATAAATCAGCATTCTCTTACTTTCAAAGGACATTGCTATTGATTGCCATTATTTATGAAGTCACTAGACTTAGGTAGTCAGCAGTGCTTACAAAGAGGGGAACTTGAATAGAGTTAATAGAGTTAAATGCTTTTTTCCATATGTTGTCACCTCCTCTATTTTGTTGTAGTTTAGACATTGTAAATGAAAATGTTTTCTTCTGATAGTAATTAAACAAAAATTATTTTAAAATATTAATTTTTTGAGTTTGTTGGATTAAAGTTCTTAATCAGTTCAGTAATTTTTATTATTTGGTTTTTAAAATTATCTTCCATTTAATATGGCGTCAAATGAATAATACATACTAAGTTCTTATTCTACATTTAACATGTGGCAAGGTGAAGATGTATAAAAGTCAAAGGTTAGAATAAAAAATTGACCTTTAAACCATTACATTAGATAAATTTCAATAACAAATTTATATTTTTATTTATATTACGTACATTTTCTTTCTATGAGCCAAGTCACACTTTACAGCGCCTTGTTGGTTTTCCTCTGTTGAGCTTCCTCAGGTTGGTTTCTATAGTATAACTGAGGAAATGTAATTTCTGGAGAGAAACTAAGTTGTATGCGCATTATTTACCCTCTATCTCAAAATAGCAGAGGCAACAAAAGCTCTTGCCCACTGTCAAACTATCACTCTCACTGGCTAAACTGAGCCCCTTGGTGGTGAAAAAGCCATTCTTTATTTTCCTGCTTCTTACACATTGTCTAAATAAATATAAGCTGGACAAAAGAATGCACACAATCTGTTTCAACCTCTCGATACATTAATGTTGCTTTAACAGCATTTTCGAAACCTGTACATTTAAGTGATGTGCTGTGGTGACTTGGAGAAGTTCATGTAGAGTGGATACAAACAGAGAGTTTCCAGAATTGCTACATGCCTAACGACTTCTTTTCAGTGGTTACAGAAACAGAAAACGCCAAGAACCCTGACCAGAGTTGAAGGGTGGTGTAAGGAAGGAGCAAAAAGTAGAACATTATTTCACAGTGTTTGTCTATTGATTGATTGGCTTTAATAAGGTAAAACTTAGGTTGAAATGTATAGATCTTAAGTGTAAGTTAAATGATTTTAGACAAATGTGTGTATGGTATAGTAAACCTCTCTTCTGATTTACATTTCCATCACCTGTGAAAATTAGTTTATGTCCCTTTTCTATTAATTCTACCCTCCTATCCCTGCAACACACACCCCATTCCTGAAAACCCCTTGTGATTTCCTTCAGTACTTAGTTTATGGTCATAGACCAAGTTCAACGTAATGATGCTAATACTTCATAAGTGGTTAAGTAACTGGTTTATAAAATTTGTGTATCATGTTGGTCTTCTTGATTAATATTTGCTAAGATTCTAGTGATACCTTTTAACTTGATGTGTTTAATTTCTCTGGAAATCTATGAATTGCTGTCTTCCACATATGCCTATCCTTGAAGGCACTATGTAGAAATTTTGGGAAAAAAAACAGACTACATATTCTGGGATCTTTCTAAAGGGATAAGATCACTGGTATGTGTGTGAAATAAGGAGCATCTTACAATAGGGGCCCAGTGTTTGTCCAAGTATAATCAAGTATATGGATAGTCTGGATCAGTATCATGCTTACTAAAATTCAAATTTCTGAACCCCAATCAACATAGATAATTTAGAGTTTAACATAGAAAATTTAGAGTTCAAATCATGATAAAATAATCCCTAGCCTTATAGAAAGTAGAATCTTGTTTACTCTGTGATAAAATTAGAAGAAGACATAGTTGTTTTAAGGATACAAAATCAATGTGCAAAAATAACAAGCATTCTTATACACTAATAACAGACAAACAGCCAAATCATGAGTGAACTCCCATTCACAATTGCTTCAAAGAGAATAAAATACGTAGGAATCCAACTTACAAGGGAGGTGAAGGACCTCTTCAAGGAGAACTACAAACCACTGCTCAATGAAATAAAAGAGGATACAAAGAAATGGAAGAACATTCCATGCTCATGGGTAAGAAGAATCAATATCGTGAAAATGGCCATACTGCCCAAGGTAATTTATAGATTCAATGCCATCCCCCTCAAGCCACCAATGACTTTCTTCACAGAACTGGAAAAAACTACTTTAAAGTTCATATGGAACCAAAAAAGAGCCCGCATCACCAAATCAATCCTAAGCCAAAAGAACAAAGCTGGAGGCATCACACTACCTGACTTCAAACTATACTACAAGGCTACAGTAACCAAAACAGCATGGTACTGGTACCAAAACAGAGATACAGATCAATGGAACAGAATAGAGCCCTCAGAAATAATGCCGCATATCTACAACCATCTGATCTTTGACAAACCTGAGAAAAACAAGAAATAGGGGGAAGGATTCCCTATTTAATAAATGGTGTTGGGAAAACTGGCTAGCCATATGTAGAAAGCTGAAACTGGATCCCTTCCTTACACCTTATACAAAAATTAATTCAAGATGGATTAAAGACTTAAATGTTAGACCTAAAACCATAAAAACCCGAGACATAGAGCCTTACAGAAAACCTAGGCAATACCATTCAGGACATAGGCATGGGCAAGGTTGTTTTAAAATCAGTATAGTCACATTAATTTTTTAAAAAGAACTTTCTTTCTTGTCTATTCTTCAGAAATATTAAATGAACTTAAAAAAATAAAAGTTATAAAACTCTATATATATGAATCAAATTTTAAAAGACTTTTAAAAATTATATTTAAAAATTCTGAGTGCCAACCAAGAATTCTCAGTGCTAACCAAGGCCAAGGCCTTTAGATTAATTCACTGAATTTTAAAACAAAAAACATTTTTTTGAGCTACTTGGTATGTGGGGAGGAAGGGCTCCTTGGAAGGGTCAAAATATTTAAAGCATTGGGAGTTAAACATTTTTAAAAATTTCTTTTAATTTTCATTTTACCTTTATACAAATACCTATATAAGATTCAATAGATGGTACAAGACCTTATAATCTGAGTCATTAAATGCTTGTTTTACAAAGCCTCTCAAATGAACAACCTTATTCATATTAAAAGTTCCTCTAAATGTCACTGCAATTCCAAATTGCCCTTGGTGAAATTATACCAGTTAGAGAGATTTACATATGAGTTAAGATTGCAATATGAGGCAAGAAAGAAACACGTTTTCAGTCTGGAGGGAACACAGATTTAAAAGGCTCCATGAGAACTGCGAATATCAGTAAGGATTATACTCATGAAAACATGTGTCTCCAGAACATGACCATAGACTAGTAATTACCAATTTGTGGCCCAAAAGAAACCTCTAGCTCTGGCACATGGAATTAAATGAAATGTTTCAGAGGAACACAAAGGCAATACTAAGAAATATTCTTAGAAGGTTTTGAACAGGTGAACTGACATAAAATTTGTCCAAAGAACATGGTGGAACATGAAATTTTGAAGCAGTCAGGTGCTGTTTTAGCTTGGAGGCCAATTTACCTTACCTTTTATCTGTCTTCTTCCCTTCGTTACCGGTGGAGGGTGACCAGGTTCTTGGCATTTTGGACAAAGAATTGGACAAAACACACAAAGCAATGAGGAAAAGCACAATTTTTTTTAAACAAAAGTACACTCCACAGAGTGGGAGCAGGCTGGGACAAGTGGCTCAAGAGCACTAGTTACAGAATTTTCTGGGGTTTAAATACCCTCTAGAGGTTTCCCATTGGTTACTTGGTTTATACCTTATATAAATGAAACAATGGCCTGCAACCAGTCTGATTGGTTGTGGAATGTGACCAATGAGAGGCAGAAGTGAAATTATTAATACAAAGTTACACATAAAAACTTGGTCTGCAACCAATCTGAATAGTTGCAAGAGGAGACCAATCAGAGGTACTTTCATTTTTCATCTGTAATAAGAAAAAGGGGTGGGGATTGCAAAGAGAGTAGCCGCTGATCATTTTGTTACTTGGGGGTGGAGACATGGTGTTTTCCTTTTAACTCAGTTCTAGGAAGTCAATGTGAATCGGCCTTAGGTTCCCTCTGCCTCCAGACCCTATTCTCCTGCCTCACCTTTAAACTTCATTTTATAAACCAAGTGTCAGCAAACTACAGTAATGGAGGCTAAATCCAGACCAAGACCTATTTGTGTAAATAAAGTTTTACTGCAACACAGATTTATTCATTCATTTACATATTTATGGATGTTTTACTGCTACAATAGAGTTGAGTAGTTACAACAGAAATGGTCTGGTCCACAGAGCTTAAAACATTTACTATCGGACTGTTTACACAAGCATATTTGCTGAAGCTTTTTAGACATAGAGCCTTACAGACAATCAATTGGCAGAGAAGATGGTTAATGGCAAAGGAATGCTTTGGAAAATCATCACAAAGAAATTGTGTACAAATTTGACCAAGTGACCAAGAAGTCTGGGACATTCTTTTCTCAGGATAAAGAAGTAAACCTAATATTGAGGACTCTGTGAAACAGTTGGAGCTCAGATTCAGTGTAAAACTTAACTACATAGTCATGGGCAGGGTGGCCTTCAGCAGGGGGCAATGTCACATGTCTCAGTTGTACACACTATTACAGAATTGAGGTCCCTGTAGATATCAGTAAGGAACTTGACAAATCTCATTGAGGATTCTGCTTGTTAAGCTTTAACAGACTAAGACCATTAGGGACACTCTGCTGTTAGGTTTATTAGCTTGTTACAGGAAAAGAAAATGCAAATGATGGGGAACCACGAAGATTCTCAAAATGGAGAATCAGGGAAGGTCATTTATAGCATTTTGGATACTGGAGGTTATTTATAGCATTTTGGATACTGGAATTAGTCATCAGATGGTCTTCATAGGGATTGATATGATTTTGTAAAATAAGCTGCTGGAAGATCAGTGGTCTTATCTTTAAAATATATGTGTCTTGGAGTTACTGTTAGATCAGTTGATCTGTGCTTTAGCTTAGAACATAGGGTCTGAATAAACCCGTTAAACAGGTTTGAGCTTAGGTAGTTTGTCTTGTGTGTCATGCTTTGGTACAATTTATTTGTTTTGTGAGTCCTAATATAGTTTTGAAAATATAGTTTCTGTTTCAAGGCTCAGAGTAAGAGCATGCATTGGAATAATAACAAACACATTCAGGCTGGTGAGAAGAAAATGCACCTGAGGATGGATAGGTACAGCTTCCATTTGTATTTTTCTTAAATTGGTACAGCTTAGTCTATATTTTTTGTAAGATGCCCCTCCCACCTTTTCTACCAGTAACCACTAATAGGAATTAAGAGTGGAGTGACCAAAGACTAGATACTCCTGCCAAGATCCCTCCCTTTTTCTTCACATTTGACATTTTCAGCTTTATCCCAGTACCTTCTGCTTTAAATTCTAGGGGGATTCTCAATGTTCCTTTTAGCCTGTCATCTTCACATAAGCATTTCTTGTATTCTATTTGTATAGCCCTTATCATCTGACATAATATATATTTCATTTATTTCTTTAAGTATTGGTGTCTTCTGTGGTAGGCAGGGTTCTAAAGATGCCTGCTCCCAAGATTTCTGTCTGCAGGACACCCAACCAAACATGAACCTAGGTACTTCTGTGAAGGGATTTTACAAATGTAATAAAAGTCCCAAGTCAGTTGACTTTCAGATAACAGAGATTATCCATCTAGATGGGACTGACTCAATCAGATGAGCCTTTTAAAAACATAATTTCCTCTGGTTGACAGCAGAAAAGAATGTCAGAGATACCTGAAGCATGAGAAGAATTGGATGTGTCACTGCTGGTTTTGAAAATAGAATGGGTCATGTACAAGTAACAGCTACAAAGAGCTGAGAGTGACCTTTGGTTGACATCCAACCAGAAAATGAAGACTTCACTCTACAACTGCAAGGAAATGAATTCTTCCAACTGCTGGAATGACCTTGGAAGCAGATTTTTCTCCAGAGACTCCAGTTAAGAGCCTAGCCCTGTTGGCAACTTGGTTTCATTCTTGTGAGAAGTTAAGCAGAGACTCAGGCAAAACCAGTCTGACTTCTGACCTATGAAATTGAAGTAATAAGTTGGCAGTGTGTTAAGATGTTATGTAGGTAGGGATTTTTCCCATTTTGTTTACTATTAAGCCCTTAGTTCCTAGAACTGGACTTGATATTTAAGAAGCATTTCAGAAATAATTCCAATTAATCTACTTGGCTAAACACCATGAAGAGTGTGATACTGTTTAATCCTATATACAACCCCTAGATATTTAACTGTAAATTCTGTTGGGTAAAAGATGAAGGGTTTAAACTTTGAAGAATCAAGCTAAAAGTTTTCAATAATTTCTGATAAAATTTTCTTAAAATTAGAAAAGGCATCAATGATATACTTACAAGTGTTTAAATCATTTTTTAATGAATTGATTACCAGACACTAAATATCTAATGTAATGTATGTTTTCTTGTACTTTATGTGACACAAATTAATTTTCAATAGAGGCAGGAAACCTATCTCTAAGGTAATTAGTCATGGTCAAGTCTTAATTATCTTCTTAAATAGGAAAACAGTAGGCATATAAAGATATCTATTATGATATTTTTAAGTGGTAATTTCTTTTATTTTGTAATATTCTTTCTACTAAAATAGAAACATTTGATGATACAGATTTCAACACAAGGACTTTGAAATGATACTCACTTTTGAACACCTTCAACCTTTCTTGTACTGTACATTCTTTCCAAACCCTACAAGGTGCTTGTATCTCTATTTTCTACATGAGGAAAGTGAGACACAGAGATATTCAGCAACTAGCTCAAGGTCAGAAAACTTGAATTGGTAAGTCTAAGATTTCAGCACAGGTGGCTGCATATCTAAAGTTCCATGCTTGTCCCATTCCGTCACACTGTCAATCAGTGAATCTTTTGTTGATTAAATGCATCTATAATTATTATTAATATATAAATGAATATCCATATTTGAATATCTATACAGTGTTCATAACAGAGCTTTATTGAATATGAACAAGATATGATTATTATTTCCCCAGACAAAAATTTTATATTGGGATCTGTTAAGAATAACCGGTTTATGTCAATGATGACAGCAAGAGTCTTTTGCAAAACATATGCAAAAGCAACTTTGATTTACAAAATTAATGAATAACCTTCTTTTAACTAATTATCAATTAACTGACATTTCTTTTCCTGCCTTCCTGCCAGCCTTCCTTCCTTTCTTCCTTTTCTTTTCTTTTTTCTTTCTACATACATTTATTCAGAGTACACTGAGTTACCTGAATTAGGCTCTAGGCTAAATTAAATATGAGAAATTTGTCTTTCATATTTTGGGAGCTTTGAGAGAAGGATTCAAGGTGATATATTGATGGGGAGCTGAGATTGTAAGATGAGAGATGAGTAGGTGGTAGTCTTATGAGGGGCCACTTAAAGAAAGAAAGACAGCAAAAAGATAGGAATATTCCAGACTGAAATAAAGCAACTAAAATGGAGAGCTTGTAGTTTTATTTTGATATTGCTGTTTTGTCTTGTTTTATTTTATTGCAGGAACTGAAAGAGGTGTAGTGCTATTGGATAATAGAGTACATTGTCGTGGTAAGGGAGGATATGGACAGAGAGATTTAAAAAGACGAGATTTGTGTTTGCAATGCCTCCTAGGTCACATTAACAAAGTTGAAATTTATGTGTTGCCACTGAAGGGAATGCAATAAATAGGTGTTATATTTGTTCATTCACTCATTCAAATATATGCATTCAAGGCTTGCTTAGTGTACTATGTGCCAGGTGCTGGTGCATTGGTTAGAAGTTACAGACAGCAGTGAATTTCTCTTTGTCAGGGGCCTTTCCTTCATGGAGCTTATTATCTGGATTGATGGTTTTGAAAGGTCATTTTGGTGTAACATAAATAATAAATTGTAGCAAAGCAAGACCAGATAGAAGGAACTGGAGTAGGAAGCAAACAGAGATGATCGTCTGAGCTAGGGACTCAGGATCTAGCAACAAGGATGTCATTGGTGACAGACAAGAGGATATATTGGGGTAGGAGGCATTTAGATCCAACTTCTTTTTGTAAAGGAAGGAGAGGGTGAAGGGCAGGTACTGTCTATGCTTGTCACTGTATTTTCAGTCCTTGACTACTAATTTAACCTTGACTCTAAAATCACAACATTTGAGAAGTCATTGATTCCAAGCATTCTTGATTTTTAAGAATGTTCTATATCTGTTTAACTCAATAATGGGTGTTGAATTGATGAATTCAGGCCCCTTTTCCCAATATTTTAAATTCATGAATAAATATTATTATTTGGGTAATGAATACCTTGACTTCTTGGACGTTTTCTTTTAATCATTACAGGAATACAGTCATGTTCAATTAAATAGTACATTACATGGTAATGAGTTGTTAGTCACTCCTCCTTTACCACAAATATCTACTAACCTCCTCACAAATTTACATGATCTTTGCCCAAATTGACTGTACTACCACTGCAGTAGCTATTTGTGCATTTATCTTTTGTACTGTGCAACTAATTCTTATATAGACAAATTTGCTCTATACTTGATATGTAAGTACTGGCTCCCCTCACCGTATCTTAAACAAAAGTGTTCAAATATATGTTGTTTGAATTTTCTTCCATACCCTTGAAATAAAAAAGTAAATAAATTCACTCCTTTTTTTCTTAGTATTTAAAATTATATAACTTTATAGAGTTTATGTTTTTAAAATTATATTTTTGGTTTTAGAAAAGTAAATGTCTTCAACAATTTAATAATTTTCTGAATATTAAGGGTAGAATATACTTATAATTTGAAAAGCAATTTATTCATTCACCACACCCTTTAAATAAAAGCATAGGTCCTCTATTTATAACCTCTACTTTAAGGCCCCTCATTTTTTCAAAAAAGATGATAATTGGAGATATGAAAGGTTGTGAGTTTGTATTTTGGAACTGACAGATTCTACTCTTACATTGCTGATAATTTTTAGCATCTCAATGGTTAATTTCTTATTAGCCATAAGATAGCTTATTCATATATTTGATGGAAATCATAGGGATAAACTTGGACATATTCGTGTTTAGCTTTGCATCTGTTAAATTTATTTGTTTTAGTTTGCCTATTTTTTCATCTCAAGTATTATACATTCAATATTTGGTAACACTGTATTATAAATCATGTAGAATAAGTTTGGCAGTTTTAGAGAACAATGTGGAGAATTATTTCTTCAAATGGTCATAGTCTTTTAATAGTCTTGACCAACTTGGCAACATAGCAAGACACTGTGTATGTACATGATGATGATGATAATAATAATAATAATGAAAGCTGGGCATGGTGGTGCTTGCTTGTAGTCCCAGCTACTCAGAAGGCTGAGGTGGGAGGATCACTTGAGCATAGTAATTCAAGGCTGCATTGAACAATGATCATGCCACTGCACTCCATCCTGGGCAACAGAGAGAGAACCTATCTCTCAATAAACAAACAAACAAACAAACAAACAAGTATCATTCATTTTTTGCATTTCATTTTATGTTAGATATTTCAGTATCCTTAAATGTTTATGGCCTCAGTATGCAAACAATTAACATAAACTGATAGGTATCTTAAATGAACAAGCATTTTAAGTTCCTAATAAAAACAAATAAGCATTTAGAACTATTCCTATTTAAGTAAGCCCTCAAAAAACCTAGCCTTTACTATTATAATTTTTATATTGCCTTTAACAGATGAAGGGCAAAGTTAGTGAAATAAGTCAAAGCTTTACATTGGAAAATTTATGAACACATTATAGATACTAAAGGGTAGAGAGGGAATAAAGGTTTTGTTGTTGTTGTTTTGTTTTGTTTTGTTTTTACCTGGAAGGTACTTTTATATGTTCCTCTGGTATTATTTCTATGATAAAAATCTTCCTAGTAAAATATTTTTCTAGTAAAAGGTTTCTATATAATTCAGCCAGGCTTGCCTTACAATTTGTTAAGAGGTGCCTTATGAATGAAACCTATAATTGGTGCCTGTAGTTTATGTCAAAGCCTAATACTTTTTTATTACATAGAAGATTTTAAACATTAATTATATCTATTAAAATGTATTATTTTCCTGCTCAAAAAATTATTTCTGCTTTTAATATCCAAACATGATTGGTCAATGGCATTTCTCCAAAGAAATTGACAGTAGGATTTAAAATTCTATTTCATTTTTTTCCTTATAAAATCTTAATTATATTCTTTTGGTTTTATGAAGGTGGACTATAAAATTGAATGATAAATAAGAAAATTTCACCCTGAGGTATAAAAACTGATATGGAAAAAACAGGTTTTGTTAACTATTCAAACATTATTACTCTACTCTCTACTGCAGACTCTTGAACATAGAGGGTGCTGTTACATTAATGAAGATCATCTTTTCATGCAATGTGGTTCGTAGCTTCTTTTAATGGTAAAACCATTAGTTTCAAGGTATTAAATGACTGCTATTTGTTAGTCATTGTTTTTCTTTATCTCAGTAAGTATCTTTTTCAGAATGCCTAAATGAGGTCTTTTCCATAGGCTTTCATTTGAGATAAGTAAAGATGTGAAAGTGAATGCATGGAAATATTTATGGAAAATATTAGCTTATATGTTAAATACCTCATGAAGTTTCCTAACAGCACCACTCTTAATTTTTAACACATATAATAATATTTCATAAAAAATTCAGTATGAATCACTAAACATTAAATATTAAAAATGATGGAAAGACCAATAACTTTCTTCAGCATTCTGGAAAGGCACACATTTTGTCATATTTATGCTCTAGCATAATGCATATGCAGACTATTATGTTTTGTCTGAGTGATATGCAATAATTCTAGCAACACATAAAGTCGTCCCAGCTAGTTGTCATGTTAATCATTCCTAGAAAAATTATGTTGTTGAAAATATTTTGGTTGTTAAATTGCATTGTTCTTTAATTTTTATCTAGCTGTCTTGAAAACACAGGCAGTATCTAATCCACTAATAGGTCGGGTTACAATTTTTTCTAAAGTGAGATAAATCAGAAGAGAGATACAAAATTCTTAGTTTGGAATAGTATTCACTCTTTTTCTCCCAGTGCTTAACATTTTACTCACTCCTAAATGTTTACTACCTGTGTTACCACCTGAATTGTATTATTTTCCTTTAGCAAAATTCATAAACCGGCCCAGCTTCTGGGACTGAGCCTTAGCATAACAGAATATATTATCAGAATGATTAGACAAGATACAGTTATACAGTTACTGATTATCATCAATTTTCATACAATAGGTATCAGGCAAATAAAATATCTTATAAACAGCACGTGTATCAAGAGCCGTACATGTGTTTGTATCTTTAAACCACTTCAACCTCATTTTCTAGAATGCTTTCTCAAGGTAATGTTCTGAAAAAGTAAAGAATATCTTCATGCAAAAAAAAAAAAAAAAAAAAAAAAACAGATGACTTTTGCAATGCTGGAATCATCCCAAATGATTGTCATGTCCACTCAATGTGATATTATTGAGATATTGAAATAATTAGTTTGTAAATGATCCCAACATTGACTTTTTTTGTATTTTGTTGTTGTTGTTGTTATTTTGTTGTTTTTTTTTTTTTTAATGGAGTCTCACTCTGTCACCCAAGCTGGGGTACAATGGCACAATCTCGTCTCACGGCAACCTCCACCTCCTGGGTTCAAGCCATTCTCCTGCCTCAGCCTCCTGAATAGCTGGGGTTACAGGTGCCCGCCACCCTGCCTGGCTAATTTTTTTGTATTTTCAGTAGAGACAGGGTTTCATTATGTTGGTCAGGCTGGTCTCGAACTCCTGACCTTGTGTTCCGCCCGCCTTGGCCTCCCAAAGTAACATTGACGTTTTCAATGACCTTTGAAATAGAATAGAAAATTGTAGAGCACTCCAGTTAGAATTAATTAAAAAATGTATATTCATAAACATAGAAAATGCACATGAAAGAAATGTAATAGGTGAATGTTGGGCTGGCCAAATTATAAGTGAATTTTTAAGATTCTGTTATTTTGTTATGTTGTATTTCACATATTGTGTTTTTTTGTTGTTTTTACCAAGTTTTACATGGCATAGCAGTTAAGGCATGGATTCTAAAGCTTATTAGCTCAGGTTCCATTTCCAACTGTATTCATCACCAGCTGTGTCACTTTGCTAAACAGTAATCTCTACCTCAGTTTTCTCATCTGTAAAATGGGTATAAAAATGGGATTTTTTAAAATACAATTTCATAGAATTGTTATACAAATTAAATGATGTGGTTTCCAGCAGGATGTTTAAAAGTATGTTTAGACCATAATAAGGGCTTGCTATTGTTATTTTCATGGATTATAATATTAAGGTGATATTTTATAAGAAATACGTTTTCAGTTACCAATGCCTAAATCTTAACCTCTATCCATACACTATTCAAAGAAAAGATGTTACCAAAAGATGACTTTGTATGTGCATGGTGGCCTTTGAGGGGGAGGAAATGAAGGTATAATGACCAGTTAATAATATCCTGCTGTACCGGAATTAAGTTGGAATATTCATTCACATCTTATCTCTGTCTGAGAACTAAGCAGACATCAAAAGTGCCCACCTATTATAATTTTGTCCTTTTGTTCCCTGTCATACTTCAATTATGATGTCCATATATGATATTGTCATATTCTAATAATGAGATATTTGTGCTGTTTTATGTGTTTTTTGATGGGAAGAGATATCAGTTGACAATTTAGAGATTCCATGACTGTAAAGTTAACCTCTTACCTGTCACTGGCAAGATTGCTTTTCATAATAGTTACATGAAAGTCACAGAAATTTCAAATCACTCTGCTTATCTTTTATGACACCTCCCTCAAGCTCCCAGGCCTTTGCCCTACATATAATTGGACACTCTAAGCTTCCCCTATCATGGAACTTAATCTTCCTATCCCACACTTACTGGCCTGCCAGAGGGCCAATATCCTCATTTCATTTAAATCTGCCTATATGCCATCATATTAGAGAGGGTTCCTGGAACCACATGTACTAGAGTAGCATCACCATCCTATAACTCTATATTGCCTAATTTGTTAATTTCTTGACGTAGCAATTATGTAAATGCATATTATATTTATTTAATTGTCATTATATCTATTTAATTGTGTATTTTTGTCTCCCTCTTCTAGAATACAATTCTACTGAAGCATGAGCTTTGTCTCTGTGTTCATTCCTACCCACTCTGAGAATATAAAACTAATCAATCAATAAATGTTAAATAGCCAAATGAACATGACTGAAAAATTTTATTTTAAATGGAGATGAGATTCAAATGATCTTGAAACTATGTAACTTGTAACTAGGTAAACTGGTTTTTTAATAAGTTGCAGTAGCACTAATAGCACTTTCAAATATTTACAGACTATTCACAAGAAAAAATAATTTTGGGTATCTTCCATAAATTACAGAGCAACTGAGAAAGGGCAATGAAAGCATCAAAGTAAAAATAAAAATTAAAAATCTCTTTAAAAACTGAAGAATAATTTTTGTTTCTGTTTTTTAAATGGTGAGTGCATTTAAAAATAGAAAGAAAATGACATTTTACCTAATCTTCATCATAATTTATGTACTTTTTGGATTATCTTATGACCAGACAGGAGTTTCCTGAGTTGAAAGATAATTATATTTTGGTTTATGCAACAACAAGATTTGTCATTTTATGTTTCAGTTAAATTGTGTGCACTGGGCAAATAAACTGAGAAATGCTAATACCCAAATGGCATTATCTTGGAATATCCTAAGTATTCATATTTTATTGTCTTTACTTAGAGTCAAAAAAGGTAACAATTCTCTCTGAGAGAAAACATAATAAATAGCAAAGCTTCAGGGACCATCCTCTTATATTAAGTACCCACTTGACTTTCTGTAAGAAACCATAGTGTCATAATCAGAGAATCTCAAGTATAGAAATACAATTATCAATCTTATTCCACTGATTCACAACATCTCAACTCAAAATAAGCTTTTGTCTCTTAATATGTTATTTTGCTTCATTTCCTATGTACAAGTCCTGTTTCAATCACTAAAGCACTCTTCAGTGCTTGGAATTTTAAATAATTGAATAACTTTTAATGACGAATGAAAATAAAAATAACCTCAAGTTAGTAAATCCTCAGAAATACATTATGAGACCCTGCCCGGAGAATTGACACATATAGTGATCTCCATAAAGACAAGGTTCAGGAGCTCAAAGAGATGGGCTTTGGAGCCAGACCACCCAGATTCAAATCTTGGCCCTCTGACTCACGACATGTGTAACCCTTGACTAGTTACTTAATTGCTTGTGTCTGCATCTCTTTATAAATAAAATGAGGATTCATGGTATCTTTGACATTGAGGTTGTTTTAAGAATTAACTGAAGAGAACATCTGGACCATTATAAACATATGCAAAGTTATTATTTCTATGGGGTTTGCCAGATATTTTTAGAATAATATGTTGTTTTGATCATTTCTGACAGTTCTTTTGAAATATTTCTAGAAAATGGTAGAAAATTCATTAAAATAAATATCTTACATGAGCATTAGTAACTTTTTAAAAATCATTGGTGTGGGAGTCATGAGGTATCTCTACCCTGATCGTGACTTGATAAACTAGCCTTCATTAACTGTTCATAAACGTGATTCATAGTGATATTGGCATGACCACTGTAAATGCTCACTAACAATACTTTATGCCTAATACTGAGAAAAGTGCTTGGAGGAAAGTGATAGAGAACGTAAAGTATGCTTATAACATAGTTATGGTCCCCTAAGAGATATTCTCATGTATAAATATGGGAAAACATCAGAATGTAACTTATTTTTCAGAAGTCAGGCATAGGTTAGTTCAATTAAAATACTAACATTATATTTTGCAATATTTATTCTCTCTTATTAATGAATTTTTAGGTATCTCACCAAAACCAAGAAACTCCCTTATAAAACTTAGTGAGCTGTCCCCTTGGAGAAAAACCATACTTTTACTAATTTTTTTCTTTGGAAAATATTATGGCATCATTGGAATTTCAATCAATGCCTTGATATACAGGCTTTGGTAAATGACTGTGCTGCTAAAAATGGAAAGGGATTGATATAACTAGAATTTGCATTATTTTGGTTCTTCATAATATTTTTTACTCTTAACTCTCATACCTCTCCCTTTCTCTTACATGCACATGCACATACACCACATACACTCATCTGATACAAAGTATGTTAAACAGAGAATTTAAATCATCTATTTATTGAAAGATAAGCCAGGTAAAGAGTAGGTCAGAAAAATGTTGCACTGTATTAGAATCAAACATGAGGCATATTCAGTGCTAGTCTGATGTTTGTCTGAATTAACTACAATGACTAGGGGACCCAGGTTGTATTTGTTAATCATTTTTCCCTCTTTAATTTTGCATTTATGTGTATCTTCCCAATTGGTTATATATTTTTGGAAATTTTTATTTGAATATCAGAATGAGAGTTAACATTGTAATATGCCTTTGCTAGCAATACTCTGCTAGGTAATGTTTGTTGTAACATCTTTGTTTCTGTGAGAAAATCTGATGTATAGTCAGTAAGTAACCTGCTAAAAGTATTTTAAGAGGCGCTTACCCTAGGGCATGTCCTTTGCTTCGCTTAGTATAATTCCATTGCTTATAATTGTTATTATAACTGTTATTAATATAATTGCTTATTATAATTTCATTACTTATCCCTTGGTGAGGATGTGCCCTCACTCCTTCCCCCTGATAATACAAGTCCCATAACTATTTAGCTTTCTGACTTTTAGCAGATAGGTTAGATGACTCAGCTCCATTAAAATATTACTGAAGAGTTGCTCTGCCTCAGGTTTTCTTCTTAGGATTCTTCTAAAATATATTTAACCATAAAAAATAAAAGCAAAAATTGTGAAGACAAAACTGGAAAAACCTAAAGTTAACCATTATATACATAGCTTGCACAGCACCATTTCCATTTTTTTGTTTTTCAAGCTTATTTCTGTATTAGAATATGTGCACCTAGAGGCTTAAGCTGTGTACTTGCTATGAGATCACATTTACGGAGCATGATATTTATCTTCAGAAACCAAAATAAAATAAAAAATATTCAAGATAAAGCATAAAGTGGTTAATTATAATGTAATATTAAGACCTTAAATGTTATAATAATGCAAGTATTTATGTTTTATTCTGTATAGGTTACTCAATATGAACAGATTATATAGTTTAGCATTGGACCTGGGGAAGTTTTCTCATATAAAAAAATCATGAAACATAATTATTGATATAAGCAATAAAATTATACCTGACTAAAGTAAGCAAAAATAACACATTAAAAGACCATTGGCAGCAAAAAGAATCGTTGAAGAGCCTGATGGATGAGGCTCAAAAACATGAAGACAGAGTCATATCCAACAGCATGATACAAACAAGTAGATCTGCTTATTCAAGGTTGAGGACTAGATGTCACAACTTGTGCCCTAGCTGTGACCATTCTGATTTGTTCACTGGAGTATCCAACTGTCACTGATGCAAGCTGCTGATGTCACTGATGCACTAATCCAGGCACTACTGCCTTTGGAAATGAAGTGATACTGCCACGGTTGAAGGTCCTGCCAGAAATGACTTCCTTAGCAACTTCTTTTATGATTAGGGCAGCTATATGTGTTTGGCTGAATCTAGAGCATATGTCTATGCTCTTGAAGCAACATACACCAGGAAAATAAATATTTCGCATGTTCTGCTTCTTCTTGGCATTATTTCCCCCCTAATGAGTATAAAACATGTGGCATCCAATCTAAAAAATGCCATCTCCTCTGTGTATGTATCTATCCTTTTGTGGTATCTTCCCCTCAAATCTGGTTGGCACTGTAACTCACTCTTGACCAACAGGATGTGGTGGAGGCAAGGTCAGAAAATTTCTTACTGCTGTCACATGGGTCTTTTGGGACATTCACCCTTGAGTTACTTACTTTAAAACCCAACCACCACACATTGATGAACATGAGAAGCCATGTGTGGAATCTGGTTGACAGCCTTGGTTGAACTTTCAGTTAACAGTCTCAACTCTCAGCCATGTGAGTGAGCCATCTTAGGTCCCATGCCCACTCAAACTTTAAGACTCTCCAGTTCTCAGCTGACATATGACTTCAACCCCTTGAGGGACCATAAACAAGAACTAATCAAATGAACCCAGGAAGCCCACAGAATTCATGGACATGCGAGGTCATAATAAATTGCTGTTTAAGTCACTTCATTTTGAGATTGTTTGTTAGGTAGTACTAGTTATAATAAAAAGTAGAGAATTCTGCAAATGTAGGAATGTTTGCAGGACTCTGCAGAAGAGGACAAAGAGAGGGTAAGTGAGAGAGGAAAAAGAAGGAGAAGAAGAGGAAGAGAAGGAGGAAAATAAATAAATTTAAATTTTCAGTACAAATTTACAAATTCTCCCTTGTCTGTATTTCATTCAATCCATTGTATGTAGACTTAATAATAACTTTTAAAAACACTACCATTTCTTGAGTGAAAAGGATTGTACTAGATATCTTGCCTTACACCTCTTTATTTTTCTTGACTGTTTGTATGCCACAATTTTTTGAAGTATACAATTATATTTTATAAAATAAAAAAACAGATTCAGAGAAGATAAAGAATTTTCCTCAGACACAGCTAATGGTTACCAGAAATGAGTTATGAACTAAAATCTTTCTGAATCCAAAGGCAAAGTTTAACTTTATCAGATTGCAAAACTTTCCTTTTTTTCTGTTATTTGATAGCCTGAAATTGGCTCAGTAATTTTGCTTATGTATTTCAAAGGAAAAGATGCAACACACAACAGTTCTGAATTGACTAGAATTGCCCATGTGATTTTGAGAAGACAACAGCAATACCTGGTCATCTATATTAGCAATTATGTGTCTAGTTTCATGAACGAGGCTTCTGGTGAAGTTCTCTACACCAAATTATTTACTTTGAAATACGCTTCACTAATTAGTGCTTCTGTCAGTATATGCCTTCAGAGCCATTCTGAAGACATGCAAACCACCCACTTATCCGTAAGCTGTGCCCGGCAACCTAAGGATTTAGATATAAACATAACGGTGAATTGTGGGATAAGGGCAGAGTGGGCAAGATGGTTCACAGTCACTATTCATTTATAAAAACCAAAGTAGTGGGAGAATTATTTGATATTTTTAATTGGCATGTAAAAGTTAATGATTATGGAGTCACAATTAAACTGTTACTAAAATAAACTGATCTATTTATAATGAATCTTTGTTTTGGCATTACTGCTAGCCAGTTGCTGTAACAGGTCAGTTATAACAATGAATATGTACAAACACATTATTTCCTAAGGGCATGCTAAGCTACAATCAAAACAGGCATCTATCATCATGTATTATAGTTGAATAGCAATTAAATAAGCCATGATACATTTTCTGATTTGCCTTCCGAATTACTCAATTTTTCATAAACTATGTAAGTCAGAAACAGTGCTAAAATAAGAAACCCAAGTGTATTAACATTTGCAAAACTTTTGTGGATAGTTAATAAAATTCCCTTATGATCTAAAGAGAATGTAAAATTATATATTGGAGTAGTTTAACATTTTGTTATGAAATGTGCATTTTTTTGAAGTTCCAAAATACAGATTTTTTTCTGGAAAGAAAGAATGCATTTTTAATCCTAAATTATCAGGCAATATATTGTAACTAAAAATTAAAATAAAATTATCAATTTTATTGAGTGTATCAAGTTTACAATGACTGTCTCATTATTTGGGAACGACTGACTCATTATTCTAGAGAAAACCTTGACATTGGCACACAAATTGTATTATTTAATTTCCCCAGACTTACAAATGTCTTTTTTGGATCCCACTCCCCTATCTATTTATTGTTCTATCCTTCCTTCGTTCCTTCGTTCCTTCCTTCCTTCCTTCCTTCTTTCTTTCTTTTTTTTTCGGAGTCTTGCTCTGTCACCCAGACTGGAGTGCAGTGGCATGATCTTGGCTCACTCCAACCTCCGCCTCCTGGGTTCAAGCGATTATCCTGCCTCAGCCTCCTGAGTAGCTGGGACTACAGGCGTGCACCAGCACGTCCAGCTAATTTTTACATTTTTAGTAGAGAAGGGGTTTCACCATGTTGGTCAGGCTGGTCTCGAACTCCTGACATCGTGATCTACCTGCCTTGGCCTCCCAAAGTGCTGGGATTACAGGCATGAGCCACTGTGCCTGGCCATTGTTCTACATTTTTGTGATTGGTGCTACCTTCTTGAAACATTTTCTTCTGTCAGCACACCACCATCTCTTTGATTCTCTTCTTTCCCACTCATTGCTCCTCAACAGTTCCATTTGATGTTTTCTCCCCATTTTCCAGACTTCTAAAACTCAGAGTGCTCTAAAAACAATACCAAACAATATGACTGCTGAGTCCCTTCACCAAGACAGGACTCTGAAGCTCATCTGCCACTACTCCTTAAGCCCATAGAGAATAACCAGACGTATGCTTGGCCTTCCCCCATACACATTCTTTGACAGACAAACCTGTTCCAGAGGAAAATGAGCCCATAAACCAAACTAACAAGAAATTTGAAGACCACCTTTATTTTCATAGATAACAAAAAATGCACTGTATTACACACATTGTATCAAGAACAGATATATCAATATTAAAAAGTTCTAGAATTTTATTCATTTAATAATCATAGTAACTTACGTAAGAAAGTATATTGTCATGAAAACATTAAAAAGCCAGTTATAATACTAGATATGGAAATATGTGAGAATTAAAGCACATATTTAAATAGATAGAATAGATACAGCTGAGGGATGAATTAGAAAAAATCAGAATCAAAAGCCTCATAGAAGAAAGATTTGTCTGTTTGTGTTGCTATAAAGGAATACCTGAGGGATGGTTATTTATAAAGAAAAGAGATTTATTTAGCTTATGATTCTTAAGTCAGGAAAAGTTCAAAATTGGGCATCTGTATCTGGTGAGGGACACAAACTTCTTCCACTCATGGTGAAAGGCAGGGAGCCAGTGTGTGCAGAGATCACATGATGAGAAAGGAAACAGAAGAGAGGAGGGGAGATACCAGCTTTTTTTAACAACCACCTCTCATGGACTGTAATAAGGTGGACATTCACTCATTACTGTGAGAATGGCACCAAGTGATTCATGAGGGATTTGCCCCCAAACCCAAACACCTGTCACTGGGCCCCATCCCAACACTGCTACACTGGAGATTAAATTCCAACAAGAGATTTGGAGCAGCCAAACAAACCATATCCAAACTATAGCAGCAACATCCCAAGAACAAGAAAATACAAAGGAGATGAAGAATAAAGGTGGAAATGTAACATGTGGGTAACAGGAATTTCAGAAGAACTGAAAGATAAAGATGAAGAAGAAAAAATATTTGAAAAAACAATAGACATAAATGTATTGAAATTTTAAAAAATAAAATGATAAAATATCTTGATATTGAAAGGGTTATGAATTGCCAAAAAGGAGAAATAAAAAAACACACAGTTCTAGATATATGAGGAAATTTAATGTACAAAGACAAACAGAAAATATTGCAGGGAGGAAAAGAAGATTAGAGACAAAAAGAGCAAGATGAAGGAGAGGGCGATATCATACTGAAAGGGCAAAAGCTGGAAGCATTTCCCTTGAGATGGGCAATCAAATCTTAAAGCTCCAAAGTGATTTCCTTTGACTACGTGTCTCACATCCAGCTCACACTGATACAAGAGGTGAGTTCCCATGGTCTTGGATAGCTCTGACCCTGTGGCTCTGCAGTGTACAGTCTCCCTCCTTGATGAGGTCATGGGCTGGCATTGAGTGTCTGCAGCATTTCCAGGTGCACAGTGCAAATTGTCATTGGATCTACCATTTCCGGAGTCTGGAGAATGGTGGCCCTCTTCTCACAGCTCTACTAGGCAGCACCCCAGTTGGGAATCTGTGTTGCGGCTCTGACCCAATATTTCCCTTCTGCACTGCCATAGCAGAGGTTCGCCATGAGGGCTCTGTCCTTGAAACAAACTTTTGCCTGGACATCCAGGTGTTTCCATACATCCTCTGAAATCTAGGTAGAGATTCCCAAACCTCAATGAGAGGTCACTGAAGGATATTAAGCCAGGTCACTAAATGATCAGATTTTTATTTGGAAAAAAACCTTAAGAAAATAAATAAATCTTACTTATCCACAGCCTCTAGTATGACTCATGGTATACAAAAGTCAACTCAAAATAGATTAAATACTTAAATATAAAGCCTAAAACTATAAAAACCCTAAAAATATACTAGGAAAAAACCATTCTGGACATCAACCCTGGCAAAGATTTCATTATGAAGACTCCAAAAGCAATTGCAACAAAACAAAAATGGACAAAGGTGATCTAATTAAACTAAAGAACTTCTGCACAGAAAAGAAACTATCAACATAGTAAACAACCTACGAAATGGGAGAAAATATTTGCAAACTCTGTATCCAACAAAGGTCTCATATCCAGAATTTATAAGGAACTTAAACAAATCAACAAGCAAAAAACAAAAAATGCCATTAGAAAGCGGACAAACGACAAGAGCAGACACTTTCCAAAAGAAGACATACATATGACCAATAAGCATATGAAAAAATGCTCAACATCAGTAATCATTAGAGAAATGCAAATCAAAACCACAATGAGTTACCATCTCACACCAGTTAGAATCACTATTATTAAAATTTTAAAAATAACAGATGCTGATGAGGTTGCAGAGGAAAAGGAACACTTATAAACTGTTGGTGGGAAGAAAAATTATTTCAGCCACTATGGAAAGCACTTTGGAGGCTTCTCAAAGATTTTGAAACAGAACCACCATTTGACAACAATTGTAGTACTAGGTATATACTCAAAGGAAAATAAATCATTTTACCATAAAGACACATGCATGTGTATGTTCATTGCAGCACAATTCACAACAGCAAAGACATAGAATCAATCTAGATGTCAAACAGTGGTGGACTGGATAAAGGAAATGTGGTACATATATACCATGGAATACTATGTAGCCATAAAAAAGAGCAAAATCATGTCCTTCACAGCAACATGGATGCAGCTGGAGGCCATTTTCTTAAACAAATCAATACAAGAACAGAAAATCAAATACCATATGTTCTTACTTATAAGTTGGAGCTAAACATTGAGTACACACAAACACCAAGAAGGGAACAACAGACACTGGGGCCTACTTGAGGGTGCAGGGTTGGGGGAAGGTGAGGATTAAAAGACTGCCTATCAGATACTGTGCTCACCAACTGGGTGATAAAATAATTTGTACATGAAAGCACAGTGACTTGCAATTTACCCATGTAACAAACCTGTGTATGTACCCCAGAACCTAAAATAAAATTTGAAAGGGAAAAAAAGAAAGAAGATTGACAATAACTTACAAAAACTGTATGAAAGAAGATGATACAATTATATTTCTAGAGTTTGAAAAAAAAACTTAGAATTTTATATCTAGCAAATTGTCATTTAAACAGAGGGCATGAAATATATTCTTAGTTACGTAAGTCTTCAGAAGCTTTGTTACATGAGAACCACCTTGAACAGAGCTATGTATAAAGTACATAAATACCAGCAGACATGGATTAAGGAGCTATCTGAAGAAAATCTGAGCAGATATCTTACAAACATTTGTCACTATCTTAAAACATGTATCTCTATATTTATTTATTTAAATTAATCTATTATCTATCTAATTAATTTTATCTATTTATCATCTTTCATAACCTAGTCTTATAAATCTATGCAATATTAATAATGAAGTTGGGAAGTTATCAAGAGTTTTAATAATGTGGTGAAGTTATTTTATTCTTAAGTTGAAAGTAAAAGTACTGTTTTATTTTTAAGGAAGGAAGGATTAAAATAAACAAAAGACCAGAATAAGCTGATATAACAAAATATGTTACTGAAGCAGATCTAAATAATTAATAGAAATGTACTAAGCTGGTCAGTTAAAAGGAAAAAATTGGCAAACTGAATACTTCCTTGTGATGCTATCATTTAGCTTCTGGGCTTGACATTCATTTAAATATTAATTCATCTGTATTTAAATAAATGAGATAAATCTGACTCCCAGGTTGATCTTTCCACCTCAAACTTATTCCCGGAGCTTTATAGTCATATACACAATTACCTGCTCAACAGCAACAATATTGAATATTCCCTTCTTAGAAAGAGTTAATGGGATTTTAATCTGGGGGAGGCCCATGAAGGTTTCCTAAATAAACTGTCATTTGTAGTCAACTATAAAGAATAAATACAGGGAAACAAGTTGAAGTGGGAGCAGGGAGTTTTTGGAGGAAAAGGAAGAGACTCAGCAAAGGCTCTGAGACAGGAAGGAGGCTATCACATTTGATGAAATGAAAGGCCACGTGGCCAGACCTGAGAACACCGAAGGAAGGTGATTCAAGCAAGGCCTTGTATATGGATAGAGCAAGGATCTTCCAGAGTCTTTTAAACCTTGTGAAAGATTTTGATCATTATCTCAATGAGAGGTCAATGAAGGACACTAAACCAGGTCAGTAAATGATCAGATTTTTATTTGGAAAAGAACCTTAAGAAAATAAATTAAATCTTACTTATCTACAACATCTAGTATGACTCATGGTATACAGCAGAGGTCTAACAATTTTCTTTAAATGTATGTGAGATTATTCAGAGCTATATTGTTAATTATCAGATTTTAAGAATTTCATTATTATTGTCTAATACTGGAAAGTAGCTTTTCCATCAATTCTGTAAAATTGTATTGCTTCATGCAAACACCTCCTCCTTTTATATTATTTTAGATATGTTGTGAGTTAGCAATGAGCTGTATTTTTCGAGTCATAATTTATCCATTTAATATAAACTTGAAAAGGTAGAGTGGATTTACTGAGGGTTGTGAATATCTAATGAGCGCTTAAAGTCTGGTTCATGTTATGTGACTACGTAGAAGTTCAAAACCCATTTTTGACTCAGTTTCAGTTCAGTGCAGTGGGCTACTAATTGAAATTAAAAAGAAAAAAATATTTTTACACATGGCTGGCAAACCAAATCTGCTGAGGTTTTATACAAGTGTAGCTTGCTTTTGTCTGCTATTTAATTAACCAGTTCACAAATAAAATGTCCTTAGTTTAATTTCCATTTCGTAGCTCAATACTGTAAACTATTCACAGCGTAATTAAAAGTCCTGAATTCTCCCAGGAATGATATTACCAGTAAGCAACCAACCCATGAAATAGAGAAGCCTGACTGTTACTCTGCTAAATTGTGTGTGTTAATAAAGCTGAACAAGTGTTCTTTGCTTAATCTGACTGAGCTGAGAAAACTCCAGCTGGCATCCAAGCTACCTGCTTTTAAAACTCTCCAAGCGTCTAGCTCCAGGAGAGCTTCATTAAAGTTAATATAGGAATTGTGTCATATTTTATTGAATTTCATCGATTTTCTTTGTGAAATAACTTACTTTCTGATAATGCAAACTCACTGCAATGCCACCAAGTATAGTTATTTTCGTTTTATGTTTGTTGTTTACTTTGAACACCCAGAGTAAAAATAAACACACTAAGGTTTTAAAAAGAAAAAACAGAAAAATTATTTAGGAAAAAATAATTCATATGATGTTTAAGATATTCATATAACGTATAGTTTTAAAACTAAATTCTGTCTATTATCTTGATAGTTATTACTCAAAGAATCAATAATTTGAACACTTAGCTCAAATAACCATGCATTGTAGATGATGCTATTTCAGTCCTATGCAAAGAGTCTGATCACTGCATGGTGAATACATTCACCAATTGCTTTGCCAGTCACATTGAAGAGAGGAAAAACATAGAATAGCGTATTGCTACAATGTTTGTATAATCATTCTGTGTACCCTGGCTGTCCTCCTGAAAGTCAAATATTTTCAGAAACCTAGGCTATTACTTGTTACTTTGATATTTTGATGTGATGCATTAAAAATGTTTTATGGTTTGGATTAAATCTAGGTTTTATGAATGATGCTCCTTCACTCGAATTACCCCTATGCATGATCATTTTGTAGATAAATAGAAAACAGAAAAGTTTGGCCTTATTTTATTTTCAGAAAGATTGCACATTTCTTTAATTGTCAAATCCAAACTGATCTCACACTTGAAAAATTATCACTTGAATAGCACACATTTATTCAGAGTGATAGGGTGAATGTTATGTGCAGAATACTAGTGACTGTGAATGAAGGAGAGAATGAGTGTTGGGCTGTATTTCATAAATGTTTCCTTGGCAGGTGACAATGAGGAGCCAGTGCTATTGATTTTGATGCTGACTTGCATGTTGCATATTTAAAGAAATTCAATATTAGAATTGATTTAGGTTAAACAACTAAGTATGCACAGTAGACCCTCACAATCATCAGATTCACAGAAGGCTAAAATGACCATGTAGAGATTTCTGAGTTCGGCTTAGAAACTATGTATTCAAATAGCTATAAAAGTTTCAGGGGAAAAGCTCTGTAATATCCTTTGATAACTAAACCTGGTACTAGTGTTTTAGAGAAATGTTTCCCCATAAACATTTTCATAATTTTATTTATATGTTGACCTGAACGGAAATGTAAAACCATGTTCTGAAGTTAGTATCCCTTCCAGTAGGTGAGCTATGAGTAAGTTTTTCCTTCTCTAGGCTAGATTAGGAGCCAAACTGCATCCAAATTTGTGTATGGGAGTCGATTTATTAAACATGCCTTTGCTGTTGTTGTTAATGTCTAGATTGTGTTTTGGAAGAGGATGACACTTACAAAAATTGGGTTATAATACTATCAGTTCAGCACCTGCTTTATATATGTATTAGTAGATTAGTATCCCTTGCAGACTTTTGAATATATGTCCCTGGATAACATGGTCTCAGTTTTCTGTGTCTACTTCTTTTTTGTAAAAAATACTATAGTATTGAAACTTGTGGAACTAGCTTCTCTCACTTAAAAAGCAGATGAGTTTCATCCAAATTTTTGCATTGGTCAATAGTGCATTCTTTTTTATTGCTGAGAAGTATGCCACTGTATGGTTATAGTATATTTTGTTTATCCATTTACCTTTTGAAGAACATCTAAATTGGCATCAGGTTTTGTTGATATGAATGACTACTATAAAATTATGGAGATAGATAGATAATAGATTTTGGTTTGGGGAAAGAAGTGGAGAAAATAAGTTGTCAATCCATTTGGATAAATGCCTAAGGTGAGAATGCTGGGTCTTATGGTAATTTGGTAATAAATTTTACTCCTAGGTAGATTTCCAAAATAGTTGTATTATTCTGCATTACCACTAGAAATGGATGAGAGTTCCAATTGTCCAACTTCCTCATCAGCTATTAGTATTTTTTTATTTTAGCCATTCTAATAGACGTATAGTAGTATCTTATTGTGTTTTTAATTTGCATTCCCATAGTGACTAATGATGTTGAACATCTTTTCATATTCATATTTACCATCTGTTTTTCTTCTGTTGGTGAACTGACTTTACAGATGTTTTCTTATTTTTTTAAAATAATAATTTTCTCATTGTGAATTTTAAGAGTTCTTCACATATTTTGAGGAAAAAATGCCCTTTATCATATGTGAGATATGCAGTTATTTTCTCCCAAACTGTGGCTTATCTTTTAATTCTCTTAATAATGTCTCCAGGAGCCAAATTTTAAATATTGATTAAATGGCATTTATCATTTTTTATGGATCATGTTTTTGGTGTGGTATCAAAATATTGTTTGTGAAACACAACCTCCCATAATCGATCTCCCAAAACAGATCTATTTTGCTTACAAAACAGATATATTAGTGTTAGAATATAGCCTAAATATTCAGTACATGGAATAAAGATGCAGGACTAGAGGAAAAAATAGAGTTAATGAGCATATAGCTAATGACTTATAGAATTTACAAGCAGATGTGTTAAATAGGAAATCGGACTTTAACATATATTTCTAAGTTAGAAAGATAGACTTGAGTAACAATTTATATAGGTATACATTGAGACCATTAGTGTTTGGGTGGTCACCATGAAAGTAGACAGATGAAGAAGAATGGACCATCTAGGATTGGGATCTCTATACGAAGTGAAAGCAAAAAAATGTTGAGTCTATTACTGAGAAAGAGAAATAATAAACAATGGGTGAGTGAAAAATCAGGGACACATGATTTTCTAGAAGGCAAGAGGGAATATTTTAAGTATTAGTTAAGAACTATAGGTAAAAGTAATAAATCCTTCAAAACTGCTATGTCAGATAAAGATTGAAGAGATACATTTCAAACCAAAAACTTAGATACTAATTTTGTTTATTTTATTTAAAAAATTACATTGAGCTTCCTACTAGTTTTCTGGCTGCTGAAAATCTCTATATAGGTAATTCTTATCCACATTGCAGGACTGTGTCAAACTACTGTCATATTGGCCATCAGCTTTTAGAGAAAAAAAAGCCAAATTGTCTCTCGCTGATGTTTTTAGATTTATTGATAATGGCACTGAGGTTATATGAGGCACACCCATAAGTATTTATACAGAACAAGAGAATAAACACTTCCCTCTCCCTCATGACTCACCTCACTAAAACCTCTCACCATCTTCTCTCTATCATTACCATGATTTGACGTTTTTATCATGTCTTCAACAGTCTGTTGTAAAAGCATATTAATATCTTTTTCACTTCTAGTATTTCTGTTGCAATCTATTTCCATTCTTCTGCCAGGATTCTTTATAAACACAAATCTGCCCTCTCACCTAATTAAAGACCTTTAATGACTCACCAAGTATTTCCAATCCTCTTTGTAGCATGGATCCAATTTGCCATTCTAGCCCTTTCTCATACCATAGTCTTTCAGTAATCCCTAGATACCCATAACTTTGAATTGTTACTTATGGTTTCCAAAATATTTTATGCTTTTTTATATTTTCAACGCTGTATAAACGTCCTTTACATTGCTTTGCATTTTATAGATTTGAGAGTCAGGTAGATTTGGGTTTGAATACTGGATTCAATACTATATATATTTCAAATTAGAAAAACTTTATTGCTAATCCTTTAATGATCATTGTATTACACATCAAAGTTAATTCAGAAAATTCCCAGTTATATAGTCATATACACTCAACTCTAGGCATCTGCATGAAGAATAATTTCAGATTTGTTTAAGTTTACTTTGGGCACAGTATGTGTCTCCAACCATTGTGGTACCATTTTACCATTTAAAATGGTATAAAATTACCATTTAAACATCCTGCTTTTAAATGGTAATTTGGAATAAACTATGATAAAATGGCAATTTAAAACACAAAGAAGCAGAACTCAAGTTTCTGCAATCCTTCTATGTGATCACTTGAATGTAAAAACAAATTCTGCATTGTATTGAGAGTTGGATTTTTATTTAAACCAAACACATTCTTTATTTATAAGATTTTCCCTTTGGGTATATCTTTTATTTACGTTAAAAAAGTTTTCAAAAGTAAAGTTTATAAAATCATTCTTTGATCAACTACACATGAAAGCAGATTGAAAAATTTGGGTGTACAATCTTTGAAAATGAATATTCAAAGAAAAATTTTGATAAAGCCATTGACGACTTCACAAACTGAAGGCTTGAAAACAGAAATATAATACTATTATTAGCCTGATGGTTTTAAGTATACATATGTTTCCTTTATTTAAAAATATATTAATAAAATTATTAGCACATCATTTTTCCTTTTTTGTAATGGTAATTTCTCTATTTCCTATTTTATTTATTTTTACTAGCATGATTATATTTTTGAAGTATAATAAAACACTTTTACTTCTGTGTTTCATTTTTGACCACTTTGATTTCATTTCATATAGATTAGTATTTGAAACAATTTCGTCATATAGAGGAACATTTATTCAGCTTTATTAACAGGTTTTTAGGTCCCTAAATTTGAGTTTATTGCCAATAGCTCTTACTGTGCAGTTTTCTTTTTTTAATTCAATTTTCTTTTTATCTCAGTATAGGTGGTGATATGGTTGGGCTGTGTCCACGCCCAAATCACATCTTAAATTGTAATCCCATAATTCCCACATGTAGTGGGAGGAACCAGGTTGGAGGTGATTGAATTATGGGGGTGGCTCTTTTCTATGTTGTTCTCATAATGAATGACTCTCATGAGATCTGATGGTTTTAAAAACAGGAGTTTCCCTGCACAAGCTCTCTGCTCTTGTCTGCTGCCATACAAGATGTGCCTTTCACCTTCTGCCCTGATTGTGAGGCCTCCCAAGCCATGTGGAACTGTAAGTCCAATAAACCTCTTTCTTTTGTAAATTGCCCAGTCTTGGGTATGCTTTTATAAGCAGCGTGAAAACAGACTAATACAGTAAATTGGTAATAGTAGAGGAGGCATTGCTGAAAAGATACCTGAAAATGTGGAAGTGACATTGGAACTGGGTAGCAGGCAGAGGTTGGGACAGTTTGGAAGGCTCAGAAGAAGACAGGAAATTATGGGGAAGTTTGGAACTGCCTAGAGAGTTACGAGTTATGGAATGGCTTTGCCCAAGATGCTGACAGTGATATGGACAATAAACTCCAAGCTGAGGTTGTCTCAGATGGAAATGTGAGGCTTGCTGGTAACTGGAGCAAAGGTGACTCTTGTTATATTGTATCAAAGAGATTGGTGGCATTTTGCCCCTGCCCTAGAGAGTTGTAATATTTTTAACTTGAGAGAGATGATTTAGGGTATCATGCAGAAGAAATTTCTAAGCAGCAAAACATTCAAGATGTGACTTGGGTGCTATTAAAGGCATTCAGTTTTATAAGGGAAGCAGAGCATAAAAGTTTATAAAATTTGCAGCCTGACAATGTGATACAAAAGAAAATCCCGTTTTCTAAGGAGAAATTCAAGCCAACTGCAGAAATTTGCATAACTAACGAGAAGCTAAATGTTAATCCCCAAGACAGCGGTAAAGGTCTCCAGGGCATGTCAGAGGTATTCATGACAGCCCCTGTCATTACAGGCCCAAAGGCCTAAAATAAAAATGTGGTTTTGTGGGCCAGGCCAAGGGTCTGTGTGCTATGTGCAGTCTAGGGACTTGGTGTTATATGTTTCAGCCACTCCAGCTGTGGCTGAAAGGGGCCAAGGTAGAGCTCAGGCCATGGCTTCAGAGGGTGCAAGCCTCAAGCCTTGCCAGCTTCCACGTGGTGTTGAGCCTGCAAGTGCATGGAAGTCAAGCATTGAGGTTTGGGAGCCTCTGCATAGATTTCAGAGGATGAATGGAAATGCCTGGATGTCCAGGCAGAAGTTTGCTGCAGGGGGGTGCTCTCATGAAGAACTTCTGCTAGGGCAGTGCAGAAGGGAAATGTGGGGTCGGAGCCCCACACAGAGTCCCTACTGGGGCTCTGCCTAGTGGAGTTGTGAGGAGAGGGCCCCAAACTACAGAATGTTAGATCCACTGACAGCTTGCACTGTTTACCTGGAAAAGCTGCAGACCCTCAATGCCAGCCCATGAAAGCAGCTGAGAGGGAGGTAGCACCCTGCAGAGGCACAGGGGCAGAGCTGCCCAAGACCATAGGAAACCACCTCTTGCATCAGCATGACATGGATGTGAGATGTGGAGTCAAAGTAGATCATTTTGAAGCTTTAAGATTTGACTGCCCCTCTGAATTTTGGACCTACATGGAATCTGTAGCCCTTTTGTTTTGGCCAATTTCTTCAATTTGGAACAGCTGTATTTACCCAATGCCTATAACCCCATTGTATCTAGCAAGTAACTAACTTGCTTTTGATTTTACAGGCTCATAGGTGGAAGGGATTTGCCTTGTCTCAGAAGAGACGTTGGACTGGGGACTTTTGCAATAATGCTGAAATGAGTTAAGATTTTGGAGGACCATTGGAAAGGCATGATTGGTTTTGAAATGTCAGAACATGAGATTTGGGAGGGGCCAGAGGTGAAATGATATGGTTTGGCTTTGTCCCTACCCAAATGTCATCTTGAATTATAACTCCCACAATTCCCATGTGTCATGGGAAGAACCCGGTGGGAGGTAATTTAATTATGGGGGTGGGTCTTTCTTGCACAGTTTTTGTGATAGTGAATGAGTCTCACGAGATCTGATTTTTTTTAAAAACAGGAGTTTCCCTGCACAAGCTCTCTTCTCTTGTCTGCTACCATATGAAACATGCCTTTCACCTTCCGCTACAATTGTGAGGCCTCCCCAGCCATGTGGAGCTGTAAGTTCAATAAACCTCCTTCTTTTGTAAATTGCTCAGACTTGGGTATGTCTTTATCAGCAGCATGAAAATGGACTAATACAGGTGGTTTGTTTTTTAATCTCTTTTCTAATCAAGAAAATTTTTCAAATGTATTTCATACTATATGATTAATCTGACATTTCATACTTTCAACATTTATGTTAATTGTGTGGGATAATACCTTATAGATAACTTGTATAGTTATTTCTGATTTATGTATAAAAGAGTGTCTAATTTAAAGACAAACAAAACTTTCCAAATAAAGAAACCATGCTTTCCTTTTTTTCCTAAAAAAAAGCAAACTTTTTTTTACCAAGTTAAACAAAGCTGAACATGACAAAAAAGCCTTACATTTTCAATGTCAACAGCCCATTTTACCTATGCAATTTTCACAAAACTAAGTACTCCTTAAATAAATGTAGTTTGAAACTGTTTGTTTACGAAATCTTGCTTGTAGTATTTAACAACTGAACTAAATATTACATATTCATTCTGTGGAGAAAATGTCTGTTCATGTAAAACGGAAAGAAATAGCACATAAACGCAAAGTGTCTGGATAGTAAACTCAGAACATATAAAAATTGGAGCAAACTATCTGTGCTTGGATCTAATACTTACAACTTGAAAAATGTTTAAAGGGTATTTTTAAGATGCTGTAAATAAGACAAAAGGAAAAAAGAAACCTTAGCTAAACTTTATGAGGAAGAGTAGCAGAGCCAGATATTTAAAAACCACATTATACAATTTTAATGTTATTGTCTACAGGGTTTCTACATATGTGCTTCATATACAGCCAAAACCTACTCAAAGAAGGTAGGGGTAGATTTCTTTTCAAATCCCATTGATCTTAATGAGATGTTTTCCTTGCCTTACATCTTTGGTTCCACATAGTGGACTGTCCCTTCATTGAAAGAGCTATAAATTACCATGTGTCTAGTGCTCTAATCAGAGAGACATACTGTACAATTTTTGCATTCTTCCTATTGTTTAAAGGGTCATGTGTCTTTTTATTCACCCCACAACCCATGCTTCAGCTTTCCTTGCTTTAGATTCCTAACTCACTGTTCACTAAATTAGCTGTGGGCCTTGTCCTTAATCTGAGGCTAGGAGAGCATATGCATCCAGACACTTCTAAAACTGCTCTTGTGGTAAACATTAATGCTGTTTGGTCAAGAACAGTGTGTGGAAATTAGTTCTCCCAGAAATGGAAATCATAAGCACCTCTTGATGGTTTCAGCCCACGTAGGTAAAGTAAATAACACCTGTGGCATTCATCCTTTTTCCTAGTATCATTGTTTTAAGGCCCAGAAACACAATACACGTTTACAAAAGTAATGGTATATGTTGAGAGATAGAATTATTTTAACATTGAATGGTTTTCATCCTATTTGGGGTGACTTTGATAAGATGCTATCAATCTCGCATATGTATATGAGATTTCTTAAAAATTGAATTAGAAACATATAATTGTGGTGTGTTGATTTGGGAAGGTGAAAACACATAGAAATTTAGTATGTTTCAGAAATGAGGTAACAAGTGGGTGGAGACAATAAGGTGGGAGCCAAGGGAACAGAAACAAAGGGAGTTCTGGATTAAGGTGAAGATAAAGGCAGGAGAGAGAACAGCAGGGGATAAGCAAATATATTATTGGATATATCAATCCTAAAACAAATTAATAGATAGAGTGAAATGGACAGGCTGAGTAGAAGCAGGTAGATGTATCCTAAGTAGAGGCTAACTATTCTTTGTGGATATAAAGAAAGGTAAGCAGTGTGGCAACATCAGAGAGAGTTTCTAGCAGGAGCTGGTATGGTTCTCATGTTGATCATTTGCCTTTAGTCTGGTGGTAATAATCATAAATGGCTTTGCACTTCCTCCCTTCCTTCTGGATTGGAAATTTGACCTGGTAATTTTAGGTAAACCTCATTCATCCAAATAGTTAAAGCTTTTTGCAAAGTATATTCTTTGGAGCATTGGTCTTGCAACCCTCCTTTAAAATACATGTTCCTGAAATTCTGCATATTGTACCCTTCACTTTGAAATCTTCAAAGCATACTGGTAATTCAAAAGCATTATAAGGTCTTGCTCTGCTATAGACTGAAAGTTTTAGTTCCTTAAAACTTCATATATTGAAATCCTGTCCACCATTATGAGAGTATTAGGAGGTGAGTCCTTTGGTAGGTGATTAGGTCCATCCTCGTGAACAGGTGAACGGGATTAGTGTCTTTATAAAAAAAGACTTCAGAAAGCTCACTTCTTCTGCCATATTAGGATACAAGGAGAAAATGCACATCTATGAAACCAGAAGGAGTCCCTCATCAGGCACCAATCTACCAGCACCTTGATCTTGGACTTTCCAGCTGCCAGACCTGTCAGAAGGAAATTTCTGTTGTTTACAAGCAATCTATTCTGTTATAGCAGCCTAAACTTAAGGCATGCTTAAAAGAAATGTGATTATCCTGTGTAACTCAAACTTCCCCAGATTCTTTAACCAGGTGTTCATTTATTAATTTTTACTTGTACTAGTATACCATTTGACATTGTATACAATAGACTAAAAAATGTGATATTAGTCAATCTGTTTAACTTAGAATAGCCTTTAGACGTCTGCAAGGAGTTTTATTATTGTTATGAAATCTTTTACTTTATAGGTCTCAAGTTCCCATTTTCTTGTATAAAAAGATTTCTAAATACAAAATACAAAAAATTAGCCGGGCGTAGTGGCGGGCGCCTGTAGTCCCAGCTACTTGGGAGGCTGAGGCAGGAGAATGGCGTGAACCCGGGAGGCGGAGCTTGCAGTGAGCCGAGATCCCGCCACTGCACTCCAGCCTGGGCGACAGAGCGAGACTCCGTCTCAAAAAAAAAAAAAAAAAAAAAAAAAAAAGATTTCTAAATATTTTATTATTATAGTGAAACAATCATTTTAAATTTAAATTTGTGGAATTAATATAAAGAAACCAGAAATTGGAGGGTCATACAAATGTGAGTTCACGTTTTGCTCTACTACTCATTAGTTACGTCAACAGTGATCATTATTTAAAATCACTGTGTTGTACTGTCTTCTAGAAGAGAAAAAAAGATTGTAATGTGTCTTTTATGTGGTGATTGTGAGGATTAAATGAAATAGGACAATATATACAAAAGCAATTATTTTTGTTCCGATCTCACATAAGTCATTCAATCAATGTTATTTTCATTGTTATTTTCCCCTTTAATGAAATGTATCTTTTTCATAGTTTCCTACTTGTGAGAATAATGTGTCTAATAATAGTTTTTAAAACTATATTCTCAAATATGTATATAAAACATTTTTCTTCCAGACAAATTATGGGAAAAATTTTAGCAAATACTTTTATTAATTTTTAAAAACAGTTTTAGTTTTTTATGACAAATATTTTGGAACTGAAAAATTCACATTAATTATTTTTAACAAGTGCTAATTTGCATCAAACTCTTACAATATGTTTTCCCTCTGATCCCAAGTTTTCTATTTTATGAATCTATCCTTAGATAATAATCACACAGTAGACAAATATGTATGTGTAGAAAGTTAATTGAAAGACTGTTTATAGTAATAAACCATAAATGAGAACAACTTATAGCCAATAAAACACTATGTTTAATATTTGCATAATATATTTTTAGAAAATTCTACTTGGATATACATCAGATTTTAACAACATCTCTTAGATATGAGAAATAAGCACACTTTTTTCCCTTCTTTTGTTATCCTGGATTTGCTATATTTTTCTACAATGAGTATTACTTGTATAAATTTCAAAATGGCAAAAATCAGTTGAAAAGAAGAATTACATTTTTCCTTTGAATTTTGAAGAACATTTTGAATATTTGTTAATTACCCTAAAAAAAGTCAAACTTGATTTAAATGAAATGCTTCAAACTTGGCTTAGTCATAGAAATTGCATGTTTTTCTGTATTCGCCCTAAATCTATGTCTATTTCTGTCCTCACTGAGTACAAATGACAAGACGAAGAATGGGTAAATTCAGAAAATGTCCCTAGAGCCTTCCTGATAACAGTTATAGTATTTGCTATATCAATATTTTGTAAATCAACTGAAGACATTTTGCTGATAGCAGATGGAGCACAATTCCATTCCATGAAATTAGGTCACTGAAATTTTAAGCAAGATTTGATTATTTGAACCAGTCTGGCACTTTTCAGTAGTTTAAGTAGATGATAAATGTGCAAGTTGGACTATGCCTTGTATATTAGCCTGTTCTCATGCTGCTGTGAATAAATAATCAGGACTCAGTAATTTATAAAGAAAAGAGCTTTTACCATGTTGGTCAGTCTGGTCTTGAGCTCCTCACCTCGTGATCTGCCCACCTTGGCCTCCCAAAGCGCTGGGATTACAGGCATGAGCCAACTGTCTCTACTAAAAATACAAAAATTAGCCAGGTGTGGTGGCATGCTTCTGTAATCCCAGCTACTCAGGAGGCTGAGGCAGGAGAATCGCTTGAAGCCGGGAGGCAGAGTTTGCAGTGAGCCAATTTCATACCACTGCACTCCAGCCTGGGTGACAGAGCGAGACTCTGGCTCAAAAAAAAAAAAAAAAAAATGTACAACAATAACTAGATAGGGAGGTGGGGGAAAAAAAAAGAAAGAAAAGAGGTTTAATTAACTCACAGTTCTGCATAGCTGGGGGGGCACAGGAAACTTAAAATCATGGCAGAAAGCACCACTTCACAGGGCAGCAGGAGAGAGAATGAGTGCCAAGTGAAAGTGGAAGCCCCTTATAAAACCATCAGATCTTGTGAGAACTATTACGAGAACAGCATGGGGGAAACCACCCCTATGATTCAATTATTTCCACCAAGTCCCACCCTTGATACCTGAAGATTATTACAATTCAAGGTGAGATTTGGGTAGGGACACAGAGCCAAACCATATCACCTTGGAACTAATTATATTCTGCTTTGTGTGGCATAGCCTTATTTAATATGATCAGTGTCATAGTATATCTTACCAAAGTTTAGGCTCCCTATTGAGAATTAGCCAAGAAGAACTCTAGACAGCAAAAGCTACCAATAAGTCAAATATAGTTTGAATATTACAACATATTATTGTCAAACCTATAGAATCAGAAAATAAATGCCAAAAACATCAAAGGGCATGAAACTGATAGCTATATCATTCTTAACTCTTGTAAATCCCAACAGGGTAAAGAGATTACTTTTTAGTGTACCTGCCTTTCATTTCATGATCTAAGGCACGTAACATTTTAGAGGGCAGAAATGAAGGTTGGAAAACAAAATCAAGTAATTATACTGTGTATTCTACAAAAGTATGCATTGTTCCTACAGCATTTGAAGTTTAATTTATATTGCTAATTGCCTTAATGAATCTCCAAAGTTTGGTACATGTGAGCTCTATTTTATTACCCTAGAAATTTGAGAATTGTGTGTCAGAGACAAGTATAATGCAAGATTGGGTGGGGTTTGAGCATATACTCTTGCAATGGTAAGGAAAGAAAGATGCCACAGATCAAATCCAGATATGGGAAATACAGAACCAGAGGAGCAGTAGTTGGTAGTTTATAACAAAGTACCTGAACATAGTAGGCTTTTCAAGCATTTAGGGTCTAATTCTTTCACCATAAATCAAGCAAAACATTTTATTTGCTACAATGGTTAAAATATAAAATAGCTTATTTGTCAAAAATAAATATTTACAGAAAAAGCCTATGTAGATTACTAATGCCAATGATTTCTAAACCTTCAAATGCCTAACATTAAAGGAAATATGTTTAATATTTATTACTGTTTTGTTGTCAAGAATATTTCTTAATTCTATAGTATCATAGAGTCGTAACTCTTGAGTAGAATTTTGTTATAAATTTGCATAATTTAAAAGCCAAGAATTCTTATATATAAAATGTGGGAAAACAATGTGGATTCTAAGTTCTGCCTTCTAATGCTCAATATATCTCTTTATCTCATTATAGATACACTTGAAGTAAAAATCACAATTTTCAATTGTAGGCTAGAAGGGGATTTAATAAGGCATCAGGTCTGACCTCCTACATAATTCAGGAATTCCTGTGTATTCTTAAACATCTCCATTAAACAAAAATTCGCAAAGCAAAACACTCTAGATAAAAGCTTTTATTATGAACTTTTTCCCTTAAAGGCGATTTAGACTTTGTGTAGGTTCCAGAATTTCCATAAATAATTTTATTGCCTGCATTACAAATTGAATGGGGACTGGAAGCTATGTATTCTTGAATATCATATAAGAGCCATAAAATCAATTGGCTGTGTATATCAATGAATAGGTAGAAGCTATTAGGATTATGAACTTTTTAACTCTACCAACAATTAATTGTAGGAACGACTGCATGGACTAGTTTAAAATTATTATCACAGGTCAGCACTTTATATATATTTTAGATATAGAAACTGTAAGATTCCTGGAAACCAGTACTGATGGGGCAACCTCCTGAAAAGCAGTTGATTGGGGTTGGAGATAGGTCATATATCTGCTTTCTGGTTAACAGTGGAGAATTCAGATTGGTGGGTCTGTTACCAAGGGTGCAGACAGGTATGTCTCCCACCCAATCCCACTCTGGTATATATCAAGAGAAAGAAAATCAGTCTTGAAGAGAAATCTGCACATCCATGTTCATTGCAGCATTACTCACAATAGCCAAGATATGGAAACAACCTAAGTGTCCATCAACAGATGAACGGATAAAGAAACTGTGGTGTCTGTGTGTGTATATATACACACAAAAGAATGTTATTTAGTCTTTAAAAAAATCCTGACATTAATAATATGGATAAACCTGGAGGACAATATACTAAGTGAAATAAGACAGAAGCAGGCAGAAAAGTACAGTCATGCACCATAAAATAACACTTCGATCAACTATGGACCACATATACAATGGTGGTCCCATAAAACTGTAATGCAGCTGAAAAATTCCTGTTACCTAGTGATGTCTTGATGACCTTGACTCTGTGTAGACCTAGGCTAATGTGTGTGTTTGTGTCTTTGTTTTAAACAAAAATGTTTAAAAAGTAAAACAACAACAAAAACAACAAAACAAAAATAGAGAAAGCTTAAAGGATATAAGGAAAGAAAACATTTTTCTACAGCTGTACAATGTATTTGCATTTTAAGTTAAGTGTTATTGCAATACAGTCAAAAAGTTGAAAAAAGTAAAAAAATTTCTAAAGTAAAAAAGTAAGTTAAGGTTAATTTATTACTGAAGAAAAAAATGGTCTTTATAAATGTATTGCAACCTAAGTGTACAGTATTTATAAAGTATACAGTAGTGTCCTAGGCCTTCACATTCACTGATCACTCACTCACTGACACCCACTCCTGCAATCTCCATTCATAGTAAGTGTCCTATACAAGTGAACCATATTTAAACTTTCATACCATATTTTTACTGTATCTTTTTATGCTTAGATATGTTTAGATACACAAATACTTACCATTGTGTTATAGTTGTCTACAGTATTTGGCACAGTAACATGCTGTACAGGTTGTAGCCTGGAGCGGTAGAGCTAAGTGTGTATGAGGCTGTACTATTTAGGTTTGTGTAAGTACATTCTGTGATATTTGCATGACAAAATCACCTAACAATTAATTTTTCAGAACATATCCCTATCCTTAAGCAATGCATGATCTCAGTTATATGTGGAATATTAAAAAGTTGAACTCACATTAGCAGAGAGTAGAAAGGTAGCTGGCTGCCAAGGGCTGGGGGATGGGGAAAATGGGGAGATTTTGGTCAAAGAGTACAAACGTTCAGTGATGTAGGATGAATAAGCTCTGGAGACCTAAAGTAGAATATGCTGACTGCTAATAATACCATATTGTATAATTGAAATGTGCTAAGAGAGTTGGTCTTAAGTGTTTTCACCACACACACAAAAATTATAGCTATGTGAAGTAACGATATGTTAATTAGCTTGATTGTGATTGTCACTTCACAAGGTATTTATATCAAAACATCATGTTGTAACCCTTAAATATATAAAATTTTTATTTGTAAAATATACTTCAGCAAAACTGGAAAACTATAAGAATAACTACATTCTTTCTTTTAACCCATTTTACAGTGAAATTATAGTACCTTTCCTCATACAGTATATAGCATGAATTCTTTACCCTCTTTGTTTCTAGTGAAGACTTTTAATGATTTTCCCAGTTTATGTTAAAGGTGGTCTATTACCTTAAATCACTATTCTCAGATACTGGTTGGCATTTAATATATATTAAATTTTTTTCTTGAAATAATTTTAGACAAAAAAGCTTGCAAATACAGTATGGAGAATTTATGTGTACATTTCACAACCTCCCCTAATATAAGCATCTCATATAATGATAATAAAATTATCAAAACCCCAAAAGTGAGATTAGTGCAATATTATTAACTAAACTACAGTCCTTATTCAAATTCCACCAGTTTTTCCACTAAAGCTTTTCTTCATGTTCCTAAATCCAATCCAAGATCCATATTACATTTAGTTTTAATGTCTCCTTAGTCTCCTCCAATCTGTGATATATTTTGTCTCTCCTTGCCTTTCATGACATTGGCACTTTTGAGGAATACTGGTTAGTCCCTCATTTTTTACTAGTTTATCTTCTCCTGAATAGAATGAGAATGCATTTTTGCAGAAAACAAATTCTAATTAATGTAAAATGATAGAGGAAACTAGAAAATCATCTTTTAAATAATCATATTTATAGTTGCTGCAAATGAGGTCCATCGAAAGATGCTACAGTTATGAGACCTGGTTATTTTTATTGCATAAAAGTGCTTAGAAACCCAAATGTGGTTGCTACGAGTGTTCAATTCTGCTGGAGTAGCAGGGTCTAGGCTTTCGCAGTTGACAGAACTAGCAAATATATGTATCCATATTAATTCAACCATATACACACTCCTATATTTCTGTATCTATATATTTACATATTGAAAAACATGAATTCATATTAATATCATTGATTCTCATTAAATAGTGCAGTTTATTCTAGCCTGCTTCTTTGCCTTATTTGGAGGATTTTTCCAAATGTGAAAAATTAAGTTCAATATATACAATGCATCTTCATGTATTCTCAATTCTATATATACATATTGGAGTTTCAGAATTGTTAAATCATATCTATGTCAAAAAACAATTTGCTAGCTGTATTTCAGTATTTCTGTAGAGGTCCTTTGTCTTTAGCTCCATAGTAGTGACTAGTAAAGATGCTATTTAGCTCCATAGTAGTATCTAGTACAGATACTTTTTCACAAAGTAAAGTATTAGTTATTTTCTTGCTCAATGTAGTTATCCATTTATAATACAGTCAGGGTCTTTTGTTATTGCTTTTATTCCATTTTCCAGCCCCACTCTGATTTGTTCTATTTATTTTGAGGGTTTCTGAAACACTACTATGGTGGTAAGGTTGATGGCTATATAAAAATCTACACTAGGAGAGAGGCACTCCTCCCTAATACCTACTACCTTATACCCATTCCACTCTTCTTTCCATTCTTTCCCCTCAATACCTGTAGTTAAGCAATCCTTTTCTTTTCCAGTTTATTGTTTCTGCATGTCTTTTGCATGGATGAAAAAATAAATGTGTATTTTCTCTTTCAGGAAGTATAGTTTATTGTGCTCTTTTGCACTGTTTTTTTGTTATTTTAAATTAAATTTAAAAACTTTTTTTGTTTTTTAAATTAAATTAAAATTTGTTTTAAGTAAATTAACAGTTGCATTAGTGTGCCAGGGCTTCCATAAGTAAGTTCCACAGATTGGGAGCTTAAAAAACAGAAATGTATTGTCTTATAATTCTGGAGGCTAGAAGTCTGAAATCAAGATATTAGCAGGGACAGTTTCTTCTGAGGCTTCTATTCTTGTCTTGTGGATCGCCATCTTTTCCCCATCTCTTCACACGGTCTTCCTTGTGTATGTGTGTGTATGCAAGTCCAATCTCCCTTTCTCTATGAAGGTGTTAGTTGTATTGGATTAGGGCCTACCCTAATGATTTCATTTTAACTTAATTACTTCTTTAGAGACCTTATCTCCAAAAACAGTCACATTCTGAGGTACTGAGGTTACAATTTCAAGAAATGAATTTCGAGATGACAAAATTCAGCCCATAACAATAGTATATTCTGGTAAGCATTCCATATTTAAGTCAATAGAAGTTACCTTCTCTCTCTCTCCTTTTCACTCTCTCTCTCTTTGTAACAGAGCCTTAGTATTCCATTTTAAGGATGTACCAACATTTATTTAGCCACATGTTAATAAATGATCAAACAGGATATTTCTGATGTTTTGCAATTACAAGAAATGCTGCAAACAATAACTTTGTGTCTATCTATTTTCATATAGATGGAGCTGTATTGCCAGTATAGAGTCCTACAAGTTAGAATGCTGAGTCAAAGAGGAAATGCATACGTAGTTTTGTTAGTCTTGACAAATTTCTGCTGAGAGTTTTACCAGTTTACATATCAAACCATTTTATATATTAGTGTATTACACTGCCTGTTTCCCCAGAGCTTCTCAAGGAGAATTTTTTTTTGTCTTTGCTAAGTTGATATATGAGAAAAGACACTTCAGTGTTATTTCAATTTCATTTTTCTCATAATGAATAGGTTTAAAGATATTTTCTTTGGTCTGAGGGCCATTTCTATTTCTTTTTTTTTTGAATTGTCTATTCAGGTTTTCTCCACTTTTAACTGCAGTTTTTAGTTTTTTGTCATCCAACATGTAAGAGTTCTTAACATGTAAGGCATATAGCTCTGTCTGTTATATATTGCTAATGTTTATCACAAATTGTCAGGTTTTTTTTTAATTTATGCTTTTTTTTAGGCATGTACTATACACACATGCAGAGATATTCTCATCAAATTTTTTGAATTGTATTTAAGGTATAGGTAAAAAAAAAAAAAACCCTTTCCCTATCACAAAATTAAAGAGAAATTCGCCCATTTTTTCTAATATTTACATTTTTAACTAGCAGATTCCTATTTTGAACTTATTTTAGCTAAGTGTATGAGATACAAACCTAATTTAACTATTTCCAAATAGTTACCCAGTTGCCCCTTCCACTATTAAAACACGTAGCTTTCCCCCAGTGACTTGATGAACTATTTTATAATACACTAAATTTCCACCTATATGTTGTTTTAATTCCAGGCTTTATAATTAATTTAGTGTTCTACTTGTCTATTCATACACCAATGCCACATTGTCTTAATTATAGTGACTTTATAATATTTCTCAGTGTTTGGAGGAACATTTCACAATGTTCCCCTATTGTGTTCTTTTGGTTATACATTATGCTTACTTTTTCATTTATATTTCAGTATCAACTTGTCTAATCCAGGAAAATTTTGTTGATGTTTTTATTAGGATAACGTTACCTTTGTAAATTATGGGAAACTGAAATTTTTATAATGCTGAGTCATCCCATACAAGAAAGATGAATTACTTTTCACTTTGGTATCTTTTGAGGGTGTTTTAAAATTTTCTTCTTTGGCATATTTTTGTTAGTTTATTCCTAAGTTTTTAATTTTCTTTCTTTTTTTTTTTTGTCATTGCAAATGAGGTTTTCTCTATCATTGTGTTCTCTAACTGGTCACAGTTTGTTTGGATGAAGGCTATTGAGTTTTGTTCGTATGATACTTTTATATTTCACTCTAGTATTGAATTATTATCCTGTATGAGATATTTATCATTGATCTGAAAATATAATTTTATTTCTTCTTTTAAGTTTTTTTCTTTGAATGGCAAATACCTCTAGTACATTCTGGAATAGTAACTGAGCTAGGGGTCATCTTTACTTATTCCTAATGTGAATGGAAATATATAGAATGTTTGCCAATCAAGTGAGATAGTACCTTCAGTCTTAGAGGCTACCTTTAGTCTACATTAATATATTTTAAAATGCACACCATTAGTTCTTTGGCTGAAATTTTCCCAGTTATCATTTGTTTAGATAAATCTCATCCTCTATCATAATTGTAATAGTTGAAAAATTAGTTCTTGAGCCAATCCAGCCAACCAATTTAAAAAGAATAATTTCTTTTTTAACATTTTATATGGTTTAAAGAATTCAAAAGAAGATTAAAATCTCATGTGAAAAATATATGAAATACTCCTTGCAAACATATTTACGAATATAGTTTTATTGGAACAGAGTCCTTGGATTTATTTGTGTATTGTCTGTGACTACTTTGACACTGCAATGACAGAGCTGAGTAGTGGCAACAGAGACCTTATGCTCTTGAAAGGCTAAAATATTTGACAACTGATGCTTTCACAAAAGAGTTTGCCAAGACTTATGTAAGTAGATTCCTCAAGAAAGGCTTATGGGTACATGTTTTTCTAGCTTTTGTTCAAAACCTTTTTTATACAACCACAAGAATTAAAGAAGAATTCAGATAGAAATCCTTGATTTACACTTTTTTTTTCACTCAATGTATTTAAACAAAATATTATCTTATTTCTTCTTCACATCTTACGGTTTTAAAATAAACTTTTTATTTTAGAACAAAAAAATTGTGATGTGTAGTGAAGTCCCATGTTCTTCACACACATTTTCCACTTTCATTAATATCTGACATTAGCAAGGTTGAAATTAATGACCCAATAATGAAATAATGATATATTTTTATTAAAGTCAACATATTTTTCAAGTTTCTTAGATTTGTCTACTGTCCTTTTACTATTCCAGGATGCCATCCAGGGTGCCACACTACATTTAGCAGTCATATCCTTGGCTCTTCTTAACTGGGGCAATTTCTCATTACTTTCCTTATTTTGATGAATGGAAAGCCTTAAGTTGGGATTTTTCTGATGTTTCCTCTATATTGGGTTGAAGTTAGATGTTTTGGAGAGAAAGATCACGGAGGTAAAGTGTCAGCTACATCATATCCTATCAAGATTACTTATTATCAACATGATGTATTTCTGTTGATGCAAAGCTTGAGCATCTGTCTAAGGCAGATGTCATGTTTCTCTAACATAAACTTATTAGTGTTTTTCTCACCCTTTCATATTGAACTCTCTGAAGGAATTTACTATGTGTAGTCTGCATTTAAGGAGTGGGGAGTTATGTACCTCATGGGGGGAATTATCTACATAAATTATTTGAAATTTTTCTGAATAGGAAATTTGTCTATTTTTCCCTATTTATTTAGTCTATGATTTATGTATATTGGTATAGACTCATGGACATGGATTTTATACTTTGGGTTATATTCCAATGTTATTTCATTTATTTTGTTCCTTAAATTATTCTAGCTTTGGCCATTGAGAACTCTTTCAGTTGGCTCCTGTATCTCTGTGACATCATTGTGAGATGTTTTTGTTTGTTACTTTGCTTTGAGCACTTACTTACTTTCTGCTACTAAAAAATGCTCCAGGCTCATCTTGTATAATGCTGCCCCAGTGACGGAATCACTTATTTCACCAAGGAGCCTTGGGAAAGGCTTTTATGGGAAAATGATTGATAGCAGAAACCAGCATCTGAATATGAGATACACTCATTTATGCCAGGATGTGATTACTTCTAAACCCTCTGTGTCCATATTAAGCTAAACAAAGTTTCATAGTAATGTCTCCAACTGTAATCTATTAGCAGATGGATAATGCTAGTGTCCTTCCCTGGTTTATCTGTAAATAGACCTTTAGTGTTAAGTGTTATGTTTATGAGGCTAGTATTTGAGGTATGTTTAATGTTTGCTGTAGCTCTAGGTGTCAGAGACTTCATCTTACTGCAACATCCTTGTTTTTGCCTCTATTTTGTTTTTGGGTTTCTCAAAGCACTGTTCTTCAGAAAGGGACTGTCTCTTGCAACTCTTTCAGCTGTAATTCACTGTTATTATACTGGATTTTTGTTGGTATGGTGGTGAGAACTGGGAGAGGATCTTTCTTGGATCTTCACAATGAGAACTTGATGGAGTTTCTTTACCAAAACCCCACAAAAATATGGAGGTTTTGCTATGATTGTGGCCCACAGAAGTTTCCCATTCTCCAGCTAATCCACACTCAGTCACCATTAATTCATTGAAGTTACTATTTACGTGTTCCTATCAATTTATGGCTTCATCAGCTTCTGCCCCAAGTAGATCTCATCTACATCTGTCTAGATTTGCCCATCTTTCATCATGCAGGTGTGGTACTTTGTTCTGCAACATCACTTCTCCACTGGGTTCAAGAAGTCACTGATTTTCAATTTGTTCAGTTTTTTCTTGTTGTAAGGCCTGGAGTATTTACTTCTAAGAAATGCCTATGTTGTGCTGAAGCAAGAAGTCCTGTAAGTCTATTTGAAAAGCTTTAAGCCATTACATCTAATTCTTTTGCCTTTGTTAATTACATAAACTGTTTGCCTTCAGGCTTAGAAGATATATTATTTATTTTTGAAATCTAAAAGTTTTACTAGGCTATATCTCAGAGTTGATTAATTGAAGTTGATTTTGTTAGGTATCCATTCATTGAGGCTTTTTAATGTTAAATTTAGCTCTTTTCTATTTCCATAAAATTTTCTGATTGTAGTTTTAAATAATAGCTGTATTAAATTGTTTTGTTTTAGCTCTTAGGTACTGTGATACTGCAATTATTCTTCTTTGCATTTTCACTATTTCCAATATCATTCCAACATTTCTACTCCTTTCTTTCTGATCATTTTTCACTTCTTTCTTTATGCTAGTTTCTTTATTTGGCTATTTTCCTTTCTTTATAAAATGGCTTTATTAAATTATCATTTCAGTCTTTTCCACTTTAAACTTCTCATTTATTATTTACATCTGATTTTTTTAAGCTTTGTGCTAAATTCATTCAAATATTTTTCTATGATTTTTGTTCATTTCTGCTTGTAATTTGTAAGTTTCTGAATCAAAGTGATTTCATATAATTAAATGCTTGTGCAAGTATATTTAATTTTCTTTGGACTGCTGACTTAAATTTTTCCTGCTTCATTGATTTTTTGAGGGAGAACAAGAGGATCTCCCTTAATTGAAATGGTGAAATTCCCCAGTTGCATGAAATGTTATTTCCTGAATTCCTGCAATTACTTTGTGTTAGTTTGGCTTTCCCGTTCATTTTTATCATTTTTATGCATTTTACAAGAATCCTAGTTTAATGATGCCCTCTTCTGTCAGTACAGGTATTCTGTCAGCGTAAGTACCACAGGTAGTTTCGTGGGATCATTTTGGTTGGTTGGTTGGATTTTGGTGGAAATGTAGTTGTGAGTCTTCTGATTTCATGGATTTGTTTATTGTCTTGGAGATTCTAAAATGTTCCTTATTTCTTCTTGTTTCTTTCACTACTTCAATGCCAAAGGGTGCTTCTCCCTTCTTTTGTATGTTCTCCACCCCAGCGGCTTCCAGCTAGACAGCTAGAATGTACGCATAACAATGTCTAGCTTTTAAATTTTACCTGGCTCATTAAACTGTGCCCTTGTCTTTAAAGCATACGTACTCCTTTCGAATCAAATGCCTTTTTTTTTTTTTGACGGAGTTTTGCTCTTGTCACCCAGGCTGGAGTGCAATGGCGAGATCTTGACTCACTGCAGCCTCCGCCACCTGGGTTCAAGCGATTCTCCTGCCTCAGCCTCCTGAATAGCTGGGATTATAGGCGCATGCCACCACGCCCAGCTAATTTTTGTGTTTTTAGTACAGACGGGGTTTCACCATGTTGGCCAGGCTGAAATCAAATGTACTTTGAGGTTTATTCCCTGTGGTTTATAATCTAATCTGCATGGATACATTTTTAGCATTTTTAGCCTTAATCTTTCTGGTGGCACTTTCTAATGAAACTGGGGCCCCTTTACTAACTTTCCTCTTTTGCTCTCTTCCTGCACTCTTTTTAAAATTTTGTTTTTTTGTTGTTTAATTCTTTTGTATTATTGTTTACTTTTTGTTTTTGTTACTTTTTAAACTTCCCTTGATGGAACAGAGAAAGACTTGTAGCAGCAACAAATTGGGTTGGGAATACAAGTTCATGTACAGGGATTTGGTGTTTTTCTCCTTTTATTCACAGTTAATTAGAAATTTGTCATTCTCTTTCTTTAAGTCATTTTGAGCGCAAGTTCCTGTAGATTTATCTTTTTCTTTTGTTGTTTGGTATTGTTCTTGGAGGCAATATTAGTAGACAGGGAACAAGGCTGCCATTACTGTCTACCTCCATTGGTTTTAATTTTTATATAATTTACATTAAAATTATATGAATTATGTAAAAATTAAAATGTTGATTATTCTGTATTCACCTACTTCCATGAGATTATAATTAATGCAAAGGATTCTCACTTTTTAAAAAGTAATGTTGAAAATATTTAGAGCCACATAGGGGATATCCAATTAAGAAAAGCATTTGAGAAGCAACTTAATATTCCTATAACACTTCCACTCATCAAAATATTCTGACACTAACTGGAAGTGTTTTCAGAACTAGCCTCTAGCCCAGATTTTAAAATATTCTCAATCTTTTCAGCTATGCATTATTTTTGGCCCTCAATAATAATACTCTGATTGAGCTTAGTATTATCTTAATAATATTTGGCTTTATCATAAAATTGAATTGAATCTCAAAGGGTAAAATTTTTATATTCTTCAGCTCATTTATTGAATTATTTTTCTGGTAGAGAAGACGATTTTAATAGCCTAATTAAAATATTTTAGAAAAGCAAGAAGATTATTTTGAAAGAGAAAATACTAATTTAGAGGCATAATGTTAGTGCTTTAGCTTAGATAAAGCTCTCCTTATCTTACAGTTTCAGTTCTCCTGTGTATAGCAGGCCTGTGTTGAATATCCATGAACAGAGTAAAGGTTTAGATTTTAATTTCTTATGATTTCTTTCTAATTTGCTCTAGAGATATGTCTCTTGAGAGTGGCCATAAGTTCTAGCCCAGTCCTGACCAGGAGGAAAGTTAAGTTCAGCTGTGTGTGTCTGGTGAGACACAATGAAAAATTGAAATCAAAATGCATGAATCAGAAGAAATTTATTATTCACAGGTCCCAAACAGGTTAGTGGTGCTGATCAGAGTCCAGTGGGAAGTCAGAGGTGGCAGGGAGCTCAACCAGCAGGTGGGGAGTGAGAGAGAGAGAGAGAGAGAGAGAGAGAGAGAGAGAAATAAAAAAAAAAAACCTGTAAGATTAATCTTTTATTACCATTCATGGGCATTATCCCTTAGGTTTTTCCAAGGGGGTTGGTGGATTGGCTAGTTTAAAGAAAACACTACTGAAGAGAGAATCTTATTTACATCACTCTTGTGTTAACCATTAAGTTTTATCATGATCAGCATCTGTGGGGTATGCTGGGTTTGGCTCAGCGAGATAAGAAATAAGGGGACAATATCACAAACCACCACACAAGGAGGGGAAGTTTTAACTAGGCCAAAAGTGACCAAAAACAGCAAAGTTTCAGGAAATTTATGTGAGGCCTAAAGATGGATGCCAAAGCAGCAAATATATTAAACAAACTCATAACAGTAACATACCAAATTCATCCTTTTATTTCATTTTATACTTCAAATAATAAATGGACACCAGCCAGTTATTGTAATTTTAGTTAAATTTCATAGTGCATTTATAAGTGTTTTACTATTATATTTGGAACATATTTTAAATATAAAATTGTATTTTCTCAAAGATATATTTCTTAAAAATCTCATTTACATTGGTACTATGGATAACCACAATATTTTTAATATTTCTAAGTTAGACATTTCCCAATGTCTGTTTATGGTTTATAATTTTTAACATTGTGTTTTCATGAGAATCTTTAGCAAGCCATTTAAGTATCTCCTCTCATTCATGTTGCTTAATCTGAAATAAATATATAGTGTTCTTTTCTTGTTGTGCATTTGTGCTGCTATAATATTTGATAGTTCTCTTTGACATAAAATAATGAAAAATAGTCAATACAAAAAGGTGCAATGGCAAACAAAATATATGTCTTCTCTGTTTATGATTTCTCATTGTATTTTATCATTTTCATTCAATTTTTATGAGAAAAGATATTAATTTTGAGTCTTCCTCAAGTGTCAAATATTTTAAATAAGCTCATTCTTCATATTTTCTACTATAATACAATTTTCCACTGTTCTTAAGTACAAAACTCTTTATATTCATTCAAAATGAAGATTTATATTAAAGAAAGTAATTTCTGTCTCTGATCATTTACCTTGTGTTTGGTCTTTCAAATCCCCATGTGGTGCAAAATAATATGTATCTCGTTGAGAACAGAGAAGAAGATAACATTCTACTATTCAGATGAAACAAAGAGAAAGATTTGCTCATTTTAGAATACTTAGTATGAAACTTTATGGATCTGAGAAATTTATTTTTTACAATAAGGGTTATACTCTTACATATTGAGAAAAACTAATACATTGGTTATTGATATATATTGATCACTTTTTAATTGGTGGTTATAATCATTGGGTTAATAATAATATTAATCATTGGGTTATAATAATAATAAATCATGAACCTTGGCACTTTAGAATAGCCTAAGACTTGAAGCTTATTTAGTAATGAGTTTGTATGTTAGTCAAGTGAGGTATGCGACATTATAAAAGCTTAGCAGATGTTTTCAGAGATTAAACTATATGAATAACTTTTCTTATTCTTCATCCTTCTTTTGATTTGACCAATATATCAACTACACTCATAATATTTTTTTCATGTAAACCAGAAGATATTCCATATTATTTTAGAAAGCCACTTTCTTAAGGCTTTATTGTCACAAATTATGTTGGTTTCCATCAAATCTCATGGTATTATTTGCTCAGAAAAATAATCTTGTTAATTTAATAGACAGTTTCTAGTTTCACACTGATAGATGATCATTACCCTAATTAGATCCAACTAACTGTAGTTTAAACATAATCTCAAGTGTAATGTTCTTTTTATTTATAAAAAAATGTAAAATCTAATTACTTTTGAAAATTTATGTGTTATATAAAGGTCTTGGAATATGAATTCAGTTGTTTTTCTTTCCTGAACTTCAATTTGACAACCACATGTTTTATGAGACCGTTGGAAGATGTTTACAGTTAATAGATCCCTCACTAGAAATACTTTCACATTAGCTACAGCCTTATACATGATAGATGTGGAATAATTTCTTTTCAGAGGGAATTTCAAGGATTTCCAAAATTGTTCATTTCTCAAAATGTTGCAGAGTTATTTAGGAAAAGATGTAAACTTTTCTAAGGAAACTTTGGTAAAGTTTCTGGTAAAGCTTTTGATAAAGAAACTTTGGTAAAAAGAAACTTTTGTTGTGTGTGAGAGAGAGAAAGAGAGAGAGGAAAAAAGCCTAGATCAGATGGATCACCAATTTCCTCACTCCCTGACACAAGATATGTTTCTTGAAATACCTTTAAGAATTGAATGCACTAAAATAGTGCTGGATTTAGAAAAGTAGATGTGGTTTTAGAGAGATACTGTTTTATAATCTTGAAAGAATGATATTTTCACTTGTTTATAAAAATTCTGCAGATTAATCCATTACACCAGACTTGAATGTGTAGACATGGTCTGAGCTTTCCTTTTTGAAAGGTAATTCACTTTGAAGTAAATATCTGTAACAACATTCAAATAAATCTTTTGTATTCAATTAGCAAATTCATAGATAATTATAATATAGAGATGATTCTAACATACGGGTGAGGGAGAGGAAGTAACTGTAGGCCATTTTCTGTCTTTGAAAAACCCATTGCTATTAAACTGTTGTTCTAGTTTCACCACTTCTTTTAGGTATCATTTATATAGTAGCTCTGATTTTGTAAATAGAAGTACAGCTAGTTCCAAGTAAGTATAAGTGGCCTGAAAGGGTGTTCATAAAACACAAGCTGGAAAATTTGACATTTGATATTATTACAATCTCTTCATAGAAAAAAAAATTACCTTTGATTTGTGACCTTCTCTCAGTACCTTAAGAACTTCTTACATAAGAAGATCCTAGGTTTCTGAAGGTGCCATGTACAAGCAGTGCAGGGAATATTTTGGAGCTTACTAGAAATGCAAAATCTCAGGATTCTCCCTGAAACTACTGAATTAAAATAAGCTTTTAAATTAAATCTTAGGAAAATCAAAGGCACACAGAATTTATAAGAACCATGGCCCTAGAATATAGTGCTATCTAGGAAAGATGAAATTTACCCATCAGATTTAGTGCAAAGGATGACCTTGGTTTTACTAAACTATTTTTCTCTCGGCTATTGTACAATATGATCCCAAATCATAATTTTTCTTAAGCAATTAGACATAAAGTTTGAATTTTTTTTGTTACATTTGATTGAGTAACTAATGAAAATATCATTTCTGATTTTACAAAAGAGACATTGCTGCTATTTACTTCAATTGTATGACTAAATAAAAATTATAGTCATGGACTTAAACTGTGAGGGTTCTCTCAGAGATAATATGTCAATAATTCTCCAGATAATTCTAGAAAACTCTCAAGGTGAAGGTTTGCTGAAATTAAGTGACTTCTTAGTGAAAGGTATTGCAGTATTTGCAGCACGTATATTTCAGGTTAGCAAGATGATAAATATATACCCTGTGCTTTAAACAGCACAGTATTAAAATATTCAAGTACAACAAGAATGAATAGAAAAATAAAGAGGAAAAAGATCCCACAATAAATGAGCAGATTTGTGCTATTTTATTTCTTTTGCAAGCTGTGAAAATCCCTGCTGAGAATGCCATAATTTCTTACAGATTGTCATTTCCTTTGGATATTATTACATGCAGTAAGTTAACTGGAGCTAATATAGTTCCAGGAGATGTAGTGAAGACTTAGAAGTACAAAGCCTTTTATCAATGTAAAAAACATCCTGATTAGTAGTAGCTGGTTATCCTCTGAAGCTGTTTCCATGAACAACCCTGCCTACACAGAGCCTGATAGGCAGGACTGCCAGTAAAAACTGTCCAAAGAACTATTGCCAAGATGTCTGCTTCTTCCTGGAAATGCCTCCTGACTCATTGCATGAGTACCTAATACACATGGTGACTACACATGAACAGTGATACAAGAGGAAAAATATGATTTACCAAGCAAAGAATTTAAAAAGGCACCAAGAGGTCACATGTCATACAGATATATGATACATATGGGCTCGTGCATAAGACAAACTCTGCCATTAACCAGCGATGTGTGGTTCTTTGGGCTTCAGTTATCTTATGAGGAGCTTAGAGTGCATCACAGGTTCTCAAGACTGGCTGCCCATTAAATTTACCCAAAGAGCTTTAAAAAAAAATCTACACCTTACTCCAAATAAAGTAAGTCTTAGCCTCTGAAAGTAGAGCCCAAGCACAGAGTTTTATTTATTAAGCTTCCCAGGTGATTCCATGTATAACAAGGTATCAGAAACACTGAACAATAATAATCACTTATGTCTCTTCCACATTTAATCTTCCACGCTTTCTAGGAAACCGTGTCTCCTGCCTTTTTTTACTCTCATCTCTTCTTTACATAAATATATACTATATAGATTGAACATAGTAAAAAGACAGATATTATTATTTTATTCACAAAGTTTTATAAATAAATATGTGATTTTTTCATCTGCACATGACTCTGGCTACAAACCCAGGTAACCCATATCAGGAAAAGCTGTTTCATATGGGAAATGTAATAACTGGGGAGACAAAGTACAGCTAAGATGTTTTAGACAATACTCCCTTCTACTCTTGAATCATAACTGTTACAGTTCAGAATGGAGCAACAAAAGAATTTTTGGTAAATCAACAGGGAAAGTATTTTGCATGACTTGACCCAGGCTCTGACTCATCTATTAGGATTTACTAGAATGTATCATAAACACTATCAGGCATAACATGGGGAATTTTCCTACTATTCCCTAATGAGCAATGAGCATATAGGATTTTGTTGTATTTCTTTTTATTATTATTATTATACTTTAAGTTCTGGGATACATGTGCAGAACATGCAGGTTTTTTACATAGGTATACATGTGCCATAGTGGCTTGCTGCACCCATCAACCTGTCACGTACATTAGTTATTTCTGCTAATGCTGTCCCTCCCCTAGCCCCCCAACCCCTGACAGGCCCCGGTGCATGATGTTTCCCTCCCTGTGTCCGTGTGTTCTCATTGTTCAATTCCCACTCATGAGTGAGAAAATGCAGTGTTTGGTTTTCTGTTCTTGTGTTAGCAAACTAACTGAGAATGATGGTTTTTCAGCTTCATTCATGTCCCTGCAGAGAACATGAACTCATTCTTTTATATGGCTGCATAGTATTCCATGGTTTATATGTGCCACATTTTCTTTATCCAATCTATCATTGATGGGCATTTGGGTTGGTTCCAAGTCTTTGCTATTGTGAACAGTGTTGCAATAAACATACACATGCATGTATCTTTATAGTAGAATGACTTATAATCCTTTGGATATATACCCAGTAATGGATTCTGGGTCAAATGGTGTTTCTGGTTCTAGATCCTTGATGAATCGGCACACTGTCTTCCACAATGGTTGAACTTATTTACACTCCCACCAACAGTGTAAAAGCATTCCTGTTTCTCCACATCCTCGCCAGCATCTGTTGTTTCCAGAATTTTTATTGCTCGCCATTCTAACTGGCATGAGATGGTATTTCATTGTAGTTTTGATTTGCATTTCTCTAATGACCAGTGATGATGAACTTTTTTCATGTTTCTTGGCCACACGAATGTTTTCTTTTGAAAAGTGTCTGTTCATATCTTTTTCCCACTTTTTGATAGTTTTTTTTCTTGTAAATTTGTTTAAGTTCCTTGTAGATTAGCCCTTTGTCAGATGGATAGATTGCAAAAATTTTCTCCCATTCTGTAGGTTGCCTATTCACTCTGATGATAGTTTCTTTTGCTGTGCAGAAGCTCTTTAGTTTAATTAAATCCCGTTTTTCTCTTTTGGCTTTTGTTGCCATTGCTTTTGGTGTTTTAGTCATGAAGACTTTGCCTATGCCTATATCCTGAATGGTATTGCCTAGGTTTTCTTCTAGGGTTTTTATGGTCTTAGGTCTTATGTTTAAGTATTTAATCTACCTTGAGTTAATTTTTGTATAGGGTATAAGGAAGGAGTCCAGTTTCAGTTTTTTGCACATGGCTAGCCAGTTTTCCCAACACCATTTATCAAATAGAGAATCCATTCCCCATTGCTTGTTTTTGTCCAGTTTGTCAAAGATCAGATGGTTGTACATCTGTGGTGTTATTTCTGAGGCCTCTATTCTTCTTGAAGAGGTCCTTCACATCCCTTGTAAGTTGTATACCTAGGTATTTTATTCTCTTTGTAGCAATTGTGAATAGGAGTTCACTCATGATTTGGCTCTCTGTCCATTACTGGTGTATAGGAATGCTTGTGATTTTTGCACATTGATTTTGTATCCTGAGACTTTGCTGAAATCGCTTATCAGCTTAAGGAGATTTGGGGCTAAGACGATGGGGTTTTCTAAATATACAATCACATCATCTGCAAACAGAGACAATTTGACTTCCTCTCTTCCTATCTGAATACATTTTCTTTCTTTCTCTTGCCTGATTGTTCTGGCCAGAACTTCCAATACTATGTTGAATAGGAGTGGTGAGACATGGCATCTTTGTCTTTTGCCGTTTTCAAAGGGAGTGCTTCCAGCTTTTGCCCATTCAGTATGATATTGACTGTGGGTTTGTCATAAATAGCTCTTATTATTTTGAGATACATTCCATCAATACCTAGTTTATTGAGAGATTTTAGCATGTAGAGGTGTTGAACTTTATTGAAGGCCTTTTCTGCACCTATTGAGATAATCATGTGGTTTTTTTCATTGGTTCTGTTTATATGATGGATTATGTTTATTGATTTGCATATGTTGAACCAGCCTTGCATCCTAGGGATGAAGCCGACTTGTTCATGGTAGATATGCTTTTTGATGTGCTGCTGGATTTGGTTTGCCAGTATTTTATTGAGGATTTTCCCATCGATGTTCATCAGGGATATTGGCCAGAAATTTTCTTTTCTTGTTGTGTCTCTGACAGGTTTTGGTATCAAGATGATGTATTTCTTACAGTACATGGAGTGGCAGGAAGAATTTTACAACAGTAAGAATCCCAATTCTGAACTCTGTAACAAAGCCAAGATAAGTAAACACTAAGACATTTTTAGAAGAGTCAGAAAAAAGTTTAAATGGTTGAAATCTAGAATATCAAATATAACCAAAAACATGTACCAGTTAAGTAAAACACCCTGAAATGCTCATTTGAAATTAGCAGAATTATGAATTCACCCCTATATCTTAAAAATATTATATATTTTTAAACTTTAATTACAGAAAAGCCTGGAAAGAATGACCAATTCAGTAGTAATGTACACACACTGGCAAATAAATGAAGTTCTGGGATGCATTGCAAAATAATTTGGGAAGATTGAAATGATATAATGTGAAAAAGATTAGCTATAATTTAATAGTTGTCGGATCAGGATGATTTGTATACTCAGATTCATTTTATTCTACTTTTGTGTAAGTTTAAAACTTTCCATAAATTTGAAATGAATCACTCTACTTTGTCAAGTCTCAATATGTTCATCTATTAAATGAGAATAATATATGACAGTTATTTTCATATGTTTAAAAATTTTGTATAATTTTTACCTTCCTTATATGTGTAGAAGGAATACAAATTAGACTTTTCAAAAGCCAAACTGCTGTGCAATAATTCAATAAGTTACCTAAAAATACTGAAAATACTAAGAAACCTCTTTTATATTCAATAATTATCAGTAAGGCAAATTTAAGGAAACTACATCAAAACAGAAAAGATTTCATTATCCTCTTGATGCATTAATGGGGCAGTTATCACTCTAGTTCCATAGATTTGTGAAGGGCAGATAGACCTGTGGATTGCCTTTAATGAGCCAGGCCTATGACCTTGGTCAGGTTATTAAACTTTTGTCATTTGTGAAATAAGAGGTATAAACTAGATTTTCTTGGGTGTGATTAGCATGAGCAGCATTGAACATTTAACATTAATGAAAATATAGATAGATAGATAGATAGATAGATAGATAGATAGATAGATAGATAGATACAGGTAGATATAGAGAAGTGATGATGGTTGAATTTGAAGTTATATTTATCTGCCTAACCCATTGTGCTGAAACTAGCATAACACCCTTTAATGCTACTCATAAACTTAAGTTGGCTCTGAAGAAAAACAGAAAGGGAAACTTGTTGATTACAGTCTGTATTCTAGAGATTTTCTAGCTGTCACCATTAATCCCCAACTCTTTCCCCCATGACACAGTGTTCAGTTTAGATGGAAACATTTAAGTATTTCTGAATAAATGTTAGATAAAAGCTATCCTTTAATCCACAGGGATTGTTCATAACAACGTTGTTTTCATCAATAAACTTATATATTAAAATTGAAAAGTTAGTCAATTATCTGGAAAATTGAATATAAAAACTCAATATTTTTCAGAAATGTGCTTCAAAGCTCTGTCAGTAGTAGGATAGGCCAGATCATGGGAGTCAGATATTAGGAAAATAGTGATGCTTACTAGAGTCAGCTATACATTAAGTTTAATTTACCTGCTGATATTCACAGAGGTATGACAGATGATTTAGTGATCCATGCCAGTTCCATACTGAGTCATAGCAGTAGGTGTGTTCTGACTTGAAAAGAAGCAACAAGTAGATGTCTTAGCAGGTAGAACAGTACAACAAAGACAAAGCAGCTTGTGCAAGCAGGAATTACACAGAGAATGACAAAGAGATGTAACTCCAGGAATATATGGAACAGGGAGTGAGGCCCCATGCTGCATACGGGAGATCAAGGTAGAAATTTAGTGAGGAGGACTAGTAATGTGGGAGCCTTGTCTCCCATGCACTGGTGTACAATGTAGGAACAGGGCATGCTTCTGACATTAAGACATGACTTATGTTTACTTTTACTTAAGTCTGCTTAATATTGAAAAACGCTCCTTGCATGTTTTGACTGAACAAAGCTAATCCAAAGCCATAATGAAACTCAACCTGAAGGCAAAGGGTAAAGGAAATAGCTGAATAAGTATAAAGAAAGCCAAGAGAGTCAGGCAGGTCATTGCACTTACAGTTTATGAATGGCAGTAAATAGTTTTGTATGGGGATCATTTTCAGAATTCATATTTGGATTATTCTTGATGAACAGATTTAATGAGCAACATCAAATTCAATAATAGCATGCTCAAAGAGAAAATACTTTATTTTGGGAAAAGTTCATCTTTTTTGAAAAACTATGTGAGGAGAGAAGAGTGGACATTTTTTTCCTACAGGAAGATAAGAAAGTCAAAGCTTGCAAATAGGTCTTTCCCAACTGAGTTTAAAGGGGAGAAATCTCTTTCTCCTTTCTGTGCACATGAATTATATTAGAATGTTATGCTAAGGATATTTGGCTTTCCCACATATTCACAAATCCTATTCTGATCCCAACTTGACTTTACAAAGTATCATTGGCATACTTTCAAATCAATCTCTGATTTATTCCAGAAGGAAAGGAGATGGAATAATTCCATAAAGAGGGTCTTTTTATTGGTAATAAAATTGGTGAACTTCATATGGTAGAATTATCTCACAGTATTTTTATACTGGAGGAAGATTTAACAATGGAAACTAGTATACCCTCGACACATTTCATTGTGTAAAGCATATCTATTTAACTGCTTTAATGCAGGCTTGCAGATTTCAGTTCACTGGCAAACCAAGAACCTTATAAAAAAGAATTGAGGCGCTAAAGATACATGATCCTTCAATCATCATAGAGAGTTGCACCATTCTTATTTTATCACATCATCAAAAATGATAATTGTGGTTCAATTAAGGTTGTGTAATATGAATCAGATTACAGAATAGACTTCAAACAATGTGTGGATTTCAGGACTAAACTTTTCAAGGATTAACAAATGAACTTCAATGGTTTCCTTAATAACTCTGAGTAAATTTATGCTAGAGTGTTGAATCTGAAAGATTTGAGAAAGCAGTTTTTATTGCTGACATTTCTGCTAGGTTACCTTCACCATCTAACTGAAATCTGCCCAGATGGTATCCTCTCTTGAGTGTTGAGGTGCTACATAAAAGACAATCCTGACAATAGTAATTAGATCTTTTTTATTGATAAGAAGCTTTTAATCTGTATGTTTCCTTGGAGCCAGCTTTTTTTTTGTATCCCCTTTTAGTGTAAAGAGCATTTTCTTTCTAGGTTTCCACTAGGATAAATAGTCCTAAACGTGATTTTTAAAATGCTCTGTGGTTGTTTCAAAGTCAATTGAAGGATGCAGGTCAATTTTCTTCAGGTTTATTTTTCTTTTCCTCATTTGAAGTGTATGCTGAGTCCACTTGCCAAGATTTACTGTGGGGTCAACCCAATAAAATTTGCCAGGACTGAACTGGACTGTAGGATCCAATTCAAGAGAGGAAATTAGAATCAAGAGAGTATTGATAATTTAATAAAAAATGATAATTGAGAAGATTTCAATGAATGGAATCAATATTTCTCTAAGAATATTTGATATTATTTAATTTCCTACTGTTATTATACCAGAGGAGTTTATTCTCATTGCATTTAAATAATGAACAGATTAATTTATGTGTTGGGAAGATAATACAGTGATTATTTTTCATAATAAGAGGGCATTTTTCTTCTAACAGGCTATTTTTATTATCCATTTCAATCATGGGAAATTTACTAATTATATATATATTATATAACATTTGATGAACACAGGATAGATATTGATAACCTGTTTATATGTTTGAAACTATAATAATAAAATTATAATTTTATCCTTTGTGAATTCACTTATCACTTAAGAATTAGAATATTTTCAATACATAAAAATGCTTACATGCTTCTGTATGTATCTCTCTTCCATGCAACCTCAGCAGCAATCATGATTCTAAGTTTTGAATTTATATTTCCTAGATTTTTGTATAGTTTTACCATGTAGATATGGCTCTCTAAACATGAAAGTTTTGACTTTTAAATTTACAAAAATGGTAATATATGTTTTCTACCATTTTTATTCAACATTAAACTTTAAGATTAATTTATGTTGTTAAAATAGTCTCACCACTGTGTCTTTTGAGCTTTATATACATTACTTCACTTAACTCTCAGAAGATCATCACAAAGTACATATTTTTATTGTCATATTAAAAGGTAAGAAATCAAAGTTAAGAAATTTGAGGGAAAGGCCTCAAGGTCACATGTCTGGAAGATGACAGACCTATCTCATCTTAGTAGCTGCACCTCTTTGACTCTTAACCATACATTATTTAATAGCATCATTCATACTTCTGTATAGCAAACGAGCTCAAGGATAAATTGCTTTTAAGGTTGTTATATCCACATAAAACACATGAGGAAAGTGGAGGCATTTCCTACGGTTGCCTGTTGTGGATGGCAGAATGATGGCCTTATCAAGATATCTATATCCTCATCCCTGGAACCTGGGAAGACGTTGTTATATGAAAAGAGAGAATTAGGGTTGCAGATAATTAAGATAATGCCCTGATTTTAAGGTTAGCTTTAAATGTAGAAGAGGGAGGCAGAAGAGTAAATGAATATACTTACTTGAGTAAATAAATTTCTAATGTGGTTTTAAAAATTCTGACTGCTAGTATATTGCATTCTCCACACACTGTATTTTTTGAAACTTTAAAGTTTTTAATTAGTAATTTTTATGGATGCAATACATTAACATAGTTCAAAATTCAAAAGATGTAAAAGAACAACAGTAAAACACATATTATTTAAAATACCTGATTTACAATTATACACTTTCTTTCCTTAAGTGCAACCTGTGTTATCATTTTCTGTGACTACTTTCTACATAAAGATTTGTTATAAAACCAAATGTGCATCTAAACTCATGCACACACCCTCCTTTTTTGCATAGTTGATAGCAATTATGCACATTGTTGGACAGTTTTTTAACATCACAATGTATCTTAGAAATCATTACATGAGAAGCTTTCTTGTATTTTTTAACCAACTACATACATTTGTATTACATTGATACACCAGGATTTATTTAACCATTTTCCAATTGATAGACATTTAGACTGTTTCCAGGTTTCGCTATGTCTCACACCCTAATAATGTAAACAAAGGTCTGTTTTACCTAGGCTTTGCCAACCCATTGTGTACTCACTTTTTCATCTTTATCAATATGAAAATAGAAAAAAAGTCATCTTAGTGTAATCTTTATATTTTATTATGAGTGAAATGAATATTTCTCATCCTTTAAGGTTTCTTTGCATGTCCTCCCCTGAGAAATCTCATTGTAGCTTATGCTCATTCTTCTATCATTATGAATTTTTCTCATTGTTGTATAGTAGCTCTTTATATATTATGAAAAATGGCTCTTTCTCTGTAAAATGAGTAGAAATATGTTTTCCAACCTGGCATGTATGCTTTTTTTTTTGTAGGACTTTTAAATTGTTTTATAGCTGAAATTTAAAATATTTTTTGGTAAATCTAAAACATGGTTTTATTTTTCTATGCAAATATTTGATGTCTGAAGTTAATCCTAATGTAAAGAGTGAAGTTTATTCTTATCATTATTTTTTTAAAGGTGACAACAATGTTTTACCACTTATTTCAAATGCCACTTCTAGCCAATCCAAACTATGAATGTATTTTTGCCTCACATTTCATTCTATGTGTTTCTTCTTGTTCACCTAATACCATCAAGTGCTCATTATTGGGTCTTCCAGTGGAGCCCAGACAATATTCTGGTTGCTAAAAAGAAGGTCAATGAGGTCAGTGGTAACCCAGAGGTTATCACATATATGGGGTCTTTTATAGATAACAAAAAGGAAGTCTTGCTTCTTCCATTTTTTATTTTTTGGAGAGGCTATTAATACAAGGGAATCTGGGATAAGGAAATAGAAGGTGATGGAAGAGATGGCATGGGGTATGCTTTTCCATCTGGCTTAGACAGATAGTTTTAATATCCAATGGAAAGAGGGATAGAGCAAAGGATATATAAATTCTGTCTTCATAAAGACTCTGAATCTAGAGGCATGAATACTTCTTCCCTGAAGTTCATATGGTAGATTGCAAAACAGAGTCAGCAGCACAGCCATTCTACTCCAAATCTTCACCCAAGTCCTAGTACATCATGGAATAATGCACCATCGTTGACTGATCAGAGTGTACTTGTCAGTCTTTCCTCCACAGCATATACAAGTAGTCAGAACTAGCTCTAAGCGTGATGATAAAGTTCTCTGTTTAGAAGGCTAAAATTAAATAAGAGAAGATTTTCTTTCTGAGAATTTGTTTTTTTTTTTTCCCCCTCCATTGCTGCGACCCCTTCCCTGAGTGTCTAAAAAATGATACCGACATGATGGGGTGGAATTGGAGAAGGCTCTGAGCTACAGGTAAGCTCATATCCTAGTGAGCATTTCCAAGCTACATGCATAAGTTAAGAATTCATGTTGCTAGTATCATCAGCATTTAAAGACTTTTTAGGATTGGAAAATTAGATCTAAAATATACCATGACATTTTAAGAGAGAAATATTATTATAATACACAAAAATATATCTTTATTAAAACACTATATTTCTTCAACAAATCAATGGCATAAAAAGGGGAGGAAAAGTCTTAGTTGAAAGAGACTTAAAAGATTATAATAACTAAAAGTAATCAATAAATTTCATTGAAATCCTACTTTGAATTCTAAAAGGGAGTTGCTTGAGATAATATGTGATACTTTAATATAAACTGGATACATGATTATTTTAAACATTTCTTGTTATTGGTGGTGGTGGTGTAAATACATGTATGTGTGATGTAAGTACAGTGCTTTGGTAATAAGATGCCCACTTTGAAAACATATGTTAAATGAAATACATAAAGTGAAATTATTTAAGTTCTGAGATTTATCTTACATTTTTAGTACAGACACTTTAAGAATGAGTAGAAGAAGAGAAATATTGATAATTGTTGAACCTTTAACAAGGGTATTAGGGATTTAATTATACTCTTTTATCTACTTTTGTAGGTTTGAAATTTTTCTTCATAAAAATCTGCCCCCAAATTTATGACTTTAAAAATCTTTCTGATTCAAAAATACTCTTTATGCCTTAAGTCTACAGATTATCCCTTCCAAGTGGTAGATATGATAATATCATTGAACTTTCCTGGGTAAGAAAAACTTTAGGCATAGAGAGGTTTAGGAATGTGCCCAATGCAACAGAACAAGGCCGTCTCGGGAGAATCTCTGGCTTGAACACGTCTCCTCCGGCTGCCCAGCTACCCTCACATTAGGCTGTAACGTTCAAAGGCTTTGCCTGAAGTTTGTTCCAAAAAACACAGGACTATGTTTAAATGATGCCTTTCAAATTGATCTGAAATAATAAAAAAGTTTAAGTTTAAACTATCATTTTATTTCAAGAATAAAGCAAGTTTTCTTTTATTGCTATAGATAACATGGCAAGAGAAGTTAAATCCAGATAGAAACTTTCAAGAACTTAGTGACAAAAGTTAGAATCTCTTGTGCTTGCTATAACCGCCATTTTAGATGTATTTTATTTTCATTTTCTTTGAAGAAGCAGGAAATGAATTGAACAAAGATTTATGCCTTTTAATGTCACAGTTGATTACCAACTGAAATTGGAGGAATGCAATTTTTATGACTTTATGTAAAAGTGAGCTATATTTCAGAATGAAATGGAGATTGGCTAGACAGACAGATTTAATTTTTAAGAATGTATGTTATCTTACAGGAAATATTTATATAAATTAAGAAAGTTTAAATCTCTAAATTATTAGTTTTAAATAATTCACCTGACCTGGTACTAGTCACATGCATGTCTGAAATATAATTTTATGAACCAAACTCTTCTGGAAATATGTTTTAAATTTATATATCTTTATATACCAAATTACTAAAACTCATAAAATGCTGAAATCTTGATTAATTTTCTGAAGCACATAGGCATTACCTAGCATTTGTTTTTCAAATTCTCTGTCTGACATGGTACATATTAAATGTTTAGTAAACCCCTAAAAATTATACCCATTCATTAATATTGGATGTATATAGGTATATTGCTTTCTCTTTCACAGAAACGTTGCCTTCCTAAGATAATTATTTTCATGTTAAATAGTAAGAGCCTGGTTTTGAGGGTTACAACCAGGTTAAAAAAAATCATTAAACAAGGATAAATATAGTCTCTGTCTTTTTCTTCCCTATCACATCCAAACCATATGGAAATTTTATAAATTTATTTACCCACTTATTTAATAAATATTTTGAAGGTGCTTCTTAGGTACTACACACAGTGCTAAATGTTACAGATAAATCTGTTTTACAAAATCACCAGTCCTCATTGATTACTAGAAAAGACAGTTACTGATTTGTGTCACATGCCTTAAACACAGTAAGCAATTCTATTTCTCTATATATTTGGACATGTTGATCCTTCTGCTTTAAATATCCTTTCATATGTGGAACACCTAACAAATTTCTCCTTATTCCCTCAGGCCAAGTTATATGGTAATTAGATGGCTAGTTTTCTTTTTTCTAAAGCTGTCTGTGAATTACACTAATTCAGTAATGCCGTTATCTATATTTAGAAATCACAACTTCTAGCAAGTGCATGTCACCTCTCTGAGAAGATTTAAAAATATTGATGTTATTTGAATTTGCATAGTATATATATGTATGTATACACACATATATGTACATATACACACATAATCCAACTGCCCTCATTTACAATAATACACAGATAATTTTAATATTGTTATACTATTCATATGCTATTAAATCAGCATGTGTTTATTTACTTGAAAAATGAAGAAACTAAAAATAAAATGGTCAGCTTCACATAATGCAGATAAACCTGTAGAGACTTGTCCATATGGAAACTTCTCTCATGTAACAGAATAACTTATGCCAAAATAGGCATAAGAATTGCAGAGCTGGTGTGAATACTTCAATGATTTGATCAGTTTCCAAAAGTGGTTTTATCTGGCTTTTTCAGTATCCTTACTCTATTGCTTGTTACCTTACACTATAAGGATGGCTGCTATATCTATAGGTAGCACGTATAATTATCATGCAGAAAGAAAGTGAACGACAAAAGACGAGGACCACCTAAGTCTGATATATTTTCTTAGGATATCAACAGCTTTTTCAAAGCGCCACCTGGACTAAAGCTTATATACATTATTGGCCAGATATAGATCTGTTATACGAATTTAACTGCATGGGAATTTAGAATGTTAAATAATTCTTACTTGGTGCATTATAATTCTGGAAAATGTCCAAGTTCAATTAGAAAAAATATATACAGAGAATGGACATTAGTAGCTACCTTGGAGTATCTATCACATGTGGTCCTGCCAAATATTAGGTTGGTGCAATATTAGGTTGGTGCAAATATTAGGTTGGTGCTGTTTTTTTTTTTCCATTAAAAGTAATGGCAAGAATCACAATTACTTTTGCACCAATCTAATAAATACTTTAACTTTAATTTTTCTTTGTATATAAATTTCACAGTAGTTTCAGCACATGCATGCACATTCTTAATATATGTGGTTCCCAATGTATTTGATCTGTGTATTGAGATGGTCCCTAAAATAGCTTTAGCTTGCTTGGTAAAATAAATTCAGTAATTTGACAGAAATAAAGATTCAATAGCATTTATTGAATTAAATAGTTCAGTAACTAAGAAATTATTGATATTCAAAAATTCGCAAATATGATAGATCACTGAAAGCAGAAATTCTTCAACTTCACTGCTGATGTTCCAAACAAAAGTTGCATCCGTAGACCAAAACATAAACTACATAAATGTAAAATCCTAGGGAAAATATACATTTATCTAGCATGGGCCCTGTTTTCTCAGGTGGAGAATTAAAAACCAGGGAAATAAAATCCCTTGCCCAAGTGAAACTCTTAATAACAGATCAAAGAGAAGAATCATTGTGGAGTCTAGCTAAATTATATATATTTACAAATGCATACACACATATAATATATGTATACACGTATACATAATGATGTTATCATTTTCTTATGCACAATGCTTCACATATCGATACAGGCATGGTATTCAAACACATCATTTGAATTATTTAATGTGACATTCTTTTACATGCTTCAGGTTTTTAAAGTAAGAGTTTTTTTATGTAGGCAAAATAGAATCAGGAACATCAGTATATTAAGATCACAATAATATCAACAAAATAAAATCAGCAATATTCAGAAACTCAGAAAATTTTATTTTGTATGAGTGCAAAGTCATAGAAAGGAGTCTTTTAAAAATATTATATTTATAGGAACTTAAGAGAATCCAATGGCTATTGTCCCTTTTTAATTCTTTGGGGGAAATTATTGCTGTAATTTCATTGTCATGAGAAGAATAACACAGACAAGATATCTGCTCTCTTTTCTTGAAATTTTTTTAGTAACTATAATGCTCAAGAGAGTTTTTTTTTCTGTGCTGGTAAATGTATCTTAAAAGAAATGCAATTTAACACTTAAATGTTATGTATAGGTTTGCAATTTAAGATGGAAGACTTAGAATAAGCATTTAAATACCATTATTTCCCAACTGCACACCCAATGGCCCATCGAAATAATAGAAACAGGGAAACAACAGCAAAGAGAAGAAAGGGGTCTTTATAAGTGGATGAGAGATTATAAAATAAATTCTGTAGCTGGACACTGGTAGAATGCTAATGGATGAGGCAGATAAGAAGATGCCAGTATGTCACAAATGCCTGGTCAAACCCAGGAAAGGCTGTAGGCTTCTCTTTGGCAGTTTGTTGCAGGGCTAAGATGAGGAGAGGTGCTGAAAACAGGGGGGTTAGTTGAAGTTTAATAGAGAAACAGCTGTATCTTTTGGTACACTACACAAGTGAAAAATACCATACTGTCTAGTGTTTATAGCCCCAGGATAAAAAAATGGTAGATGTCTTCACTGAAGAACTGAGCAAACCTGTGGGGAGTTTTCTTTGTTATTATTGCAGCATTTGAGGAAACAGCAATAAACAGCACAATTAAACTCACTGTAAATGGAAGAAAACTTCCCCTCTCACATGTCACGTTAACAATAGGCAAGCTTGATAGTAAATAGACATGTATTACATGTTCAGCAGAGGAGACTCAAAACAGCAACTAAGTAAAAATGAAAGACAAGAAAATGAACAAAAACTCATTCACGGAAAAATGAAAGATAATTCAGGGAACAGAAAATAATTTAAAAACAAAACTTTGTTTTTAAACAAAAACCTTATCAGAACTTTATCAAAAGATATTACCATTGGCTTACAGGAACAATATAATGATTTTTTAAAAAATGGAAACAAAGAATATTCTTAAAGGTTAAAAATATGGTTGCTGAATTGAAAAAGTTTATACAAGGGCTTGAATACAAGAGTAACGTTCTTAGAAAAAAAGATAAGGATATAAAGATACAGTAAACCTCAGAGGAAAAAGAAAATTAGAAACTTATAAACAATCAATACAGATGAGCCAATATTCCAGTAATAAGTTTCAGTATGAGAGAAAAGATAAACTGTATAGGAGAAAGTTAACTGTATAGGAGACCAATAAAAAAACTCCAGTGCTGAAAATAAACATGGGTCTTCAAGTTGAAAATATCCACCCAATGTACAGGAAGGCAAATTTTTAAACGGTCACCTAGACATTGCTAGTAAAATTTCCAAGCACCAAAGGAAGATAAAATTAAAGTTGAAGACTCTCCATTTGGAGAAGGTGCTATAAACTTGTTTTTCCTACTCATCCCAGGTAGGGCTGTCCAGAGTAGCACTGGACAGCAGAACGACCACTCTACAGAGCAGGCCCGTCCCATAGGCAGAGTGGCCCAGAGTAGCAGTGGACAGCAGAATGACGGCTCACAGAGCAGGGCTGTCCCGTAGGGAGAGTGGCTCACAGTATCAGTGGAAAGCAAAATGGCTGCTCCGTAGCCCAGCAGCCCACAGCAGCAGCAGCAGCAGCAGCAGCAGCAGTGTACGGCAATAGCAGCAGTTCAGAGCAGCAGCCCCAGTGGATTACTGGCTAACTATATTATACCCACTCTTTATTATATCCTAACAAAGGGGCATGTTATTCAGAATATTCTAGAAAAAAGGATGTGGGAGTCCTCAGAACCATATACGGTAATTTCTGCCTAGTTGCCATGTCATTTGCAAACTGTCATGGCGCTGGTAGGAGTGTATGCTAACGAGCATTGCGGGCAACTAGAGGTTGCTTTCTTTGACATCTGCTGGTTTCAGCAGGTATCTTTAGTACGACCTGTTTTGATCAGTAACGTCCTGATCAGAAAACAAGTCCTGTTGATGTACCTCAATACTAAGAACGAAGAAAATCACATTTTGAATGGAAAAGAGAACTGACACCTATGCTGAGATAAAACAGATGTTGAAATTATTTGATAAGGAAATTTAGAGCATCAGGAAAAAAAAGGAACAACATGAAGGGCAGAAATAAGGGTGTATACCACTGCTATTCTTTTCCTCAGATTTATAAATTACGTCTGATTGAAACAAAAATTCTGCCACTTTTTGATATTCAAGACAATAATTTTTGTTTGTTTGTTTGTTTTTAGACAGAGTCTCGTTCTGTTGCCCAAGCTGGAGTGCAGTGGCTCAATCTCAGCTCACTGCAACCTCTGCCTCCCAGGTTCAATTGATTCTCCTGCTTCAGCCTTCCAAGTATTTGGGACTACAGGCACACACCACCATGCTCAGCTAATTTTTTTTTTTTTTTTTAATTTTTAGTAGACACAGGATTTCACCATGTTGGCCAGGCTGGTCTCATGCTCCTGACCTCAGGTGATCTGCCCGCCTCAACCTCCCAAAGTGCTGGGATTACAGGCATGAGCCACCGCACCCAGCCAATACAGTGATATTTAAAAGTGGGGAAGATAACAGAACTTAAATGGGAAGGAGATGTCCACATTTTACCTATATGGGTAAAATGTTAATATCAATACACTCTTATAAGCCATATATTTATACCTTTAAAGAGCAACCATTTTGAAAATTATACAGATACAGCAGGTCCTTGAATGACATAGTTTTGTTCAATGTTATTTTATTGTAATGTAGATGAGAAAAAGAACTATATTCTAACTGGAGCCACTATCTGCATGGATTTTCCCCATGTACTCCTTTTTCCTTTCACATCCCAAAGCTGTGCACATTAGGTTAATTGGCATGTCTACATTGTGCTACCTGAGGATGTGTGTGAGTGAGTCCTTCAAGGGAAGAATGTACTCTCCAGGGTTGGTTACCACCTTTCAGCCTGAACTTATGGGATAGACTCTGGCCAACTGTGACTCACACCTGAAATAAGTGAATTGGAATTACTTAATTAATTAATACAAATTATTGCAAAACAAAAATTCATGAAGTGTACCATAATCATTCAAATGCACAATGATAAACAGTGGGGTAAAAAAGTGCACTGCCAGATAAGTTATTGTTTGATTTTAAACTGTGTGGTGGTAGGACATGCTTTCTGCAATTTTCACTTTGCAAGTATTTATTCCTTGATTTAATCCACCATCAGTATGATCCCAGTCACTCACTGATGAGCCAAAAAATGGGCAAATAATTATGTTTTCATTAAAATTTTTGAAATATGTATAGCTCACATGTATTTCAATGTTTAATATTAAAAGTGCTTTGGTCTTTATTTAGATGTTTGATGATGGTGACATCACCACATATATGCCATAGAAACTTCACTTGTTTAACTCAATTAACCTATAGCAAAATTGGTTTTGTTAAAATTGGTTTGTTACACTTGAAGTAATGATTTTCAAGAACCTACTAATGATGCTAAATGAAGACTTACTATACACTCAAAAATACTATCAATAAATCAATATGTAATTCTAGAAAAAGTAAGTAACCTGTGAGAAGGTAAGAAAACACAGAGGACTGCAAACCAAAGGAAATATGGAAAACAAATAGTCAAATGGCCGACTAAATACTAACCCATCGATAACTGCCATACATATAAATAAACTGAATGCAACAGTCAAAAGACAGAGGATTGACAGAGTACAAAATGTAGAACCCAGATTTATGCTGCTTACAAGAAATTCACTTAATTTTAGTGAGATTTATGCTGCTTACAAGAACTCACTAGATATAGATATACTGAAAATAAAAAAAAAAGAAGACATTCCATGCCAACATTAATTTAAAAAAGGAAGTGGATATATTAATTTCTTATATAGTAGACTTTAGAGTGGGTATAAGGAGAGATATTATGTAACAATAAAAGGATTAATTCACAAGGAAGAAAACAATCCTAAAAGTGTACACACTAGAGTCTCAGATACATACAGCAAAATCTGAAAGAACTAAAATGATGAGCTGGGGACTTCAGCATACTCTTGTCAACAACTGACAGAACTATTACACACAAAATCAGCAAGGAGATAGAGAAGCAGAACAAGAAATCAACCAACAGGATCTAATTGACATATATAACACACTCCACCCGACTGCAGAATATACATTTTTTTTTCACATGTCCATGGAACATTCATCAAGACAGACGATATCCTAGGCTAAAAACCAAATCTCTAGACAATTAAAATTACAAAAGTGTATTTTCTTAAGAGAAGGGCAACAGGCACTCTTCCAAATACTAAAACTAAACAACACATTTCTAAATAATTTCTGCAGCAAAGAAGTCTTAAAGAAAATTTTTAAAAATGTAAAAGACCCACTGAAAACAAAGACACACCACATCAAAATTTGTGGTATGCAACTAACACAGTACTGAGAGGAAAATATATAGGACTAAGTATTAGCATTAAAAAAGAAAAATCTCAAATCAATCTCAGTTACCACTTCAACAGGCTACAGAGAGAGAGAAAGAGACTCAAATCAAGCAGAAGAAAAGAAGTAATGAAGAGCACAAATCAGTAAAATGGAAAACAATAAAATAATGGACAAAGTCAATAAAACAAAAGCTTATTCTTTAAATAAAAATCACTGAAGTTGACAAACCTCTAGCAAAACTTAAAAAAAAATGCAAACTACCAATATCAGCAACAAAATGATAACTATCTCTACAGAACTTGCCAGTATCAAAAGGAAGACAACAGACTAACAAGAGCAGCTCTAGACAAATTAAAACAGATGGATTTGACCAATTCCTGAAAAAGCACAAATTCTAACAACTCATGTAACATGAAATAAATAATTTGGATTACCTTAAAACTAACTATTAAGTAAATTTAATTTGCAATTTGAAAACTCCCCCCAAAATGGACCAACTCCTCAAAATCCATAAACTATTAAAACTCAAGCAAGATTAATTAAAAATCTGAACAGCCTATATCCATCAAAAAACTGAATTTATAAATTGGGTCTGGAGTCACTGGAAAATTCTAAAAAACTTTAAAAAATGTAACACTAATTTTACACAATTTCTTCCAAAAATATAGAAAATGGAGAGAAGACTTTACAACACATTTTATGAGATTACTATTATCCTGTAACAAAAACATAACCAAAAAATTAAAAACAAACAAATGAAAAACTACAGACCAGTATTTTTCATCAACTTAGAAGTAAAAGCCCCCAATAAAATTTTAGCAAATAGAATCTAACCCTGTATAGATATGATTATACATCATGACAAAGTGAGATTTTTCCCAGGTGTGCAAAACTGGTTCAACATTTGAAAATCAATTAATGTAATTCACCATATCATCAAGCTAAAGAAAAAAAATCATATGATTCTATAGACAAAACAATACCACCCGCACCCCACCCTCACCTCCCATGGCCGAAAATGTCCAAGTCCTAATTTCTAAAATTGTTAATAGGTCATCTTAAATGACAAAAGGGATTTTGCAGTTGTGATTAAATTAAGGATTTTGAGATGAAGAGATTATCCTAGATTATTGGAGTAGGCCCAGTGTAATCACACAAATTCTTATAAGATGAAAGCAGGAAGATCAGAGTAAGAAAACGAAATATGATGATGGAAGCAGAGGTGAATGAGGGACAGAGAAAGAGAGATTTGAAGATGCTACATCACATGTCTTGAAGATGTTGGAAGAGGCTATGAACTAAGGAATGCAGAAGGACCCTGGAACCCAGAAAAGGAATAGCAGCACTTGATTTCTCAGAGCTTCCAGAAAGAACTCAATCCTTCCAACACATTGTTTTAGGACTTCATGATTTTAGAACTAAAAAGTAATATGTTTGTATTTTTTTAAGCCAAAAGTTTATGGTTTGTTATAGCAGCAATTTGCCAAAAGCCAACTTCATTCATGATAAAATTCTCAGCTCGTTAGGAATATAGGGAAATTACTTCAATTTGAAAAAGAGAATCACAAAAAAATCTACAATTTTCATACTTAAAGGATGAATGACAATGTTTTCCCCAAAGATAAGGAAAAAGGCAAGGATGCCTACTCTCACTGCTCTTATTCAACATAGTATTGAAAGTTTTAATGATAACAAGAAAAAAGTCATACCGATTTATATATGATTAAAAATATGATCTTTATTTATAGATAAATGATTATCTATATTAAAAATCTTAAAGAGTCTACAAAAAACAGCTATCACTGATAAATGAATATAATAAGGCTGCAGGATGCAAAATTAGCAAATAAATGTCAATTGCATTTTAATACACCAGCAACGAGCATGTGGAAAGAGAAATTAAAAATGCAATACTATTCACAATCACTACAAATAAAAAATAAATACTTGGGTATTGTTAACTTAAAAAAAACACAATTTACAAATTTAGAAAAGGAGAGGAGACTTTATTTCTGATAAAGCATTATAGCCTGCAAGGTGGCCCTCCTACAGGCTAGGAATGGTGCCTTCAGCCAAGACAAGACAGGTACATCAAAGGAGGAGGTGATGGATCGGGAGCTTTATGCTGAATGGGTTGGCTAAACATACATATTCAACAGGTTACAGAAGGAACTATGAATATTCACGAAGGTGGACCTGACACATGTGTGTTGAACAAACATGCATGTGACACACTATTTATGTTCACTTTGGGGTGGAAACTTAACATTCAAATGTATTGCAATTAGGTTCTATTGGTCAAAATGTCTTTTCAGGACACAAAGGCAGGCAAGTATGCAATATCTATAAACCCACCAGCACCAGAACCAGTCCAGACAGTGGTTTTCTTATGATGAGAGAGTTACTGAAATCAGTTTCTTTTCTAATCAAACCTATAGTTATGACTGGTAGAACAGGGCATCAGTTAGTCAGTGTCTGTGAGCTGGATGAGTTGTAATTGTTTGAATATTGCTTATCTTTAGGACAGTGTTTGTTTAGCTGCTAGAGTAAAGAAAACCTTGCGCCAATTGGAACATAGTTCCTTCTTTAAGTGTAGGGATGCGTGACTTAACCCTTGCCCAACACGGCCTTACGTTTTATTTATAGTTTGGTATAGTATTGCCACAAAGAGTCTGTTCTGTTAGTCTTAGAATCTCCATTTAGCTTTTTAACATTAAGTTGTATCTAAACCACAAAATAGAGATTTAGACAAGGCGTGTCTGACCTCCTATCCTGTCATGGTGAGGAACTCAGTTTTAAAGTTATTATGGGGTCCCCTTCACCACAAGGGGGTCCATTCAGTCAGTGGGGAGCTTAGGATTTTATTTCAAGTTAATGAGAATTGTAGATATTTTTGCAGATTCTCCTTTTGAAATCGAAGTAATTTAACATATACAAAATATAAATGTGTACAAATATGTACAAAAATTACAAAATTCTGACAAAAGATATCAAAGGAGACCCAAATGAATGGAGAAATAAATTATGTTCATGAATTTTCATTTAAGATATCAATTCTCCCCTAAATGGCTTATAGGTTTAATACAATTCCTATCAAAATCTCAGTAAGGTTTTCGGTAGACATAGGCTATTCTAAAATTTATATGAAGAGGCACAGATCCCAGAATAAACAACCTTGTGATGAAGAATAAAGTGAGAGGAAGGAATTATTTTCCATAATATTAAAGCTTTCTATATATGTATATACAAATGTATGTATGCATATATAATAATTAAGACAGTGTATTATTGATGAAAGGATAGTCACATAGATCAATTGAGCAGACTAGAGATCCAAAAATAGACCTATGTAGTATAACCAATTGATTTTTGACAATAAAAATCAATTTGATTGAGGATAGCTAGCCTTTTCACAAAACATTCCTGTAACAGTAGGCAAATGAATAAACTTCAAATTAAACTTCACATTTTATACAAAAATTAACTCTAAATGGAACACAGATTCAATTGTAAAACGTAAAACTCTAGATCTTTTTTAAAATAATAGGAAACCTTTGGGATGTGGGGCTAGGCAAAGAGTTCTTAGATTTTAAAATAAAAACATAATCTGTTAAAAGGAAAACGATTAAAAAAATGGGACTCATGAAATTTAAAAGATTATTTGATCTGTGAATCCCCATGTGAAGAGAATAAACAGAAAATCTACAGAGTAGGAAAATGTAGTTATAACCCAAATATATGACACAGGACCAGTATCTAGAATACAAAAAAAAAACTCAAAATTCAACATTAGAAGAAATTCAATATAAAAATGGACAAAAGACATGAACGGAGCTATCACCGGACAGGATGTACAGATGTTAAGTTGCATGTGAAAAGATGTTTAGCAGCGTTAATTCATTACAGAAATGCAAAAAAAAAAAAAAAACACAGTGAGACTTTATACACCTATCAGAATGGCTAAAATAAAAAATGATGACACCACCAAATGCCGAGAAGGATGAAGAAACATTGGATTGCTCATACATTGCTGATAGGAATTTAAAATGATACAGTCACTCTTGAAAACAGTTTGGTAGAATATGAAGTAAACTAAACATACAGCTACCATATGACCCAGCACTTGCGTCCCTGGGCATTTATCCCAAAGAAATAAGAAGCTATGTTCACACACACAAAAATCTGTATGTAAGTATTATAAGTAGCTTTATTTGTAATATTAAACAACTAGTATCAGCTCAGATATTCTTCAACAGGTGAATGGTTAGACAAACTGTACTACATACACACTCTGGTTTACTAACCAGCAATATAAAGGAACAACCTATTGATACACAAGCAACTTGGATGAATCTTCAGGAAATTATGCTGAATCAAAAGAAATCCACTTCTAAACGCTTACATGATATATGTTTCTGCTTATATAATAAAATGTTTGAAATAATAACATTTTAGAAATGGAGGCACATTTCTAGTGGCGAGGAGTTGAGGGAGAGGCGATTAAATGGCAATAGGAGGAATATTTGTGGTGATGGGAGTACTCAATATCTTGACTGTGGTGGTGGAGACAAGAGCTTACATAGGTGATACGATGGCATAGGATTTAATACACATCCACACACACATACACACACACACACACACACACACAATCAAAACTGGAAAAATTTGAATAAGATTGGTGAATGCTATCAATGTTCACATCTTGATTGTGATACTATATAGTACTATAGTTTCATACAAAACATTACCATCAGGGCGGGGCGCAGTGGCTCACGCCTGTAATCCCAGCACTTTGGGAGGCCAAGGTGGGTGGATCACGAAGTCAGGAGATTGAGGCCATCCTGGCTAACACAGTGAAACCGTGTCTCTACTAAAAATACAAAAAATTAGCTGGGCATGGTAGCGGGCGCCTATAGTCCCAGCTATTCAGGAAGCTGAGGCAGGATACTCGCTTGAACCCAGGAGGCAGAGGTTGCAGTGAGCCAAGATCGCGCAACTGCACTCCAGCATGGGCGACAGAGTGAGACTCTGTCACCAAAAAAAAAAAAAAAAAAAAAAAAAAAATTACCATCTGGTCAAGTTGATAAACTGTACAAGGTGTTACTCTGCTTTATTTCTTACAACTTCATGTGAATCTACAATTATCTCAATTTAAAAAACAATATCTAGAACACCTAAAAAAATGGAACAGAAGAGATAACACTCAAATCTCCTCAATGTAATTATTTTTGACAATTTTATTTTATCCCCATGCAATAAATATGAAGTCAAAATAAACATATTTTTACCCATTCTAGAACACACACTTTTTTTCCTTGAATACCCTTCAGAGGAAGATATTTCATAAACCACAACAAAATAATGCCAATAAAAGAAGAAGTCTGAGATTTCAGTAAAGAGAAAAGTTTTGGAACATGTCAAGAAAGCAATTAGTCTAGATTGAAACTTTAGGGCTCCCGAAGAGGTGTTTCAGAGAAAATAAATTGACTTCACATAAAAGGAAATATTCTTTTAAGGCTGGATATACATGAGGTGAATAAGAAGCCACATTATTATTTTTTGACAGCATTAAGAAATGACTGTTATTCAGCAATTTTAGGAAAACAAAAAGCTGTTCATCAAAGCGGTGATTAGTTGGTACAAAGTAACTTGTGATATTGTTTCAAAAAACTGAAGAAGTGTTGGGTAAGCATATGCATTTGACCTTGAATATAGGGACATCCTCCATTTATTACACATATAGATTTTTCATTCATTATTATTTGGCTACTGGACCTTTTTAAGTTAATTATTCTTTGGCACTATTAAAGACATCTTTAAGTTGGATTTTTAATCATGTTCTCTGTAAGCTGTATAATTTTAGCAAATGTGCAAACTGCCAAAGATTACAAAAAAGTGTTGATTTCTTCCAAAGTGCTAAAATAACTTTTGATTACAACTGGATTGGATTCCTGTCTGTTTTACTAAATGCATTTTTATTCTTTCTATCATTAATATTTCTTTATATAAAATGTAATGTTTTCAAACCCATAATAATCAATGAGTCTAAATTGTTATCTGTTATTTCTACAATATGTGTTTCCTTCTCAGAAATTAATGGAAGTTTGCAAGTCATAATAATTAGGTGTGACTGTTTATCTGAATGACATATGTTGGACATTTTAATAGTTTCAGAGAAATCTGTAAGCATCGTGTAAGAGTCATATAATGAAAAAGCCACCTGATATGAAAGAGAGAATTGTGGATGGTGGAAAATTAGCTATTAAAATAGAAAAATGCAGTTGGCAAAGGAGCAAATAGAAAACAGTAAACTGATGAGCAATTTCTCAACCAGGGAATAGGGTCAGGATGAAAAATGTTACTACAGTGGAATCATTCCTTAACTATTACATTTGCAGTTTTCCTATAATGAGTCAGAAATCCTTATCAAGAAAAAACAATTACTAAAGAATGTACCTTCTGGGAAGTAAATTTATAAGGTGAACATACTTAACTTAGAGACTAAATTAAAAAAAAAAGAAAAGATCACTAATATTCTCACAAAACATTAGCATTTTATTGGTTGCTAGAAGTTGCTGACAGGTTGTTAATAACAATAGCAAGCATAGAAAAGTGTGTCAAGCTTCCTGTTAACCAGTCTGTGTGGCTGTCACTTTTAGAGATTCATTTTATTGTGTGGACACATTACCAGATGAAATCAGTAGGTGGGTTGGTTTTGCCGCATCCCGCCCACCCTACTTTGACTTGAGAAAGTGCACTGGTATTTCTATTCAGCTCTACACTAATGCACCTGACTACTTCCTGAAACATTAATCAACCACAGCCAGAATGAAAATCAATATAACCCTGAAACATAGCTCCGGATACCAAAAATAAGTGTGAAAAAAAGACAGAACATGCGGCATTTTTCTCAATGTTTTGGAGAATTGTGCTAGCATTGCAAAGTACAAATGTTCTTTCTTCCCTCTGTAAACAGCTATGGATATGAATTTTATATGACATTTTCAATGCTACGTGATGTATTCCCAAAACAATATTATTGAAGGCTGAGTCTCTGTCCTCTACCGGCTGTTATTTATGATTGCTGCTTTGCGGCAAACAAAACACCAAACACAAATAATGGTGTGCTGTGTATAAAGTTTTTCCCCCCAGTGTAAAAAGCAAATGTATACATTTTGGTATTTGCTCATGAAAGAGGTTTGTCTATGTAAAACAGTATTCCTTTCAAGAGATCATGTAAGAAAATAAAACTGAGGTTGGCAACAAATTCTGTTGTATGAACTAATTGATTCAGCTGATAAACTGTAATCTGGGGCATGACAGATGGCAAGCAGGCCACTGCACCTCAATAAAGGGGAGGTCAAGCCTAATTGCTCTCTCTCTCTCTCTTACACACACACATTAGACTTAAATAGACAAGAGGAGTGAAATCTCTATTTCGTCATAATTTTAGATGTTTAATTGGCAGTTAATTTCAGAGCTGTTTGTTCACCCATATTTAGTTTTATTTTTTAAATAAACAGTATCTTTCAATAATTGTAGATCCTTTACTTGTTAATTTAATTGCCACATTAATTTCTTTGTTAATTTAATTTAATAATTGTTGATGCTTTGTAAATTTAATCAACAATTTTTGATATTTTACCGTTAGTATTTTTTTCTTTTTTTTTCCTTCCTTTTTCGAGACAGTTGCGCAATCACGGCTCACCGCAACCTCTGCCTCCCAGCTCAAGCAGTTCTCCAACCTCAGCCTCCTAAGTAGCAGGGACTACAGGGCGCACACCCAACTTTTTTTTTTTTTTTTAATTTTTCGTAGAGAAAGGCTGGTCTCCTGAGCTAAAGGATCTGCCTGCCTCTGCCTCCCAAAGTGCTGGAGCTATAGTCATGAGCCACTGTACCTGGGCCATTAGCACCTTTTTAAAAAGTGTCAGAAAATAATATAAAAATGGTGATGATCTTCCACATTTAAAATGAATTGAGATAAATATAAAATTTGTTTGCAGACCAGTAAAATACTGGAAATTCGATCATTATATTTTGTTCACAATCTTGATGCATTAGAAACAGAAAACTTAGGTAAACTGTATTTCATTTTATTACAGAGTTCGTTGTACTGGCACTTTACTGTGCTCTCCAACATTACATAATTCTCACTACAACACTGACATTATACTTCTCTCCCCCAGTTCTGTAACTAGTGTTTTCTCTAATTTTCATATTATTTCTCATGCACTATCTCAGTTGCCTATCACACAGAAACATTAGAGAGCATGTGTATTTTACAGAAATATTTTACAGAATTTTACAGAAAAAGAAACTGAAGTTCAAAAACTTAGAATGTATATACCAGATAGACAACTTCTGTCCAAATTAGGCAAGCTTTATTCAGGTGTGGCTCTCTCTCTAACCCCTAAACAGTCACCTACCTCACAATTTTAAAGAGGTCATGCTTCTTCAGAACTGTTTTCCTTTTGCTTTCTCTCATCTGGACCTTATGCTTCATTCTTCTTAAGTGAGACTTGGTCAAGGTGTTGACATGTACCCACCAAAAGGCTGAACCTTATTCTATCAGTTAACCACCAAGTCATAGCATTTGTGTTTGTTTTTCCTCATGTTACACTCCTCTAGTTAAAATTCTTGCCAAAAATCTAATTCTGACTCAACCTAGCACAAATTTAGTTTTTTTCTCATTATTTTTGGAGATTATTGTTTTTATGTTGATTCATGGTTTCTAATGTGTTGGACATAATAAGACATTTTGCAAAGAGGTTGGTGTGCACATAAAATTTACTTAATCACCAATTACCTCCAGTGCAATCAATGGATCATGCATCCTTTTCATGGCAGTATCTTTCCTTTAGGTTATACAACTCTGGCACATCAAGTTGGCCTATAATCTTGAGCCTTCAGTCCTAAGATTTAGTGCTTCTGATTCTTTTTGGAAATAGACTAAGAAAATTGCCCCTTAGTGTATGTTTTTATAAAGCTATTTAGCAATGAGATTCTGGGCACATGGGAACTTCTGGGAACGCTGTATTTCCATCAGTCTAAGGAAGTCTCTGTTAACATCTGCTAGACAGCACTGATTCACAGCATTAAGTGGAAGCTCAGGACATTTAGCAGTAGGAATTGTTAAAAGTGCTTAAAAATGGTTAAAAATATAGTTAATTTGAGTTATACTTCTCATTCCTGTCATTTGTTTCCCACTGCTAGAGAAGATAATTTCTCAGCAAGTGTTCAAAGAAATTCTCAGAAAGAAGCCAAGGGCAGATATAAATCCCTAATAATAAATAATAAGGTACAGGCTGTACAAAAATGATATTAGAACAGTTTTATTGCTTTAGATGGATCTTAAAATTCCTCAGGAATAGAAGAATAAAAGATGATTTATAATCCTTACAATTATGGCATTTGAATAACTGAATCCTGTTTTTAAATCATTGGGTGTGATAGTTCCCAAGTTTCACATGTGTCCTTTGAATTCATTTTTCAAAAAAGAATTATAATCTTCTGAACTTATTATAGTTGTGCTAATATCTTCACTGGTCTCATCCTGGAATCCTGAAAGAAGCTTTTCTTTTTCCAGACATTATTCACAAACCTGTTAATTGCGCACCAGGATTTTTGTTTATTTTGGATGCTGCAGCTACACTCTGGCTACTTAAGACTACGCACAGGGTGAGTTTTAGAGGTCTTTAAGATATTTGCCTGAAAATTTCTTGAGACTTCTTTCTGTATTAGTCTTTTTTATGCAATACTGGGAATTCTGAATCAGTCTGGAGCTATTAGGTTCTCTATGTGAGCTTTATATTAAGAAATCAAAAATGCCAAGTTTTCATGTTACCTAAGGATTATGAATAACAAGAAGTACATGTTATGCACCTTCCTTGTATTAAAAAAAATAGAACTATTACCTTTGGTATTTCAAACAGCGTTGATTTTTTTTTCCTCTCATGGTATTTGCATGCTCAAAATGTCATAAACTTTCATTATTAGACTAATAGGATTTACCCTGATTGAGTCTATGTACTGAACTCTATCCTAGAAATCATATATATGTATACTATAGACATAAGTTAATATATGTAAAGAACTTAGAACCTACTTTGACACATAAGCACTATGGTAGAGTTTTCTATTATGATGTTTTTTACTCTTACAATGTGACATAAGAGATTGTGCCCTCATTTTATAGGTAAGTGATCGAGGTTCACAAGCTAACTTTCATAAGTTAATATAGTTAATAAATATTTGTTCAGTAGTTTAAATGTACATTTCTGATTCCAAAGAAGGTGGTGGTTTCACTAGATTATTTTACCTCTCATTTAGGGGGTAGAATAAAACTCTCATAATTTTAGTCTCATAACACTTTGAAAATAGTTATTCCCATGTAAGTATTTTGATTTCGGTAGAGAAACACCACATTTTAAGAGAATTATGAATTCCACAAATATCAGAACAAATTACATGATTCAAATACACACAAAGAGAAAACAATATTTAGCAATGAAATGTTGTATTGCAAGACTTCAACTACAGCCTGGAATTCTGCTCATATGGCTTCATTTTGAGCTATATTGATTCTTATATAAAATATAACCCATAAAAGCTTTGATACATATTTTACTAGCCACAAACAGATTAAAGGCAGTAGAAAAACTATGCAGGTTATTTGAGAAAAATATCATTACTGCTGAGTTTTCAATGATTGACAGAAAGTATATGAGAATAACTTTAAAAGTAAAATTTTATCAAGAACTTGTGGTATAAAATATGATACTCAAAATTAGAAATCAAGGCATAGAAACAATAAGTGTAGAAACAGTATCCTCTACTTTTAAAGATCATCACGTAATTACTCACAGAACTAAGCTTCATTTTACTTGGAAAGTTATTTATGTTCAGTATATTTTCCCTCAGCAATTCTATACCCACAACAGACGCATAGACTCTCACAATTCCATATGTAAACAGTCTTTAACCGCAACAACGTTGGAAGATAAAATCAGGATTGTGCATGTAAATGTAGCAAGGTTAAATCGGCCTCCCATATCGAGGCTATACAAAACCTGCTGTACATTTCTACTTATGGTGCATTATCCAGACAATGAGTGTTTAAAAATCCTCTTCCACAGTGAATTGGAACTTGTCAACAAGTTTTCCACTTGTCATTATTTCCCAATATTATTGATAGCTAAAATGTTAAATAATGAAGAAAAGAATTAAGTATCTATTACAATGTTTCAATGGAGTACAAAAGAATGTTGTAGAATTCTAGTGCCTTGAGTAATGAAAAAGTTACACAGAAGGGCAAGGAGTATGTAACACACACTCCTGATATGATGCATATTATTTAAATATGATACAAAATCTGTTATGTATTCTTTCAGCTAAAATAAATAAATATATATATATATATAGTGTTTCTAGCAAAAAAAGAGATAATGTTAGAAATGATAATACAAGAAAATGTATATAGGTCACATACATTTATGAATTTATTGTAGAGTGTAAAATATTTTTATTTTGATAAACTTTCATGAATTAAAATATTTATTGCATATTAGTATTTGTCAGGTGCTGGGAGAGAAATCAGGGATAATGGGGCTTCTATAGGGTCTTTTTGTTCAAAGATTCATTCATTCAATGTTTCTTTATTTGGTTTGCCAAATATTTACCATCTACTGAACACCTACCAAGAAGAGTGGTATGCCTTAAAGATACTGGTCTATATATCTAGATGCCTACCAAGCAGGACCTTTAGCAGGCAACTCAGAGTGAAACTAGATCAAATTAAGTCATTATCTTTGCCTTTTCCCATCCACCAATCCTTTTATGTCCTTTCTATTGATATCTATCCTCACCCTCAACCCTGTCACTAACCTTGACACTTCATTCTTTCTGACATCATTTCAGTGTACTCAGCCAGCTACTAAGCCTTATGGATGGTACCTTATAAATTGCAACTGAATGTGTTTCTTTCTCTTTATTCCATTTGCAGTTATTTCATCCCCTTTATTTCTCATTTGAATTATTACAATTAACTCTGTTCTCAAGGGTCACTCTCCTCATGTCCATTCTCATCGTAGATATCAGTTTGCCCTTAACTAAAGTACACATTAGCTCATGTGGCAAACCACTGAAGAAGTTAGAGCAGAATAGACATCACCTACTGTGTGCTTTAGTTAAGAAAGAGCATATTACTTACATGGACTGACAAGTCATTCTAGAATAGTTCTTGTCTATATTTACTATTTTGTATCTAATAATTGTCTCACTCTCATCCTTCTTTCCAATCACAGTGAATCATTTATAATTCATAATATACAAAATTTAGTTTTAGGTATCTATGTCTTAGAACCTCTTGGTCCATTGATTTGTTCAAATAAATACTTAAACATTGAAGTGATTATCTCTCAATTTTGCCTGATCTATGTTTAGTGCTACTTTTTGTATAGTAGGAGACAGAGTTACTCTCTCGTCCTTGTTAGAGGAGTGTGGACATAAATAGAATTAGGCCAAAGAGATTTTCTCTTGGGATGTTTCTATCTTGACTGAAGACAAACAGAGGTGAAAGGCCATTAAAGAAGTACACATAAGATGTGGCCCAAAAGTTCTTATTAAGAAAATAATGTTCTTGCGATAGTTTACTGAGCACAAAAAACCAAACACCGCATATTCTCACTCATAGGTGGGAATTGAACAATGAGATCACATGGACACAGGAAGGGGAATATCACACTCTGGGGACTGTGGTGGGGTCGGGGGAGGGGGGAGGGATAGCATTGGGAGATATACCTAATGCTAGATGACACGTTAGTGGGTGCAGCGCACCAGCATGGCACATGTATACATATGTAACTAACCTGCACAATGTGCACATGTACCCTAAAACTTAAAGTATAATTAAAAAAAAACAAAAACAAAAACAAAAACAAAAAAAAAAAAAAGAAAATAATGTTTGTCAAATGTTTTTTTCAGTAATAGTTTTTATCAAAATGTTTTTTCTTTATTTAAATCATCATATGGGGGCTTCCTTCTTTATTCTGCTAGTTTGAATGATATAAATTTATTTTAAAATTTTAAAGCACCTTGAATTCTTGGAATAAACTCAACTTTGTCTCCATGAATAATCAAGTTTGCACAGCAGATTTTTAAAATTTGGAGATTCATAATATATTTTAATAATTTTACACATGATAAATGTGTAAATCAATAAATATTCAAAAGTGAAACACATTCTTGGAAGCCAAAACCAGTTCAATATATAGGCCAGTTGCTACAGACTTAGTCTGTATATGCCCCGATCTGTAAATTGGTAGGAAGAAACCTAATCCTCAGTGTGATTCTGGAGACTCTGGGAGGTGATTAGGTCATGAGAGCAGAGTCATAATGAATGAGATTATTGCCCTTATAAAAGAGACACCAGAGAGCTTCCTTTCCCCTTGTGCTATGTGAAAACACAGAAAGAAAACTGCTTTCTATGAACAAGCAAAGAGGCTACCACCAGACATGGAATCTATCAGCCCTTGATCTTGTACTTCCCAGCCCTGAGAACTGTAAGAAATAAATTTCTGTGGTTTTTAAGCCACCTCTTTATGGTAGTTAGTTACAGGAACTTGAACATACTAAGATGTTAGTATAAGTTCCCCCAGAAGCACACCTTGTTTCACCTTTCAGCCAAAATGTCCACTAGTTGAAAACACTCTCCTGATTTCTGTCATCATGGAATAGTATATCTTGTTTCTGAAATTTATACAAATGAAAAGGATTCTTTGAAGTAGCCTGCATCTAATAATTGTTTGGCATAGACAAAAGGCTGACCCCATGCTCCTTTTTCACACCTGGGGCAATTCTGAAGGGCTATTTCAAGCTTCAAAGCCCTCTGAGGCCTTGCTATGTCTGTGACATGTAACAAGTTACTTTGCCTGTCTGAGCTTTTGCATTCATTTTTTTAAAAGGTTGAAATAATTGTAGTACACAATACATAGAGTTATTATGATCATATGTGAGATTATGCATGTAAAGTCATTAGCATGAATCTGAGAATACAGTAAGGACTCATTATATAATTCTTATTGTACATATTAGACTCTGTATTCAGAGTCCATCACATTTGAATCCTAAATTCCTAAAGAATTAGTTCTTTGTTCAAATTCTAAAATATTCGTGTGATATATCCATTATCCTCCTCATTCCAGGTACTACGGTTGTGTAACAAATTATCATCAGATTTAGTGGCTTAAAACAACAACCATATTATGTTCACAAATTCAGAGGATCAAAAATTGAGAAAGAATACAGTGGGGACAGCTTGATTTTGCTCCACAATATCTGGATCATCAGATGTCAAGACTCAAGGGCTGGTGATGACTCAGATGGTTGTGGGCTAGAAGCATCTGAAGGCACATGCCCTCATATATTTTGTGCCCACTCATGGAGGACTCAAAATCGGGGCTGCTTAGTGGGCCACCTACTTGCGGCATTTCTGTTAGGCCTGGCTTCTGCATAATATAGTGACCTCAGGGTAGTTGGAGCCCTAACTGTAAATGTTTGAATAAGTTAAGCTGGAAACTGCATCATCATCTCTTCTGATGAAGCCTCAGAAGTAATGCAGCAGAATATCTGCTGCTTCTATTGCTTACAAGAAAGTTACAAGACCACCAAAGCCTCACCAAAATTATTGTTATGTTTCCTTGCATAACTTTTTTTTTTCTATTCTTTACAAGCGTAAGTCTCAAAGCAGTGGGGATATGCCCCATATCCAGTACATGAGGGAATTGAAAACCTTGTGACATAATTGCAAACGGGTGAGTGGTAGAAAGGAAAAAATGAAAAATATAATGAAGATTACAACTCAGAGTCTTCATTTAGTTTGGTGTTTCATGAGGGCTTGTTCAAAGAAGTTACATTTAGGCTTATAAATATGTGGTTTCTGAAATTATAAACTCTTGTCTTACACACCATTAATCCTGAAGAAAATACAACTTTCTAATAAGAAACATCTCTCAACTAGACAAAACATGCTGCAGACAGCTCCTTCTCAGATGAGGCCAGTGACTCTCTGGTCACTATTCATTAGAAGATGATTTGACACATATGTGTATTGGAACGACATATAATCAAATGCTCTCTAAAAGCCTTCAAGAGAGTCCCTGTCAATAAAACAGACCTAATTGGTTGGAGACATTTGTTTTCATTTACTACATTAACAATCAAATGTGCTCTAACTCATCATCCCCAAAGGACACCAGTAAGAGTTGGCCCTGGCCTCCTAAGATTACTTCTGATTCTTGGCAGAATATAATAGACTACAGAGCATTACAAGAGACACTGTAACATCTAAAGATTTCTGTGAGATGTGCTTGATACTATAGAAATAATAACAGATAAACTGTATCACCATTATCATCATCACTAATATTGAGTTATTTCTATGTGCCATGCACATTTTAAAGAACTACAGAAAATAATTTATATTATTGTCTTTATTTTATCATTAACAGAAAAAAAATTTCTCAAAAAGAAAATGCTTAATGTTCCCAAGGCCACACATCTTTGAAACAGCACAATCAATATCCCAACCAGTTTTCTTTTTTATTATTTTTTTTACATTAAACTTTATGCATTGGCACATGACAATTTTGCTTTCTTGCAAATCTAAATTACTATTGAGGCTGCCCATACTCCAACCTTTAAAAAGGAACCTTAGAGCACAAAAAGTGAGCTAAATGTATGCAAATTTTAAAAACATTTAGGAAGTTGTGAGATCCTATGTTGGAAAACAGAATGTGACAAAACGACTGGGGTGTACTATATGACATAACCTCAGTAATATGACAAGGAGTTAAAACCTACTGACAAAACTAACTTTAGAAACAACTCTAATGAATAAAGTTGTTTCCCAACATTACTGCATTATAATCCTCCATTCATAACCACAGTTATTTGTGCCTATTCTCATTTCATATAGTCATTACTTCCTTCTTTTCTTCTTTCTTTCCTTCTTGCCTACCAACATGCAAGTGGCTACCACGTGGTAGAAGACAAGACAAATAAATATCAGACCTATCCTTTTAATGCTTAAAACCCACTAAGAGGAGATAGATATTAGCATCAACAAGCAGAGTGACAGAAAAATGCACAACATATAGGAGGGCTACATAAAGGAATTTGCAATTAATTACTCCAATATACATAAAAGGAAGACATTAAAAGGCTACCCAGAAGGACTAATTTATATAAGGTAGACAATCCAGTTGTTTTTGTCTGTTTCTATTAACTCTGTCACAAAAGTCATTTCAAAAAATATTTCTCATCTAGCCAAAAAAAAAAAAAAAAAAACCCGGGAAACCAAAAACTACATTTTTAGTCATAGGCAATGCAAACAGTAGATTTAACAGCTACAAACCTATATATACAAAAGCTTAAGTCAAATAAAGTGTATGACTCTTTCATGGAGGTCAGGATGTGGGCAGTTCCAGGTTAGTATGGTGGTCCTTCTCCATGAGGTCTCTAGGAACTCAGCCTTTTCTCCTCCTGATTCATCAATAGTATGTAGCATTGTTCTAATGATTAAATATGTTAATTAGGTCTGGAACATATAATTCACATTCAGGTAGCAGATTGAAAAAACAGGTCTAGGAAAATGGGACAGGGATGACAGCTTACTGCCTTTCAGGGAAAGTTCCAGGAATTTGACCTATAACACTCCTATATAAAGCGTTACATACTATATACTATGTAACTAAGTATAGAGAATGTAGCATTTATTCAGAACCACTATACACTCAGCTACAATTTTACAATATAGCTATAGGTTCTACCGCACCGACTTACGATCCAGAGGGAATTAATTTGGTCTTTCTGAACATATTTATAAATCAACATCACCATTTTATAGCCATTACACACAGATTGTGGCTATAAAACAATGCTCCCTGGTATCACTTTATGCACTGATGAAAATTTATAAATTTTATAATATATATCTGTATTCTTCAATAAAATGGCCAGTAGCCTCATGAGCTATTATTGAGCACTTGAAATGTGACTTATGTGATTAAATAACTGAAATTTTATTTGATTTGTTTTTGTTTGCTTTAAACTCAATTTCAATAGCTACATGTGGCCAGTGGCTACCATATTAACAGCATAGCTAGAAAATTTAGAAAGCTCTCATAACAATGATTGGCTAAAATTTTCTTCCCAGCATTTGATGGACCACTTACAGATTTGTTTGCTTGATTACCTGTGAAGAGCATGCTTTCCAACTTATAGGAGACTTTTGTGATGATACATTAAACAAAACCATAGCCACAAATACGTGTTCTCTTCCTTTTTCCTATTTCCCTGTAAAGATTTTAGTCTAAATTTCCTATAATCTTGCTGCCTTTTGTATTTCTCATTTTAAAAATTAATAAAAATTTAAAAAAGGATCCAGTATGATCCTTTGTATTAATCTGTACCAATGTCTAAAAGAAATTGGGTCCTCACCCATCCCAGTGAGTGATGCCATAGGGATACATGGTAGAATTCAGCAGTAAAATCATCCTTTCCTTGGCTTTTCTTTGATGGGAGACTTTTTGTTACTGATCAATCTCATTACTCATTAGGACTGTTCGGGTTTTCTATTCCTGTTTCAAAATTGGTAGGTCATTTGTGTCAAGGAATTTATTTATTTATTTTTCCAGGTTTTCCAATTTGTTGGTGTATAGTTGTTAATAATAGTTTTAATGCTCTTTTTATTTCTGTGTTATCAGTTGTAATGTTTGGGTCTTCCCTTTTTTTTCCTAAGTCCATCTAGCTAATGGTGTATCGATTTTGTTTATATTTTCTAAAAACCAACTTTTCATTGTTGATCTTTTGTATTTTTGTTTCTATTTAGTTCTGCTCTGATCTTTATTATTTATTTCCTTCTACTAATTTTGGGTTGGGTTTGTACTTACTTTACTAGTTACTTGAGTTACATGTACTTCAAAACTGAATACTGCTACATTACCTGAAATGTATTTCCAAAAAAAAAGTTTAAATAGAGAATTTTTTAATAAATTTATTCCTAAACAATTGTTATTATTACTGAAAGTTTTTTTCTGAGGAAAATGCAGTTGAACTGATTACCGACTGCAAAAATCTAATAACTTTCATTTCAAAGAAAGCATGATGCATGCTGTCAAACATGTATTGTTCACTACACACTGTCACAAAATTCTTTTCTTGCCAGCATTCCAGAACAGATTTAAAGATAAATCAAACATTACCTGAGAATGACTGATTTAATCAATGCTCAAATGAAAGCAAGAAGCATTTTGCCTTAAATATTACACAAGAATTCATCATAAATGCACCACATTAAGAAGTACACTGCTATATGTTAATATCATGCATGATTACTAAAGAACAATATGTTTACTATTTTTCAAAAGCCAATGACATTTCACAGAAATATAGTTCTAGAAATATTTTATTTCCCATTAAGTTACTAGTGAAAATATTCCTGAGGTATATGGGTAGCTGTTGAAATGTCATTTGGCTTTATTTGGTCTAATAATTCATTAGCTAATATTTCAATTTGATCTAAAGGACAGACACTAGATATGAGGGGTGAGCTAATGAGTTCAAAATGGATGAACACTATGACATCCTCTTCACTGCTACCATACACGTTTCTAAAATAACCAAAATAGGCCAATGTCTTTGTAGAGTTACTTATTATTGTGTGATAAATTACCACAGACTTAGAAGCCTAAAATACCACACTTTAATATCTCACAATTACTATGAATGAGGAATCAGGCCACAATATATTTGTGTCCCCAGCAAAGCTGCATGCAAGGAAGGTGTTTTCCAGGGCTGGTTTCTCATCTAAAGGCTCAACTGGAGAAGAATTCACCTAAAGGCGAATGCTCTCATAGCTATTGGTCGCATTCAGCTCTCTATGGACTATTTGCCTGAGTATCTCTCTTTCTTACTAGGCTGCAGGCAGCCCTCAGTTCTATGCCATTTGACCCTCTTATGGAAGCTCACTCCATTACAGCTCGGTTCTACAAAGCTACTTAGGGAGAATCTCCTTGCAGGACAGGCATTATAATCTTATGTAACACAACCACGTACACATAATCAAGCACATCCTGCTTCTTTGCCATATTCTATTTTTCAGAAGCAAGCCACTGGTTTCACCCACACTCAAAGGGAGGGCATCACATAAGGTTGTGAATACTGAGAGGCAGGTATCACGAGGTCCAGCTTAGAGTCTGCTTGCTACAACCACTTTTAAAAATTGGTTAAAAAAACTGAAAATAGAATATTCATTTCCTACTGATAAAATTCATAATCTGGTGTCAAACGATTTTTACAGTTTCATCCTTTGTCATTTAGACCTGTTATCTAAGTTCCAGTCACTCACTCAAATATTCTTAAAGTTTAAAAAATATCCTTCTTGGGCCGGGCGCGGTGGCTCACTCCTGTAATCCCAGCACTTTGGGAGGCCAAGGCGGGTGGATCACAAAGTCAGGAGATCGAGACCATCCTGGCTAACACAGTGAAAGCCCGTCTCTACTAAAAATACAAAAAAAAATTAGCCAGGCGTGGTGGCGGGTGCCTGTAGTCCCAGCTACTCGGGAGGCTGAGACAGGAGAATGGCGTGAACCCAGGAGGCGGAGCTTGCAGTGAGCCAAGATTGCGCCACTGCACTCCAGCATGGGTGACAGAGTGAGACTCTGTCTCAAAAAAAAAAAAAAATACCCTTCTTCTCACTCAAGTATTCCATCTGTATGAATACTTCCCTTCTCCACGTTCACAGATAACTTTCTGCACAGTATTATTTTGTTACTTTTAAGAATAAATTATATGTATTTGTTTATAGTCAATCTCTGCATCTATACTAGGAGCTCCTTTTTAAAAGTCAGGTTTCTTGCATTTACTTACACAAAATAAAATTTACTGAATACATGAATGTGTAAACGAATGGGGGGGGATATGGTTTGATAGGAAAGAAATGTCATGCTATTATTACTTAGATTTAGTGTTTTATAATGTTCTTTTTATTTTCTAGGCTTAAATATTCTAAATGTGTTAATCACCATTTTAATTTATTTATCCAAGAACTCTTTAGCAGTAATAATATGACTACTTGGTTATTACCTATATTTTTTGTTTTAAAAACTCTAAAATCCTCCTTCCCCTATAATATGCTGTTTCTTTTTGTTCTTCTGAAAGTTCTGGGTAATTGACTCATTTCAGTTACGATATTAAAAGTTCTGTTTACCAAGTTAATATAAATTGGGAAATTTAACATAATATCCATTAGTATGACAGTATATATGACTTGACATTTGAACTCAGTAAACTTGCAAGACCGAGAAGCTCCAGAAGGTTCCAATGCTTTAATCAAAAAAAATGAGTGAAGGAATATACAGTGCTCAGGACAGTTCTTGACAGATAAGATCTATATATGGTATACAGATGAACTAATTTTCATTCACTGATTAATTATTTAATATTATTGCATATTCTTTAATATTTTTCTAATAGTTAGAGATCCTTAAGTTTGAGAAGTCCTGATAAGATACCAAACTTATATTTTAATCTAACAAATACTTCTTGATGTTTATAAGGATGATCATGGACTGACCACTGCTCTTAATGAATTTATGGTCTAAAAAGGCTTTTTGGTATCTACTCCTTGGTAGTCCCAGCTGCAACCTTTCTGCGGTGCAAAGGCTAAGAATGATTTAGGACCAGAAAAGGTAAAATTAAAACACTCTCTCCCATAGAATGCTCACAAACGGTTAGGAGTTCAGGTAAATTATTGCACATTTTAACTCACCTATTGGGGAACACTTCTAACTTTAGGAGAGGTGGACAGTGTGGGTCATACTTACGTGGAATGGTGGCCTAAACAAATGCTTTATATTCAGTATCCAAAGGTAAATTTTTATGGAGAAACTGAAGCAGCAAACCAGGAGCCAACGGCAGGGTAATCAATGAGTGAGCTGAACATGAAAACCAAGAATGTAAAAATATTTTTCACTTAAAGGACAACAAAGTGCCCCTGCTTTCTATTTTGGCCTCAATTCAGACTGTCAATTTGGTCGGAAATACTAACTTATTTTAATAAGACTGAGCAGGAGTTTTTTTTAATCCTAAAATATTAAGCAAAACAAACATTGGTGGGCAAAGAAATAGACACATATATGCAACACGAAGAAAGGAATTAAAAAAAAAAGCAATGTCTTGGTGTGGCAATGATAGCTTTTCATAATTGAATATAACTGATTTATGTATGGTCTTTAATTTTCACACAAACCTCTTAGACATTGTTACTCCCATATTGTAGTGGAAGAAACTAAGCTTCAGAATTGAGTGATTTCCTTATGACTGATGGGATTTGATCTAAGGTCTATCTGAGTCCAAAGAGTAACTTCTTCACAGCCTAACTGTGTTAGTCGAAAATGAATTAAGCCAACACTCTGTTAAGTGACAGTTTAGTCACCATAAATACATACATGCATAACCCCACAAAAAAGTCCTGAATAATACAAAGGACATCTCTACAATGTCACAGTAATTTGTAGAATCACTTGTGCAGCTGAAGGACATGTATTTGAAAGAGAAATCTCTAATATTTACAAATTCTTGTGACTCCTTTGAAAGAAGTCATTTCAAGAATATTATTGGTAGCATTTGGAGGGTGCTGTTTGCTCCCTTGGTAGGGTATTAAAGATGTTGTGATTTAAAAGGCAGGCACAATTAAGGAGTATGTTACTAGACAACATCGAGATTGATAAAGGTTAGTAGGTAATATGGGAAACTTTTGCCAAATGGAAATTTGCCAAAATATCCTTGGAGAGACTGTAAAAGCTACTCAAGGAATTTGGTTTCAAGGATATTCAGAATTTTTGATTTAGTGTTCCTATTTATAATATTATATATGAAATTGAGCCATATAGTAAATGACAATGGTCTAATATTTTGAACTCCAGACACTGTATAAGGCACATATTAAAAGGCAATAAAAAACATACTACCTGCCTCCCAGGAACTCACTCTTTATTAGTTTCCTATGATTGCTATGACAAATTACCACAAACTTGGTTGCTTAAAACTAAAGACATTTATTCTCTCACAGTTCTAGATGTGTTTTCTTTACATTCTTAAAAATTGAAGATCCTAACAAACTTTTGTTTATGTGGGTGGTATCTGTTGATATTAAGACATTTAAAAATATTTATTTTTAAGTTTATGTAAAATAACAATATTAAAAAATAGTAAGCCCATTACATGTTGACCTTAATAGCCTACTTTAATTTAAAATAGTTACATTTTCCAAATTAAAATTTTATTGAAAACAGGTTTTGTTTCACATTTTAAAAAATCTCTTTACTTTCTGGCTTGAAAAGAGAGCTTCATTCTCACATCTGTTTATGTGTTCATTCCAGGTCAATGTTTTCAGTGAGCTGAATAGTGGCCATGCAAAGATATTAGGTCCTAATCTCTGGAAACTATGAGTGTTACCTCATAAGGAAAAATGATCCTTACGAATGTCATTAAGTTAAAGATCTTGACATGGGAAGATTACCCGGAATTATCTGGGTGGGCCCTGAATGTAATCACAAGTATTGTTATAAAACAGAGGCTAAGGGAGGTTTGACACAGAAGAGAAAGCAGTGTGATCACAAAGACAGAGATTGGAATGATGCGGCTACAAGCAAAGAGATGCCTATAGTTGCCAGAAGCTGGAAGAGGCAGAAAACAGATTCTCCCTTAGAGTCTTAGAGAGAACAGGGTCTTATCAATTCCTTGATTTCGACTCAGCGATACTGTTTTTTGGTGACTTTGACATCTAGAACTTTGAGAGAATAAATGTCTTTAGTTTTAAGACATAACGTTTGTAGTAATTTGTCATAGCAACCACAGGAAACTAATACAATGTTATTTCACTTGATGTTAATGAAGAAAATGTCACCTCATATGAATAAATAGTTGGAAAAGGACTATTTTAATAGCTTCTTAAGATAATTGCAGACCTTTAATTTGATACTATGCCAAAACTCAATAGATGGTAGTGTTTATTAAAGGTTGTTTGTAATGTGGTGCTTAAACTTTCATACTCTGTTATTTTAAAATCCATTCATCAGTTTTGTGATTTCAATTGCTCTTTTAACCACAGATGATTTGAAACATCCTGCATTGGTTGCTTAGAACATTTCTGTTTACTGAGTTATGAAGATCTAAAATTTTATATATAACTTTAATTTAAAATAGTTATATTTTCCAAATAAAAATTTTATTGAAAACAGGTTTTGTTTCACATTAAAAAAATCTCTTTAACTTTAGGCTTGAAAGGAGAGAGCTTCATTCTCAGATCTGCTTATGTGTTCATTCTGGAACAATGTTTGCAGTAAGCTGAATAATGGTCATGCAGTCACCAGAAACTGGAAGAGGCAGGAAACAGATTCTCCCTTAGAGTCTTCAGAGAGAAGAGAGTCTTACCAAAAGAGTTTTCCCTTTCTCTCACAACAACATCCAAACACATGGAAAGCCCTTTAAAATACAGCATCCAATTATCATACTAGTCTTGTATTTGATCACTATATTCCAAACAACTTAAGCAACAATGAAACTAAATTTTTACTCTTTCTTGCCTTCAGTCATTTGACAAATATTGACTGCATGACTCCTAAAAACAGACAGCACTTTACTAGGTAGTAGGCAAAGAAAAATGAATGTCTTTGAAACACTTATTTCTAACTGTGGTAGATCAGATTGTATACCCCATTCCTCCTTCTGGGAACACCTAGACAATTTTCATGAAACATGAAGACAAACAAAAGAAAATCTCTTTGAAGGCATTGGAGAAATACCAAGACAGTCAAAACGTGCAGGGCCAACATATTTGCTAGAAGGGAAATGTAAAGAAATGAGTTTGACATTGTGTTCCTCCTTTCCTCTCATGAAATTTGCATTTGTCAAACTGTATGAGAGAGCCCGAGAAACAAAGAACCTTTCAAAGAGCAAGTCAAACACATGTTACTAGATTCCCAGATGGAGAAGAAAAGTACATGGAGCAGAAACAATATTTGATGAGATAATGTATGATAATTTAAAAAAATCAATTTAAGGGCATGTATTTAAGAAGAAGTAAAGGGGGTAAGATAAATTTGGAGAAGAACACATTGAGTTACATGAGAGTAAAATTGCTGAAAATCATAACGTAGAGAAAAATCTTAAACACAGTCAGAGGGGAAAAAAAGACTATCTTTGAAATAATGAAAGCAAGACTGGTAATTGTCTTTTAAGCAGAAATGAAAGAACTCAAAATATAATGAAATGGACTATCTTAAGGATGAAAAGTAAACAACTGTCAATTTTTAATTCTATAACCAATAAAATGGTGCTAAAAAGAAAACTTAAAAGAGATATTTACAAACAAATAAAAAAAAACTGACAAAACTAGTTAAGAGAGGACACCTAATAAAGTAGTTATTTAGGCAGATAAAAATTGATCCCAGATGAAAATATGTAAATGCAGGCAGGAATAAACAACAAAGAAACAGTAACTATGTTTATAAAGACAAATGAGTATTAACGCATAAAACAGTGATAATAACAAATTTTAGAGTTTAAAAATATGTAGAATTAAAGCATGTAACAATAAGTTCACAAAAATAGGAGAGGACTGTATTTAAGGTGTTTTAAAGCACCTAACATTGTAAAGGATGTGGTAAGAAAACAATTTATACTGCTCAAGAGATAATAATGTAAAAATAGGAAAACTGTTTAAGTAACAAGTTCATAAAGTGAGAAAATGAATAATTAATAATACTTAGCCCAAAAGAAAGAATAAAAATGAAAAAAAAAGTTGGTAAAACCAAATAAAAAATCAAATGGTATAAGGTAATTGTCAAATAACACATATCAATAATTATGCATATATTAAATACACTGCTGGAGAAACGATTGTCAGACTGAATAAAAACAAAACTCAGAAATATGCTGCTTTCAAGAGATACTTCTTAAAAACAATAATATCCAAAGGTTAAAAGTGAAATTATAGAAAAAAAACTCATGAAAACTCTACTCCAAAGAAATCCAGCATAAAATTTTGAAAGTAGACTTTGCAGCAAGATATACGTTCCATGTTCCTTGGAAAGTAGACTGTAAGATGAAAATTAGCTACAGGAGTCTTTTTTGGGTAATTCTTTTTGGATCAACGCCTGTAGGGGAAAGGAAGGAAATAGGTATAGGAAAGGGGCAAGACAGGTTATGCTACAGTTAGACAAAGGACTCAGGTGACTCCATGCAAAGAATGAAGCTGAGAAAGCTCTTGAGAGTTGCAGGAGTTGGAGTGAGGTGGCTAGACTCTTAAATTAAAACTTTTTATCAACCAATCACTGAATGTTGGCTGTCATCAGAAAGGGGGCTTGACCTTGGGTAAGATGTCTTCCTTCAGCAGAAGGCTAAAAGTTGGAGTTGTCAATCAGGAACATTTCTAATAGCTGGGAGAATAAATCCTTTAGTCCTGATGGGGATCTAGGGAGCACAGAACAGTCAACTACACAGGCTTTTCTTGTTTAGGAACAGACCAACAAGAAAATGGTGCCACTTACATTTGTGCCAAGCTATGCTAAATCATTTATTACTTGAATTCTTATAATAATCATAAAAGATGGGCATCCTTACCATATGCTTACAGATGAAAAATTGAGAATCTGGAAGTCAAGTATCCTTATAAGAAAAGTTAAAGCAAACCTAAGTTGATGTGACTCCCAAGTTTTAGTATTTCCACTATGCTTGTAATTTGTAGCCTAGTAAGTGATTAACTCTAAGAGGAATTTGATAGTACAGATAAAAGTTTAAAAGTTGAACTGAGCTTACTTTTAGTTTATTTTCATCTTGTTTTATTCTTTTCTGAACAAATGACACATTTATTCCATAAATAGTTCCATTTTAGTTCCATTTTAGTTTGAAGGAAAGTGATTCTATGTCTTAAAAGTACTCTAGAAGCTAGATGTAAAGTACTTTTAAATCTGGCATCATTTGATACAGGGCATCCCAAAGAAAAGCCAGTATGACTCATGCTACTAATATGGTTTTCTCTGTATCACAGAGACAATGAATCTGAGTTTCCTTTATTCTCAAGAGATTTCAAATGTGATCATTTCCAATGACTAGCCATATTATTCCACAGCTACAATCTTAGAGCATATAGTATAAAATTGCCCAAGTATTTGGATCAAGGTATAAAATGAAGAAATCACTGTGTACTTTGGCTCAATTTGGGAAAATTCTACAATGGTATATTAATCCTCTAATATTCTATTTATACTGAGTAGTGTAGAATTTGGAGAGAGATAGTAAAATAACCAAAAACTGGAATAAATCTATTAAAGTAGGTAACATCTCCATTAGTTTTCACCTTGGTAAATCAAAAGCAAACAAGTCAGGGTCAGCTATGGCCACTATTTCTATTAGAATTTTGTAAGGTTAGGTATTCTCTTCAGAAATCAGTGTGTGTGAGTGTGTATGTGTATGTGTGTTGTGTATTGTGTGTGTATTTATGTTTGTGTGCTAGCCTTCACATGTGTGTAAGAACCAGAGCAAAGTGATAGCACATTTTTGAGCATCTATAAACAGGAATTTTATTTGGAGAATTATTATCTTAATATGTTTTCCCCTGTTTTCTGGAAATTGAAGAACTTCAATTCTCACTGCCTTACTGTGACAGAGATGCCATGAGGTATCTATACATATTGAAGGCTAACACAAAATCAATTGGAGTGATTATACAATTTAGCTGCATTTGTGGTGCTAATTTATCTACAGGCATCTGTAAATGACTTTTTTATAAAAAATTCAAAGGCTTTGCTAAAAGCCAAATTAGGCTTGGTGGCAACACAAAAACATTATCAACAAGGGAGGTATCTAAAAGCATGAACAAACAAGGAAATATTACGTGATTTCTGGAAAGACATAAAACCTGATATCAATTTATTAAGTGCTGACTATTGTTTTAGTTGAGATCTGAACAAAATTGTGTTGATGGTGGATTTGCCAAGTTTCTCTACTGGGATCCAATTTACCTTTTTCCTCTTGGATACTTCTCCGACAAGGTAACTGGGGCCTGCAGTTATTAGCAAGTTACAGTTACCAAAGTTCAGTGACTGCTCAATGCAGGAAAGGTTATAAATAAAGAAAGAACATTCCTTTATATTATGGTTCCAATGCTATAAAAATTAAAAAAATAAAAATTTGGTACACTGTGAACATCAGTGAAAAGAAACAATGAAAACTAATTTGATCCAATGGCAACAATCTTCAAAATTCATAGAGAAAGCAACTAACATATTAGAGATGCTTATATTTATGCCACTGACAGTAATGACAAAAGGAGGCACTTAATGAAGAAAAAAAATTTAAAAAGACCTTTTTTTCAAAGTCATAAGTACAATTATTCATTTTATTTGAATCTGGTAAATTCTGTCAGAGTAGTCACAGATAGAGTTTCTGTATCCTGTAGGTCCTTGCAAAATGTTAAATTTGACAGAAATTTTAAAGGTTATTTGATTTGACATCCTCATTTTAAAGAAATATACAAGCCGGGTGCAGTGGCTCACGCCTGTAATCCCAGCACTTTGGGAGGCCGAAGTGGGTGGATCACTTGAGGTCGGGAGTTTGAGATCAGCCTGACCAATATGGTGAAACCCCGTCTCTACTAAAAATAAAAAAAATTAGCTGGGCGTGGTGGCAGGTGCCTGTAGTCCCAGCTACTTGGGAGGCTGAGACAGGAGAATTGCTTGAAACTGGGAGGCGGAGGTTGCAGTGAGCTGAGATTGTGCCACTGCACTCTAGCCTGGGCGGCAGAGCTAGACTCCATCTAAAAAAATGTAAATAAATAAATAAATAAATAAATAAATAAATAAATAAATAAAGAGAGATACAAAAAGTTTAGTGATTGCTCCACTGTGGCTGAGATGAAAATCCATCATATTTTTTTCCTCAGCTGTCTTTCAATCACACTGAGCAATAGAAAATTCTTCCCTCATTTTTTTTTGTGGTAATTTTTAGCTGATAGAACTTAGTAACTAAACAATTGATCTTTATTTAAAGGCCATAGAGAGATTTAAAGTCTTAGAATTATATCTATCATAAAACTTCAAGAAAATTCACAAATGCAAGCCACTACACAAATAAAATGAACAGGCTTATAAGTAGGCTTTCAAAAAGAACATTGTTCATTCTGCATATAGCTTGAAGGGTCAATAAATTGAAGATTTATTAGATGAGAAATTCTGGTCTTTAGTCTCTACATGGAAACGCCACAATAGCTTGAGTTGAAAATCTTAGAACTAAGTATTCTTGATGCTTTCAATGCATATGAGCAGAGATATTTCTAAAGGCATTGAGGCAAGTTGACAATATTCTTTATAGATGAAATCAAGTGAGTTATATCGATTTTATTACAAATAAATTAACAACCCATTGATATGTAAAGAGAAGGATAATGTTTGAAAGCTGGACACTAATTATCACTTAACAGTGCTCTCCAGGTATCCTTAACTCATTTATATGGCAGATTTATCATCTGTATAAACACATACATTTAGGCATTATCCATAGAAGTAATTACTTAAAATGATATAGTTGAGTTTTCTTAGAATGGTAAATGGGCAAACTGACCTATAGCAATAATCACTAATGCTGCTGGAGTCTTTGCCCTTTAGTGTTTTATACTATGCATTGTATGTAACAGCTGTAAAACAGACATGAAATAAAGAATCCAGGTGACATCATTAAAATGGAATTCAAAATGTCATCATCCTCTTCCTTCTGCAAAGTGGTTATTTGTAACTCTGTTGTAGTTTGATTCAAATTAGATATACTATACATGATTAAAATATGTTTGTTCACAAACAGAAACATTCACATATTCACATATTCATATACTAGTCAATGTTTCACTGATTCAAAGTGATTTTTCTGACAACCTCATGTATTTAAAGTGAAGTTGACCATAGAAGAAGGAAGAAATAATTACTTCAGGCTGGTACAATCAGGAATCACTGTATGGAGAAAACGCACCTGACCAGGAAGCTGAAGTAGGCTTTAGATACTCAGAGACAGTAGGAAGGTATCATTCAGAGACAGTAGGAAGGCCAGAAATCAGCAGTAGCATAATCAGACAAAGCCAGCTAGGAGAAAATTATCACCTGATACCAGTCAAGTCAACCATTATGTATCCTGAAGTTATGTTGGACTAGAATAACTAATGACATTTCCCCTAAAATTCAATCATCCTTTTAATGTTTTAACATCTGCTCAAGTCTCCATTTGTTTCTGTAGTAATCAGTGTTTGAGGATAATTTAAATTTTTTTCATATTTGTCAAAATTATTAAATGTTAAGAATGAGAAATGTTAAAAAAAATTATGAGAAACCATTGATTTGGGTTCAGCTCCTGTACTAACTCTCAATAACCAAACCAACATTGAGTCGCTCATGCTAAATTTCCACATCACCAAACCAAAACTAAGTTGTTTATCTGACCTTCTGAGAAATCAGAGGAGAAATGATAGCCAAATCCCCACACAGGCCAGTTTTAGCCAGCATGATAAGAAAGTCCCCTCTGGTTTAACCATTGCAAAGAAAGCAATCTAAAGTAACCTGATGTTAACCAATCTGCTTTTTGTATGTGCTATTTTTGTAGTTATTGTTGTTCCTTCTGAAGCTATCTTATAAAAACTAACTGTTCTGCCATATCCAGTGGAGCACTTTTCTGTTCTTCAGATGAGATGGCCAATTTATACATCAGTAATAAAAGCAATGAAATATTAAAACTAAATTTGTTATAATTTTGTCTTTTGACAAAATATTGTTGTGTACTCAGGTGGAACTTACATTCTTTAATGGTTTTATTTGTTTTTAAATACACTATATGTGTGCAATTCATATATTATAATCAAAATTATAATATATGTTTCCTTACAGATTTTCTAATGAATGATTTTGTAAAGAGTAATTCTTTAAAAGTTAGTTACTTTTATATTGTTTCCTAAATAAAAAATTTCATGTAAAATTTTAGGTTAAGTAATTAAAATATAATAACATAATAATGTTACTTTTAGGATTCCCAAATACATATAAAAATACTCCATGAAAGTTAGATTTTGTATCATCTGGTGATTTTTTACAAAAATAATTATAGGTGAACTAGTCTTGAAACCAGTATAGTCAACATACTGAAAGTTTTTAATAACACAAAAAAGCACAGAACACATCAAAGTAGTGAAGTCTTAATTGGGGGAATTGTATGATGTTTTAAGAGACTGGGGGGCTGGGTGTGTTGCCTCATGTTTGTAATCCCAGCACTTTGGAAGGCCAAGGCAGAAGGATCACTAGAGACAAGGAATTCAATACCAGCCTGGGCAATATGGCGAAACTCCATCTCTACTAAAAATACAAAAATTAGCCCGGGGGGTGCGCGGGTGTGGCGCATGCCTGTAGTCCCAATTACTCAAAAGGATGAGGCATGAGAATCGCTTGAACACGGGAGGCGGAGGCTGCAATGAGTCGAGGTCATGCCACTGCACTCCAGCTTGGGCAACAGACTCTGTCTCAAAGAGAGAAGAGAGAGAGAGAGCAAGTGATTAGGGGAAAATCAATCGGGGCCATATAATGGAGGAATCTGATTGCCAGACAAAGAGTTTTGATTTGGTTAGGTTATGGTAAATAACATGAGCTTGTTTGTATTTTAGGAAAATTTATAAGCACCATGTAAGCTAGATTGAAAGGAGAAAAAACTAAGCAGGGCAATAGACCTGTAGACCAGTAGACAATTTAGTGCAGGTGAGGGACAACAGGTTCCTAGTTCAGACTGGGGCAATGCGTGTATGGATATGTGGCGGTGGAACATCTATGCTGCTGTGATTGCAGTTAGTTGGAAAGATGGCAAAATGTGTAAGTGACTGGCAACATTGCTCATACATTATTTGTAACCAGGGAGAAAGATGATTATGAAGCACGCAGAGAGAAATGAGGTGAGAAAATGTCACATACATAAGTGAGTAGAAGGGGCAATTAAAAAAAAAAGAGAAATAGGTTCAAAGCAAAAATTGTATTCTCATGTCCACTGAAATTTTAATATATAGTTTTGATTCTTGAATTATATTTTAATTTCCTTCTATTCCAGTTTAACTCATAAAAATAGCATAACAATGATGCTTTAGTGTTATTTAATTACCACCCATTCCAGTGATCTGCATGACCCCATGACTTATAAAAGCAGCCAGGCTTATAGTTCTCTTAATCTTCTACTTTGAAGATATATTTCTAATGTGCAATCCAAGCCCTTTTAAAGGATAATTCTGGATTCTATTACTCTGCATCTTGCGTCTAGAATTAAATCGGATTCAGGGAGTCTATGAATGTGGAATGGAAAACAAATTACATCATTATTTCCACCTAGGCCTAACTGCAATTTAGCATTCCCTTTTATATGAATGTGGGCAACAAACTACAGCCGTAATAAAAGTATTTATGAATTTGCTATCAAGAGAAATCCCAAATACATTTATATCATATTGCAGTTGTTGAAGCTATCTCAACAAAATTTATTCTCATTTTCATTTTGAAATTACCAACACAATCACAGACTTCTTGTTTACAGACACTCACGTAACACTTGCCCAACAATGAGCAACCCTGTGCTTAGTCATTCAGTGATTAAACTTTAAATAAAGTCACATCTTCTTAACATTGCTTTCCAAGGTTCCTTATCTTCAGTTGTTGTTTGATGAAGAGGTAAGTTAAAACTATCCTACAATATAATGCACTAATTCAAGCTAAACAATAGACTTTACACTTTGCCAACTTTTTAAATGTATTTTTTGTTAAGTTCATTTAAAATCACATAAGTCACAATATCACATTGTGTATATTTTGATAGCTGCTTTTCAATGTAATTAATTTTATTTTCTATTCAATACATGTTATTTTATATATTTAAAATAATGATCTCAGAATAGTTTAATAGACTTCATGTGACTGCAACTGTTACATGTAGTTGGAATAAGCAAGACCTCATGAAGTAGCATATGAATGACACTTTTTGCTAAATAGGTGCTAGAATTCAAAGGACTTTTGTGCAAATAAAAATATACAAAAGTCCAGAAAGAAGCGCATAATAACGGTAACTATTAGGACTTTAGCAAAGCTAATCTGTGATTGACTGGAAAGGACACTAGTCTGTAAATCTTGATTTTGTCTTAATGCTATGCTTTTGGGCAACTCAAGTTTCCTAGATCTCTCTCAGAGTGCAAAATGTTGGGTTTCTGTCTGACAATATCTATCATTGTTTGAAAATGTGATTATATACCTATTTTATTTTTAGTTTAACATTGAGCTAAGAGAAAATGGAAAGTTCAGACAGGGATAGGTAAAGGTAGATTCTAATTATAGGAATGAGCTTATGGCGAGACAGGCTTGCCAAGGAGGGGGTCTCAATAGGGACGTGGGTCTCCAGGAAGAAGTCATAAGAAAAATGTCTGAAAAATAGTTTGAAGAAAACCAATGTATATTTTAGAATTTTCATTTTCTCTCTTTTATATTAGTTTCTACTATAAATGTATACCTGAGGCTCTCAAATATTATTTTCTTTTTCAGAGAAGAAGTTATTCTCTCTGGGTTGCTGAACTTTAGCCAATATTTTTAAGGCACAATTAATTGACCTCCACCTTTCAAAGCACTGTGTGCATTTAACTCAATTTCCTTAAATTACATAATTTAGGCGTCAGATATAAACTTCGAAATGTTATTTCTGAGATGTTAATAGTGCTTTTATTTGATTCAGAAGAACAAAGGAAAGCCTTTCATAAGGCATTCTGTAACTGATAATTGTTCTACCGCAAAAACGTCTTCTTAAGTCATAAAAGTGTTAATCATAATTATCTCTAGGTCTTGGAATGTGCAGTAGTAGCTGTCCTGTGGCTCAGTTTTAGGTGTAATTTTCCACCATTTGTCTAGCTTTTTTGTGATTTTTTTTCTTGGTTTGTCATATCTTTTTCTTGAGAGTGTTAACAGGTATAAAGTGATACATGACTATCTAAATTATATTTGTGCAAATACTGGTATCATATTATGATCCTCTGATATCGCCATAAAATGGTACAGTGCTTCTTATCTAATATTGTAGTGGGCAGAAAGTGAGCACACTAGTTAGTTCTAGTACTCATGAATAATGTATAAGGGTCAGGTAAAACCAATGAAAGATGAGAGAACATAACTGGGCTTCCCAATCATGTGACCAAACAGCCTGCAAATTGTCAAACATTTGGGCAAGGCCATCCTAGATAATTCAGCCACAGATTAGCCAACACACAAGAACTACACAACCAATACAGAAAATTATGAAAATAATAAACTTATGTTCCTTTAGGCCCCTAAGTAGTTATTGGATAGTTCATTAGGCATCAAAAGCTAAGTGATGAAAGAATGGCTGAGTCAACTCATAGTTTTAGATTTCTTGTTGATTTTTTTTGGTTGTGCTGAAATGCGGTTTTGCTTAAATTTTAAAATGGGAGAAATGTAAACATGCTTAAATACTAACGAGTATAAGTAAGTCTGAAAGACAGCACTGATGTTCCAGGAAGGAGACATGATATTTCTAATATGAAATAAAAACTAAATAAATAGTTTTTAAATAAGAAAATCCCACATGGGAGGATCTAATGTAATGGAAAAACAAAAGAGAAGGGATCAATCTATTAGGGTGTGGCTTTGCAAAGTTGAAGTAATTATTATTTATTACCTTACCATTCTCATGTGAAATAAGATGTTGGGTCATCTCTGAGCCTGGATAAGAAGAAGGTGATTCAGTGTTTTTAGCAGAGTAGAGAAACTTTTAAATACTGCTGCGAAAATAAGAGGCAGTGCTGAGCAGAGGAATAAAATGACAGTCTCCTTTGGAAATGAGAAATGACATTAGAGCTTAGAGTTTAAGTTTCAATTTTGTGATTCTTATTGCACAAAAGAAAATCCAATGTATTAGTTATGAATAAAATATATACTAAGCCTTATCCTCTCCATATGTAAGTCCCAGAGAGACATAATGCCTACTTCTGGGGTTTGAACAACAGTTGTTCTCACACTGCCTTGGTTGAAAGCCTCCTCAATATACTGCTCTCTTAACATCTGACCTTAGACTTCAGGTCCCAGACAGTATTATTCTTTCACTTTTATCAATCATTATTAATCCTCATCTAGACAGATAACTTTTTAAAATAATCATGTGAAAGCTTATTTTGTTTTCAAATTTCTTCCTTGAGTTCTGATTCAGTTTCTTTGTGGGAATTAGTGGTGTTCTTGATTCATTTTTGGTTTGGTGCTGATGTGAGAAGGAAGGGTAATTATGAATAATAGTAATAGAAACTGTTGCTTAAGAGGCTAGATATTTTAGGTATCACTGCTGTGCTTTTTAGATAACATACACATACCCACATCACATATTCATTAGATTCTCAGGAGCAACAAATTTTTATTTTTTACACTTAACTCTTTGTCTCATCTGTTGATGGACAGATGAGACAGAGAGGTTCAATAACTTGCCCTAGGTAAAAAATTTGCAGTAGCAGAGGCAAGAGGCAAACCCGGGAGTCTGATTGCAGAATTTGTGCTTTTAACTATTAACCTTGTCACAATAGACACTTAGATTGCCACAGTTATCTGACAAATGTGTTAACATACTATATTATCTTGACAAACATATTAAACATATTAATTCAGATAAATGATATATTTCTGCTAGGCAGAAACTATTTTGAATGAAACAGATGAGTTAAGCAAATGAATACAATTTTTAGTGGTATCAACAGGTCAAAACTTATAGTTTAAAATAAAAGGATTTATTTTAGCATTTATTTGGTTCCTCAAACATTAAACATTATGGAGATGTAGAATTCATTATCCACTTGTACATAATTAAGAAATGGTTGTATAAATTCATAAATGTATATGATGCAGAAGAAATGCTTGAATAGCATTGTATTGTATAAGAATGATAAACCTGAATAAAAGATAATAATAGTTTTGTTTAGCAGCCTTTTATGCTACTGAAATCAGTAATAAGATATATTCAAAACTACAATGACAGAAGCTCAAATAATTTATATGTATTTAAACATGCATATTTCTAATGATATTGAAAGCCTAGAAAAATGTAATCACAAAACTTGATATAGGAAACCATTTAGAATACTTAGGCAATGGTTTATGAAAGGGAAGAAATGCTATAATGATAAAATAGTCTTTCTGATGACATCCAGAATTTTTGATTGTCATTTTAACAAAGCTCATTGATAATCCAATGATCAGCAAATGTTTATAGGCCCCAAAACAATGTCAGTTGGATTAAGTGAATGTTTAAAAATATTGTAATACAGACTGAATATGCAAAACAGGATAAGAAGGACCTCTTTAATTTCTTTTCTATAAATATCATTTTTTAAAAGTTGGAAGAAAATGTAAAGGATAAGTTAATGTTCTACTTTGTATGTTTATGTAAGAATAGTCCAGGGCTAAATTAAATCTTTGTCTGTTTGTTTAAATGAAGAACAAAGTTTATACTCAAGTTTTAAATATCCAGTCTAAAATTAAAAATTAATATATACTTGAAATACATACACAACATATTAAGCAGTTAACACTTGTTGAAACAGGCCTGAATCTAACTCACAAAATATAAATCAATATAGAACCTGTTTTCTCATTTAAAAACTTTTTGGAATAATAATATTTATATTTAGATATTGCCTGAATTCAATGGTACCTCAAATAGTTTATTCCAAAACTTCCATGTAAAACAAGACTCGAATGAATTTTTTTACACTAGAATTCTCAGGCAATTTTTGTTGTTGTTGTTACATTTCACCATAGTTGATGAAAGGGATACACTTCAGAAGTCTGATAGGGCAGTAATGCAGAGCAGCCGTGTCCACAGAAGCGTTCTGCTTCTCGTGTTTCTGTTCTGGAGAGAATTCCATGGACATGTGCTAATGTTTTTGTTAGTCTCCTCCATACAATTCTCTCTCACCATCACTAGTGAAAACAGGCTCCATATCATTTAATCACTCTATAAGAAAAGAAATATTTGTTTCTGATGTCCCAACACTTGCCTTACTTTGCAGAAGTAAGGAAAAGCTGAACAGGAAAAATTACATGGAATATTTATAATATTATTACCCATGTTTTCTAATAAGAAAAATCTCCCTTTATAAAATAAGAGTGCTTATATGTTCCTACTAAAGACACTAGCAGTCTTAGCTAGATTTGGTTCGAATATTTTTATCCAAAATTGTGAGGAAATAGTTAGGCAAGGTTTTACTGCTACATTGAAATTTGTCATGTAACTATATTCATTCATTATGCATGATTCTGCAAATGAGTAGTCTCTCTATTGGCAAATGAGTAATTGCTTCTTCCTGTAACTCTTTTTATTGTTTCACAATTAAATATAAAATACCTAAGAACAAAACTGAATAAGGAATATGAAATATATCCAAAATAACTCAGCGTAAAGTAGATCTCAATTTACCACTCCCACCTGAGCTCTTTTCATTACCTGTCTATATTCTGCTCAGCTTGGACAATTTGCTCTTCCCTGGACATATCTTGTACCTTGTAGCCTCAGTGTATTTACGGTTGTCATTGCATCTGCTAAAATATCCATTTGTCAAAACCCTAGCCTTTCTTTAAGCCACAGTAGTGATGTGACATCCATGAAATCATCTCCAATCATTATAACGAAATTATTTCTTCTGGCTTCAATAGCATCATGTATGTTTTCTGAACTATATATCACACAATGTATTGAATTACAGTTGCTTCCATAAATATCATCTATTCTACTATCTGGTCATTTTTTGAGAACTGATCTTTGTATCTTTGTAAGCCGTTTTAGCCAAGGTCATCTTAAGCCAGCCCTGATCTACTCTACAGCTGACCATATATGCATGAGTTAGCCCAGCCACGATGAGGAGAGCTCAACACAGATTACTCAAACAACCCAGTTGATTTGTAGATGAATGAGAATAAAATAAATGGTTATCGATTCAAGACGAGATGTTTGTTATGGCTTGTTTTACAGTAAGAGCTGATATTGCAGTTGACTGCCTTTGTGAGCTCTGTTAATTCTAATGGGTCTAAATGTTTGTATTTCACGTGTCCTGTAAGGTGTCACAGTACATCCTCATGACTATTCCTCCTGACATCTTGCTTTTGGTATCCAAAGTATTTCTACTGTAGCCTAAGATTACTCAGAGCTGATCCTTAGATCTCTCTGTTAACAACCATGTATCTCATGGTGGTCTTCTAGTAAGTTTCTTCCAGAGATACTAAAGAGGCTCCATATGCTTTCTTTTATTAGCAATTTTTAGGTACTACATCTCCTCTAAGGACAAATTACTGAAGTGATGTATATATTCACCATATATTTAAGCACTTCCTTTGACCAGAGGCTCATTTAGATGTTTAGGTTTAAACAGTGATGAGTAAGACTTGGTCCCTGCACTAGAGTTTTGGGGGAGAATGTGGTACTTACTACTCTTATTTTATAGTAATTAAATGGTTTTCTAATATCATATAGTCCTGAGTTAAATCCTAGCTTAGCCACTTACAAATGCTGTGTACTTGAAAAATTTACTTCTTTCTGTCATATGCAATAAAATTTGATTGAATTAAATGTGTGAATCTGAGAAGTGAGGATAACAATAGATGATATGGAGGATTACTTTGAAACTTCAAATAAAATAATGCATGTAAAATACTTAGCCTAATATCTGGTCACACAGTAATGATTCAACAAATCTTATTATTATAAGTATTTAATTGAATTTTAATGTGACAAATATCATATTAAAGGTGTGCAAAAAGTATTATGAAAGTACAAAGTAAATTATTCTCACTGAAAGAGTGAGGTGAAGATACAGGGAAGAAAAGGCATTTGATCTGAGCCTGAGAGGATGAAGAGAAAGCTGTGCAGAAAAGGAAGAAAAGGCAATTCCACATGGAGATACTAGAATGAACATAGGCATAAAAATGTCCCTGTGTGTCAAGAACATCGTTCTGGTGTTGTCAGAACACAGGATGTTTATATTTATGAGGGGGTAGAGACCAATTTGACTTCTTTGAAATTGGGAAAATATAAAAGTAAATAATTATAATTATTCTCTAGTAAACACTTACTATGCACCAAGAATTATGTTAAGATCTTTGGTTGCAAAATCTCAATGACATTATGACATTGTAGTACGTGACATTATTATCCCACTTATTTGATGAGGGATCGAGGAACAAAAAGATTCAGTCACTTAACTAAGGTTATAGTATTGTTACAACAGACTTGTTGCAGAAACATAGTAAGTGCTAAGGTTAAGATCTGAACCGAGGCCAAATGACTCCAAATTCCATACCACTTCCTGGACAATGAAAGCTTAGCTAAGAATATTTAATTTTACATAATTAATTAAGAAGTCACAAAATCTACTGCCTGCATAAGTTCAGCAAACAACATACACATATGAATCCAAAAAACAAAAAATACTGGGGAAACTTAAAGTCCATGGAACTAGAGAATACATGCCCAGCCATGAAAGATTTGAAATCAAATATTTTCTAAACTAGATGAAACAGTCTAAGGGTCATACTTGTCCAGCTAGTCAGTTTTCAACTATGCTAAACAGTAAGTAGTGTGAAAAACTTTTAAGCCACAGAGTGACATGACAGGTTTTATAATTTATAAATTTCAAATAAAGCAGGGTTGTATTGTAGTGGGGAGAGGTTGGAGAGAGAGATGCAAAAGGAAAACAAAATAAAGCTAATAGAGTCATCCAAAAAAAATGAAGTTGTGGACTGGAGCATTGGCTGTGGGAAGGATTAAAGGTAATAGCCCAGAGACCCTTGTGATAGCCTAATTAAGCAAGCCTGTTATTTTGTTGAAAATGAGACTCAATAAAGGGACTTCAAGATATCCCTTATTCTGTGTTATTAAAAAATACAATCTTCGGGGAAAGTGATTCTTTAGAGAGGCATTAGGAAAACCTCACAAGACTCCCTTTCATTATTATTGACTTCCCTACAATTCCCTTACAGCACCTGCCACCTCATCCTTCCAACTCAGGCACAGAGTCAGAGTTGTAATTCAGGCACAGCACTAAACATGAGTTTGTGGCAAATATGCTTGAGTTAATAAAATAATGATTAAGTCCCAGAACTGCCTGGGTTTAAATTATGGCTCTCTAGATTGAGATATTATTTTCGTTACAATGAAACAGAAAATAATATTAGGAATGTAGAGTGCCTAACACAGAGCATGGCAAGAGGAAAACACTGAATAAATGTGAACCATTTATGCTATTATTTCTATTATTGTAAAATCAGTCCAATGTCTCCTCCAAAACACATGCCGAAATTTAATTGTCATTGTAATGATATTAAGATGTGGAACCTTTAAAGGTGATGAGGACATTAAAGGTTTGCCCTCACAGGTGGGAGTAATGTCACTATAAAAGAATGAGATTGGCCTCTTTCCATTCTCTTGCCTTCTCTCCTGCTGCCATGTGATGACTCAGCAGAAAAGCCCTTGACAGATGCCAGCACCTTCATATTGGAATTCTCAGCCTCCAGAACTATGAGCCAATACATTTCTGGCAATAAAGTATCCAGCATCAGGCATTCTGTTACAGCAGTACAAAATGGACTAAAACAGAAAGAATAGAAAGTAATACAAATGGGGGCATCACTAGAATTTATGAAATAATTCTTTAGCTTACTTTTCAAATGAAGACATACCAAAATATTGGAAGTATATAGTAACACATGCTTTCAATAAATACTTTATGTCTGATAAAATATATGTAATATTTTTATATATTTATGTAAAAATATATAAGTAATAGGATATATTTCTTGTTTAACAGACATTGCTAAGTTAGATAAGAGTGGTAGGAAAAAAATATCCCCTTGTCCTCTTCACGTTTTAATGGTTTCCTTCTGTAAGTCAGAAACATGAACTTTTAATCTTAACTTGGCGCAGCCCATTTCTTGGTATTCAATATGTAATGTGATTATTAGGACAAGTTATTGTTTTAAGTTTTTGGATAACATGCACATTGTTAGTTTCTTAGGATGACTGCAAGATTATATTCCAGTTTTTATACTCAGTTGAAATAATTCTTTGGATTTCAGAAAAAGGAAATTGAATTACTGTTGTTCTGAAAGGACAGCTTTACCTTTCCTACAGCAAAGTAAGAATTGGGATTATGTAACAGAGTCCTTGATTCTGTTATTTACTTAAACTAACAAGAGATAGTGTCAACTTTAAAAGCTCTGATGTGACACTTTCTTTATAGGCATTTATATTAACTTGTAGAAATTCCATAGATCTCTTTTTGACAGCTTATCAAAAGCAAATTTGATAGCTAACTCTTTTCAGTAAAATTCTGTAGAAAAAAAAATTCTAAGTGAATATAACACTATTCTTATTAAAATATATACATGGTATGTATGTGATTTATTTATGTATGTGGTTTATGAATAAAAACCTTATGTGAACAATGTGGTAGTGTCACTCTTAGGATTTACTATATAAAATTATACTTTGTATATAATAGAATCAGCTTCTCAATGTTTGGAAAACATATTTGAATTCAATTCTCCACCTCTATGAGTAGAATAGCACTAAAACAATTCCATAAAAAATTACATTATCTCTCTTTAATCTCCATATCAAAAATATTTCTAATTTTATTTTTGCTTCAAACAACACAGAAGAAAGCTGATTTCTGTGGAAACGAAAAATAATAAAATATGCCATAACACAGGGTACATGCGTTAAACAAAAGGTTGCTGTCCAAAGCGTGGTCATTGTGAATTTCATCAAATATTTAAAAAAGTAAATATCTAAATTCTGGTCCATTATGTCCACTGGGGGCCTGGCACCTGCATTTGGGTGACTATGGCAGATGTTTATTGGTTTGCAATGAATAATGCATAGAGGAAGCAAGGTGCTTGCATTTTCTCACTGGAACTTACTTCCAATTGAATTGTATATAAGCAAACATAGAGTTACTGCCTATTGAGATTTTTCTGTTTGTAGACTACCTTCAAATAGATTCTTGACATCAAGAGCAAGGAATATTTTTGTCTTGGTATTTTAGTGTGCCCTTTTTTTCTTCTCTTTATATGAGTAACAAATTATGATTAGCATTGCTAGTCAGAGGATAATGGACCAAATGCCACGGCAGAAAACTTTCAAGGTTTATCTGCCCTATCATCTCAGTATACAACCACAAACTGTGAGGTAAATGGACAGGAGGAAAATTAGCATGAAGCACTGAAGCCTCAGTTACAGGATCTGATATTACACTCCAATAAAAAATTAGTAATTGCTAAATTTATTTAATAAAACCCAGAAATCTATGGCTTTAAGATTTTTCCAGTAGTATGCACATGCAGAAAAAATATATGTTAACCTTATATACTAACATTAAACTCATACTTTAATTAAATATCACTTTTGGTAAATACCATACTGCTTTTCCTTAATGTAAGTAGAATGAGAGTAAACAAATCTCTAAAATTAGATGATTATGTTTTGTTAAGTTATTCTTAGTAAAAACACACATTTATGTGATGATCTATATATTTTATACCTAAAAATGACTTTCACTGAAATATATTTGAAAAGAAGGTAATCTCCTTTAACTTTGCTATGTTTTGTTGATGAGTTATTGAATTACTAATTTTATTCTGTATATGAAAACTACATCAGAGTTAAAATGAAAATCAGGTGACAATAAACTATGTGAGAATCATTTTCTCAAATGATAAAAATAGTTAACATTTCCCAATATTTGCCATGTGCCAGGCACTGATTTAATCCTCACATCAACTCCATAAAGTAAGTAGTACTATATCCCCATTTCACACATCAGAAACTGATTTTAAGAAAATTATCAAGGTTGCACAGAAAGAATTCAAGGTCATGTGGTCTAGCTTCAAAGTTCGTGCTTTTCACCACTGTACTTTACCGTCTTAATATTGTAGCATAAATTCCTCCATTTTTTTCACATGCAGATTTTAACAAGATGGAATACATAGAGAAGAAAAGAGAAAAGGAAAGCTTTTATGTAAGCAAATTTGAAAGCAGCATGGGAGAAAAATATTAAACCCATGCAAGCATGAGTTGTAATTTTCATAAATTTTTGCAATATCAAAAGAAAATTCTGGACAATCAATGTTTGTATCTTTTGCCCCTTCTGTATTCTTTGTGCATGGCTTTTTTTTTCCTCTGATATCTTGAAGAGACTTCAGGTCTGCGATTTACTATCAGCACGAAGAGAAATATATGGTAAGACTTATGAAACTAATTTCCTAGATAATTTTTAAAATTCAACGAGTTTTCAAACTAGTAGAATAAATGTAATTTACTCTGAGAAAAATGGTGATTGTATATTTTGATCAGGAAAATGCTGTAATACAAGCAATTGATTAGTCTGATTATTTAGTGGGCATTTATTGGTGTACAGGGGAGATTGAATTTGAAAGCACATCTTCATTTTACAATGTATACATATTTCAAAGCATCATATCATACACAATAAATATTTACAATTTTATTCGTCAATTAAAAAAATTAAAAAAGAAAATGCATCTTCATTATTCATTTATTCACTCATCAATTTATGAAATATTGTCAAAACCTCCTAACTGCACTCAGGCATTGTGCTCAGCATATAGGATACAGAGGCACCAGAGAGGTACAGTCCCTATTTTAGTCATGCCAATAATCTAGCATCCAGGAAACCATTAGAATGATGCCATCAAGATATGATAAAGGCCTGACCTAGAAAGACATATTTTTTAAAAGTTCCAACTTGAAAAAGGCCTAAAGAAGAAATGTTAGGCCTTAAGGACTGACTGTGAAAAAGAAAGAAGGAAATCAAACTGACTAAAAAAGAAACTTAAAAGAAAATATTTTTTAAAAAAAATTTAAACATTTTATAACAAATTATATCTGAATGGTTATATCACTAACATGCTAAGGTATATCTTAAGTTCATAATTGATATTATGCTTAGAATTTAAAATCACTCTAATTCAATCAGGCCAAAACCAGTTATTCTTGTAATAAGTCTTCTATTATATATGCACTTTTTCTTGAGAAACCCAAAGCAATATTCTTGCCTACACATCCTTTAGAGATGGAAACAGGGAAATAATTGAGAGTTAAGTGGACAATAAAAAGGGTATGAAATCCTTGGACCTTATTCATGAATACCCTTTCACTCTTCCATTATGCTCCTAATAAAATACCTTCAAGGAGCACAACTTAAGCAATGGACGTCCATCAGTTTTATAAAAGTTTGTGGCTACAACCAAATAAAATTTTATGATAAGCTAAGCTACATGATGTAGAAAAGTTTTGTCTAAGATTGATGGATACATAGTGATTAGCTAAGTATTTGGAACAATACCTCTAACACAGTTGAGAAATGTTAGTGTAGGAGAAATAGTCCCACTAGGAAGAAGAGTTAGTAAAAGAGCAAGAGAGTTGACACAGTGTGTAGGATGTGGCTAGTTTAGGCTGCTGACAGAGGACACCTTCAGTCAGGGACTCCATAAGAGAAACAGCCCTGACTATTTCTCACTTAGGAGAATGCAAAGGGGGAAATCAAGGGAAAGAATGAGAAAGCTCCACAAGGCACAAGAGTGGTGCAGGGATGGATCACATACTCTGCTAGTCTTAAAACAAAATCTAAACACAATTTTGCATACTCAAATTACAGTAAATAGAAGTGAAAATGTAGAAGAAATATGAGAGTATTAAAAACATTCTAGAAAAATAAAGATTAGGAAACTTCATCCTAAAGATCCTGAGACAGATAAACTTCGGAAAACAATTTATTACAAAAAGTAGAAAAAAGAATGTAAGCAAGTTGGAATTCCTGCTACGACTTAGAAGCGATAGTGGTTAGAGATTAAGACTATAGAAAATGAAACTAGATCACCTGGTCTGGAAACGGGCCATACATACTGCTTACTAGCTGTGACCTTGGTTAAATTTATTGTAATTAAGAAACTCATTTCACCATGAAATAATTGCTTTTTGACTTGTAGAAATGAAGACTGTAGTCTCTACCCATATTTTCTTTATTCTTATAGCCTATGAATTTTTAAATAATTTAACTATTTGTCTTCTGCCTAAATATTCACGGATCTTATTATATAATGTGTACTGTGATGCTTAATTTTATAATATGTTTATAATATGAAGAATATTGAGTTGGGGCTTTATTGAAAATGAACTGAAAATGGGCAGATTAATAGGAGAAATAAAGGCATATAAAATTATTTTAACATGCATAGCATGAGGGACTCACAGAAGGATTACCTAGTAACCTAACGTGGTACAGATGCTTATTTATATACCCTTCTTCATATGCGGAGATGAGAAATGTAAACAGTTCTTTTGAGGGGTTGTAAATAATTATTAGGAAGCACTAATAGACCTGGGGAGACAGAAATAACTTGTAAATAATTCCCTCTGGAATTTGAATAAACCCAGGAGGCAGATACTATGTTGTAAAAAAGTCTGTCCAGGTATGGTTGCCTTCTTCAGTCTTCTTTTTTGAAACAAATAATAGATTTCACGGAGGAGATGGAAGTCAAATGTGTTCCTCTCTGAGGTTCTAGTTTCTAGTTACGTAAGGGAGCTTCAGAGAATAACCTTACCCTATTGATGGGGGAGAGTGAAGGTTCAAAGAGACCTTGAATCTGCTTTAGTGCAGGATGTCAAAGCCACACTTTTCAAGGCATTGTTTCGTGTTCCCCAACAGGAGCATGTCAGATCTCGAGGAAGCTATTTATAATACATTATAGTTGGGTGAATGTGGTTTTGGCAGCATGCAAAATAGTTGCATTAAGTTAGGCAGAAGCACCTTTAATTATGCAACGAATGATGTATATGGATATTGTGCAGCAAAAGTGATAAGCTACTGTGAATTTTTTACTGTTTTTGTCCAGTACCTGAACACTTTTCTCTGCTTCTTTCACACCTTGGCATATATAATAGCTCATCAGTTTGTGACAAAAGCTAAGCCAATCACACCGTGCTAACTGATGTAGCCTGGAGTGAATATTCAACCTTGATTCTGGTGTTAGTAACACCAAAAAGTAGTGACAGTTAAGAATTTTTTCTACCAACTATTACTCTGACCATCAGAATCTGGAGTATACTGAAGACAATGACACCAGAATCATAAAGTCCATCAATGCTCTATTATCTCCTGATGATGATTATGCTGGCTGTGCCTGTCAGTCATTTGTACCCCAGCGTGAAGAGTGGTGGTCTGGAGGTATTTGAGAGATCTCTCTGTGTTCTCAACCTTTCTCTCTTTCCTCCCACTTTCTGAAGTTGATTTACTAGGCTTTCAGTGAAATCTGTGAGGTTCATGTTATTCATCTAATAATCAATCTTCTAACTACATTAATTGGACTTAATTTCTGTAATTTGCAACTAAGAACCAGGATAGCACGTTTATTGACTGAGACTAATGTGTGCGGGTTGGTTAGGGGAATTCAAATAAATCTGAAAAGTTCTGCAAGAGAAAAGTTGACTATGGTGAAATAAAAATAATTGGCCTGAGATTTTCTGACTAACAAGACAACACTGATTTCTAAGTCAACCCAAATGAAACATTTGCATGAATTTTTAAGCATTTCCATAGCTTCAATTTATTGGGCAATTGTCACACCCTTCATAATTTATGTCAGACTGATATCTGGAAGTCTAGATTTAAAAAAAACTGTTAAGAAGATGAATTCTGGATAACAGGCAGAGGTTAGAACAGTTTGGAAGGCTCAGAAAACAGGAAAATGTGGTTAAGTTTGGAACTTCCTAGAAACTTTGAGGACTCAGAAGACAGAAAGATGTGAGAAAGTCTGGAACTTCCTACAGACTTATTGAATGGCTTTAACCAAAATGCTGATAGTGACATGAACAATGAAGTCCAGGTTGAGGTGGTCTCAGATGGAGATGGAGAACAGGAGTAAGAGTTACTCTTGCTATGCAAAGAGACTGGTGGCATTTCATCTCTGCCCTAGAGATCTGTGGAACTTTGAAATTGACGGAGATGATTTAACATTTCTGTCAGAAGAAATTTCTAAGTAGTAAAGCATTCAAGAAGAAGCAGAGCATAAAAGTTTGGAATATTGCAGTCTGATGATGCAATAGAAAAGCAAGCCCCATTTTCCAAAAAGAAATTCAGACTGGCTGCAGAAATCTGCATAAGTAACAAGGAGCTGAATGTTAATCACCAAGACAATGGGGAAAATATCTTCAGGGTATATCAGAGACAGCCACAGCAGCCCATCCCATAACAGGCCTAGGAGAGAAAAATGGTTTCATGAGTCAGGCCCAGGGTCCCTGTGCCCTGTGCAGCCTTGGGACACGGAGCCCTGTGTCCCAGCTGCTCCAGCTCCAGCCGTGGCTAAAAGAGCCTAATGTACAGCTTGGGCTGTTACTTCTGAGGGTGTCAGCCCTAAGCACTGGTGGCTTAGACACAGTGTTGAGCCTATGGGTGCAAAGAAGTCAAGAATTGAGGTTTGGGAACCTCTGCCTAGATTTTAGAGGATGTATGGAAATGCCTGGATGTACAGGCAGAAGTGTGCTGCAGGGAAAGAGCCCTCATGAAGAATCCCTACTAGGGCAATGCAGAAGGGAAATGTGGGGTTGGAGCCCCCACACAGAGTCCCCAGTGGGGAACTGCCTAATGGAGCTGTGAAAAGAGGCCACTGTCCTCCAGACCTCAGAATGATAGATCTACCTACAGCTTGCACCTATGTGCCTAGAAAAGCTGCAAGCACCCAACACCAGCCCATGAACAAAGTCACAGGGTCGGAGCTACCCAACACCATGAGAGCACACTTCTTGCAACAGCATGATTTGGATATGAGACATGGAGTCAAAGGTGATTATTTCAGAGCTTTAAGATTTAATTACTACCTCACTGGATTCTGGACTTGCATAGGGCTGGTAGCCCTTTTGTTGTGGCCAATTTCTTCCATTTGGAACAGGCATTTACCCAATGCCTTTACCTGCATTGTATCTAGGATGTAACTAACATGCTTTTGAGTTTTACAGGTTCATAGATGGAAGGGACTTGCCTTGTCTCAGATAAGACTTGGGACTTGGTCTTTTGGGTTAATGCTGAAATGATACAAGATTTTGGGGGACTGTTGGAAGGGCATGACTGTGTTTTGAAATGTGGGGACATGAGATTTGGGAGGGGCCAGTCGGGGAATGATATGGTTTGCCTTTGTCCCCACCCAAATCTCATCTTGAATTGTAGTTCCCATAATCCCCACATGTCATGGGAGAGACCCGGTGGGAGATAATTGAATCATGCGGTCAATTTTCTCCATGCTATTCTCATGATAGTGAGTAATTTCTCACAAGATCTGATGGTTTTATAAGGGGCTTACCCTTTCACTCAGCTCTAATTTTTCTCCTTGCTGCCATCATGTGAAGAAGGACATCTTTGCTTCCCCTTCTGGCATATTTGTAAATTTCCTGAGGCCTCCGGAGCCATGCTTAACTGTGAGTCAATTAAACCTCTTTCCTTTATAAATTACCCAGTTTGAGGTATGTCTTTATTGCCAGCATGAGAACAGACTAATACAGTGCACAGTTAATTTTACCAGTGGGTTATATAACTTCTAATGTTTTCTTTTTGTACATAATTTTTGTTTGTTTGTTTGTTTTCAGTTTGAAGAATTTTCGTTAGCATTTTGTGTAAAATGGGTCTGGTGGTGAATTTTCTAAGTTTTTGTTCGTCTGGAAAATACTTTATTTCTCCCTCATACTTGAAGGGTAACTTTGCTGTATACAGTATTCTTGTATGGCAGTTTTTGTTGTTGTTGTTGTTATTGTTGTTTTGGTTTTTGTTTTTTGTTTTAGGACTTTGAAAATGTCATTCCACTCCCTTCTGGCCTGTATGGTTTCTGTTGAGAAATCTGTTGCCAAATGGTTGGAGCTCCTTTATTTACTGCTTTTTTCTTTTCTTCTGCCTTTAAGATCCTCTCTTTGTGCTTGACCTTTGAGAGTTTGATTATTTTATGCTTTGGGGTAGCCTAATTTGGTGTTTGACCTTCCTGTAACTATATACTTATATTTTTTCTTAGGTTTTAGAAAGCACTTTGTTGTTCTCTTGAGCACCAATAATTCTTAGATGTAGTCTTCTCAGGTAATTTTCTATAATTTTTAAATGAACTTTCCTCCTTTCCATTCTTCTGCAATTTTTTTTTTTTTTTTTTTTTTTTTTTTTTTGAGATGAGGTCTCACTCTTGTCACCTAGGCTGGAGTGAAGTGGTTTAGTCCTAGCTCACTTCAGCTCCAAACACCTGTGTTCAAGCAATTCTCTCACCTCAGGCTCCTGAGTAGCTAGGATTATGGGCATGTGTTACCATGCCCAGGTTTCGTCTGTCTGTTTTTGTAGTGACAGGCTTTTAACCATGTTGGCCAGGCATTTTAAAATCCTTTTATTTTCCTTTTTTTATTTCTCTCACTGTGTATTTTCAAATAGCCTATCTTCAAGCTGACTGATTTTTCTTCTGCTTGATCCACTCTGCTGTTGAGAGCCTTCATACAATTTTCAGTTCAGCAAATATGTTTCTGATCTCCCAGATTTTTTTTTAATTATTTTAATGTCTGTTAGTTGTCTCATAAAATTCTGAAGTTCAGCTTTTATATGTTATCTTGGAGTTCACTGTTTCTTTAAGGCTGCTGTCTTGAATTTTTGGTTGGAGAGCTCACAAATCACCATCTCATTAGGGTCAGTTACTGGTTCCTTGCTTTGTTTATTTAAGGAGATCATAGTTTTGTTTGTTGATGTTCCTCATGAATGTACATCTATAGCTTTGCATTAAATGATTCATTATTTATTCCATTTTCTGTCTCTGGCTTGTTTTGTTTTTTATTGGCGATATTTGCTTAGGGATTCTTTACTTCAATGTTTCTGCCTCCTTTTTGGTTCTAGATGGTGCATTAATACTGCTTTAAGATCAGGTTTGCCTGAGATCTAGGAAAGGATTAAAGTGCTACCCCTTGCAAATAGGATACATCCCTAAGGGGATATCCTGAAAGTGTGGGAAGGCTGGCTAGAAGTTCATGCCCAGGGCATGGGTAGAACGTATCTACTACAGCATGGTGTTGATGAGCAGCAAATCTGATTTGGGATCTCTTTGGCTGAGTTAAACAGTAGAGTTTCAAGGGCCAGGGATGTTGATCCATTTCCTCACTTTGTTTCTGTCCTCAGGAATATTTCTGCCTTCCAGCACTGACAATGCTTCCCATGGGTTGAGGCAGGGATTGGTCTCCTGCCAAAGAACCCAAGATGGTAGAAAAGATAGGTGTCCACCTCAATCACACTTTTACCAATGCAGCAACCATGAATTAAGGAAAACTTTCTGCCCATTTATTTCCAGGCAGATTTGGAGGAGGGGTATTGTGGATATACAAGTCCAATTCTTTTCCTGTCTGCTTGGAGTTTTTTTCACTTTTTCGTGGCCCCAGGAACTGTGTCCTCTCCATATCTGAGTTCTGGGATATTGCTGGTGATAATTTTAGCACTGTATATTTGTTTTTGCTTTTCTATAAGGCGGGAAGTAAAATCAGTTTGTTTCTATACTGTCATTTTGAAAATGGAAGGTTGATTCTCAACTTATAAAAAAATTGTGCAAATGTAAGCAACCATTGTTTTTTCTCAAAATCATTCCTCAGGAATGAGGAGGTTGCCTTATTTTTGAGAATTTACTTAGGCTTTCACATTATAGAGCATATTTTTCAATTGTTTGAAATATTATGGAGTCATTTTGTCTTATCACTAGGTCATATTACAGAGGGGCAGCAGGAGCTGTATTATGTATATTACATATGTAATAGTGTATGATATTACAATGAGAGATACAATCAATCATCTGACAACTTGGTTATAAGATGTCTGCCAGTACTCCAATTCTACCATTATGCTTATTGGAAATAACAGTAATTTAGAATCTAGAAGAGAAGTAGACAGAGAAGGTAAAACTTTTGCGTAAGAACATGGACTTAACTTCATTAAAACTTCTGCTAAGATTGCTTGCAATGTAGAAGAGGCATTTCTTAACGAAAGAAATTTATAAACAAAATCCAAGAAGGAGTCTCTCACATTGATAATGGGGCAAATAGCATTAAAATTGGCCCTCAGCATGCTGCTGCTATGCAACACATACAGGTTATCAGAGAGAGCAGCAGGTCAGGAAATGCTGCCATTAACTCTGTTTTTACAGTCTAGCTGCCCGAATGGGGTCCACTCACTTATTCTTTCATCCTTTGCCTCCTGCTCAGTTGATACATGAAACTATTTAAAACGGCTTTACGTCTCAGAAGAATTTAATCCTTCAAAGTAATATAATTTTGAATAAACGGTTAATGTTCATTTTAAGATGGATTTTAGAGTTTGTAGTCATATGTATTTACAGTTAATTTCTAAGTCAATTTATAATTATTTTTGTTAAATGTTGTCTTGTGGCATTAGCTATGACCTGAATTGTATTAAATGTTACAAAGTCATCCTGCATATTTTAAATTGGTTTGTGCAGTTAGGTTTCCCAAATCCTGTGGTTAGTTAATGCTTAGAATTATAGAACTGCCCTCAAAAAGTCTGTCAATTTTCAAGGATATAAAGAAAAACAGGATTCTTTTAATTCTAGATTGATCATTTACTTTCTGTATGTAAAGTTTAATAACCTGCTTGGTGTAATTTACTAATGAATTTTTTAATGTATTTGCATGAATTCCATACTGTTTAGAGCTTAAAGCTACAGAAACATTGTTAGAAATTACTTGGACACTGAATTTTAAATTTTTTAACATTGTTAACAAGCATGCTCATCTTTTCTTGTCACTAGTCTGATAAAAATACCCTTAATTTATATTTTGAAAGGCTTTAAATATGTTAACCTGTTTTAATGCCTACAGTTTGCTATTTGTGCACAATTTCTTTAGATCTTTGGGTAAACACACAAGATAATGAGTAAAAAGGGAGCAAGCAAAAAAATTTCTACATCTTAGCAACTTCAAGAGGAATGAGTATCCACATTTAGATGACACATTATAAGTACGTTCATCTTTCCTTAGACGAACATTATCTTTTTCTTTTATTCACATGATTTCTAACGCATTTTTCATTCTGGACAGCTTTGAAACCTTGGTGTACAGTGACTGTGTAAAATTTGTCTTTCAGTAGCAATCTCTATAACGTTTAAAATACAGTAAGCATCTTTTCTGTTTTGAAAGGAATATGATAATAAATCTACTATATGAAAAATCTTGTTAAAAAGTAGAAAAGCTTTAGTAATTTACTTATTGTAGTGGCTTTATTTTTGTTTTTTCTCCCTTGGTCTATAAAGAAAGTGCATTTTTTCCTTCCACAGGAAAGTACAATATTTATATTATCTATAATTGAACTAAAACATATTGATATAAAGTTTGTGCATCTGCATATGTTTCATGTTATATTACATTAAAATATAAAAATATAGAATTACAGTACCTATAACTAAAATGATATTTTCAAGTAGGTAATATTACTATTTTTAGGATTTTATTTTGCTGGTGTATCATTGTTTATTTGATCATTACCTTGAGAATTTATCCTGAATTTTTATCTTTTTTGTTATTATAGTACATACTGAATTGAACATAATTATAGGAATAGCTCTATGAATATTAATAATTATGTCTTTGAAATAAATATCTAAAATTAGTATTAAGTCAAAAATCATTTTCTTTTCATAGCATTATTGAGATACAATTACAATCAATATACTCCATCAAGTTGTACAACTTGATAAGAATTCATATACATATACCGTTATATATTTAATATACCCACTATATATATTTCCATTTTACATATATACACACACACACACACAGATATATGTACATACATATTAAATCAACACCAAAATCTAGTTAATGAACATACTCATTTTCCCCAAAAGGGCCCTTGTGACCATTTTAAGTCATGTAGTTTGTTTTTTTTGTCTGGTTTCTTTCGCCTGGTATAATTATCATAAGAGTCATTCATGTTGTTGTGTATTTCAGCAATACATTTTTATTCATTCCTGGTTAATTTATCACCATGTGACTATACCACAGTTTATTCATATATTTACTTATTGATGAATATTTCGATTGCTTCCAGATTTGGGTTATTAAAAATAGAACTTCTATGAATATTTCAATACAAATATTTATATGGGCATATGTTTTTATTTCTCTTGGGCAAATAACTACCTAGGAGTGGTAGGGCTGGATCATGTATTATAATGAATGTCTATAACATGCAGTAAATGAAAATAATGGCACTCTGTTTTCCAAAATGGTTGTACCATTTTACATCTCAACCAGCAGTATACGAAAGTTCTACTTTCTCTCCATCCTCATCAATGCTTAGAATAAAAATTCTTTTAAATTTTAGCTCTAATAATGTGTGCATAGCTATATATAATTGTGATTTCCATTAGCACTTCTTTAATAACTAATAATATCAAGCATCTTCTCATGTGCTTATTTGCTATCTTTATAAAGTATCTGTTCAAATTATGTCCCAAATTAGTGGTGGCAGGACAAGTCTTTGTTCTTATTAATGAGTTTTGACAGATTTTTATAATATATTCTGGATATATCCTTTATCAGCTAAATAATTTCCAAATATTTTCTCATAGTTTGAGCCTTGTATTTTCATGCTTTATGAATACAACTTGAATATCAGAAGATTTTCATTTTGAAAGTGAAAATATGCTATTCTTCTATATGAATCTTGTTTTTATATTCACATGCAAGAAAAATTTACCTAACCCAAGGTTGCAAAATGTTCTTTCCTCTTTTCTTGTGGAAATTGTATATCTTAAATTCTTTATGTAGATCTATCATCCATTTTGAGTTAATTTTTATATTTTGTGGTAGGTATGGATAGAAAAGCATAGATTTTAACTGAATGTGAATTCATTCACACTATATTTTGAAAAGCATGTTTTTTCTTACTAAATTGTCTTTGCATCACTGTTGAAAATCATTTTTCTATATGAATCTAGTTATGCATATTTTCTACTCCATTGACCAATTTGTCTATCAGCGTGGACATACCAAAATTTCTTGATTACTGAAGTTTTATAACTAGTCTTGAACTAAGGTAATATTAGTCTTCCAAGTTTTTTTTTTAATTTTCTTTGGCCAAATTTCTGATTCTTGGATTTGAATATAAATTTTTGAAACAGCTTTCCAATGTTTACAAAATAACCTTTGCTGGGATTTTGAATGGCTTCACACTATAACTTTAGATAAATTTGGAAGAATTGAGAGCTTCAAAATACTGAATTTTCTTAACAATGTACACGCTTGTTCATATTTTTATTTTTTCTTAGTACACAGGTTTGCATATTTTGTCAGATTTATCTCTAATGTTTCATATTTTGATGCTATTACATAAATAGAAGTTTCCCATATACTTGCCCAGCTTCTTGCAATGATATTTTACATAATACATTATCAAAATCAGGATATTGACATTGATATAATACTATAACTAAACTACAGAACTTATTTGAAGAGCAACAGTTTTTGCATGCCCACATTTTTTCCCCATTGTTGTTGCAGTTCAGTTCTGTGAAATCTATTTTGGTTTATCACATGCTGTTACATAGTTCTATGAAACGTTACCAAAACAAAAGAATACGGTATTGTTCAATCATCACAAAGAAACCTCCTTGTGTTTTTGTCCCTTAGTCATACCGGTTCCCAATGCTAACTTATGGTAAGCACTGATATGTTCTCTATTATTATAATTTCGACATTTTCAGAAAGATGCATCATGTACTATATAGCCTTAAGATATTGCTTTTTTGTCCTCTTCATAATACCTTTCATGTCCATCCAAGTTGTTGTGTATATCGGTGATTCATAATTTTCATTGCTGAGTAAAAAGCCACTGCATGGCTGTATCAGGGTGTATCCATTGGTCAATTGAAGAACATTTAGGTCTACTTCCATTTTTTATCTAGTAAAAATAAAGCTGTGTTGGACATGTTTTTGTTTGTGAATATAAGTTCTAATTTTTCTACAAAAATACTCGGGAGTATGATTGCTAATTCATATGGTTAAGTGTATGTTTAACTTTACAAGAAAATGTCGAATTGTTTTCCAGAATGGCTGTACTCTTTTACATACCACCAACCATGTATGAAATATTCATTTGACCTAAATTCTCACTAGCACTTGGTATTGTCATTATTTATTTTAGGTGCCATATCACTTTGGATTTAATTTTCATTTCTCTAATAGCTGATGAGTTTCAACACCTCTTCACATGCTTACTTGCCCTCCATGTAACTTCTTTCAATTTGCTTGACCATTTTCTAATTGATTTGCTTTTTACTTGTGGTGGAGTTTATACAATTTATTATACATTCTCCATAAAAGCCTTTCGTCAAATATGTAATTAGAAAATATTTTTCTGCAGGCTATCTTCTGTTTTCATCCTCTTAACAGATTATAATCTGTGAAATGTAAGTTTAAATGCAGTGTAAGAGTATTAGGATAAAGAAAATGCAATGAACTAATGTAATAAATCAAATGTACCAATAAGCATGCCCTTAGAAGAGAATCTCATCTCCCATCTCTTATTTATTCCAATTATACATAAATTTAGGCTGCTTGAAGTTGTCATACAGCTTACTGAAACTTTAATATTTTTTATATGTTTTATTTTATACAGTGCCTATGTTATGACTTAAATTTTTCTAATCTTTTTTTTCACTGTTCAGATAATTTTTCAAATCTTTATGTAATCTACTGTTAATCACACTGAACATGTTGTTCACCTCATACATTACAGTTTTTGTCTCTAAAGCCCCATTTGTGTCTTTAAAACATGTTCTATGATTCTACTTAGCATTCTGAACATATGGGATAATGACTAACTTAATATTCCTATCTCTTTACTTTTGTGTTAATTCTGGGTCAGTTTTAATTGGTTAAGTTTTAAACTTTCCTTATGAACCACATTGTCTTGCTTGCTGGCATGCCTAAATAATTTTCCTATATTCTAGTATATTATAGTATTGGAACTTACATTCCAATATTTTAAATGCTGTCTTATTGGATGCTAGATATTTTTGTTTACCTATTCTTGAGCTTTGTTCTAGGACACAATTTGTGTACTTGTCAACAGTTTTATTCTTTCTGATGTGCTTTTAAATTTGCTTGACAGGACCAAGGCAGTGTTTAGTAAAGGGTGAATAATTCCCCACAGTTGAGGCAAGACTTTTCTGTGTACTCTATTCCATCCTCCATAAGTTAATAATTTTTTCAGGACTTGTGGAAATAGGTATTATTTATGGCCTTCTAGGAGAACCACATGCCATTTTCTCTAGTCCTTCCCTATGATTCCTTTCCTTGGGTGCTTTCCTCATAAGAATGCACTCTCCTGAATACTTTAGGAGGTTCCCTACAAATATCCAGGGTTCTTTCTTTTTTAAGTGCTCGCCTCTGTTTTTCTGTCCAATAATTTGGATTTTTTATTCTCCTTGAATTTTCAGCCCCACATCCTAACTAAGGTTGTCTGCCAAACTCTTTCACGGTTTCTCCTCCATGTTGAGATCTGGAAACCCTCTCAGTAAAGTCAGCTGGACAAATATTAAGGCTCACCATTTTTTATTCCTGCCTTTTAGGTAATATTATCTTTTACTGCCTAATAACTATTTTTTTAACCATCACTTCAAATATTTGGACTGGTGCTTAGTTGTTTCAGACAAAATGATAATTCTAGTCCCTGTTGTACAATCTTGGCCAACATTGCTTTTGTCTTGCAATTCTGCTAAGATATAGAAAATTTAGAGGTTTGCTTTTGGTTCTTCTTATGTAATTGGCCTGCCATAATTATATTATAAAGAACCTGTTGTGGATATTTAAAGAGTTGTTAAAAATGACTATTCCCAATTTTGCCATAAGAGAGTTTTGCAAATTCACTGGACTCAAATTTTACTTATCATATGACCTCAAGCTTTCCCCAATAAAGATTTATTTCCTTGGAGATTTTAAGGGGCTAATAAGGAAATGGTTCTAGAAACCTCCAAATATTCTGGATATTTCCTCTCACTGAGAACAGAGGTACACAATTAAATGGCTACAGATAATTTTGGTAAAGGTTTGATTGAAAACATATTGTCTATACTTTTAATAGTATTGCCATTTATTCCTCAAATGAATTTAAATTTTCAATAATAGAGTAATTATTTGGTAATTGGCTTGGTTTTGGAAACTTACTGAGAGTCTCAACACCCGATTGTATTGACTCAATTCATTTTTTTGCTTACCAGGCCTAGAATTTTTCGGAGTCAGTACAAGTAATATTTTAGTAAGCTGTCTATCCATTTTATTCAAGACACAAGGTGACAATGTATAACCAAAGATCCTTATGGGTCAAAATAGTCTAATTGCTATTCAGTCCTACTTCTCATTACGGCAATTTCAAGCATCTGGTTTTTAAGCATTGCCCCTTGGCTTCTAACTCTGCATTTACATAATTTTCATTGAAATCAAGGAGATTATTCAATGGCATCAACTCCCTTTATTTTGACATTCAGAAATAACCACAGCAGAAGTTTTCAAGGATGTGTTTTTTTCTCTCAGTAAGGCTTTTCTGAATGCCTTAGTTAAAGAAATGCAACTCTAAGCTTTCCCAAGGACATAGTGGGAAGGTAAATCTGTGATTCACAGTACCACCTCTTAGTTCTCTAAACGTTTAGAGTCTTTTATTTATAATATTTAATGGAAGTTCTAGCCTCTCAATATTATTGAATGAAGATCATATTGAAACCAAGTTTTAGTCAATCAACTAAGACAACTATGAAAACCCCTCTGAGTTGCTCAAGATAATATATTACATTCAAATCTCTTCTTATGTACCAATAAGGGTACATAAGGTTTATTATGGGAGTTCATTCCATTTTTTTTACTCTAGTACTCTAAATCTGCATTTTATGAATATATTATGCATATGATAATTATATATATCTTTAATATAATATTTTGAAAACATTTTAGAATATTAGCCATCTCCTCTCATGTTAGATATTAGCAAGAAGAAATTGATTGTAGTCATGAGTATGAAGACAGTGAGTGGTGTTTAAAATGACCATCACTATACATAAAACTGGAATCACTAAAAGATGAGGCATAGTTCAATGATCCTGTCCCAAAGGGAGGGTAAGGGCGAGACTGAGAGAGATAGAAACAGAGTTAGATCGTTTTGCACTTCTTCTAATTTTCTGATCTTTCACGTGTCTTTTACTGAAAAATCTAGCAGTGACGCAGATAATAAGAAGCATAGGAAATGTAGCCCCAATAAAATGGAACAGTGTGGGAATCTAGAAAGATACATATGGAGCAGAAACACAACAGGCAGTTACCTCATCATATCCACAAGCAACAGATTTATGGTCAATTGTATCTCATGCTAGGAGACAGGAAATAAACATGTTCTCAGATCTAAATAATAAACAATGTTGATTAACATTGTTAAAGGGATCACCATTCAATGTTCTGATAAATCTTGTTGAGTCCCAGTTACAACTTGGCAGTAAAATTCCTATGCTATTGATTATGAAAATACTGAGATAATAGAAATAATTTATTAGAAGGCAGAAATAAAGAAGCATTGCAATTCAATCCTTTATACACATAAAGTGTTGATGCAAATGCTTGTATAGTTTTATCATGAGAAAATAGAGATTTGAAAAGTTGCTGTTTGTTGCAATACCTTCCATACAATTTTTAGGTTATCAGAATTGTTTTAGGTATGTGGGAGTACTGCCCCTCAATGTTTCTTCCAATAACATGGCACAATTTACTAGACAAATACAAATAAATATTATATTCTAAGTTGTTAATTACATTTTGTGGGCAGACACCATCTATTTGTCAACTAATTCTACCAGAATTCTCAACATAGTGGCTTGCATGTCTTAAGTGCTTCATAATATTACTGAGTCAACAAACGCACAGATGGATATATATTGTCCAACTTTTCTAGCAACTAACCATATTTCAAAGATTCTGAATAAAAGGATATTTCTAGGCAACTATAGTATAAGTGAGAAGGAGTTAAGTAGAAATTATACAATAAAAATGAAATCATTATATTTTAAGTATCCCAGGCTGCTCTTTTCTCTACCAGAACCAGTCAAGTCTCAAGGTTTTATTAGATAACCCTTCATGCTAATTTTGGATATGAAGAGACTAAGGCTACTTTAAGCATACACATTGATTTTTGATGCAATCAGGAAGGTTGACTATACCATTTATTTATATCTGAATCCACTATTGGTTCTATATAAACATTCTTCTAAGAACTTAATATATTTCTCGCATATTTCTTCTTAAAGCCAACACATTTTTAGCAACATAATGTTATTTACATATCTACTTATTGAATCCAACTGAATTTCTATTCATAAATGTGTTAAGTATCTATTACTACTATATTAGCCCATTTTGCATTGCTATAAATAAATACCTGAGCCTGGGTAATTAATAAAGAAAAGTGATTTATTTGGCTCACCGTTTTTTAGGCTATGCAAGCATTGTATCAGCAACTGCTTAACTTCTGGCAAAGCCTCAGGAAACTTTATGGCAGAAGGCAAAGGGGGAGAGGCTTGCCACATAGTGAGACAGGGAGCAAGAGAGAGAGAGCAAGAAAGAGATGCCAGGATCTTTTAAAGAACCAAATCTTGCATAAATTCATAGAGCAAGAACTCACCCATTACTGCACGGAGGGCACCAAGCCATTCATGAAGAATCCACTCCCATGACCCAAACACCTCCCATCAGGCCCCACCTCCAACACTGGGATTACATTTCAACAAGAGATTTGGAGGGGAAAAATATTCAAACTGTATCAGCTACATAACAAGTTACTTTAAATTAGTGGCTTAAAACAACACATATTTTATTAACAGTAGAGAAAAACAGTGAAGGATGAAGCATCAGAAATCCATCTCTCAATTTTTACAACAAATAAATTGTCAAAAATCGTCTGAAGTGATTATTGAAAGCTCTGGAATATTTTTATACATTTCAGCATTAAAAGGACAACTTGCATGGTAAAGTGCAATTTATTTCTGTCAATTGTACCAATCAGAGTGGCACTGCTATCTATCATACCACCCCTGCAGCCTGTGGCAGGCAGCCTTGGGGGCAAAAACATAGTCTCTGTTGAAGTCTACTGGAGCCAGGTGAACAATAAGGAACAAGTTCTTCAGATCTTGGTGTTCTGTGTTCAGGTTATAGATTGCTGTTTCTTTTCTTTCTTTTTTTCTTTCTTGAGACAGAGTCTCACTGTCCCAGGCTGCAGTGCAGTGGCACGATCTCCACTTACTGCAACCTCCACCTCCTGGGTTCAAGCTATTCTCCTGCCTCAGCCTTCCGAGTAGCTGGGACTACAGGTGCATGCCACCAGCCCGGCTAATTTTTATATTTTTGGTAAAGATGGGGTTTCATCGTGTTGGCCACGCCGGTCTCAAACTCCTGACATCAAGAGATGCACCTGCATTGGCCTCAAGAGATCCACCTGCATCGGCCCCTCAAAGTGCTGGTATTACCATGAGCCACCACACTCGGCCAGATTGTTGTTTCTGATTGCAGAGGTGTATACACAGCGGTGGGCTGCCATTGTTGACATTTACCAGCTGAAACAACTTACAGGAGATTTAAAGCAACAGAACATTTTTCGATTTGAGACATTCAGAAATGAACACAAACATGGGAGTATTTAGAAAATACCACATATGCCTATAAAAAGATTCAGCTCAGAAAAAACCTGAGAAGACCTTAAGTTTTCACCTCAGATTGATAGGCTCAGCACAGAGATACCCTACAATAATTAAAAATAATAACACTAACATCAGGAAGATTCAATTTTCAGATTCTACATAAAAGAGTTAAATTTCCAATTTTCAACAAAAGTCACAAGACATATAATGAAAGAGAAAAAACGGCTCATTCAAGGGATCAAAATAAATCAACAGAGAATGTACCTAAAGAAGTTCAGTCATTGAACTTATTAGACAAAGACTTTAAAGTAGCTGTCTTAAAAATGCTCAAAGAGATAAAGGAGGGCATGGACAAAGACAGGAAGACAATGTGTAAACAAAACGAGAACTCAATAAAGAGTGAAACATTATAAAAAGGGCTAAAAATATTATGAAAAGAGCAAGAACAGAAATGAAAATTGCATCAGAGAGTTTCAAAAGCAGTTCTGAGCATACAGAAGAAAGAACTGACAAACTTGAATATAGGAAAATGGAAATTGAAATCTAAGGAAGAGAAAGAAGATATGAATAAAAAAAGCAAACAAAGCCTAAAGGACTTGGGAGATAACTCAAGAATTAACAAACACTGTAAGAATATCAGCAGAAAAGTAAAAAAAAAATGAGAGGGCACAAAGGATCTTTGAAAAAATAATAGCTGAACACTTCTTAAATTTTTGACAAAAGACATGAATCTACAAATGTAAGAAGCTCAACAAATTCCAAGTAGCATAAACTCAAAGAGACTCACATTCGGACACATTATAATCAAACTTCAGAAAGCCAAACGAAAGAAAGAAAAAATAAAATAAAATAAAATTTTGAAAGGAGTAAGAGAGAATTGTTTCATCATCTACAACTGGTTCACAGTTTATTTCCCATCAGAAATCTTGGAGGCTAGAAAGTAGGTTGATATATTCAAATTGCCTAAAGAAAGTCTTTCAACTAAGAATCCTATATTTAGAAAAACTATCCTTTAAAAATAAGGGAGAAATGATGATGTCCCAGATAAAAGGTGAGGGAGTTTATTACCACTAGACCTTCTTGGCAGGAAATTATAAAGGGAGTCCTTTAGGTTCAAATGAAAAGGTAGCAAACAGTATTTAAAAGCATTATTAAAAGTAATGGTCTCCAGTAAAGGCTAACCTGGGATAATTAAAAAATCTACATTATTGCAATTTTGCACTTAACTGTACTTTTTATTTTCTATATGCTTTAAAAGACAAATGCATTAAATTGTTTGTACACTGATGTTCATAGCAAAATTATTTACTGTATTCAAAAAATGAAAACAACCCAAGTATCCATTAATGGATGAAAAGATAAATATGATATATACATATAATGGAATATTACCCAGCCATAAAAAATAATTAAAGTTTAACACAGTACAACATAGATGGAAGATGAAATCATGTTTAGTGAAATAAGCCAGACATAGAGGATAAATACTGTATAATTCCTCTTATATGAGGTACCTATAATAGGCAAATTTATAGAAACAGTAGAATAGAAGTTCCGAGCGCAGTGGCTCATGCCTGTAATCCCAGCACTTTGGGAGGCCAAGTCGGGTGGATCACCTGAGGTCAAGAGTTTGAAACCAGCCTGGCCAACATGATGAAACTCTGTCTCTACCAAAAATACAAAAATTAGCTGGGCGTGGTGGTACACACCTGTAGTCCCAGCTACTCAGGAGGCTGAGGCAGGAGAATTGCTTGAATCCAGGAGGCAGAGGGTGCAGTGAGCCGAGATCATGCCACTACACTCCAGCCTGGGCGACAGAGTGATACTACGTCTCAAAAAAAAAAAAAAGTTACTGGGATATCAGGGGTAAGGAGGATTTATTGTTTAATGGGTACCAACTTTTTTGAAGGATGATAAAAACAATTTTGGATTTAAATAGTTGTGTTAGTCTACTCTCCCACTGCTGATAAAAACACATCTGAGACTAGGTAATTTATAAAGGAAAGAGGTTCAGCTGACTCACAGTTCAGCATGGCTAGGGAAGCCTCAAGAAACATACAATCATGGCAGAAGGGGAAGCAAACACGTCCTTCTTCAGATGGCAACAGTAAGGCGGAGTGCCCAGCAAAAGGAGGAAAAGCCCCTTATAAAATCACTATATCTCATGAGAACTCATTCACTATCACAGTACAGCATGGAGGTAAACACCCCCATGATTCAATTACCTCCCACCAGTTCTCTCCCATGACACATATGGATTATGGAAACTACAATTCAAGATGAGATTTGGGTGGAGACACAGCCAAACCATATCAATAGTAGTAATTCACAACATTGTGAATGTATATAATGCCATCTAATTGTACACTTATGAATGGTTAAAAAGATAAACATTATATATATATATTTTTTACCACAATAAAACAACAAAAGCAACACATGTTTATTATTTCCTAATTTCTGTGGATCAGGAATAAAGGCCAAATTTAGATAGGCCTTCTGCTTCAGAGTCTTTCAAAAGAGTGCAATCAATGCATTTTCTAGAACTAAGGACTCATCTGAAAGTTCTACCGGGTAGAAATCTGCTTTGACATTTACTTACGTGGTTGTCCACTGGGCCAGCTCCTTGAGAGCTGTTAAATTGGGAGACTTAGTTCCTCATTGGTGAGTGGCCCATTCTCACTTCCTTGCTACATGGGCCTTCCCAACATGGCAGATTGCTTCAGCAAAGCCAGGAAGAAAGATAGAAATTACAATCTCTTATATCCTAATTACAGGAGTGAAATCTCATCACTTTTGTCATATTACCTTGGTTAAAATTAAATCACTAAGTAGAGCCAACAATCAGATGAAGAGGATTACACAAGCATGAAAACAGTAGGAAGTAGGGGTCATTGGGCACCATCTTAGAAGTCAGCTTGCTACAAGAGATTGTTATCAGATGAAACCACAACATCTGGATGTAAATTATTAATATCACACTTTTGTATTACCACACAGTACCAAATCAAATATTTCTAAATAGTTGGCAATATGTTGCCAAAAATTGAGATGATTGTCTTAAAATATTCACCCGTATTCTGTATTTTTCTGGCACTGCAAAACAAAGACACAAAGATAAATATATTTATTTTGATACTTCCACCATTTGTTTTTGAAATATGGGAGAATTTTGCATGTCAGCTTATATAAATGACATTTTTGAAAGATGTTCAAACTATCTGGCCTTCTGAGAATCTGATTGCTTTATTATTGAACATCAATACCTTTCTTCCAACAATTTGACATGCCATTAATTGTGACTGTAAATCTTTGCTAGATCCTTGTAGAATTGTAATTGATGCCTAATGGCATCTAGCTAGTGCCTAAACTGTTTATCAATAAAGTTAATTCAGCCTTTGAAGAATATATAAATAAATGTGAATGTGTATGAATGAATGCATATATAATTTGTGCACCAAAATAGGCTGATGCTTTCTAAGAAAAACAGTGGCAAATCCTAAAACTCTGCCTAGTTCTTAGTAAAATAAAACTTTCTCATCTTACCTGGCCTCTCAGCTCTGAGTAAATTGGCTAATTTACTCATATTCCCTTAAGAATAATAACAGACATGTCATAGATGTCTATCAAGAGCCTGCACAGGACTAAATCCTGCTTTCAGTATCAGAAAGTCCAACTTATATTAAAATGGATACTAAGACAACATAACATTATAGGAATTTACTGCATCTGGTGTGGAGTTGGGTAGGAAATAAGAAGGGCATAGAAAGTTTGATAAAACACTTCACCTTACCAAATAAATGTAATAGAGGCTTCTGATTTAACACAAATAACAACAACAAAAATTCAGGTTGAATATGTGTCTTTGGGATAATTGTTCAACAAATTCAACATTTACACTATTAGTGTTATTTCCCTTCTCCTAATCACCCCTCTGTTCTTCTTTAGAATCTGTAATACTACTAATCTATTACTACTACAGGTCTCTCAAGGACACAGTGATATTTTTTATTTTTTTTTATTGCTATTCTGGTAAGGTAGAGAACTTTCAGAGGCTTCCACATAATCTTTCCTAATTTACAGTCCTCATGAGAGTATGAAATATTAATGTTATTTGGTGACTGAGTCAATTCCAAGCCTGTGTTTAAACACCTTGAAACTTTGGAATTTCTCTTTACCCAGTACACAGTCATTCTGGAAATAGTCTTATGTTTCTTTATGAAAAGGCTGGGAGAACAATTTACAGTAAGTAATTGTGGAAGGATTTCAGGATCCTGCTTAGAGTGACCTCGTCTTATTGCTCGTCAAAGAATTCCAAGTATATGAAGTGACTCAGTGTCATTGAAGTATAGTTCTTAGGAATACAAGAACTGAGACCAATCGTGTTAGTTTAAACTGGCTTTGCAACTCATAGGTTGGGTAAGTTTGGGCAAATAACGTTCCTGTGAAACTATTCCTCATTAATAAAGCAGGATACTTGAACATCTATCTCCAAGATTTGTTGTGAGAATTAAACAAATTAAGAGAATTAAACAAGTTAAGAAATTATTTATTTATTTTTATTTTTTATTTTTTTAATTTTTTTTTCTTGAGATGGAGTCTAGGTCTGTCACTCAGGCTGGAGTGCAGTGGCGCGATCTCGGGTCACTGCAAGCTCCGCCTCCCGGATTCACACTATTCTCCTGCCTCAGCCTCCTGAGTAGCTGGGACTACAGGCACCTGCCACCATGCCTGGCTTTTTTTTTTTTTTTTTTGTATTTTTAGTAGAGACGGGGTTTCACCGTGTTAGCCAGGATGGTCTCAATCTCCTGACCTCGTGATCCGCCCGCCTCGGCCTCCCAAAGTGCTGGGATTACAGGCGTGAGCCACTGCGCCCGACCAAGAAATATATCTTAAAGAAGGGGTGCTAAAGCAAGCCAATTCCTGAGAGGCATAGGACTCTTTTAAAATCTGACTTTGATTTAAAGAATCTAAGTGACTTTGTCAAACTTTAAATCGTCCTATGGTCCCTAAGTTTTTCACTCAAATATTCTTTCCTTTTTCTTTGACTTGGATGTAGATTTCCACTGAGAGCTGATAACTGTACATGATTTTACAGGGTCTCTCTCCATTTTTTCCCACTAGCATTTAACTTAATAAAACCCTTGCTCATTTAATTCTGTCTTGATGTCTGCTTCTCAGAGAGTACGTAGCAAAGGGCATGTTATCACTCAAATTAACTAGGAAGCAGGCTCTGAGACAGAGAGTAGCATTCATTAAGCTTATCAGGGGGTGCTCTTGTATATCTGTGAAGAAATTAAAGGGAGAATACCTGGAGAGAGGAAGAATTTGGACTGTGTGGCAGTATCAACAAAGTTCTCACCAGAACCCATGAGGAACTCACAATGTGAGCAGGCTCTTTTCATGTGTCCCAGTTTGGAATTGGTGGCTAGATTTTATACCTTTGCATTTGTCAGTAATTGCATGCAAAACTCTCTAGGAATGCGGTATGGCGTTAGGCAAAGCAGCTTACTCTACCCAGGGACAACTCCCAGATACGGCTGAAGGCTGAGGGCTGTTAGAATGTAGCATTTCTGGCATCTGGAAAAATAATTACTTTGGTCTTGAAAGTGGAATAATACTGTGTATTAAACCATCTATGTAGCCATGACAATAGAGCTAAAGGAAAATTTGGGCCAGTGATGAAACCTACCAAAACCTCTAGTCAATCAATCAGAAGTATTATTATTGTTTTATGAATATAATATTCTCAATTATACATTTATAATTCTCAAATCCTATTTGCATATCATCCCTTCCTTCCTTTCTCTATACTGAATTTCTTAAGTTTATGTTTAAAAGAGAATTTTTATACCCAATGTCCAGACCCTGGCTTTTATTATTATTCTCCAATAAATAGAACCAAGGGAGAGCCACTTCTAAAGAAGTAGAGTAAGGACCTCTGACTATTTATTCTTCCATAAAGGCAAAATGAATACAGGCAAATATTTTAAAAATGCACTTTCCAGGTTTTTGGAAATAAACAAGGAGCTTGCAAGAATATGAGGAACATTTATTCAAGAAACTGGCTGAATATTGACAAGATCAGTGAATTTTGTGTCACTTTATCCTATCTAATTACATCACTCTTCTCCCGGCTCCACAATAACGTTGAAAACCAAGAGCCTCACAGAGAAACCTTCAACCTCATATTAAATTCTCAAGGAGACAAAACGTATTTAAGGCTACTCCCCAGAAGCCCACGCTCTGATATTTGTCATTATTTTATCTGTCTTGCAGTTTATTTGAAATCCTTATACATATAAAGGACTTACCTGTACTTAACCTGACTCAGCACATACTCTCTTGAAACAGCCTTTTGATAGCATATTTGTAAAAAAACGATTAGCAATATTTATTTAAATTATAGTTGCAAGAGGCAATGGTAACAGTTGGAACAAAGAAGAAAATAACTGAACTTAAAAGAAAAGCCAGGGAATTAAATGTCCATATAGGACTTTGAAAAGCTTGGGCACATTCCTGGGAATTTAGAAGGCAATTTTCATGTGTAGGGCTGTGTGCCTGCTCAGGAAAGACTTGAGATGAGCCACTTTTCTCCATTCTAGCTGACATTGAGGCTCTCTGGAGGCAGGAAGTGAACACAAAGATAGACTTGTAAACCGCCTACTAGAGCAGGGGTCCCCAACCCTTAGGCTGCCGATGGGTACCTCTCCATGACCTGTTAGGAATTGAGCTGCACAGCAGGAGGTCAGTGGTGGGCAAGGGAGCATTACTGCCTGAGTTCTGCCTTCTGTTAGATCAGTGCTGGCATTAGATTCTCATAGAAGCAGGAACCCTATTGTGAACTGCACATGTGAAAGATCTAGGTTGTGTGCTCCCTGTAAGAATCTAATGCCTGATGAGAATCTAATGCCTGAGGTGGAATAGTTTCATCCCAAAACCATGCCCCTCCCCATAGAAAAGCTATCCTCCACATAACCAGTCCCTGGGGCCAAAAAGATTGTGGACGGAACATTGAAAACATGCTGAAATACACAAAGAGTCTCTTGGCAGAAGCTGGGAGATTTATGGGTTCAGGGCACTTAAGGAGATCTCTGTCTACTTATTAAATGAACACTATGCTAACTAAGCGAAGACTTCAGTAACTACACATGACAAAGGATACAGAAATTACAGAAGTTGTTAATGGAAGATACTAAACAAACAGTAATAACAACAAAAACCAACTCTTTGCAAGGAATGTAATTTTGAATTCACACATTATACTGTTTAAAAGGTACATTTTCAATAACACCCCAAAATACATAACATACAAAGAAACACAAAAGTCTGGCCCATACACACAGGGAAGAAGAGCAGTCAATAGAAAGTGTCCCTCAGCAATCTCTGGAATTTCTAGACTAATTTAAATCAGCTAATGTAAATATTTTAATGGCTTCCTGGATGGAATCCTGAAACAGAAAAACATCATCAGAGAAAAATCAATGAACTATCCATAAAATATGAAGTTTAGTTAATATTAAAGATCAGTATTGATCCATTAGTTGTGAAAAATGTAACATAGTAATGTGGGATTCATACAATAAGGGAAACTGAATATTTTGAAATTTAGAAGTGTGTATACATGTTTCTGTTGGCAGTAATTTTTTAAATTGTTTATTTGTCTGAAAATGTCTTAAGCTCAACTGAAAACTTAATTCATAGTTATCTTGGATATAAGGTAAGGGTTAGCCTTTTTTTACTTTTTAGAAATCTGCTTTTTGTCTAATTGCTCTGGTTTTAAAGGTAATCCATACAGAAATGCAATTGTTACAGTGTTACTTGTTGAAAAAACTTTGCTTCTGCCATTTGGCTCCTTTGTAAAAAACAAAAACAAAATGATTTATCATATCCATACGATTCTGCTTCTGGAGTCTTTATTTTGTTCCTATAAATAAGAGTTTTTATCACGAATGACTATTCATTTTAAAAATATCTTTCCTGCATTGAGATCTTCATATTATATTCTCATTTATTTTGCTCATATTGCTAATCACGTTAATTAATTTTCAAGTGTTATACCTGTCTTACATCCATGCACTATGCTTTTTTATATGTCACTGGTCTCCATTTGCTGTTAATTTGTTAAAGTTTCTGCATCTATAATCTTGAGTAAAATTTCCATGGAACCTATTCTTTAATTTTATTGTTGTTGTCGGGCTTTGGAGAATGGATTACTGCCCTCAAAAGTATCTTGTCATAGATGGCCCTTCTTTCTCTATTTTCTGGAAAGTTATATAAAATTGGTATTTGTTTTTAAATTTTTATTTTTGGTTTGGGGGTACATGTTAAGGTTTGTTACATAGATAAACACATGTCTTTTTTATTACTGGACAAGATGGCTGAATAGGAACACCTCGGGTCTGCAGCTCCCAACAAGACCAACGCAGAAGGCAGGTGATTTCTGCATTTCCAACTGAGGCACCCAGTTCATCTCACTGGGACTGGTTAGACAGTGGGTGCAGCCCACGGAGGGTGAGCTGAAGCAGGGTAGGGCGTTGCCTCACCCAGGAAGTGTAAGGGGTCGGGGAACTCCCTCCCATAGCCAAAGGAAGCCATGAGGGACTGTGCCGTGAGGGACGGTGCTATCTGGCCCAGATACTACACTTTTCCCATGGTCTTTGCAACCCACAGACCAGGAGATTCCTTCAGGTGCCTACACCACAAGGGCCCTGGGTTGCAACCACAAAACTGTATGGCCACTTGGGCAGACATCGAGCTAGCTGCAGGAGTTTTTTTTTCATACCCCAGTGGTGCCTGGAATGCCAGCAAGACCGAACCGTTCACTCTCCTGGAAAGCGGGCTGAAGGCAGGGTGCCAAGTGGTCTAGCTCAGCAGATCCCACCCCCATGGAGCCCAGCAAGCTAAGATCCACTGGGTTGAAATTCTCACTGACAGCACAGCAGCATGAAGTTGACCTGGGACGCTCCAGCTGGGTGGGGGGAGGGGCTTCTGCCATTCCTGAGGCTTGAGTAGGCAGTTTTCCCCTCACAGTGTAAACAAAGGCACTGGGAAGTTCGGACTGGGCAGAGCCGAAAAGCCCCGCAAAGTGGCTGTAGCCAGACTGCCTCTCTAGATTCCTCCTCTCTTGGCAGGGCATCTCTGAAAGAAAGGCAGCAGCCCCAGTCAGGAGCTTATAGATAAAACTCCCATCTCTCTGGGACAGAGCACTTGGTGGGGAGGGTTGGCTGTGGGTACAGTTTTAGCAAACTTAAACATTCCTGCCTGTGGGCTCTGGAGACAGCACAGCACTCGAGCTCTGCTAAGGGACAGACTGCCTCCACAAGTGGTTCCCTGACCCCATGCCTCCTTATTGGAGACACCTCTCAGGAGGAGTTGACAGACACCTCATACGGGAGACCTCCGGCTAGCATCTGGTGGGTGCCCCTCTGGGATGAAAATTCCAGAGGAAAAAGCAGGCAGCAATCTTTGCTGTTCTGCAGCCTCCACTGATGATACCCAGGCAAGCAGGGTCTGGAGTGGACGCCCAGCAAAATCCAGCAGAACTGCAGCAGAGAGACCTGACTGTTAGAAGGAAAACAAACAAAGCAATAGCATCAACATCAACAAAAAGGACGAACATGCAAAAACTCCATCTGAAGGTCATCAACGGCAAAGAACAAAGGCAGATAAATCCACGAAGATGTGGAAAAACCAGAGCAAAAAGGCTGAAAATTCCAAAAACCAGAATGCCTCTTCTCCAAAGATTGCAACTCCTCGCCAGCAAGGGAACAAAACTGGATGGAAAATGAGTTTGACAAATTGACAGAAGTAGGATTCACAAGCTGAGTAATAACAAACTCCTCTGAGCTGAAGGAGCATGTTCTAACCCAATGCAAGGCAGCCAAGAACCTTGATAAAAGGTTAGAGGAATTGCTAACTACAATAACCAGTTTAGAAAAGAACATAAATGACCTGGCAGAGCTGAATGACACAGCACGAGGATTCATAAAGCATACACAGTATCAATAGCTGAATTGATCAAGTGAAAGAAAGGATGTCAGAGATTGAAGATTAACTTAATGAAATAAAGTGTGAAGACAAGATTAGAGGAAAAAGAATGTAAAGGAACTAACAAAGCCTCCAAGAAATGTGGAACTATGTGAAAAGACCAAACCTACGTTTGATTGGTGTACCTGAAAGTGACAGGGAGAATGGAACCAAGTTGGAAAACACACTTGAGGTATTATCCAGGAGAACTTCCCCAACCTAGCAAGACAGGCCAACATTCAAATTCAGGAAATACAGAGAACACCACAAAGATACTCCTCGAGAAGAGCAACCCCAAGACACATAATTATCAGATTCACCTAGGTTGAAATGAAGGAAAAAATGTTAAGGGCAGCAAGAGAGAAAGGTTGGGTTACTCACAAGGGATGCCCATCAGACTAACAGTGGATCTCTCAGCAGAACCCTACAAGCCAGAATAGAGTGGGGACCAATATTCAACATTCTTAAAGAAAAGAATTTTCAGCCCAGAATTTTATATTCAGCCAAACTAAGCTTTAAAAGTGAAGGAGAAATAAAATCCTTTAGAGACAAGCAAATGCTAAGGGATTTTGTCAACACCAGGCCTGCCTTACAAGAGCTCCTGGAGGAGGCACTAAACATGGAAAGGAAAAACCTGTACCAGCCACCACAAATACAACCCAAAATGCAAAGACCATCAGCACTATGAAGAAACTGCATAAACTCATGGGCAAAATAACCAGCTAACATCATCATGACAGAATCAAATTCACATATAACAATATTAACCTTAAATACAAGTGGGCTAAATGGCCCAATTAAGAGGCACAGACTGGCAAATTGGATAAAGAGTCAAGACCCATCAGTGTGCTGTATTCAGGATACCCATCTCATGTGCAAAGACACACACAGGCTCAAAATAAAGGGATGGAGGAAGATTTATCAAGCAAATGGAAAGGCAAAAAATGCAGGGGTTGCAATCCTAGTCTCTGATAAAACAGACTTTAAATCAACATAGATCAAAAGAGACAAAGAAGGGCATTACATAATGGTAAAGGAATAAATGCAACATGAAGAACTAACTATCCTAAATATATATGCACCCAATACAGGTGCACCCAGATTCATAAAGTAAGTTCATAGAGCCTACAAAGAGACTTAGACTCCCACATAATAGTGGGAGGCTTTAACATCCCACTGTCAATATTAGACAGACAAATGAGACAGAAAATTAAAAAGGATATTTAGGAATTCAACTCAGCTCTGGGCCAAGCGGACCTAACAGACATCTACAGAACTCTCCACCACAAATCAACAGTAGATACGTTCTTCTCAGCACCACATCGTACTTATTCTAAAATTGACCACATAATTGAAAGTAAAACACTCCTCAGCAAATGCAAAAGAATGGAAATCATAACAAACCGCCTCTCAGACCACAGTGCAATCAAATTAGAATTCAGGATTAAGAAACTCACTCAAAACCACACAACGACATGGAAACTGAATAACCTGCTCCTGAATGACTACTGGGTAAATAATGAAATTAAAGCCGAGATAAATAAGTTCTCTGAAACCAATGAGAACAAAGACACAACGTACCAGAATGTCAGGGACACAGCTAAAGTAGTGTTTATAAGGAAATGTATAGCACTAAATGTCCACAGGACAAGGCAGGAAAATTCTAAAATCAACACCCTAACATCACAATTAAAAGAACTAGAGAAGCAAGAGCAAACAAATTCAAAAGCTAGCAGAAGACTAGAATTAACTAAGATCAGAGCAGAACTGAAGGAGACAGAGACAGGAAAAACCCTTCAAAAAATCAATCATACCAGGAGCTGCTTTTTGAAAAGATTAAAACCACCAGCCAGATTAATAAAGAAGAAAAGAGAGAAGAATCAAATAGACACAATAAAAAATGATAAAGGGGATATCCCACTGATCCCACAGAAATACAAACAACCATCAGAGAATACTATAAACATCTCTACACAAATAAACTAGAAAATCTAGAAGAAATTGATAAATTCCTGGACACAAACTCTCTCCCAAGACTAAACCAGGAAGAAGTTGAATCCCTGAATAGACCAATAACAAGTTCTGAAATTGAGGCAGTAACAGCCTACCAACCAAGAAAAGCCCAAGACCAGACAGATTCACAGACAAATTCTACCAAAGGTACAAAGAGGAGCTGGTACCATTCCTTCTGAAACTATGCCAAACAAAAGAAAAAGAGAGACTCCTCCCTAACTCATTTTATGAGGACAGCATTATCCTGATAGCAAAACCTGGCAGAGACACAACAAACGAAGAAAATTTCATGCCAATATCCCCGATCAACATCGATGTGAAAATCTTCAATAAAATACTGGCAAATTGAATCCAGCAGCACATTGAAAAGTTTATCCAACACGAACATGTCATCTTCATCCCTAGGATGCATGGATGGTTCAACATACACACATCAATAAACGTAATCCATCACATAAACAGAACCAATGACAAAAAACACATGATTATCCAAATAGATGCAGAAAAGGCCTTCAATAAAATTCAACACCCCTTCATGCTAAAAACACTCAATAAACAAGGTATTGATGGAACATATCTCAAAAATAATAAGAGCGATTGATGACAAACACACAGCCAATATCATACTGAACGGGCAAAAGCTGGAAGCATTCCCTTTGAAAACTCGCAATGACAAGGATGCCCTCTCTCACCACTTTTATTGAATATAGTATTGGAAGATCTGGCCAGGGCAATCATACAAGAGAAAGAAATACAGGGTATCCAAATAGGAAGAGAGGAAGTCAAATTATCTCTCTTTGCAGATGACAAGATTGTATGTTTAGAAAACCCCATCATCTCAGCCCAAAGACTCCTTAAGCTGATAAGCAACTTCAGCAAAGTCTCAGGATACAAAGTAAGTGTGCAAAAATCACATGCATTCCTATACACCAATAATAGAGAGCCAAATCATGAGCAATCTCCCATTCACAATTGCTCCAAAGAGAATAAAATATCTAGGAATAAAACTTACAAGGGATGAGAAGGACAGCTTCAAGGAGAACTACAAACCACTGCTCAAGGAAATAAGAGAGGACACAAAAAAAGGAAAAATATTCCATGCTCATAGATAGAAAGAATCAATATTCTGAAAATGGCCATACTGCCCAAAGTAATTTATAGATTCAATGTTATTCCCATCAAGCTACCATTGACTTTCTTCACAGAAGTAGAAAAAAAACTTTACATTTCACATGGAACCAAAAAAGAACCCATATAGCCAAGACAATCCTAAACAAAAGGAACAAAACTGAACGCATAACGCTACCTGACTTCAAATTATACTACAAGCCTACAGTAAACAAAACAGCATGGTCCTGGTACAAAAACAGACATATAGACCAATGGAACAGAACAGAGGCCTCAGAAATACCACCACACATCTACAACCATCTGATCTTTCACAAAACCAACAAAAACAAGCAATGGGAAAAGGATTCCCTATTTAAGAAATGGTGTTGGGAAAACTGGCTAGCCATATGCAGAAAACTGAAACTGGACCCCTTCCTTATACCTTATATAAAAATTAACTGAAGATGGATTAAAGATTTAAGTGTAAGACCTAAAACCATAAAAACCCTAGAAGAAAACCTAGTCAATACCATTCAGGACATAGGCATGGGCAAAGTCTAGATGACTAAAACACCAAAAGCAATGGCAACAAAAGTCAAAATTTACAAATGGGATCTAACTAAACTAAAGAGCTTCTCCACAGCAAAAGAAACTATTATCAGAGTGAACAGGCAACCTACAGGATGGGAGAAAATTTTTGTGATCTATCCACCTGACAAAGGGCTAATACCCAGAATTTACAATGAACTTAAACAATTTACAAGGAAAAAAAACACCATCAAAAAGTGGGCAAAGGATATGAACAGACACTTTTCAAAAGAAGACATTTATGTGGCAAACAAATATATGAAAAAAAGCCCATCATCATTAGAGAAATGCAAATCAAAACCACAATGAGATATCATCTCATGCCAATTAGAACGGCAATCAATAAAAAGTCAGGAAACAACAGATGCTGGAGAGGATGTGGAGAAATAGGAACACTTTTATACCGTTGGTGGGATTGTAAATTAGTTCAACAGACAGCATGGCAATTTCTCAGGGATCTAGAACCAGAAATACCATTTGACCCAGCCATCCCATTACTAGGTATATACCAAAAAGATTATAAATCATTCCACTATAAAGACACATGCACACTGCACACATATGTTTATTGCAGCATTATTCACAATAGAAAGACTTGGAACCAAACCAAATGCCCATCAGCGTTAGAATGGATAAAGAAATTGTGGCACATATACACCATGGAATACTATGCCGCCATAAAAAGAATGAGTTCATGTCCTTTGCAGAGACATGGATGAAGCTGGAAACCATCATTCCCAGCAAACTAACACAGGAACGGAAAACCAAACACCACATGTTCTCACTCATAAGTGGGAATTGAACAGGAGAACTTAATGGGCAAAGGGAGGGGAATATCACACATCTGGGCCTGTGAGGGGTGGGAGGCAAGGGTAAGGATAGCATTGGGAGAAATACCTAATGTAGATGATGGGTTTATGGGTGCAGCAAACCACCATGGCACATGTATACCTATGTAACAAACCTGCACCTTCTGCACATTATCTCAGAACTTAAAGTATAATAATAAAAAAAAGAAATAAAGTCATTAAATAACTAAAAAAAAGCACATGTCATAGTGTATTTTTGTAAGCATTATTACATCACCCAGGTATTTAGCTCAGTATCCAGCAGTTATCTTTCCTGCTCCTCTCCCTCCTCCCACCCTGCACCCTCAGGAAGACCCCAGTGTCTGGTGTTTCCTTCTATGTGTTCATAAGTTCTTATCATTCGGCCTTCACTTTTAAGTGAGAACATGTGATATTTTGTTTTCTGTTCCTGTGTTGGTTTGCCAAATATGGTAGCCAGCTCCACTCATGTTCTCATAAAAGACATATTGTCATTCCTTTTTATGGCTGAACAACATTCCATGGTGTATATGTATCACATTTTCTTTATTAGTCTGTCATTGATGGGCATTTAGGCTGATTTCATATCTTTGCTATTGTGAATAGTGCTGCAATGAACATTCACGCTCATGTGTCTTTATGGTAGAATGCTTTATATTCCTTTGGGTATATATCCAGTAATTGGATTGCTGGGTTGAATGGTAGTTTTGCTTTTAGCTCTTTGAGGAATCACCATACTGCTTTCCACAGTGGTTGAACTAATTTACACTCCCACCAACAGTGTAGAATTGTTCCCTTTTCTCCACAACCTCACTGGCATCTGTTATTTTTTGACTTTTTCATAGTAGCTATAGACTTCCTATTTCTTATTTATGTGTGTTATAAAATTCAGCTGGGATGTAATCTGGACATATTTTTTTATTAGTGTGAATTTTTATTAAAAAGCAATGTATTTTATAGATATGTTTATTTACAATCTCTAGCTCTTTTTTGTAATTTGCTAAGAAATTTTCCAACTAATCTAAATTATTGAAAACATTGGCAGAAAAAATTTTATACCATTCCTTACACAATATTTCTCTTTCGTTCATGATATAACTTGTAATCTCTTTTGTTGTATCAGTTGTGTTAGGTAGTTAGACATTAGCAGCTTTGAGGAGGTGAAAGAGGAAAATAGAAAGGCTGTCACTAAGACAGGCCCTGGCCCACCTTAGTTCAGCCCCAAGACCACCTTCACTCCACTAACAGATGGAGTTTGTTGTAAAGTCTGTGGCCAGCACTTCCTGAAGAAAGAGAAATTAGGGCACAGGTGGAATCCTCTGAAGTGGCACATGCCCAGTAAGCTAAAACTGTATTTTCGAGTTGACCCTGCAGTGGGCTTTTCTTAATGAATTATAGGTAAAAACATGCACAGTTTAGCTTTATTTATATAACCATAAACTGCCAATCAAATAACATTATCCTGTCACTCAGACACAGCCCAAATCTCGACTCCTCTCCACAAACCCCATAAAAGTGAAATGGCCTCAATGTCTGGAGTAACACCTGAAATTAGTTGTCTCACGGCCATGGAAAACTAGGATGTGGACACACAAAGAGTGAGGCTGAGAGTGGAAGATTAATGGGTGAAAGAAAGAGAAGAGCTCTCTGCTGCAGAGAGGGGTGCCAGAAAAATGGTTGCTAGCTCTGTGGTGAAATGCAAGGGGTTTTAGAAATGCCTGATAAGAAGGCAGTGTTTGATTTACATAGGGTGCAAAAGATGAGTTGGACCAGGAGTGCCAATCGCATAGGGCACAAAAAACTGGTTAGGACTAGGTGTGTCATTTGCATAGGGTGTAAATTTCTGGCCACCCCATCCTAATCTTTTATAATGAAAGTGGGTCCTCTGCCTGAGTTGCACTGTGTTGCACTTTTCTTTACTGTACACGTGGTTAACAAAAACAGGGAAGATGGAGCCTCCATGTTGGACATGCTTGGCCCCCAAGTAGCCCTTTCCTATTGGCACAGCTGCCAGCATTCCCTCATGCAAGCTTCCACCTTGCTTATCTATGTTTGCAGCTTGATTTTTCAGGCTGCTCTTTGTTAGAAAAGAAATGATTTTGGGGCTTCTTTTTGTTAGAAGGGAAGTTCTGCCTGAGGACTACGTTGCCCTCACTATCTGCCTAAATAATTTCTTTTTACCTCCTGTATCAGAAGCACCTTGAGTTTTGTAAAGAGGGGCTGATTTCACTTTACAGAAATCAATCCGCTCTCCCTCTGAGAGTGTATTACTGTGCTTCAATAAACTGCTTTGAGCTCACCTTTTGGTGTTAGTTTGCAATTGTTTGCTCACTATCACAAGATCCAAGATTCCTGCTCCAGAGCTTCAGCTCTGTTGATCTCCTTGGTTAAAGGATCCACCCCAATGTAGAATTCTCAGTAACAACTGGTCTAGCTAAAGGACTATCAATTTTATAGAATTTTATAAGTAAAATAATTTTGCTGATATTAGTTTTCTCTATTGTTTGCCCATTTGCTATATTTTATTTTTATTATTGTTATTGGATACTATAGTATAGTATCCAATTTGTTTTCCTTTGTATAATATTTGGAAGCCTAGATAACTTATTTTCTATGTTTCTCTTTTTTATAATACATATTTAAAGTGATACAATTCCCTCTAAGCAAAACTTCATCTTCATCCCACAGATTTTTATCTGCTATTTTTAAATTTGTATTTAGTCACTCAGTTCATGGCAACTGTAATTTTTTATTTTTTCTTTCACTCATGATTTATTTATCTTACTGAATTTTTATTTGAAAATACTGGGAATTCTGATGTTTGATTTTTCTAAGTCAAGATGCTTGATACTTTTGTTCCAGTTTTCCCTATACTTAATGATTTTCTATTTGTTTATCCATTACTGATGGAGGAAAATTGAAATCCTAAATATAATTGTTAATATCTATGTTTGTCATTTGTTGCTTTATGCATTTTGAAACTCTGTTATATTTGATAACATTTAGAACATTATGCTGCCCTCTGAATTAACCCTTTTCTATTGTGAAATGCTCCTTATGCTTGATAATATAGTGTCACTCTGATGTCTACTTGATATTAATTTAGCCACTCCAGCTTTCTTATATTTAGTGTACTCCAACTTTCTTGTGATTAGTGTTTAGATACTGCATCTTTTTCTTTGCTTATACTTTTTTATCTACTTTGGCTTTATATTTAAATTGAGTTTCTTGTAGGTAGCACGTAGTTGGGTTTTGTATTTTTATCCAATATGACAATCTCTACCTTAAAGTGTTTAGAATAATATTTAGTGTAATGATCTGTATGGTTTGATTTATATCAGTCATCTTGGTTTTCATTATTTGTCTCATGTTCTTTGTTCCAGGTTTCCTACTTAGCTGCTTTAGCTGCATTAAAGTGTAATCTTTAGAATTCTATATTATATTCATTATTATCTCATTAATACATTAAAAATTAAATTTTCCTGTCAAAAGAGCTTTGGTTCAATTATATTATGTATACTATTATAAAGTAATTATATATTTACTGCAAAATTTCACATTAAATATTTATGATTCCACATATTAAGTAAATTCTCTAATTGCCAATGTTAAAGGTAAAAGTTTATATCATACCCATAGGGACATACAATAATGATTTTTTGATCTTCCATACAAAACACCAAAACTACTAGGTTGAGAAAATTCTACAGTTCAATATTTTCTTCTATGGTACTCTTATAAAAAGATCAAATAGACACTATAAATGTGCTTCTTAGCTTCGAGAATAGAGTGTAGAATACCTTAGGCACTCCCAAATTCTTAAGTTTCTAAAACAGAACTAAAATACTAGTATTATTTTTAATACTTTATCTACTATTGAGTACCTGAGGAAAAATCTTCAGGATATTTATATCAAGCAGGAATTCCGTGTAAGTTGCTGTGGGCACTTTTCTAGAGCTTCCAGCACTTGTTCTCTGTTTAGGTGTTAATCATCCTGTGAACTCGAACAAGTAAACCTCTGTCCCTACTTATTTACAGATGCTTTCAGCTCAGCCTTACCATTTTTGTAAGATCTTTCACATAAACAAGTGCTGTTTTGGTAATTTATACCGTAAGGGCAGATAGTGATAATTAATATCCAATAGAATATCCTAATATTCTGACATTAAAAATAGGTTGAGTAAATGTTTCAGAGACTTCTAACTTTGATTTCTTAGGTATTCATTGGCCAACATTTTTCTATATTTCATGGATCATGATAAGTACCCCTAAACAGCAAAACAATCATTTTTGTGCTTCCTATAAATACAGGATCGGTGGGAAAAGTTAACCGAACAATCAGGACAGTGTAAAGGCAGAGAAGTGTTTTATTATGGGCCTCTTTAAAGATCAGCTCATCCTGCCCATAATAACGGGTTCAAATGATCCTGCATGAGTCTGCTATTAGCAGTTGTACTGTTACGTTATGCATGGCATTTGACTATTCATAGAAAAGGAAATGCACTGTTTTCCATTAGTGGTTTTCTATGAGTGTAAGTCTACAAATTACTGATGATGTTTAGCCTGATGTATTGCTCCTTTGCATATTTATAATGTTCCTGTCACATTCATTATTAATATGAATATAATGTGAAGGACTAAAGAATATGATTTCTATCAATTTTAGATTTTGTGTTTGTGATTCAAGCACTTATGCAAAGGTGACAGTGTATTTACATACCAGTTCACATATGCATGAATAGAAAATACCCTTGCACTATGTCTTGTATCATAGTTGGTACCCCAAAGTGTAAAATGAGATACCAAAGTAATTTAAAGTAAATGTTATTTCTGAAACCAGGATATGATGACATTCTACAGTGGCTGACAATTTTTCTGGTCCAGAGGCACCTGTAGACAATTAATAGGAAGTCAAGCACACCAGCACACAATTATTCTCCAGCTTTTGTGGTATTCTCAACTTTTGTGGTAAATATTCCAAAAAGAGGGAATTTTGTAGGATAAGAATATGAACAGGGTTCCCCAAACTCTGAGAGGCTTATTATTTCTTTTACTGTTTCTGAGTATAAACATTTTTATGCCACATGATTTCTGAAGGTGTCTAGATGATGGCTCTTATGAAAGCTTAAAATTCTGGGTGAGTAAGAACAGAATATATCTTACATTGTCACTGCATCTGTCACAAATTAGATTGGAGACAATTTAGTTTTCTGGTCCCCCAAATTTATAAAGTTTAATATGAAAATAAATTATTAAAGGTTTTGCTTTCAGGTTTGACAATGTAGATATAATCAGACCATAAATGACAGATAAAATTTTTACAAAAAAAGAGAAAATAAAGCCCTAAAAACATGAGTTTAAAGGCACTGAAGAGTACTCGGCACTCAATTGGACAAGATTCAATAACAAAACACATTGAGTTGACCTGTACATTTGTAGGAATTTTTCTCTTGGGACTTTTGGTCATCAGAAAGCACAAGCTTAGAGTTCACAGTAGTCTCAATGATTTACCAATGCAGTCAGAACTTGAAGAACCAACACCTCAAATAAAAGTCAATCATAGTTTATTTCAGGTTGCAAGCATATTTACATGGTTGAAAATTAGTTATGTACCTTACTACTTAGTAGACTAAATGAGAAAAATTATATATGATGCATAAAATATATTTGATAAAATTCAGCATCCATTCTTGGTTTGAGAACACAAAACTGAAACAAGCCCTAACCAAAAAATTTTTGGTAGCCAATAATAGCCAGGATCATTGATAAGTTCTTGGAAATTGCAACTTTAAGAAAAACAATGTATAATAAAATCTATTTTTTCTCATGAACATTATAACAAAATGACATTGATTGAAATAACATTATTCACTTAGTTTCACTTGAAGTCACAGTTTCCAAGAACCTACTGACAATGTTAAGTGAGGGCTTTCCCTGTGTACACACACACACACACACACACACACACACACACAGAGAATAAGTGTATACTGTATATACAGATACAGTTGACCCTTGAACAACAGGAGTTGGAACTACATGAGTCTAATTATATGCAGATTTTCTTTCACTTCTGCCACTCCTGTGACAGCAAGACCAACCCCTCTTTTTCATCCTCTTCCTCAACCTACTCAACATGAAGATGATGAGGATGAAGACAGCTATAATGATCCACTTCTGCTTAATGAACAGTAAATATATATTCTCTTCCTTGTAATTTTCTCAATACCATTTTCTTTTCTCTAGTTTACTTTATTGTTAGAATACAGTTCAGAATACATACATACAAAATATATGTGAATCAACTGCTTCTGTTATCATTAAGGCTCCTGGTCAATGATAGTCTATTAGAAGCTACTCGGGAGGCTGAGGCAGGAGAATCGCTTGAACCTGGGAGGCGGAGGTTGCAGTGAGCCCAGATTGTGTCACTGCACTCCAGCCTGGGCAACAAGAGAGAAACTCTGTGTAAAAAATAAAAAAAGAAGAAGAAGAAGTAGTTACATTTGGGGGAGTCAAAAGTTATACATGAAGATTTGACTCTATGAGGAGGGGTGCACCCCAATGCCCATGTTGTTCAAGGGTCAATTGTATATATATGTGTGTGTATACATACATGGAGAGAGAGAGAGAAAGCACCGTATTTAAAGGTAAAATAAAAAAAATCCCCCAAAATATCAGAAAATTAGAGACACTGTTACTCTAATTCTGGCACACACAATAAAATACAATAATGAGAGAAACAGAAGAAATAAAACCCCTGACACAACATTATTTATATAGAAAATCCAAAATAATAAACATGTAAACTATCAAGACTATAAATAAATGTAGCAAGATCACTGGATACAATGTCAATATACAAAAATAAAATCCACTTCTATATATCAGCAACAGGCTATTAGAAAATGGAATAAAAGAATACATTTGTAATAACATCAAAATAATTAAATATATTGGGAATTATCTAATAAAAGATGCCTAAAGCTTCTTTCTAGAAAAGTAAAACATATTTCTGGGAAGCATTAAAGAAATTTTAAATAAATTGAGGGTATAACATAGACTGCAAGAATATTATAAAAATGCTCCGTCTCTTAAAATTGGTCTTTGCATCCCAGACAATTTCAATTAAAATACCTAAAGATATCTTTTGTTTTTTTTTTTTTGGCCTGAAGAAATTGATAGGATGATTATAAAATTTATTTGGAAATGCAAAATACCAAGAATAGTGAAGATACCTTTGCAAGGAACAACAAAGTTGAAGGACTTGTACTGTCTGTTATACCAACTTATTTCCCTATGGTTGAAATACAAATTGAAAAGTAGATAGATGCAAATGAGTATTGAGTCCAGATACAAACCTATTTATATAATCACCTAATTTATAACAAAAGTTGCCACTGTGTTTATGCTAAATCAACAGAATATCCAGAGAGAAGAGAACCTTGACTTCTACATTATACCACACAAAAAGTAATCAATTCCAAATGAATTGTAGGCCTAAAAGGAAAAAGAAAAAATTTCCAGCATAATATTAAAAAAACTTTATGACCATAAAATATGCAACAATACCTTTTAAAAAAGCAACATTAATAAGAGGGAAAAGATTGATACATTGAATTTTATTAGAATTTAAAACTTTGAGTTTATAAAATATATCACAATTAAGAATGTGAAAAGGCAGACCAGAAGATAAGAGAATATATTCAGGATACATATGTCAGAGGTAGAACTCATGTACATTTATATATAAAAGATTGTTATATATCAATAAAAAGGGCTTACTCTGCAATAGGAAAATGAGAAAATGACTAGAAAAATGTCTTTCAATATAAAATATTAAAATTACAACCAAACATCTAAAATATATTCAATATCACTAGTCAATCACAGCTTTTTACCTGTATATGCCACCAAATTATCTAAAAGATAAAAACTGAAAATATGAAGCATAAGTGAGAGTACTGGGATACTAGAACTCACATACATTACTGGTAGGTGAGTAAACTGGCATAACCACTTTTTAAAAAATAAATTTAAATGTATGCACATACTATGATGCAGCAACTTCATTTTCAGAGATATAACTAAAGTATGTATGTATATCTTTACATCAAAAATAGATGTACAAAACTGTGAAAGCAATAAACTCAATGAAAAACAAATCAAATGTTATCAAGAATAAAATAGGTAGACCAGGCACAGTGGCTCATGCCTGTAATCCTAGCACTTTGGGAGGCCATGGTGAGTGGGTTCACTTGAGGTCAGGAGTTCGAGACCAACCCAGCCAACATGGTGAAAACCCATTTCTATTAAAAATACAAAAGTGGCCGGGTGCGGTGGCTCACGCCTGTAATCCCAGCACTTTGGGAGGCCGAGGTGGGCGGATCACGAGGTCAGGAGATCAAGACCATTTTGGCTAACAGGGTGAAACCCTGTCTCTACTAAAAATACAAAAATTAGCCGGGCATGGTGGCGGATGCCTGTAGTCCCAGCTACTCTGGAGGCTGAGGCAGGAGAATGGAGTCAACCCAGGAGGCGGAGCTTGCAGTGAGCTGAGATGGCGCCACTGCACTCCAACCTGGGCAACAGAGCGAGACTCCATCTCAAAAAAAAAAAAAAATACAAAAGTTAGTAAGGCATGGTGGCAGGCACCTGTAATCCCAGCTACTCAGGTGGCTGAGGCAGGAGAATTGTTTGAACTCGGGAGGCGAAGGCTGCAGTGAGCTGAGATCATGCCACTGCACTCCAGCCTAGGTGACAGAGCAAGACTCCATCTCAAAAAAAAAAAAAAAAGTAGGTAAATTGTTATATACTCACACATAGTATTATAATCAAATGAATAAATCACCACTTGGTGCAGCAGCAGAGATGAATCACACAGATCATTGCTTCATAAAACAATGAAGAATTGTTGTATGAAGATGAATCTCAAAATTATAATTTTGAGTGAAAAAAAGCCAGAATCCAATGTATGTAATGTATGGTTTCACTCATATAAGTTTCAAAAACAAGAACAACTAGTCTCTTGATAAAACTCAGACTAAAGTATATATCCTGACATGATATCAAGGAAGAAGCACACAGATATTTCTGGTTCTCATGGTAATCATTTATATTTTGATTTAAGTGGTTCTTGTACAAGTGTGTTCACAGTGAAAAAATTAAAGAAGCTATACACGTCATGCATACGTTTCCCATTCTGTGTACTGTATTTCAATAAAAATATTTTAAATAAAACCTTGATATAACATTTGTTTCAAGGAAGTTGTTATTCAAATAATTACTATATTTCTACTAATAGGAAATGTAAGATCATACAAGAGTACAGATGCTGTGCTATCATATCATAACATTTACTTCTGAGAGAAAAATCATGGAGAAAGAACACGAACAAGCATGATTTTCTTGTTTTCACCATCCAAATGTTAACCTTCATTTATGGGAGGGAAATATTTTTTATATGAATCATAATAAATATGTTATGAAAGAATAGCCATTTTTATTACAATAATGGATTTCTGCTATCAAAACTGTACTCCTACTTTTTTTTTTTTTAACCCCAGATGTAGTCTTGCTCTGTCGCCCAGGCTGGAGTGCAGTAGCGCCATCTTGGCTCACTGCAACCTCCGTCTCCCTGGTTCAAGGTATTCTCCTGCCTCAACCTCCCGAGTAGCTGGGATTACAGGCACGCACCACTATGCCCTGCTAATTTTTGTATTTTTAATAGAGACAGGGTTTCACCATGTTGTCCAGGCTGGTCTCAAACTCCTGACCTCATGGATCTACCCACCTCTGCCTCCCAAAGTGCTGGGATTACAGGCATTAACCACCGCACCCAGCCTGCAATCCTGCTTTCAAAGCTTATTTCACTTGCTTATATTAATTGTAGCTTCCCTAAGATCTTCAGTCAAAATAAATGTTCCTTCTGTTACTCCAGAGTGCTTTGCTTGTTGTCTTTTTTTACTATTACAATACATGTCTAATTTTGTTTTATATCATACACCATACTTTTATCTAATGCCCTCTTCCTCATTGAACAGTTGCTATTGTAAGACAATAACAAGTACACACATGAAATATGTGGAGTTTCTATCCTCTAGATTTTCACTGAAAAGAAAAGCATACACATTCATAAGGAACTATGAATTTTATACTGCAACAGAAACCTGTAATAAGTACTGCAACTGAGATGGAAGAAGGATACATTTGAACAAAATGTACCACAGGTAAATCTTATCAGGAAGGATATGAGCTAAATCCGGGGGTATAAGTAAGTTGTTCCTTTGTTAGTTCATTTAGTCAATTATTTAAGATTTACTGAATACTTCTACATGCCCAGTACTGAGATAGATGCTGGAATTGTACAAATGAATAAGATGCAGCCTCTACTCCAGAGAAATTCAGTGTTTAATAGTAGAAATCCACATCTTGACATATACTCACAACAAAGTGGACTGCACTGCATACGTAAGAGTTATATTTAAAGTGTTCTGAAAGCATAGAGGAAGGAGAAATAGTAGCTCGTGGTCAGTAGACATAAAAACAACATCGACAATATTTTTTGTGAGTTTAGCACACATAAAGCACTACACTAAGGGTTTCCCATGCATGAGTTCTCTAATTTACTCCTAGACTAAACATTTCCAGTAGGCATTATTACCAGGTTTAATGGATGAGGAAACCAAGGGACAAGAAGGCAAGTTAGATTGCCTAAGGATACATATTACTCAGAGATTCAGGATCATAAACTCAAATTGTCTTACGTCAAAGCTCTGAAAATACTATCCTCACCTTTAATCACACAGTCTCTGTGACATATTCTAAAGTGCTGCTTTTCTACCTTCAGGCATTAAGAGCAGTGACTGAAAATAATTTACAAAACTGTAAGATACTAATCATAGATGGGGACTCAAAATTTTTACAAATTCAGATCTACATTCATTACTAATCTATCAGTAACACTGTGTTATAATGTCCTCCTTGGAGAAGTCTCTAGAGGGAGAGAAACTTTGAGCAGAGGTTAGGTAGGAGAAAAATTGTGAAGGGTGGGAGGACATGAGCACATTTCTAGCCCAGGAATATAGTAGATGGAAGACACAAATGACTAAAAGAGGTGATTTAATAGTGAAATTTCAAGCACAGTAGTTCCAGAAACTCTAGTAAAGGTATATAAAGGGAGAATAAGGCAAAAGTGCCTGAGTAAGATTTCATCAGACATAGGTATGAGTGAAGGGCATTCTGCTTAAATAAAATAGTGGCAGCAGTGAACAATGGTGTGACATTTTTAGCTTAAAGCTAGTAATACGTGGAAGCAAAATGTTAAATGAGCAAATAGTGCCTTGCACATAATACACATTTAATATATATTTATTGACTAGACTTTAGAAAGACTTTATTATTTACCGAGTTACAGAAGTATAAAAAATTAACATGTTTATTTCCTTCATTATTATTTCAAGTTTTAAATACATAGCTAAGGGAATATGCTGTGCACTGATTTTTTTCAGGAGTCTTGTTTCTTATTTTGAATTTATGAACCTTTACAATGAGTAATAATAATTACATATGCAATTTAGACTTGTAATTGTATAATAAATCTCTACTTTCATGATATATCTCTGCTTGATATTTAGTACCTGGGATTAACATCTAGGATTACTAAATTTCAGAATCAAAATATATGCAGTATACACCTTAATTTGTTCCATGTTTGATTCAACTGATTAAACGTGAAGAATTACAAGGCAGTATAGGTATTTTGTATTGAAAATCTTCTACTGAAACTTGAAACTTGATGTCTAAAGGAGATTCAAAACGTATCTGATGGTACAGCACTTGCTGAAATCTAAGTGTGAGACACAGGGTGTCACAACCCAAGATGACAGAAACTTGTGTTACTGAGAAAAGCCTTTCCCTTTGACAAAATGTCTGCCACAAAGCATCCCACACTCTTTCATACAGAATGCAGGAAATTGTCATTTCGATGTTTTCTCATGCATGGATTACAGAAGAGAAAACAAAACTAAAGACCATAATTTTAATGTCTGAAGTGAATGAAAGAGAGTAAGCCTTAATTAGCCCATAAAATACAGAATAATGGAAAAAAAAATCTACAGGAATTCCCGAAGACTAATTTTAGCTGGTAATTTTAATGCACTTCCCAATAGAACTATTTAATCAGAAATAATGAAAATTAATGGCCACTGGACAGCACTTCATTTTCAAAGAGCTTTAGAAAAGTTAACACACTGTTATATGGATTTAGCTCTAATAGGCTTCTGGGTCACTGGCGAGCCAGTTCAAATATGGATCTACCATGCTGATTAGTTATGAGTCATGTATCTCCAATTGCAAGGGTTGTGCTTTGAGTATTCGTCAAAGACATTCTGTATAAACCAGCTGTCCATTAAAAGCTTTTCTCCAAGCTACGTGAGTCAATTCAACAGTGGAGACGCTCCTTTTATTGTTAAGGAAAAAAAAATAACAATATGGGCATGTGAGAGAGTAACTCAATGTTTGAATACATAAACAGGTTCCTACAGTAGAATGTCTTATTAAAATAATTTTGTTTAGGTGTTCAATACCAACTCTGATTTTTCTACTACAATTTCTTTCTGAACTAAAAAAAATGATTCCTTTAACTATTTTATCTTTCTCTGCTCATTTTCTAAGTCTTCCTCCCTGAAAAATATTTTCTTCTAACTCTGGATGGCATCATTTACTTCCAGCTTTTCAATTCTCACCTGCATCCCCCTTGTAAGTCCTTGCATTCTCTAGTCTCCCACTGACAACCGCTTATTTACTTTCTGTCATTGGTTACATTTTTCTAGAATTTTATATAAATGAATTATACTGTAAGTACAGGTTTTTGTCTAACTTTTTAACTTTACATAATGAGCTATAATTAATCCATGTTGTGTGCATCAGTAGTTCCTTCCTTTTAATTACTGCATAGTCTTCCATGTCATAAACATCCATACATATATCCTGTGTATATGTTACAATTTGTTTATCCATTCACCTATTTCACTTTTTTTCCAGGCTGGGGCTATTATGAAAGAAACTGCAACAGATTTTCAGATGTGTTAACAAATAATTTTAAAGATATATGCTTTCATTTCCTATGGGATAATTCCAGGAGTAGAACATCTGCATCATATGGCAGATATACATTTAACTTAAAAAAAACAAACCTGTGAAACTGTGTTGCAAAGCAGTTGGGACATTTTAGCTCACCACTAGCAGTGTATGAGAATTTCACCTGCTCCAGGTTCTTAACAGCACTTATACTTTGGTTTTAGCTTTGTTATTTTAAATATGTAGTGTTAAAAAGTTGTGGTATTGTGCTTTTAATTTACCTTTCTGTAATGATGACAATGATGAACACCATTTCAGGTGCTTATTTGTCATCTGCATAACTGCTGCAATTGTCTGCTTAAACACTACGTGTGTATATATATATTGCATATATACAGATATATATATTTTGTCTGTGCCTTTGACACACTATACATATATATAAAGTTATATATATGTGTATATATACACACACATATATACACATGTATAATGTAGAGAGAGAGAGACAGAGTGGTCAACAGGCACAGACAAAATTAGCTCCCAACAAAGGCCTGCAAACCAAAAAACAGGAAAGCAGCAGCTTAGTTAACAGAAAACTTTTAGATAATAACTGTTCTACTTTAGCCAAACATACACACCAAAAACAAAAATAAAAATAAAAAGTGACCTCACCTTCCCTCTCACAAGCAAAGCCTAGTTGAAGATCGCAGATTATCCATTTGCCAAGCGCAATGAAGTGCCTCCAGTTACCTTGTAGGAGTGGTTTCAAAGGTCAGATAGGGAACCTAGACTTTCATTCCACCTTTGGATGGTATCAAAAGAGTCCTGGTAAAAGGTTATCATCAACCCCCAGTGGTAACAAGACCATCCCCTCTATGGTGTCAGTGAGGCCTTGTATAGAAACGGTAAGAAGACATTGCTGCGGCCAGGCGCGGTGGCTCATGCCTGTAATCCCAGCACTTTGGGAGGCCGAGGCGGGCAGATCATGAGGTCAGGAGATCGAGACCATAATGGCTAACACAGTGAAACCCCGTCTCTACAAAAATACAAAAAAATTAGCCGGGCATGATGGTGGGCACCTGTAGTCCCAGCTACTCAGAGGGCTGAGGCAGGAGAATGGCATGAACCAGGGAGGCGGAGCTTGCAGTGAGCCGAGAACGCACCACTGCACTCCAGCCTGGGCGACAGAGCGTGACTCTGTCTCAAAAAAAAAAAAAAAAAAAAAAGGTGGCATTGCTGCCTCTCTCAACCAGGTAGTACCAGTGGGAGCCTAGCGGAGAGCTGGAAAACCCAAGCCCCTCAGTATAAATGAGGAATGTCAACGTTGGCCCCATGGGGAACCTTAACTACCAAAACCATCTGCCAATAACAGTATGGTTCTCTTACTCCTTCTTCTGATTGATCAGTGTCACAGGGGACCAGCTATATCAGAAGATATAAATAAGATCAACAATATAATACTCACAATTTCCAGATTTCAAATAAAACTTTCTTATTATACGACATACCAAGAAAATCTCAACTTGAACAAGAAAAGATAATCACAGATGACAACACTGAGGTTATAGAGTTATAAAACTGCCTTTCAAGGGTGTCAAAGCATCTGTCATGTAACTGCCTACATAAGCAATCATAAGAATGCCTGAGATGAATTACAAAATAGAAGGTCTCAACAAAGAAACAGAAGATATAAACTATTAAATTGAAAATTTATAACTGAAAAATTTAGTATATTTTCTTAAATGAGTGGATTGGTTCAAAAACAAAATAAGGTATACAAAGGAAGGAATTAGTAAACTTAAGATAACAACTAAAATAGAAATTACCCAATATAAACAGCAATAAGAACCTAGACTAAAAAGTAACAATCTTAGGAACATTTTGGACTATAATTACGTATGTGACATTTGCATCACCACAGTCTTAGAAAAAGAGGAGAAAAGAGTGGAGCTGGAAAATGTTTCTGAGTAAATAATAGCCTAAACACTTCCACAAGTTGGCAACAGATATAATCCTATGAACTCAAGAAACTGAACAAATTCGAAATAAAATGATCAAATGCTGTCTTTTTGTCCTAAATAGCATGTTTGTTCCCCATGTTCCTTCTTTACATAGTGTTTCAATGTAGTGAGTATTACTGAAAAAGCTTAATAGGATAGAATGTTTCATAACCAGCTATATGGAATTTAAATAATTAATGTTATAGGAGATATTTTATGTTTAGGAAGTTTTAATTGCCTTTCCAAAATATAATTGTTATAATTTGTGTTGCAAAGAAAAAAATAGTTTCCATTCTCATTTAACTCTTAGCAATTTAAAATGTTTTATCAATTTAAGAAATGTTTTAGAAATCTTTTAATTCTCAGAAGTTGATTAGATACAAGTCTGATTATGTTTGATCCTGTTAGAGTGATGTGTTATCGAGTCTTATAGAGCTATTTCAGTTTACAGCAAAAAGCATTTGACCACAAAGCAAAGGTTCAGATAACACACTCTCAGTCTTTCTAATACATGCTCTCTCCTGTTAAATGCTTAATATTCCCAAAGGTAAATAGGAAGGCACTTTCTTCTGTATTTTCTGAAAGCAAACATTTTAGATCTTTAATCTTGGAGAAATTAAGCAATGATTTAACCTTCAAACTAAATACTATATAGCACAGACATTTGAAAATATAGCCTCAATGTGATTTTATCAGGATATTAGGTTTCATTATTTATAATGTTTGGAGATTAACTACGTTATATATAAAGGCCAATGAAATAAGCAAAGTTTGTACTGAAACCATTTGAAAGAAGGTTTTCTCCTAGATAAATTAACTGATTCTTTATCTTGATTAGGCTTCATTCTTTATTCCAACAGACACTTAAGTGGGTGAATCCTACAGACAATAAATTCACATTTTTCAATAAATTCAGTTTTTTTTAAAACTAATCTACTTCTCCAGATATCGATATCTGGTTTAGACTAGGTTTGATAAAATCCAAGAGAAATGTTGAGCCCTAAAACTTCAATTAAATAGACCTTTGAGACCAGAAACAACTTGACATTGAAACTTTTATTTGTCTGGGAAATTATACTTGAATATTTTCAAATGACTCTGCATTTTTTTTTTGTTCAGACAAATAAGAACCAAAAAACTGGGGGTATTTACATAAAAGAGTAGCATATTTGAATCAAATTTCTAAATCATTGTCAATCTGATTTTAAAAATTGTGTTGACACTGTGAAAAGGTCTGTTTTATTTGTACTTATCAGTTATGTTTAAATCTTATTTCCACAATACATACTTCAGTGATAATCTATGTCAATAAATTATTACAAGTGGAAAAAATACTTTATACAATTCAATAAAACCAGTGGTGTCTGGAAGAATGTAAATGATTAAGCCCATCAACTAACATTAAAGTATTTAGAACCAGCAAACCTTGGCAGAAAGAAGGTGTTGTGGGGAACTTTCAGAGAAGAATGTCTGTGAAAGTCCAACATGTCTAATTGCTTGGCAGAATATAGAGAGACAAAATCTCCTGAGAGGACAAAAATCTTCCTTTTGAAACTCCCAGTTGTGTATGCTCAGTGGGTTTTCGAGTGAATAAAGTAAGCTGGAAAGCACAAGAGGGCAGCCTGTGTCTACTAAACCTTGAATTCCAGAGCTATGTGTCAGAGACCCTAATCATATCATAGGAAAGTATGGCCCAGACATGGTGGCTCATGCTTAAAATCCCAGCTACTTGGGGAGACTAAAGTGAGAGAATCACTTCAGTTCAGAAATTTGAGACTAGCCTGGGATAAAAGACTATCCACTGGGTACAGTGTACACTGCTTGGGTGATGGTGCACCAAAATCTCAGAAATAAAAATAAAAAAGAAAGAAAGAAATGTTTGGAAGAAAATGTGTTTCAGGTCAAGGAGCTATATGCTACCTACAATCTCAGCTGCTACTTTTAGTAGAAATTCTACTGTTAGTAGAACTTCAGAAGAGTTGGAATTTGACAATGAGAAAATATATTCTGATATTACATACCAACTCATAAATTGAGGTCTCTAAATGCTGTGTATTAAAATTTTAATGCAATTCTATGCATACAAGAGATAAGATATTGGGAAGAGTGCAAATTGTAATATACATCAAACATTGCATTTTGAGTTACACTCTTGTTCTTGAGTGTCTGCTATCGAAGACACGAATGTTAGATCACAAATAAGAGGCAACAGAATTGACTGTGCTTTATTCATTTTCTAGCTGCAATGTTTTGGTCATGTTACTAAACATCTTTGAATTGTAGTTTTCCCACATAGAATAAATGTTATCATAATAGTTTCTATACAAGGTTAAGAATTAAATAAAATACTTTATATAAGAGAAAACAAGCAAGAAGCCAGCACATAAACTACAGTTACTGGTAATATAATTGATTATTAGTGATAATGTACACATGATGATTAATCTCAACATCACATAATTTACTCAGTATAGTTCTATCTCCTTTGTCATTGTTCATAGAGAAGCACATTTATGTGTTTGTCCCGTAGCTTATTTCTTCGTTATTTTTTACTCTTTTGACCCATTTTCTCTCCTGGTATGAAATCAAGATGGTGACTGATTTCTTAACATTTGCCTGTCTCTTGTTCTCCTACTTGGGTTTCTAGTTTTGAAATGCGTGTGAGTCCTTTTCAAAGTCTTTTTTTCCTAACATGGTATTGATATTTTGGATAAAGTTTGATCTGAATATTTGCTTCACATAGATGTCCTCTGAGTTTTTAAATAATCCCATCTAAAAAATTATGTATTATCCCTTCATACCATTAAGCTTTCATGCGCTGCCTTAAACAAGACTCTATCTGAACTCAGTTTGTAATTCATTTCCTCATTCCAATCAAGATTCCTGACTCTTAGTTTGAAAATGTTCTACGGAAAAATAGAATGTGTAATCTTTGGCAAATTTTGATCTTCTGGTGAATTTGTTGTAAGTGCAACAAAATCTGTATATATGTAATAATCCTAATAACTCTTTCTTTTATAAATAGGGTAGCAGAAATTCATCTGTAATTAAGGACTTTTACTATATTAAAAAGAGTAAGCTTTTTAATAAAAGAGGGGTAAGCTGGGATTGGTAAACATCTCTTGTCCACAATTCTGCCCCTTCTCTGTGCTTTCAGCAAGAGTGAACTCTGTTTAATGGATGCACTTGACAGTGGCAATCCATTATAAGTGCTTTAAAGGCAGACATAAGTAAAACAACCTAAACCACAACCATTGTTAATAATTGATGTTTATTCATCATTGGCAACTATTGATTATAGACTTAAAAAGAAGTTCTTTGTGTATTGATGTTGGACCCTTTACTCTGCTATACAGAAAACTGCAAGTGACTTGAACTTAAGGGAAGTGTGTTACAATTCTTAAAAAATTAAGTAGCCATTAAAGAAACAAGGTGCAGTGTTCCATGGCTTCCTGTGGAATAAAAACAGGTTGTCTTTGAAGAGATTCATGAGAGAATTCTCTTGAGTTTTTTTTTAAACAGCTATTACTAATAATGCGGTTATAATTGAGAACTGTTTATCCTAGAGATTTTAAAGATGTGCATCTTACATTTTATAATACATGTGTAAGTTGAAACTGAATTTTATCAATTGTTTGAAATACCAGACACGCTGTTGGAAATATGTCTAGTCCATTTGTTTTGCTCATGATTTCAAGCATCATTTCATTCTATGACATAACAGGGGCCTATAAATACACTAATGGAAGGGTGGAACTGGTATAATGTGGTTTTCATGCTTACTATGGCCTCTTGATTTGAGAAATTACACAAATGATGAGAGAAATGAGTCACAAGGAAGAACAAACTAGAACAAACAATACTTCCGTGCTATATGAAACCCTAATTTGAGGTGTAATTTGAACGATATAATTGCATTCTAATATTGGAGCTATCATTCATTAGCTTGGAACATTTGACTTGTCACAAAGCCTGTTGTTCCCCACATAAAAAATGAGGGAGGATAAAAATTATTTAACTCTCTAGCTGGATGTTGCAAATAGTAAACTGACAACATGTACATGGAATCAGATTAAAAAGTATGAAAATAAAAAAGGGTTAAGGATAGAGTCTAATTATTACTTTTCTAGACTTAAGATAGAGAGGATATGCTAAAGCCATCGCAAATATAGAAAAATTGGTTAGAAGCAATTATAAAAGTGGTTTTAGTATCATGTGAGTATAATCATTAGTAGTTTCAAATGTCAAGCTGTTGAGACAACGTTTTTGAAGAAATATAAAATAGAATATTTAAGACAAATTGTTTCATTGTCAATAACTTATCCTGTTGGGAACACAAGCAAAAGACTATTAAAATATGTATACCTTTCTATTATTGACTCTTACTTATTTCTATGAATGCATAAAATGTGTGCTCTCTTTATTTTTAATAATATTTTAACTTTTTTTAGGATCGGGGTACATGGCAAGTTTGTTATGTAGGTAAACTCATGCTGTCTTTTTAAAGTGAAAAATCTAGTGCCATACTCTATGTTCATAACATTAGCAAGTATGTATATCCACCACATATACATCTGCTAAGATATACATTTGTATATGGAAATACATTTTCTAGGCATAGTGGCAGATACCTGTAATGCGCTTTCATAGAACTGTAGTATGGTGAAAATTAATACAGTTTGAAATAAAAAAGATCACTATTCACATCCTAGCTCTGCTGTTTACTAACAGTTTAATTTTAGATGTTATTTATTATCACTAGTTGATGGTGATCTTATTGTTATGAATTTAAATAAAAGAATGGAAGTGAAAATATTTAGCATGCTTGTCATATAGTAATTGCTCAATAGAGATTAATATTCCTAGCAAGTCAACTCTATTTTCTTAAGACTTTCTATATGTAGCTGTGATATGGCAAACATTATAAACATTTAATAAACAAACTTTTATTGTAGTTTTTTAGAAATCTGTCCATATTTATTTCTCACAATAACCTTCAGAATGCTTTTATTTTTTTATATTATTTTATTTTATTTTTTGAGATGGAGTCTCGCTCTGTCACCCAGGCTGGGGTGCAGTGGTGCGATCTCGGCTCACTGCAAGCTCCGCCTCCTGGGTTCACCTCATTCTCCTGCCTCAGATTCCCGAGTAGCTGGGACTACAGGCGCCTTCCACCAAGCCCGGCTAATTTCTTTTTGTATTTTTAGTAGAGACGGGGTTTCACTGTGTTAGCCAGGATGGTCTTGATCTCCTGACCTCGTGATCCACCCGCCTCGGCTTCCCAAAGTGCTGGGATTACAGGCGTGAGCCACTGCACCCGGCCAGAATGCTTTTAAATACAAAAGACAACACAACTCTAGCTGACAAAGAACAGAAATAAATATTATTAGTTCAATAATTAAATGTCCAGAGACAGGGTGGGGTTTTGGCCTGGTTTGACCAGGAATCCAGTTTTATTTATTTATGATTTTCTTAGCTCTGCTCTTTTCTATTTGCCATTTTAGTTGAAATCTTGTCAGTAACATGGATAACTGACTGCTTTTATTTCAGCTTTCATGTTTGTACTTTACATCATTTAGACAGAGTTTCTGTATCTCAAATAATTATTAAGTTTTATACTAATGGGCCACCCCTGAAGAACAGAGAAATTCCATGTGGTTGGCCAATTCTTGAACTACTTGACTAAATCTCTGTTATAATGGAGATGTTAATGCTCATAATGGCTTAGAATCCAATACAGGAGCTGGTAGTAGTATAAATCCTATCCAAACCATATGCCTGCTCTATGATGGAATGGATGCTAAGCTAATAATCACAATGTTCCTGTGTTACTCTGTGGCACATGTACAAAAATATCTGTCAAGTTCCTTATTTGTAGTATCACAGTACAGGAGAGGAACTTGCAGATTATCAGTGGGCTTACTTTCCAAAGCTTATGAAGTTTGAATGACGACTTGTTCAAGACAATTTGAAATTTTTAGTAATGCTAATTCTGTTTGTTTTGCTTTGTTTTGTTTTGAGACGTCTCTCTGTCACCCAGGCTGGAGTGCAGGGGCTGGAGTGCAGTTGCACAATCTCGGCTCACTGCAACCTCCCCTTCCCGGGTTCAAGTGAAGGAATGCTGATTCTGTATTCATACTTCTGACTGCAAGGAGTTCCAACAATAGGAGTGATTGCTTACTTATTGACTCTGGACCACAGGGTTAATGAGAAGTACGGAGTTACTCTAAGGTATTCAGCAATTTATCTATCAAACATGATTTGCATGATAAATAAATAAAATAACTTATTATCACATGTGAATTAACATTAAAATATGTCCTCATTCTTGAAAAAACTGGGAGCTATTGCACTGCTACAGGCAGTGCACCACTTAAGATGAAATATGTTTGAAATGTTTATGGGGAACTAATTCTAATTCTTTTTTCATATACTTCTTAATAGTAAAAAATTAATATATACATTAAATTTTTAAACAAGTTATGATGAGTTTGCAGGTACTATAATTGTCAGCTACAATAACAAGTACAAACAAATATTTATGTTATCTCAATGTTCATGGAGTTGAATAGGAAATGAAAAAGAATTTAAAATATTTTTTTCAATGGGAAAGACCAAAAGTTGTTCAAAATTCAAAGAAAGGTTAACTTAACTTTGAACACAAATCATGTTTAAGAAAAATAATAATTTAATTGATAGTGCATGTTAAAAAGATAGAAAACATTTCCAATTTTTCTTATTATGGAACACATGATGCTTTTAAAAATTGAAGCATTTGCACTTTTTCCCACTGTAAGGAAAGAGGAGGCTTAAATCTTCAACTACTTGCAGTATACAATTGTAGACCTTTAGGGATAGAATACAATTTTGCAACATATAGATTTACCTAGAAATAAAACAAGTCCAAACGTGGGAATGATTGTTGAATTAAATTATGGCAGAGAGCCAAATGAGATGATACAACTTCAGCCTTCAGTCTTCTCCCTGACCCCACAATTTCTTTTTTATATAATTTTTAGTTCATCTAGTCCAATAAAATACGCAAGACTTTAGTACAGTACGTGGAGGTAATCCTGCATACGTGAAAAGAAAAATTATGCTGATATACATAGATATAAGAAAATAGAAGATATGGAGAAGGAGCTTTGGGAAAATTTTAGTACAAACAGGATGTGCTTGAGGTCTGGAATGCTACTATTTTCCTAGTAGCAAATATATGAAGCCCTCTTATAAGCCTCCATTAATAATATTTTTTCACTTAAGTTTGACTTAGGATTTACTGTTTTCAAACAAAACAAGCCTTAACTAATACATATACGCACAAAAGAGAAATTGAAAGTTTAAAATTGCTTAATATTGAAAATATTAATATAATATTAATAAACATAATATTAAGTGGTAGCTCATTATGGTTTTAATATGCATTTCCCTGATAATTAGTGATGTTGAGCATTTTTCATATTTGTTAGCTATTTAAATATCTTTTTTGAGGACTGTCTATTCATGTCCTTTGCCCACTTTATGATGTGATTATTTGTGTTTTTCTTGATGCTTTGAGTTCCTTATAGATTCCAGATACTAGTCCTTGTCAGATGCATAGTTTGCAAATATTTTCTCTCATTCTGTGGCTTGTCTGTTTACTCTGCTGATTATTTATTTTCCTGTGCAGAAACTTTTTAGTTTAAGTAGGTCCCATTTATTTGTTTTTGTTTTTGGTGCCTTTGCTTTGGGGCTCTTAGTCATGAATTTTTTGCCTAAGCCAATGTCTAGAAGACTTTTACCAATGTTATCTTTTAGAATTTTTTTCAGGTCTTAGATTTAAGTCTTTGATACATCTTGAGTTGATTTTTATCTAAAGTGAGAAATGAGGATCCAGTTTCATTCTTCTACATGTGGCTTGCCAGTTATCCCAGCACCATTTATTGAATAGGGTGTCCTTATCCCAGTTTATGTTTTTCATGCTTTCTTGAAGATCAATTGGCTATAAGTATTTGGCTTTATTTCTGCATTCTCCATTCTGTTTCATTGGTCTACAGGCCTATTCTTATACCAGTACCATGTTGTTTTGGTAATTATAGCCTTGTAGTTTAATTTGAAGTCTGGTAATGTGATGCTTCCAGATTTGTTCTTTTTGTTTAGTCTTGCTTTAGCTATGTGAGCTTTTTTTTTTTTTTTTTTTTGGTTCTATATAAATTTTAGGATTGCTTTTACTAGTTCTTTGAAGAATGATGATGGTATTTTGATGGGAATTGCATTTAATTTGTAGATTGCTTTTGGCAATGTGATCATTTGCACAATATTGATTCTATCCATCCATGAGCATAGGATATGTTTTCATTTCTTTGTGTCATCTATTATTTCTTTTGGCAGTGTTTTGTAGTTTTCCTTGCAGAGATCATTCACCTCCTTGGTTAAGTATATTCCTAAGTATTTTATTGTTTCTGCAGCTGTTGCAAAAGGGATTGAGTTATTGACTCGACCCTCAGCTTGATTGTTTTTGGCATATAACAGAGCTACTAACTTGTGTATATTGATTTTATATCCCAAAACTTGACTAAATTAATTCATCAGATCTAAGAGCTTTTTGGATGATTCTTTAGGTTTTCTAGGCATACAATTATATCATCTTTGAACAGCAATAGTTTGACTTCCTCTTTTCCAATTTGGATGCCATTTCTTTCTTTCTCTTATCTGATTTATCTGTCTAGGATTTCCAGTACTATGTTGAATAGAAGTGGTGAAAGTGGGCATCCTTGGCTTGTTCCAGTTCTCAGGGGGAATGCTTTCAAGTTTTTGATTCTCTTCGACAGCAGGTTATATTCTTCCATTATCCAGCAGGCTATCCAGGTTTGTTTTTATGGAGACACAGATACAAGACAAAAATTAAAAATGTGAAAGACCTCTTCAGTTCTAGGATCAGAACTGGCTCTTCATCTATACTATACTCCCACATTGTATTTGCTAAATTAAGTCAGAAGGCCAGCCTAAATTCAAAGATTATTGAAATATCTTTCTTTTCTTATTGGAAAGACTGATTGCAAAGTATGGATAGAGAAGGAATGATGTTTTCTGGCTATTTTTATAATCAATATGTTACATACAGCTCTCATCACCACCAGAGTAGAGATAATTCTTTTTTTATTGTTTCTATTTGAAAATACTTTAAGAGATCTACAATTGACTGAAATTAGATAACATGCCTATTCTTGAACCAGTCACCTAATCCAATGGGCAATGTACAGATTACCTGAAGGCTGATCATTCAGCCCTCTTGCTGTCTAATACACATTATCCATATCTAATTATAAACTACTACAGATTTTTATTACTTTTCCAGTGTCAGCATGTAGCTTAAAATATGAAAGTCAAACTTGAAGTCTTTATCGTACTGAACTTATTCATTATATACTCACCCTCCTCTTTGTTGCACTCTTGATATACTTAATTTTTAAAAATCCACACTCATTTATTATTTTTGTTCTTTGCTGTAAATTCTATCCATAAACTAAAATACTTAATATCATTTTTAGAATATCTTGATCAATCCACCGTTTGCCTGTTTCATTCTAAATATGTAATCACCTGAGAAGTACTCATCCCATCTTCTAATTTCAATACCATATATATGTTAATAGCACCAAGGCTTTATTTATAACTCACCTTTAAATTTTTACAGTAGGTACCCAGCAAATTCATGCTGAATAAAGGAATAAATGAGTAAATAAAATAATGGACATTAAAGTATTCAATACATCCCAAAGCTCCAAAAATAACAGTTGTTATAATTATACAAAAAGGCATGCAGCTCCATGTGCTTCTAGAAGTTTCTTTGTTTTGCAGGTCTATTTAAATGATTGAATCACTTTATATTTTTGTATAGTCTGAAATATTCATGTTTACAATTAATTTAATTATAAGGAGATTGTTTTTCTTTCTCATTTGTGTTTTTACCCAAATATTGACACTAGTTTTGTTTTTATTTCATTTTAATAGGGATCAACTGGTTCTGACTGGCAGCTTGCCATTAGAAGGGGGTGAACTACCTATTATGATCCTGTATTAAATTAATTGGAAAGAGTTTATGTTTTCAGTATTCCAGCATGCTCGAAGTTTAAGATGCAGACAAGGAAAACAAGGCAGCCTAGAGAACATTTACCTTTGCATATTCTCATACAATTTTTATCCATTTTGCTTCTCTTAATAAACTTTACACAATCACTGCCTGGAAATGTATTTGGTTGTGTGTTTGCTTTGGAATTCTGACCTTTCACTGTGTGCATCAAAATGATTTGCAACAGTTTGTTTATTGAATGACTTTAGCAAATTCAGCCATCTTCAAAATCACCAGTTGCTATTTCTAAAAGCAGGTAGATTTAAAATGAGCTGCCACTGTTTGCCAAATGTAGAAGTGTCAAAATGTTCCCAGTGAATAACATCACTTATTACACTGTAAAAATGTACTTTGGGAGCATTATTTACACACAGCTCATTTCTAACCTACATTTGGAACTTGGACTAATTTTAAATGGGCCAACATGCCATTTTTATATATTGACGAGAACTCTTTCTAAGCAAGCCAAGTAACACCTGAAAATAATTTTTAAATCACTCCTCATTGGAAAGATACCACATAGAAACCATTTACAGGTAAGATTGCCAGATGAAAGCATTTAATTATTCTGCTTTTAGAAAGGATATTAAAATTCTGGGCCAATAGCTTGTGATACTTCATTTGAAGTAGTCATACCTCACTTAGTGAGTCACAGGGATAAGTTCTGAGACATGCGTTTAGGTGGTTTTTCGTGCAAACATCATAGAGTGTACTTACACAAATCAAGATGGCATAGCCTACTACACACCTAGGCTATATAGTATAGCCTATTACTTCTAGGCCACATGTCTATACATCATGTTATTGCACTGAACACTGCAGGCATTTATAACACCATGGTAAGTATTTGCATATCTAAACATATTTGAACATAGAAAAGTTACAGAAAGAATATGGAATAAAAATAAATACGGTACATGTATACAGGACACTTATCTCGGTTAAAGCTTACAGGACTGGACATTGCTTTGGATGACTCAGTAAGTAAACAGTGAGTAAATGTGAAGGCCTGCAACATTACTGTGGACTACTGTAGACTTTAAACACTGTACACTTAGGTTATACTAAATTTTAAAAAATTTATTTCCTCAGTAATAAATTAAACTTAGCTTACTGAAACTGTTTTACTTAAATGATTTTAACCTTTTGGACTCTTGTAATAACACTTAGCTTAAAACACAAACACACTGTACAACTGTACAAAAATAATATAATTCAAATATATTTTTCTAATTTTAATTTTTTATAATTATTGTTTACTTTTTAAACTGGTTAAAAATAAAAGACAAACACATATATTAACCTAGGCTTACACAAGATCAGGATCATCAATATCACTATCTTAACACTTCCCTATCTTGTCCTACTGAAAAGTCTTCAGGGGCAAAAACACTCACGGAGCTGTCATCTCCTATGACAACAATGAGTTCCTTTGAAATTCCCTTTGAAGGACCTCCCCGAGGTTGTTTTACAGCTACCTTTTTTAGTAAGTAAGAAAACATGCTAAAATAATGATAAAAATATAGTATAGTAAGTACATAAACCAATAACTTTATTATTTTCAAGTATTATGTACTATACATAATTTTACATGCTATACATTTTTATTGAATCAAAACATTTTACATATTTAGGGGCTGCATGCATCTGTTCCATGAATAGATTGTGTAATAAAGTCAAGATATATGGGGTATCCATCATCTTGAGTATTTATCATTTTGGTTTTGGTAACATTTCAATTCCTCTCCTCTAGCTACTTTGAAATGTATAATACAATGTTGCTAACTATAGTCACCTTACTCTGCTACTGAATTTTGTTGCTTATTTGTTCTATCTAACTGTATATTTGTACCCACTAATCAACCTTTCTTAAATTCCCTACTCCCACCTACATACACTTCCTATTCTCTGGCATCTATCCTTCTATTCTCTACCTCCATTCGATCAATTATTTTAGTCGCCATATATGAGAGAGAATATGCAGCATCTGTCTTTCTGTGCCTGGCTTAACATAATAACCTCCATTTTCATCCATGTTGCTGCAAATGGCATGATTTCATTCTTTTTTATGACCAAATAGTTCTATATTTTTATACAATTGGCAGTGCAGTACACTTGTATACATAAGCATCATCACAAATGTGTGAGTAATGAGTTGTGCTATGACATTAAAATGACCATGTCACTAGGCAATGTGAATTTTTCAGTTGCGTTATAATTTTATGGCCCTGCCATTATATATGTGCTTCATCGTTGACTGAAACATCTTTATGTTTCACCATTGACTGAAACACCTTTATGCATGAGTGTATATGCACAATATTCCTATAATCTCTTGTATATTATAAACAAGAGTTACCCAATTAGAAAAAGCATCTTCGAACAGAAAATATAAATAATCAGATGAGAATTACTCTTTAGTTAAACTTTTTATTGAAATCAAATGTTTGTTACTGACATTAAGTTTTAAGGCAAAAATCACACAGATTATATTGTTTGCCTTGTGAAAAATAAGAATAAACAATCAAAAATTGCCAGCATTTTACAACATAATTGTGTAAAGTGACTTTAATTTGAATTTGAGTCTTGTTTACCAACGGCAGTTCATATTATATACGTGTATACACATATGTGTATATATATGTGTATACACATATATATACACATATATACATACATACCCATATACATATATATACACACACACATATACATATACATGCTTCCTTCTTTTGTTATTCTCTTAATGCAAATTAATGGGTATAAACTGTAGGAATATTTCACAACATGCTGTAAATAGGCAGAGTATAAACAGATTTTATTCTTTCTTGGCAAAGAAAAGTGTTTATTAAAAATAATATACTCTGTTTTTTAAAGTGTATGGCTTTGAAATATAACATAAATTTGGAGAATATAGCTAGGAATTTGATATCATGGTTTTACTTAAAAAAGTATATTGGGTATTGTAACAAAACATGCTAAGCTTAAACTCTCAATGGTCAAACCATGAATCACTTGTCCTGGAAATAGTGTAATTTAGGAATAAGTGTGAACACAATTGGTGGGTGAGTTTCAACATACTATCAGAATTAATGTCATTTTTACTATGTTTCAAGCACTTTCTATGGATGATGTATTAAATATAGTAGCTCATTTAATTTTTACATCGACAAATGTTTGCATAGGAGGAAATACAGATGTATAGAGATTCAATAACTTTGTTATTATTATACAGCTAGCAATCTAAACCCAGATGCCCTGATTATATCATCTTGAGCCACTTTCTTTCTAGCAAATGTTACCTGCTATTCAGGACAAATGGCTTCTGGAATAATAGGGTTCTGATATCAGCTCTAAAAATAGCTAAAGCATACAAGCATTATCTAATTAAATACTTTTTTTTTTTTGAGATGGAGTCTCGCTGTCTCCCAGGCTGGAGTGCAGTGACACCATCTCAGCTCACTGGAAGCTCCGCCTCCCGGGGTTCACGCCATTCTCCTGCCTCAGACTCCCAAGTAGCTGGGACTACAGGCGCCTGCCACCACGCCTGGCTAATTTTTTTTTGTATTTTTAGTAGAGACGGGGTTTCACTGTGTTAGCCAGGATAAATACTTTCTTTAGCATCAGGCTGAGGCATATGCTTCAGAATCTATAATTATGCCAAAAGGATTTTAATAAGAACAACTTTAAAACTGTGCCTGTAACTGCACATTTGATATTGAGATTTCCATCCAGGTATTAAACAGCCAACTAAAAGTAAATCAGTAAAAAAGAAATACCTTCATTCACTTACCCCCATACTGAGAGGTGACAATGTGCTAGCAGCCCTTGCTAGCTCTCGGCTCCTCCTTGGCCTCGGCGTCCACTCTGGCCGCGCTTCAGGAGCCCTTCAGCCCGCTGCTGCAACGTGTGGGAGACCTTCTCTGGGCTGGCCAAGGCCGGAGCCAGCTCCCTCTGCTTGCGGGGAGGTGTGGAGACAGAGGCGCGGGCGGGAACCGGGGCTGCGCGCGGCGCTCGCGGGCCAGTGCAACTTCCAGGTGGGCGCGGGTTCGGCGTGCCCCGCACTCGGAGCGGCCGGCCAGCCCGCGTCCCCGGCCCGGGGAATTAAGAGGCTTAGCACCCGGGCCAGCAGCTGCGGAGGGTGCGCCGGGTCCCCCAGCACTGCTGGTCCGCCCACACCGCGCTGGAATTGTCGCCCTGCCTCAGCCGCCTCCCCGCAGGGTCAGGGCTCAGGACCGGCAGCCCGCCATGCCTGAGCCCCCCTCATGCTCCCGCCGTGGGCTCCCGTTCGGCCAGAGCCTCCCCGACGGGCGCTGCTCCGCGCGCCCAGTCCCATAGGGCTGAAGAGCTCGGGCGCGCGCCGCGGGACTGCCGGACAGCTCCGCCCGCGGCCCCTCCGGGGCGATTCACTAGGCGAAGTCAGCTGGGTTCTTGAGTTAGGTGGGGACTTGGAGAAATTTTATGCCTAGCTAAAGGTTTGTAAATGCACCAATCGGCACTTTGTGTCTAGCTCAAGGTTTGTAAACACACCAATCAGAACTGTCAAAACGGGCCAATCAGCTCTCTGTAAAATGGACCAATCAGCAGGATGTGGGTGGGCTCAGATAAGGGAATAAACGCAGGCTGCCCGAGCCAGCAGTGGCAACCCGGTGGGGTCGTCTTCCACGCTATGGAGGCTTTGTCGTTTTGCTCTTTGCAATAAATCTTGCAGCTGCTCACTCTTTGGGTCCAAGTTGCCTTTATGAGCTATAACACTCACCAAGAAGGTCTGCAGCTTCACTCCTCAAGTCAGTGAGACCATGAACCCACCAGAAGGAAGAAACTCTGGACACATCTGAACATCAGAAGGAACAAACTCCCAACACAGCATCTTTTAAGAACTCCAACACTCACCAGAAGTGTCCGGGCTTCATTCTTGAAGTCAGCAAGACCAAGAACCCACCAATTCCGGACACAATACCACTATTTTTTCTCTTATGATTTCTCTTCTTAGTAAGTGCCTACATTATTCATCTTTCCTCAAATGCGATAAGAGTTGGAAAAAGTAATCGTTGACTAGAAAGGTACATCCCACCAAGATACAGCAGAGAAAAAAGAGCAAAAGTCTTTGGTGAACAGCAAGCCATCTCTGGAAGTCTTCCACTCAGGCCACCAGAAAATAATGTGCACGTATTTCCCAAGTCCAGAACATTCTCACACTCTTCCCCAGATGAGCAACCCCATAGTTACTTAATTCAGCTCAAAGCATTAAGAAATCTAAACTGTATGTACTTATCTCCAGGCTGAAATGCAGCCTCGTGTGATCTGATGCCATATAAATGAGAAGTCAATTTATCTGTCTCCATTTTATTCTACTACAAACACACATATATGAGTGTCCACTGGTGGAAGAGGTAAACCATAATTGCAGCAAGGGCTTTTACTGGGAAGAATGGGAAGAAAACACAGTACCGCTGGACCATGGCAATGATGAACTCCTGTAGTAGATCCTGCTTTTATGGCAGTGAGTAAAGTTCCTTGTGTTTACTTTGATTTAGGTTTGATTTATTTTGATTTACTTTGATTTATAATAGAAATTCCTCTCTCTGTTGTCCTTCGTGTTACAGACTCAGTGCTCTTAAAAGTTTTTCTTGTTCATCATCCTCCATAGACATGTTCGAGGTAAGTATTGGGGACAACCACACTTTTGGAGGCTTACTATAACTGCAAAAGGGTTGTTTTTAGGACTCAAATATTCAAAGGTTTATTTTAGTCAATAATTTATTTAGCAACATAACTCTCTCAAAAACCTTACAGGCTTGTGCTTTGTTTATTTCTAGTCAGTTCAGTTCTGTCAGCTAATAACCACACCAAAAATCCTTTCCAGGGATACTTCTGAAACTGTTTTATTTATGTTTCTTAACTTCTTCAGTTATTTCTGTTTACATAATAGATGACTTTGAGGATGCCTGCATTAACAAGTTTGGATGAAGGTCACTTTTTTTTTTTTCTTTTTTGAGACAAGTCTTGCTCTGTCGCCAGGTTGGAGTGCAGTGGCACGATCTCGGCTCACTGCAACCTCCGCCTCCCAGGTTCAGGTGATTACTCTGCCTCAACCCCCAAGTAGCTGGGACTACAGAAGTGCACCACCACACTTGGCTAATTTTTTGTATTTTAGTAGAGGCGAGTTTTCACCATTTTGGCCAGGATGGTCTCCCATCTCCTGACCTCGTGATCCAAGGCGGGTGCCTTGGCCTCCCAAAGTGCTGGGATTATAGGCATGAGCCACCGCGCCCGGCCGAATGTCACATTCTTAATCTGATCTTTGCCACAAGTGTAGGTCCCAATGGTCCTATGCATCCAATAGCTTTTCCAATTGCATCTCTTACTTTTTGAGGTCTAAAATCAGTTGACTATTCAAACGTTTGAGGCCCCAAATTTCTAGATTCTTTCTATTAGCTTTTGGTATTTGCAAGCAAATTTGGTCAGTCTTGTCAGAGATCATCATTTTTCTCTAATACCTGTTGACTCAGACAATTGCAGTAAATACATGCTTCAAAATAGTGTTTCTCAATGTCTTTCCATTTAGCTTTACTCTCAGAGGGCACCTGGTCACTCTTGAATATCTGACACTTTTACCAATGAAGATATTTTGTCTCCAAATTTCCAACTCTGTTACAAGTTTTCTCTCTGCCTAGTGATGAACTCCTAAGCTGATATCACATTTTTTTAGGGTTTTTAATTGTCATTTTTTGTTACAGAAACATCAACATTAGGTTACCAATATCTGTACTATTCCAAATAAAATTAGCAGCTGTAACAAAAAAAATAACATTTTAGTAAGCGATTTCACCTTCAGAGTTCTTAGTCTGATTTGCCATTGTTGTATCCTGACACCTTGACTTATGTGCAATGTTGATTTATCCTGAAACAAATTTGAAAAATATTGATTATGTTGATTTGAACAGGTGAAAAATGAAGAAATTAGTCCATGAATTTTATTCCAATAGTTGTAATGCAAATCCAGAAATGTCCAGAATATGCACATATAATTACCCAGCTCAATTTATGATTTTATTATATAAAACACTTCAGTGAGAAATTTTGTGAATTAACTAGCAAGGGAAAATAAAATGTATTGAAAGTGGGTAAACATTGAAAAGGAAGAAATATGGCTCCCCAAAAAGAGAAAACAAACAAACAAAAAAGGTAAATTATAAAATTGTCAATAAAATAGAAGGAAAAATCAATTTATTGTATGACATTGCTTCTGCAACATGTCTTTAGCAACAAAGTTATAGTAATTTTGAATACATAAAATATTCAGGAGGTAAGCCATTTATTTTTATAACTATGTACATTGAATGGCTTTTTTTCTTTGTATGTGATTATAACAGTTTTCTCAAAACTTAAAATGTCAGAAATTCATCTGACATTTCTTACATATCTGCTTAGTGTATCTCTAGCAACATTATTTTAATTTAACAAGAGATTGTACTCTGTTTTGTTTTTTATATACTCCACATTATCCTTAACAATGGAAAGTAAACAAAATGTCAAATAAATAGAAAAAGAAAAATATGTGACTACATGGTCACATATATTTTATGCCCAGTATTGTGTAAAGCAGTTTATCCATTTTCTCTAAATCTATCTTTGCCACCACCATGTAAAATTGGTTTTATTATCCCAATTTTACAATTTAGAAAAATATAGATTCACATAACTTGTCAAAGTCAGCGAGCTAGTAAGAGGCTGACTAGAATTTTGAACCTAGAGAATTCTACTAGAGAAACCGTGTTCTGCCCTTGAGGATCTCAAACGGTATTTAAGTAGACAGGCATAAATAAATAGAAATGCTTTGTGGTTAATATTACAATCAAATAACAGGCAAACATCTGTGAGTGTACAGATGAAGGAGAGATAAATCTGAAATAAATGGATCAAAGATTGTTTGGAAATAAAATGCATAAAACGTTATTTCATGTGGGTCTTCAAAGGCAAGATGAGTGAAATTTACCAAGCAGCTAAGTAAAGGGAGTAAGATCTCTAAGCAGAATCAAAAGCATCAGTAAAGACACAGGAGCGTAGGAATGGCTTTTTTCATAGGTAAGTGCTTTGGTGAAAACTTTGGTTTCTAAAAATAGCTTCATCCCTTTACCCAAATAATGTGATATCTACTTTATTTCTTTTCAGTTGATATCTCCATCATATTTCGCCATTTTGGCATTTCAATATAAAGTTATCGTTATAACTTTACCTTTCATTATAAAGTGTTTTCTATATTTTTCAAGGCAGTCAAATATATGTTAAGCTCTACTGTAAAAATTTCAACAACTGGGAATATGTAAGTCAATTCATATTTGAACAAATGAAACATGGCCAAAGATTAAGAAATACTTAGGATGAATAAAAACGCTAAATTTTTTCTGCCTGAATCTAAACAAGAAATGCAAATTGATTTTATATGTTATCTCTCTAACTTTCAAAATAATGCAAAGAAGAGAAGTAGTTATTATTGATTACATTCTTCTAAATTCTATTTAAAATATGTCTACCAGAAGTAAGTATTCAAATATATTTTATTTTTCCATTGATTTCTCATTGACATTTCATTGTTTTACTGTAATTCTTCTTATTCCAATGTTTCCCAAATTTTCTTTGCCATTTCTCTTAATACAATTTGAAATGTTAAAATACAATACATATTAGCAAAGAAAACCAGAATTAGATTATTTGACACTATGAGAGCTAGTCTTTTATAATACGCATTGAAAGATGTCTGAGACGGGTATCAGAGTGGGATTAAGAAGAAGTACAGGCCCAAATGGGATGCAGAATTATGGAACATAATGCTGTTTTATTTTAAGGCTCTGTATTCTTCTTCCTCAGGTACTTGTAAAGTTTACATTTACCTACACTAATTTTAAAACATACACATCTGTTTCACATCGTTGAGTATCATTTGTGTTTACTGATACATGTGTGTTATTTCCCTCAGTGTAGTGTATCACAAGTCAACTCATTTGTTTTCTTCCTTCCAGGATGTTGCCAAAAGAAGGCATCTCTTGTGCTTTTGCTAGGGTCTCTTTAAGCCAAATTGACATCAATACATGTAACATTTAGCCTCTTCCAAAAATATCTTCATAAAATACAAGTTTGTTGTGCCAGTTACATTTTTAACTCATATAAAATAAATACATAACTATTAAAATTGAAATGTCACTAATATACCACCGAAAATTATCTTATGCAGCACAATTGTAAGTATCTCAAGGTTAATTCTAAAGGAAGATGATGTCTAAACCTCTTACCCAAATTTTATAATTCTATGGCTATAGTTCTCCATCTCATTTGGCCTTGTACTTCCTCTTAATTCCACCCTAAGACCTATTTGAGAGATCTTTCAAATGTGTGTTATAATAGACTAGTTCCCATAGTGTCAAGTAATCTATGAAGGGATAGAGAGTAAATGATCCTTTATCTGTTCATGGGAAGAAAATTTTGTTTTATTGTATGTTAATGTTTGTGTGCATGGATGAATTCTCTTAGCATTATTTTATTTTATGTAGTAGAACAATATTTTGCTTTGAATAAAAAACTAGAGTAAAATAAAGATTTAAAATAAAGATAAGATTGTATTTCCTGTGAATTTTTGTCATTAGAGAACCTTAACTTTCTTAGCTGTATTTATTTAAAGTTTGTATCATTTACGCAACTTTATATCACTCTATGGAAATTGCTAATTATAGTAAAAATGAAAGTTCTACAATACAGTGTAAGTTCTTACATAAACCAATAACATATGCAGTTAAAACTAAATTGGTTTAATATTTTGGAAACAGATAACATTTTTTCAAGGGTAATGAAGAACTTCTGTATCATTCTCTTCAATCAAGAGAAAATATTGGGTATGTAGATTAATATTTTGAACTTCATAGAGTTTTAACTGCTAAAATCATCATTGAAAATATGCTGTATTAAACTTTAGGACTGACTCAGGTTTTGAAGGACTTGACCCTAAAATCATATTTATTTTCAATTCTATTTAATTAATATACTCAGAATTTATGTCTTAATTGCATCACACATCAATGCATTTCGCATTTTGATTAGGTAATAGTTTTATATAATTCTCTGGATCATTTGATTAGGCATCCATGGAAAAACTAAATGATACCCATTAGCCTCACAAAGAACGAAAGTTATATTTGCTGTATTATTGTTTGTAAAATTAATTTACTGCCTTCATGGAGACTTCCTTTCTGTGCTTGGCATTGTACCACCCAGAATAATTTTTGGTTAGTTTCATCCCTAAAATGGTATTTGTGATCTCAATTACTGATAGCAATTTTTTTTTTCTTTTTGGAGACGTAGTCTCGCTCTGTCACCCAGGCTGGAGTGCAGTGGAGCAGCGTTGGCTCACTGCAACCTCTGCCTCCCAGGTTCAAACAATTCTCCTGCCACAGCCTCCCAAGTAGCTGGGACTACAGGTGCATTCAGCCATGCCTGGCTAATTTCTTTTGTATTTAAGTAGAGATGGGGTTTCACCGTGGTGCCCACGCTGGTCTCGAACTCCTGAGTTCAGGCAATCTGCCCACCTAGGCCTCCCAAAGTGCTAGGATTACAGGCGTGAGCCATCACACCCGGTCAGCAATTATTTACTCATCAATTCCAACTTGCCAATCCTTATAGTGCTATTATGATTAATTTAGTAGCTTTAACATTGTAATAAGGTCTTCTGACAGTTCAAGAAAATTGCTGGACTCACTTTAAAGCTTTGAGATACTGATAGAGAGCAACAATTATACTTAATATTATATGATCAAATAGAAGTAGGATTATTACTTATATATTTACATAAAATATATATTTTACATGATTATAATATATAATTATATTTTATATATGAGCATACAAAATTATATATGATCATCTATCAATCTGTATACAACTATATTATAGTAGATATTATACCTTTCCTGCCATTAATATCTAGTACAAAGTATTACCTAGTGTTTTTGTCATTTTGATTATTTGGGTGCTGAGAGTGACACTATTGAAAATATATAATAGAATGCTGAGCAGAATTCTATTCTATTCACAACTGTCTGCCTGGAAGAAAACAATCCGCACAGTTTTTTAAAAAATGAGTATACCCAGAATGCTCAATATTATTTAGTGAAAAACTATATATTTAAATAAAGAGAGGTGTACCTCATGACTTTTACTCCACTATCATAGAAGATGGTCAAGTAGAAGAGGAGGGTTATAAAGCACAAAAAAGCATAAAAATAATGCCATGATATCCATTTTCAATTTTTGGAAGTCTCTCTCAAACATATTTGCTAGATATTAAATTCAGATTCTTAGATTTAAAAAAATGCAATGTGGAGGTCACATTTTCTTGTGGATGTATGACAGAATCAGGTTAAATAAGTAGTATTTGATATTAAATGCAAAGCAGGGATTCTCATTTCCCAGCCTGTCTTGAGCTGATAATGGTTGTGAAACATATCACAAAGACTACTATAATGGGAGGAACCAGACATTCCTGCTGTGAATTTTCTTTTTTCTCTAGAAATGGGGTATCATATTTAATGTTGCAAGATATCAATATGCATACCTTATCCTACCAAAAACAACTCATTTAGTAATGTAATTAAGACTAAATCACACCACAAGTATCCAGCATTCACATTGAAATGTAAATTCAAGTAGAATTTATAAAAGTCCAGGCTATTTCACATTTTTCTTCTTCACTGGGTTTTTTTTTTTCTTATAAACTTTTTTTCTTTACACCACTTTTAATATTTCCAACAGCAGCAAAAATAGAGTTTGGGGGCAACATTTTTTAACAAAATGTTTCAAGGGACTATCTATCTTCAACATTGTACTGTAGGTCCTTGTGAGATTATAGTCTTTCCTTCCATCAAAAAGCAACATTATTATATTCAAGTATATTTCACTGTCTCTTTGCTGGCCTTTTGTGACACCTCAGTACCAGTGGCGGGATATTGTTAGAGAACACAGTGATAGAAAATCACTAATGGAAATCTTTGCAACTGTCAGCAGCTTTTCACTTTTCACATGAGGATGAGTTTGCTAATTGGATTGAGTCTGTCTCTGGTTGTAATCTAAGCAAGCATTGGTTAAAGGAGGATCTGCCATGTCACACCTGAATTATGTGCTAGGAAGTGAAGCACACAATTAATAAGAATTATTTAAAGCACAGCCCATGTGCATAATTAAATATGCCTTATTTCCTTGATTAAAAATCTGGTTATCAAGGAAAATTTTCAACTAAGTCTTCAGGGATAGCTGAAGTAACTACCTGTAATATTTGAACTGGTGGTAGATTAACAGTGCCACAATGTGTTTAAATTATTAAGCAAAATATTGCAGCTGATTCTTACAGGATTTTAAAAGAGTGTAAATACTGACTGCATTAGTTCGTTCTCATATTGCTATAGAGAACTGAGACTGGATAAATTATGAAGAAAAGAGGTTTAATTAATTGACTGACAGTTCAGCAAGCTGTAAAAGATGCATGGCTGGGGAGCCCTCAGGAAACTTACTATCATGGTAGAAGGCAAAGGAGAAACAGGTACAGTCTTCACATCAGCAGAGCAGGAGAGAGAGTGAATGAAGTGGGAGGTGCTACACACTGACAAACAGCCAGATCTTGTGAAAACTCTGTCACCGGACAGCACTAGGGGGATGGGGCTAAACCATTAGAAACCAACACAATGATCCAATTACCTCGCCCCAGGCCCCTCCTTTAACACTGGAAATTACAATTGACAGAAGATTTGGGTGGAGACACAGAGCCAAACCATATCACTGATTTTAGTGATAGTGTATGGCAGAGAATTACAGTGTTGCTTAGAATATTTTTAGTAATGAAATACAGGATCCAAGAGAACATAGAGGATAGCCTCTAAGTATGGAAACTACTCATGAGCTAATTTTTATTTGCATAATGTAATGGTATTTACTGTAGCAGAGAGTGACTTACCACTATCAATAGTCTCTTTTTGTTATAAAACTTCCAGAACACATTCCCAGTGTTTTTGCATCGATATGGGGTCAAATGACCCAGCTTTAGCCATTGAAAAGTGAACAGAAGCAGTTGGCCACTAAAATGTCCCTCAATATTCTCTAAAAAGTCTCTATCTTTGGTCATTGGCTAATGGGGTACAGAGTTTCCAGTGGAGTACACTAAAGGCTACAGGATAGGCAAATCATTAGGTGGAATGAACCTGGGTCCCAAATGATTGCATGGAGCAGAGACACTCTCTCTCACCTCTGCACCTGACCCATATTACACTATGTGTGGAATGAGAAATAAACTTGTTATTTATAAATTATTACTGTAAGACCTGGAAAATGAGAATCCTGGATAAATGTTTGGTGGTTGATATAGCTTGAAATTTCTTCTGTACTTTGTGAGATACTAATGCTGGTATTATTGATTCTTAAAGAGTTAGTGGGGAATTGTGAGATTTCCTATATAGAATGGACATTTTCTTTTAGTCTGTGCTGTCCCTACCCCCACTATTGTCAGTAGGAGTTAGCACAATTCAACAGTTCAGCATCCTCCACACAGTAACTTAGAAAAATGACCAAAATGCCAGCATTGTAGTCCTTTCCTTACTTTTTCCTTCAGGATGATTCACTTCCTGGTGTTTACTCTTAGGCTCAACAGTTTCAGGCAGAGGCAGCATGGATAATCTCAAGAAATAAGCATACCATTTCTCCTGCGTGTACTTCTCTTTTTATCCATCACATGCTTTTACTTATGTATATCTCCTAGCATCAAAAGGAGAAGCTGAAGTATATTTCTATTATCAGCTTGCATGGATATTAGAAGACACAAATATGCCACACACTAAATCAAGCCAATCTGCCAACCCTATGGTCTGTAACCAGCTGAAGCTCCAAGTAATATGTTGTTGAATAGCTCTGTTGCCCTCTAAGGTTGTAAGCAGTATGCTACAATTAAATAGCCATTAAAAAAGATGAGGGTTTTTTTAGTTGTTGTTGTTGTTGTTGTTGTTTGAGACGGAGTTTCACTCTGTTGCCCAGGCTGGAGTGCAATGGCATGATCATGGCTCACTTCAACTTCTGCCTCCCAGGTTCAAGGGATTCTCCTACCCCAGCTTCTTGAGTAGTTGGGATTATAGGCATGCACCACCATGCCTGGCTAATTTTTTGTGTTTTTAGTAGATACAGGGTTTCACCATGTTTACCAGGCTGCTCTCAAACTTCTGACTTCAGGTGATCTGCCCTCCTCGGCCTCCCAAAGTGCTGGGATTACAGGCGTGAGCCACCATGCCTGGCCACATATGAGTTTTTGTACAAAAATATTTTTAGTAAAATTTATGCATATGTAGCAATTTACAGCTATAAAATTCACAAACTTTATGAACAATTGTCAATTATACCACTTGGGGATAAAGCATTTAGGAAGGGTTTATTATTACAAACTGAGTTAGAATAAAGCATGGAGAAAGAAATATTATTAGGTCATTTGTCAAAGTCCTATTAAGAATAAATGTGATTTTAAAAACATATTCTTTATTACAATTCGACTTCTATCCTTTCAGTTACAGTAAGTGGCTATTATTTTTAAAAACTGTATTTAAATATTTTCCTTGATTCCTCTTCTTCGTTCTTAGAAATGTGTGCAATATCATACATAGGAAGTCAATGTTTTGCAAGGAAAGAAAGGATACTTAAGTAGGAGTGACAAAAACTCATTCAATCTCTAGCTTTATGCTCTTGAACTATCCCTTACCTCCCAGTGCCTTGGTGCGTCTATACTGGATAGTCCCTAAAATCACTTCTAAGATCCTTTATGCCACATAAAAGAAAATGAGGTAAAAATTTGAATAGCCATACAGTTCCTCTGAATTTTTTTGTTTTTACTTCAAATACCAAGTATCTTTTAACTCCTCAATCTCTTTTCCACTTTAAATATGCAAAATTTTCACCTAATTTTGACTTAGCCTAAATCTCCAAACCTTCTATCAAAGCAGTGTATAAAAAGGCTCTCAGAACAAGACGAGGAAAGTAAAAACAACATCAGTCTGTTGTCTACATCCTTCATTTATTAGTTCACTGAAGAGGAGTCTTAACTCTTTTTTTATTTTTAAATCTTGTATTACCAAAAAACCAACTTTAGGCAAAACATTTTTGTTTCAGCCATTCCATATAATACCACTGGGATAAAAAATTTATTAAAATACCTAACTCTTGCATAGAAAATCATATATTAATTTCACAAAAGTTTGTACATAACAAGTTAGTTGAGGACCCCATGATAAAATAATTTGAGGGATAATTAAAGACCATTTAGAACCAGCCAACATTTAATAACATTAGAAGAAGACTAATGGAACTATAAATAGACCTTCATACTGCCAACAAAAATACACAGGAAAACAAAACAAATGGAACATAAAGACCAGACATGCAAGCTTAAAAATTTTACTTGTATAGTAAGATCCTACACTAAATTAATAAATTTAGATCCTACAGTAAACCAAATAAATTACATATTTGGTTTTCTCAAGCTATATCAAGTATCCCTAATGGAAGAAATGCCTTATAGCATAATTTTACAAGTCTTCTCTGATTTATCTGCTTTGAGTCTCTAGCTGTGTGAGATATGTTTCCACAGAGAAAATAAATGCCTGTTCTTTATAACCAAATTCCTTCTAGCATTATATGATTTTTACCCACACTATGTTACAGGATCCTTGGGGTGTCGCTTTGCCAGCCAGAAACCTCTGTGGCCAGTGGTACCTTTGCCTGAGTTTTACTCTGGCCTGCTGGGCTCATTCCATCCACTCGGCCTAGCAGGCTGCACTCAGCTGATGTTACCGACCTGGACTGCATGCCTGCCATGGGTGAGTCAGGTATGGATTGGCGAAGGGTGGGTGAGCGAGCATGGGGTCTGGCCACTGTGCACAGCCAGGCACACTGGTTACATTGGCACAGCAGCTCCAGGCAACAGAATGGGTGCCAGCTCCCTATGAGGCCATGGCTGGATCAGGCGTACCACAAGCAGCTTCCACGGCTGGCACTGGGGAATGTTGTGGTACCTGGAAGCTTGTGGATTCCAGGAACCACAGAGCACCAAGGAGGGTGTCACAACCCTCGTTTGCGGAGCTACTAGGCCTGAGATCCCCAAAGGGCTGCAGCTCTTCTCTGCTTCTTTCTTCTCTCCTTCTTGTCACCCACAACCTGGCAAGCAAGGGGCATGTTTCAGTCATGTTTGTGTTATAACTCTTTTAGCCCCACCATTCAGGAGGTCCTGAGTTCTTGTTCTGTGTCCAGGAAGAATGAACTACATGGACAAGTAGAAGGTGAGCAAGGAGAAGAGGTGCTTTATTGAGTGAAAGACCAGCTCAGAAGAGACACACATTGGGTGGCTCCTCTCTGCAAGGTGGCCTAATAAGCATTCAGCTCTCAGCACAGAGGAGACCCTGGAGTGGGTAGCTCCTTTCCACAGCTAGTAGTCCCAATGTTTGCTCGGCTCTCAGCAGAGAGGAGACCCTGGTGGGGTGGTTAGCTCCTCTCCGCAGCTGATCATCCTGTCATCTCCTCAAGTCTGGCTTGTCCAGGATTTTTATGGGCTTCAGAGAGGAGGAAGTGTTTGCTAATTGGTTCATGGGCAACCATGGGCAGGCCTGGACAAAGCACCAAGTTCCAAATTCTCTCTATAGGACTGGCAGCACAGGCCCTAGGCTTCAGGCATTCACAGCTTGGAGGTGGGGCTTCACCAGGGAGCTGCCCTTTCCGCCCCAGAGCCTGTCTGCCTCCTGCTGCTGTTCCTGTCACCCAGGCTGTTTGTGCCAAGGGGCACCTGCAGGCCTGTGCCAGTTGCCCTCGGCCTCCCTCTTGTGCTCATTGGTGCCCAAAGTCCACAGGGGGCCAAAGTAGCAGGGGCCAAAGTAGCAGCTGCTCTGAGTGTGCACACACCCAGCTAGGCTGCAGCAGCTTCCTGGCTGGACCCCAATCTTGTTCCGAGATTGGAGTGGGCACTGAGAGTAGGGAGAGGCCAGGTGGTGGGAACAGACACCTCTAAACCTGCAGGGCAGGGGGGACCTCCTCAGGACCATGAAAATGCAGAGATGCCCAGGTCTGCAGCCATGGCTTGGGTGGCTGCAGCTATGCTCAGGAAGGTGGGGCTGCTGACTGCTCCCAGCTCCTAGGAACACAGGGAGGCCTGGGTCCTAATCTGTCAGCCATGACTTGGGTGGCTGCAGGTACACCCAGGAGGGTGGGACTCCTGCCAGCTCCTGGCTCCCACCAGCTCCCTGGAACATGGAACCCTGGCCACACCTCCCCCTCCTGCAGCTGGCGTCATGGCAGCGGCTATTCTAGATGGGCCACCACTGCCATCACCATTAGGATTAATCTGAAATATCTACAGGTAAGGCAATTATGTCTTACAAGAAAACGCTTGGTAGAATGACCACAGCAAGTTACTCCTGTAACCCAGTGACTTTAAAACATATTTAGAATGATTCAGAAGATAAGGAGGCATATGTATGTGTATATAAATATTTCATATTCATAAAATGCATTTGGTAAATATAGGAAGACATTCACACAAAGAATGGAGTCAATGAAACAATAGATATTTCACATTATTCAAATAAATATGAAGGGAAGAATCTGTTTCCTTGCTCATTCAGCTTTGGCAGAATTCAGTTCCTTGCAATTATAGGGTTGAGATCTCTGTTTCTTGCTTGTTGGTGGAAGGCCATTTCCAGCTTTTAGAGACTGCCACATTTCTTGGCTCACAGACCTTATTCTCATGGCTTATCATGCCAGCCCACTCTTCTGCCTCCCTCTTCTTTTAAGAATCATGTGATTAGATTGGGTCCACTTAGAAAATTTCCCCAACTCAAGGTCTCTATTTAAACTTAATCACATCTGCAACTCTCTTTTGCCATATAAGGTGATATATAATATGTCATGGATATTGTTGGAGGACATTATTCTGCCCACCACAGAGATTTAGTATGAAAACAATAAACACTATAAAATTAAACAATTTAAGAATTTTGGGGAAAGAATATCTTACCTATTTAAAAAGATTAAAATTAGTTCTGGGTCATTTGGGAATATTGTGAAAGCTTAAATAGTCTTATGTATTGTCAATAGTAACCTAATTCTTTAAGGTTTTAATGTTTAGCAGATATTCTTATACAGATAGAAATTATTTTCAATATGCTCAGGAAATGTCTTTGTACTGAGAATATTTCTCTTGCTTATAAAAATAATGAAGAAGTCAATTCTATTTTAAACAATCTGTTTTTCAAAAGGAATCGTATCTGTGGTATATTTTGATGATTGACTTTTGATACCAAAAGATGTAATTTGTGTAGAAGATATAAATATCCACAAAGCTCTGAACTAATGCTCTTTAAAAATTGTGTTGTTAGACCAGGCATGGTGGCTCGTGCCTGCCGAGTGAGCCGAGGCAGGTGGATCACTTGAGGTCAGGAGTTCGAGACCAGCCTGACCAACATGGTGAAACCCTGTCTCTACTAAAAATACAGAAATTAGCTGGGCGTGGTAGCATGTGCCTGTAGTCCCAGCTACTTGGGAGGCTGAGACAGGAGAGTTGCTTGAACCTGGGAAGCAGAGGTTGCAGTGAGCCAAGATCATACCACTTCACTCCAGCCTTGCTGACAGAGCAACAGAGCAAGACTCCATCTCAAAAAAAAAAAAAAAAAAAAAAAAAAAGTGAGTTGTCACAGATGTTTCATCCTAAGACCATGACTTTTAATTTGGGAAGTTCTCTGAATGCTGCAAATTTACAGGGACTTGCCAACTATTTTACTATATTTTATCTTTCCTCTTTTACTTTCTGCTGGCTCTAGCAGTTTATTTAATTTTACATTTTCTGAAGTATTTTCATTTTAAAAAGTAGGGCCTTGAGCTACATACTGTGATGGACAGAGACAATAAATATCCACTTTAAATTTCATACTTCCTATGAAACTATAAGAAAATTGCTTTAATATGACTATTATTTAATTTAGAAGTTTATTGAAAGTAAATGAACTATTTTACTTGTATTATATTAAACAGCAAATTAACAGACATGCCGAGACCAGCTCGGCATGGTCGTAGAGACCCTAACCCAGCGGCACTAGAGGAATTAAAGACGCACACACAGAAATATAGAGTGCAGTGTGGGAATCGGGGGTGACAGCCTTCAGAGCTGAGAGCCAGTAACAGAGTTTTACCCACATATTTATTGACAGGAAGCCAGTGATAAGCATTGTTTCTATAGATTATAGATTAACTAAAATGGGAAACAAAGGGATGGGCTCTGGCTAGTTATCTGCAGCAGGAGCATGTCTTTAAGGCACAGATCCCTCATGCTATTTTTTGTGATTCAGGAATGCCTTAAGCGGTTTTCCGCCCTGGGTGGGCCAGGTGTTCCTTGCCCTCATTCTGGGAAACCAACAACTTTCAGAGTGGGCATCAGAGCCATCACGAGCATGTCACAGTGCTGCAGAGATTTTGTTTATGGCTAGATTTGGGGGCCTGTTTATGGCCAGATTTTGGCACCTGTTCCCAACACAGACATCTGCAATTAAATTTTATTTATTGAAGGGGAGGATATTTCGTACTATAGGCACATGGATAAAGGTGGTTTGGAAAGGAGCCATAAGATCAATTTTTTATGAATATGTAACCTAATACCATCGTAACCAAAGTATCATTAAATAGGTTATTTGCATTTGAATGTATATATTTTTGTCCTTGATCTTGTCGGGGAGGTACTGAATCCCTGCAAGACATTTTGATGGGGAGAGAACACCTTTTTCAACAAATGGTGCTGGGACCACTGCATATCTTATGCAAAAAGTGTTGGACACTACCTCACACTGTATACAAAAATTAATGGATCAAAAACCTAAAAGTAAGATTTAAAACTAAAATTCTTAGAAAAAAACAAAGGCATATTTCTATGTGAAAATGGATTAGTCAGTGTTTTCCTACATATGATACCAAAAGTACAAGCTACTAAAGGAAAAATTGTGATAAATTGACATCTTGAAATTTTTTTTAAAAGGTCTTTCAAAGATACCATCAAGAAAGTGGATCAGGTGTGGCGGTTCCCAACTGTAATTCCATTACTTTGGGAGGTGGAGGTAGGAGGATTGCTTGAGGTCAGGAGGTCAGGGCTACAGTGATCTATAATTGCACCACTGCACTCCAGCCTAGAAAACAGCCAGACCCTGTTTCAAAGAAAATAAAAAGTCAAAAATCACATATCTGATAAAGACTTTGTATCTAGACTATAAAGAAGTACTACAATTCCATTATAAAAAGACTATAGCATCTAGAATATAAAGAAATATTACAACTCAAATATAAAAAGAAAAGTAATACAATTACAAATGAACAAAAAGGTAAATACACATTTCTCCAAAAAAACATATGTAACATCTTCTAATCACATTTAAAAAATGCTGTCATCATTAGACATCAGAGAAATGCAAATCAAAACCACAATGATACCACTTTACACACATTTGGATAACTACTATCAAAAAGGCAGATAGTAACAAGTATTGGTAAATGTATTTACAACTTGATTCTCCTCATACACTACTGGTGTGAATGTGAAATGATGTAGTTGTTTTGGTAAACACTGTGGCAGTTCCTCAAAATGATGAACATATAGTTATCATATGACCCAGCAATTCAACTCCTAGAGATAATCAAGAGAAATGAAAGCATATGTTCACACAAAAACTTATACATAAATGTTCATAGCAGCAGCATTCATAATGGTCAAAAAGTGGAAACAACCCAAAAATCCATCAACTAACAAATAGAAAAATAAAAGGGATGTATTTATAAAGGGGATATGTCCATACAATGAAATATTATGTAGCAATAAAAGCAGGTTAAGTCCTGATCCTGGCTACAACATGGATGAACCTTAAAAATATTATCTTATGTAAAAAAGACAGTTTCAGGTGACTACATATTGTATATATTTATATAAAATGTCTAGAACAGGTTAATGCATAAAGACTAAAGTTGTGGGTATGGCAATGAAAGAGAAAAAGAAATGACTGCAGGTTTCCTTTTAGGGTTACAAAAATGTTCTGAAATTTATTTTCTGATTGTTGTACAGTTCTGAATATTCTAAAATCATTGAATTATATTATTTAAATGAGTAAATTTTATGCCATGTGATGTATATATCTAAAGCTTTTATAAAAATGAATATCTGTGGTAGAGGAAAATATAAACAAATAGGTGAGTGGAATTACATAGGCAGTCATGTATGCTGGTATAGTGTGTGTCTGATCTCTAGGCTTGTATATCCTTCAATCTTATTTATATGTTACTATATATTTTCTTACTGGGAATAGAAAAGATTTTCTTATGTATATGAGAGTTATTCTTCTGTTATTATGGTAATCTACCAGGTATTTACCTTGTTATTTTTTGCTAGAGAGCTTGGACCCTTGGGGAAGCACAGGGCTTCAAGGTCAGAATAGCACACTGTCTCTGTTCAGCTTCAGGGATGGTTACGGAGACTTACAAGGAAAGAACCCACTGTTAAGGAAACTGTTTCATAAAAATGCCTGAGGGCCAAAGATGAAGAGAGGCTTAATTTGAAATTGAATTTATAATGAGAAAAGTAAATATTAATGCATGACTTAACAAAAAATAATACCTAAAAGCAAGTTAGGTAAAGGATGTGTTAAAACAAACATGAAGAAACAAAATATAATAGGGATACCTACTTTAAATCTAGGAGTAGAAGAATTTACCTCAAAGTCAGTGATGTTTATGCTAAGACCTAAGAAATTACCTAGTATATATTTTGAATCAGTTTTTATATGTATTACAATATATTAATTGATGATTATTATATGTTTTATTTGAGTATGAATGCCTAATTTTATTTAATCTATTAAGTTGACTTTGTGTCTTTGTCTAAAATCATTTATCTCTATGTGTGTTACATTATTCCTAACCCTCTATTGTATTTCGTTTGTCTATATTTTCATCTTTTCCCCAAATTCACACTCTTTTTATCACTATCATTTTATAGTAGGTCTTTATTTCAGGTAGTGGAGATTTTCCCTTTTTTTCCCCATTCAATGTATTTTCCCTGTTAAAATTTTTTGAGTTTCTCTACAATTTAGAATCAGCTTGTCAATTCTACAAAAGAATATACTGAGATTTAGATTGGAAAGGCATTGAATCAATAGGTCAGATGGAGAGAATTGATGTGTTTGAGGTTTATGTGCGATTGTTTTTAATAATGGATACGTAATATATATATTTATGGGGTGTATATGATATTTCAATACAAGCATACAATGTGTAATGATTAAATCATGGTATTGTGATATATATCACCTCAAGCATTTATCATTTCTTTATATTAGAAACATCTCAATTTTACCTTTAGTAATTTTGAAATATACAGTAAGTTATTAATTAAGTCACTGTATTGGGCTACTGAACACTAGATTTTATTTTTTCTGTATAACTGTATTTTTGTACTAGAATTAATGTTTTAACAATAGAAGAACAGAGTATGACTCTCCATTTAGTTAGGTATTCTTGGATTCCGTTCATCGGTGGTTTGTGTTTTCTAGGGTATAGAACTTGTATTTTGTTAGATTTATACTTAAATAATAATTGTTTTGGATACTATTGCATACACGAGTTTTCTATTTTATAATTTTAATTACCCACTGTTTATTACTAGTCTGTAGAAATATGATAGAGTTTTGAAATGGGTCTTGCATTTTGTGATTTTATAAAGTTGTTACTTCTATTAGCTTTTAAAAATATTTTAAAATATTATTCCACATAAAGAGTTTCCTTCTTTTTACATTTTCAATTTGTATAGAATCTTATTTCTTTTTCTGGTCTTACTGAACTTGCTAGAAACTCAGGAAAATGTTGGATAGAACTGGTAAAAGAATAAAATATAACTTTGTTCTTGATTTTTAGGTAAAATTAATAGTAGTTGTTTGAAAAGGTTTTTGTGGTAGGTTTTCTCATCAGATTGATGAAGTTTTATGCTATTTTAGTTTGCTGAAAGGATTTAGCATAAATAAATGACACATTTTGTTACTTTTTCTTTTACACTTATTAAGATATGGTTTTTGTTTTTGTCTGTTGATATGCTGAATTACAATAATGAATTCTTGAATGTTGATCCAACCTTGAATTTTCTGAAAAAATTCTACTTGGTCATGATATATTGTTTATTTTACAACTATTTTCAAGAAGAGCATTGGTCAGTAGTTTTCATATTTTTTTTTAATTTAAGAATCAGGATAATATTGGCTTCCAAATATGAGTTGGAAGTGTTACCTCCTCCTCTGTATTCTGAAACAGTTTTGTGAAGAATTCATATTTCTTTCTTAGACCTTTGATATATTTTTTCTGTAATTCCATATAATCTTAAGTTAGAAAGTCTTATTGATGCATTAAACTCCTTTAGTAGCTATGATTTATTAGGTTTTTTTTATAAAGTGAGACAAGTCAGGCTATTCCTTCCGTGTCTTTTGCATTTCTTCCAAGTTGTAAACTTAACAGGCATAGAGCCATTTTAAGTATTTTAGTATTTTTGTACTTTAATAGTAAACTATTATTTTAATGTCTGTAGGTGATATAGTTGGCTCTGTGTCTCCACTGAAATCTGATCTCAAAGGGAGGGACATGATGGTTGGTGATTGGATCACGGAAACAGTTTCGCCCATGCTATTCTCATGATAATGAATGAGTTCTCAAAAGAGCTGGTGATTTTAAAGTGTGGCCCTTCCTCACTATCTCTTACCTGCCACCCTGTAAGACATGCATGACTTGCTTCTCCTTCACCTTCTGCCATAACTGTAAATTTGCTGAGGCCTCCCAGCCATGTGTAATTGTGAGTCAGTTAAATCTCCTTTCTTTTTAAATTACCCAGTCTCACATAGTATCTTTATAGCAGTGTGAAAATGGACTAATACAGAGAATTGGTAACAGGAGTGGGGTACTGCTATATAGATAACTTGAAAATGCGAAAGTTACTTTAGAACTGGAAAAATAGGCAGAGTTTAGAGGGCTCAGAAGAAGACAGGCATATGTGCAAATGTTTGGAAATACCTAGAGACTTGTTGAATGGTTTTGACCAAAATTCTTATAGTGATATGGAAAATGAAGTCCAGGTTGAAGTGGTCTCAGATGGAGATAAGGAACTTATTGGGAACCGGAGTAAAGGTCACTCATGCTATGTTTTAGCAAACAGACTGGGGGCATTTTGCCCCTGCCATAGAGATCTATGGGATTTTGAACTTGAGAGAGATGATTTAGGGTATCTAACAAAAGAAATTTCTAAGCAGCAAAGCATTTAAGAGGTGACCTGGTTGATTCTAAAAGTATTAAGTTATATATACTCACAAGGAGATAGTTTGAAATTGGAATTTATGTTTAAAAGGGAAGCAGAGCATAAATGTTTTAAAACTGTGCAGTCTGACCATGTGGTAGAAAAGAAAAACCTATTTTCTGGGAGGAATTTAAGCCAGCTGCAGAAATTTGCATAAGTAATGAGGATCTGTATGTTAATAGGTGAGACAATGGGGAAAATGTCTCCAGAGCATTTCAGAGATCTTCATGGGAGCCCATCACATCACAAGCCCAGAGGCCTACAAGAAAAAAAAAAATGTCTTGTGGGATAGGCTGAGGGCCTTACACCTCTGTGCAGCCTCAGGACTTGGTGCCCCCATTTCAGCCACTCTAGCTCCAGCTGTGGCTTAAAGGGGCCAAGGTGTAGCTTAGGCTCTTGCTGCTAAGGTTGCAATTCCCAAGCCTTGGCAGTTTCTATGTGGTGTTGGGCCTGCAGGTGCACAGAAGACAAGAATTGAACTTTGGGAACCTCCATCTAGATTTCAGAGGATTTATGGAAATGCCTAGATGTCCAGGCAGAAGTCTGCTGCAGGGATGGAGCCCTTATGGAGAACCTCTGCTAGAGCAGTGAAGAAGGGAAATTCTGAGTTCGAGCCCCCACAGAGTCCCCACTGGGGCACTGGCTAGTGTGAGAAGAGGGTTACCATCTTCCAGACTCCAGAAAGGTAGATCCACTGACAGCTTGCACAATGTGCCTGGAAAAGCTGCAGGCACTCAACACCAGCCCATGAAAGCAGTCACAGGGGCTGTACTCTGACAAGCCACAGGGACAGAGCTGCCCATGTTTGTGGGAGTCCACCCCTTTCATCAGCATGCCCTGGATGTGAGACATGGAGTCAAAGGAGATCATATTGGAGCTTTCAAACTTAATGATTGCCAAGCCAGGTTTTGGACTAGCATGAAGTCTGTGGCCCCCTTGTTTTGGCCAATTTCTTCCTTTTGGAATGGGAACATTTACTCAATGCCTGTATCTCCAATGTATCTTGGAAGTAACAAACTTGCTTTTGATTTTACAGGCTCATAGGCAGAAGGGGCTTGCCTTGTATCAAATGAGACTTTGGCTTGAATTTTTGAGTTAATGCTGGAATGAGTTAAGACTTTGGGGGTCTATTGGGAAGGCATGATTGGTTTTGAAATGTGAAAAGTACATGAGGTTTGGGAGGCTCCAGGGCAGAATCATATGATTTGGCTCTGTATCTTCACCCAAATCCTATCTTGATTTGTAATCCCCATGTGTCCAAGGAGGGACCTGGTGGGAGTTGACTGGATCATGGGGGTGTTTTTCCCCATGCTGTTCTCATGATAGTAAATGATTTCTCATGAGACCTGAGGGTTTCAAAGTGTGGCACTTCCCCTGTGCTCTCTGGTCTCTCTCCTGTCACCCTGTAAGACATGCCTTGTTTCCCCTTTACCTTCTGCCATGATTGTAAGTTTCCTGAGACCTCCCCAGCCATGTCGAACTGTGAGTCAATTAAACCACCTTTCTTTATAAATTACACCATCCCTGGTAGTATCTTTATAGCAGTGTAAAAATGGACTAATACAGTAGGTTCTGCAACGAGCCTCATTTATTCCTATTATTTGTAGTGTGTATGTTTTATTTTTCTTGGTTAGTGTAGCTAAGGATATATCAATTATATTGCGCTTTTTAAAGAACCAGCTTTTAGCTGTTTTGACTTCTCTATTTCTTTTATGTTTTCAGTTTTATTGATTTCTGCTTTTTTCTGTATTATTTGTTTCTTTGTGTTTTTAGTTTCTTAAGTAGAAAGTTCAGATCTTTTATATGTGTATGAGTGCATATTTTGTAAAATATTCAAAGTAGTTTCTAATATCCTCTGACTTATTCTTTTTTAAAAAAAAATTCTAACTTTTACTTTAGGTTCAAGGGTACTTGTGCATGTTTCTTAGGTAGGTAAATTTGTGACTCTGGGGCAAGTGTACAGGTTATTCTGTCACCTGTATACTAAGCATAGTACCTGACAGTTATTTTTTTCTTCTGGATCTCTTTTTCCTCCCACCCTTCTCCCTCAGGTTGGCCCCAGTGTAACTTCTTCTTGAACCCATAGATTATTTTTAAGTGCATTGTCTAATTTTCAAATATTAGACAATTTTCTAGATATCTTTGGTATTTATGTTCCAAGAACACACTTTTGTATAATTTGAATTTTTCAAATTTGTTTAGGTTTGTTTTATGACTTTTGAATGTTTTATAGATTTGTCAATGTTCCGTGTGTCTTTGAAAAGAATGTGTATTCCAATGTTGTAGGATGGACTGTACTGTAATCTAACTGACATTCTCTGATCAATTATTATTATACCTTCTTGGCAAATTGATCAATTTTTCATTTTAAAGAGAAGCTTTATCTGTTTTTCTTTATCCTTTATAATCTTTCTTTTTCTGAAGTCTCTTTTTTTCGGATACTACGATAGTCATGCCAACTTTATCTAGATTGGTTTTTGAATCATATCATTTCCATTACTTTAATTTTAACCTATCTACATTTAAAGTAGGCTTATTGTAAATAACATAAAGGGAGCGTTCTGTTTTTTAATCTAATTATTCAAGTTCTCTCTCTTAATTGGTATGCCGTTACGTTTGGACTGATGACATTTAATGTAATAATTGTCTAATAGTCTATCATTTGTAGAGCTGTATTCTGTTTACTCTTTGTTTCTTTTCCTTCTTTATTAGGTTATTTTTTATTGAATTTTATAATGAAATTATTTTTTCTCTAGTATTCACTTATTTATACTTGTTTTACAATTTTGTTAGTAATTTTTGTTTGGTGTACACTATATATCTTTAATTAATTGCATCTTTATAAAATAATATTAAAATGCTTCAAAATCTCATTCTCATGTTCTGGTGTGTATAACGTCACAAGAGGTCTGCCATACTTATTATTTTTGTTAATTTTTATTTGCTGTGGCCTTGTTCTTTGTGACTTTCATGGTTTCCTTTTTATTATCAGTTTGGAGAAGTTTAAATATTATTTGTCTAGGGGGGTGTGTGTGTGTGTTGTTTTTGTTTTACTTGGTGTCACTCAACTGGTTGAATCTGTGCTTTTATGTATTTTATTAACTTTGGAAATTCTAAGCCACAATAGTTTTTAAATATGTATCCTTACTGTTCTCTCCTTTCCTGTGCATATTGTGATTATTTATATGTTAGACTATTGATATTGCACCACAGATCTTGGATGCTCTGTTTTGCTTTCATTCTCTCTCTCTCTCTCTGTCTCTTTTCTCTCAGTGTTTACATTGGATAATATATATAATTGACTCACCCTCAAGTTTACTTTTTTATTTTATTGGCTCTGATGAGCTTATCAAAGGTTATTCATATCTGTCCCTCTTTGATTTCTAGCATTTTCATTTGCTTCTTAGTTTCCATCTCTGTCAAATTCCCTTTCTATTCATGTGTGTTGCTTATCTTCTCCACCAAGATTGTTAACATATTGCTAACAATTATTTAAAATTTTCTGGTATTTTAAACATTTCTGTTAACTTCAGTCCAGTTTTGTTAACTGCTTTGTATTTAACTGCGTGAGGTTTTTCCCTTGCTTCTTTGTGAGTCTCACAATTTTTTAATAAAAGCCAATATCTTGTGTAAAATAGCAAGTTAGAGGCATTTATGCCTGGAAATGACACTTTTTTTCTTTCTTAGGCCTTTTGTGCCTGGGTTGAGTCAATCTAGCCAGGAGTTGAATTGGCCTTAGACTTTTTGTTGCTATGTTTACCCTCTTTGTGCCACAAGCTTCAAATTCTTGTAATATAACCTTGTGTTAAGTGTAAGGCTGACTTGCCAGATGGTTGTTCACAAATATGCATTGCCCCCTTAGCTTGCTTTAGGTCTTCTTTTTGTGGCGTGTGTGTGTGTGGTTTTTTTCCTCACTCATGTATTTCCCATCTTCCAGCTGTAAGTGTTGTTGTTACTCGGCCCTCTTTAGGCTGGTTAGTTGGAAATCAGGGTAGTGTTTGCTGTTATTTTACTTCATCCTCAGTGGGTGCTGAGGTTGGGCTTTCTCAATAAACTTGTCCTCCCCCACTGTTAGATTTTTCTAATAATCTGGCCTCCTGAAGCCTTCCTGCATTTCCACCATGGATAGAGGGTAATAATTTTCTGTTTTACTTTCTTAGAAGCAATGTGTCTTTACCTCTGGCCTGAGGGTGATAGGGGATGCTGTACATTCCCAGTGGCTTCCCTTAAGGGAGAGAGGGAAGAACTGTCCTAGGAAGGATTCTGTCCTTTTGATGCTTTCTGTTGCTGCTCTTCTCCTTCCTTCATCCTGTGTCATAACTGAGATCTCCTCTCATATTTCACCCTTCCCTTGATCTTTCATGTAATTCTACAAGTGGCTGTGAATCCCTCTTGTGTCTGCAGTTCCTAGGACTTCTATGCCCTTATGCTAGCCTACACTTAGGCTTTAGCAATTTATTACAACTTTCACCTAAATTATTTTTACTGACTTACATCATTTCCTGCATAGACTCCAGGTATGCAAGTATTTGTACCCTGATTCTCCTTGGATTTTTGTCTATTCTTAAATTTCAGGTTAGTTTCTTGTCCTGTAAGCTCTCTGATTTGTTCAAATAATTATAATTTCAGAGAGTGTCTGGATTTTTGTTTTTGTTGAAAAGATTAGAGTGTTAACTCTTTCAAGCTTTCTTCATTCTAAGGAAAAATAAGTATCTAGTAAAAAGTTTTAAAAAAAATTTATGCTCAAATTTTAATATTTTAAGAAAATAAATATCACTTTGGCTGGTTATAGAGTATGAATATGTGGGGTACAAATTTAGAAACAGAAATAAACATTAAGAATCAATAGAGAAAATTCTGGCCAGAGATGATGCAGATGCTAATTGGAACTCCAGCCCCTTATGCCTTACTATATACATTTTGTTCCTATTATGGGCCAAGTTTTCATGTGGCTTTTGAAGCAATTTATTTGCCTGCATGGGTCCTCACTCTTTGGCCCTTTGAGGATTCTGCCAACTTCCTTTTTTTTTTTTTTTTTAGTTTGTAATCCTTTGGGAAGAGGGAAAATTCTTTCTTTGCCATTTGTGAGTTCTTATCCCAACCCTCAAGTTCTCCAGAGGTTACTATTTTATGTAAAGAGGGCAAATAAACATTGCCCTCTGGAATCCAAGGGCTGCTATTTTTGCAAGCATATGAAGGCTTTCCATGAGTATTTTTCTCGCTTTCTCCCACTTCCTCCTGTACCCTCCATTCCTCTAATCACTTCAATGCCCTTCTCAATATGCATCAAGACCTTTAAGATCATATTTGAAGGTTGGGGAATCCTGCTGCCTTGTGTCAGTTAGTTGAAAAACAGGCTTCTTATCTACTTAAAGAACACGAGACATGGGAATTTGACAAAAGAGATAATCATTCTGTTGCTAGTATGCTCTGATTGAGAGTCACTATAAGGTCACAGAGACAAGAATATAGGACAGCCCAAGGCTGCAGGTGCAAGAGACCCATAGGACAGAGATGAAGGTTGGGACCCATCTAACAGATTAGAACAGAGATGAAGGCAATGTTAGGGGTACATGGTAAGACTGGTTTATTCCAGGTCCCCAAGGATAAAAAGGAGAGGGACTTCTGTTCACTTTGGTGTCTCCTCTGATCTCAAGTGGGTAATTGTGATGATTGGACCAAAGTTAAGGGTACAGTAAAACTGATTCATTCTGGAAACCTAAAGATGAATAAGAGATGCCCCATTCAGGATAATAGGAAAGTACGAAGAGATGCCTTCTTTTGCTTTTTTCTTTTTGGTCCTCTGTTCTCTCTTTGCAAATAGGTAATTTGGTCTCCATACCACAGGACGCACCCCTCGGATGCATCCTCAAGAACTGGGGAAAAGTGTGATCCTCAAACACTAAAAATGAAAAGCTTAATATTTTTCTGTAACACAGCATGGATTGAATATAAGCACTGGGGCCAGGCATCTTGGCTTGAAAGTGGAAGCCTGAATTTTAATACTAACAACTAGATTTGTTTTGTCTCCAGCAAGGAACGTGGACAGAAATGATAGCAGCCATAGTCAGGCAGCCCCCTCTAGTTCATTCAGCAGACCCTTTATTGGGTTTACCCAGGGTTCAAGCCTCAGAGGAACCAAGGGAGGACTTAATTCAAACCCCACTGCCAATTCTGCCTCATTATATCCAAGTCTTTCAGCCCTGGAGCCTTCCCTGCCCTACCCAGGGCTGTCCTCTGGACTCCATCTCCTTCAAGACGTAACTGGCCTCACTGGACCCGCTAGAGTCCAGACATTCACTATGCAAGTCCTGAGCCCAATTAACGTGGAACTAAGGAAGTTTATGGAGGACCTTGACAGATACATTGAAGGGTATTTGTAAACTGGGCTTAACATTTGAACCGACCTGGAGGGATCTCTCAGACATACTAGGGCAAACACTGTGCAAGAAAGAACATGATTCCATTATGGAGGCAGCCCAACAATTGGCAAATGCAATGCATATGACTGACCCTGGCGGCTACCTGTAGGAGCCACCACAGTTCCCCAGGTTGACCCCAATTGGTATTACAATACCCAGGGTGATATATGGGCAAGGAACCACATGTTCCTCTGTGTGATTGAAGGAATGAAAGCTAACAGAGAAAAGCCTGTGAACTATAATAAATTGGCCTTAATAGATTAAGGCCCTCTTGAAAACCCCACTGCTTTGCTAGAGAGGCTACAAGAGGCTCTGGTGAAATATACTAACTTAGACCCAGAGACACCAGAAGGGCAACTGGTCCTAAAGGACCATTTCCTAACTCAGGCAGCTTCAGATGTTAGGAGGAAACTCCTAAAGCTAGCACTGGCCCCCAATACCCCTGTGCCTGATATTCACAAAATAGTTTCCTCAGTCTTTTACCACCAAGAGCATGAAGAAGAAAAAATGGCTCAGGAAAGGGAGAAGTAAAATGGAAAGAGGCAGGCTCAACTATTTGCTGATTTATAAGCTCTCCAGCCTCCTCCAGGTTGCCCTCAGAATATCATTCCAGGTAATCGCCACTGATGTGAGAAGCCAGGCCACTGGAAAACAAACTGCCCCAGTGGGATAAATGGAAAAAAGACCCACACAGCTTGACCCCTCTGCCACAAGCTCAACCACTGGAAATGGGACTGTCCTGAGGGCTGAAGAGCCCCTGCGACAGAATCCCAATCCCTGATGGCCTCGAATTGAAGGAGCTCTACACTCCAGCCTTCTTCCAAATTAGACATTGTCATCAACAGGACAAAGTCAAGGGCAATTCTGAAAGCAGCAAGTAAAATTATAAGTTTCTCTTTTGGGTTTAAGAGCTGCCTACTCTGTGCTAGTCTCTTTCTCTGAGCAAGTCTTTTCCAAATCCTGTCTGGTAATGGGAGCAAATCAAACCCCCTCCCTCCAAAAGAAAAGATTCACACCCCTTTATATTACTTAAGAAACTAATTACCATTCTCCTACCAGTCCCTAGTAATGTCTAAATACCCCACACTTCTCTGGGGCCAAGATATACTTTCCAAAGTGGGTACCTGCTTAATGCTTCCCCAATCTCTGAATTCACCTTTCCATCTAATAGCTGTATTTTTCCTGGGGAAGATTCCAAAAACGTTAACCAATAACTTTAGCCTGGATGGTCCTGCCTCAGGGGTTTAGAAATACTTCACATTTATTTGGACAAACTCTAGCAAAAAATTAACCAATCAATCTCTTGAGGGATGAAACTTCTAGAGTATATAGATTATCTCCTTATCTACTCTCCCTTCACAGGAGTCAACACAGAACCACACAGTACAAACCTTAATTTCCTAACAGGAGGAAAATGACTCTTGTCTAACTTAAAGATTATAAAAGTAAACAGGTATTTTGGGTAAAGAATGTTGTTAAAGACAGATTTCATATGAAAAAGGATCTTGTATGGTAAATTCATATCCTAAAGTAAAATAACTGGTTGTTTAAAAATAGAGATGTTTAGGACCAGTCAGAAAGTCTAAGCATGCTGCAGATGGTCAGTGTAAGTCATAAACAAAATTGTAAAAGGGAATTTATAAAAGAAATATTACATAATTTTAAAGGTTATTAGGCCTACTAAATACTGCATATACTGCTGCTACGACTCTTAACTATACAATTTACCTGCTTTAAAGCTAGTTAAGGCCTGAAACGTAAAGAGTTAGCCATTTCCCCCAGCTGTGCTGGAAAGAGTCAAGCCTTATCTTCACTTCTGTCTGGTGTCCTACGCTGAAAACTTAGTATATAATTAGAGTCATTTACTTAGCAGATTTTTCACCAAAAGTAAAAGTTCTAACAGTGTAACATGTACTTGAGACTACTGGAAAAAACAGTTTACATGCAATGCATGTAAGGAAAGTACAATGTGTTTTTGATAAAATATCATAAAAAGACATGGGAATGTGGATTTTTCTTGCCTAGTTTAGAGGGTTAAAGGATTGTTTTAAGTTAAATAGGATAAAGCTGAAGGGTTGAGAAACTTGTGGAAAGTTTTTAAAAGATTCATCTTATAAAAGAAATTCTGTGTGTTACTATATTAGTTGAAGTTAAAGAGATACTCTTCAGTTTATCCAATATTGAACATTGGAATAAAAATACATTTCTTAACTTTTATTTTAAGTTCAGGGGTACATGTGCAAGTTTGTTAGATGGGTGAACTTGTGTCATATGGGTTTGTTGTACAGATTATTTTATCACCCAGGTATTAAGCCTAATACCCATTAGTTATTTTTCCTGATCCTCTCCCTCCACCCTCCAATAGGCCCCAGGGTGTGTTGTTTCCCACTATGTGTCCATGTGTTCTCATCACTTAGCTCCCACTTTGAAGTGAGAACATGCGGTATTTGGTTTTCTGTTCCTGTGTTAATTTGCTAAGGATAATGACATTCAGCTCCATCCATGTCCCTGAAAAAAACATGATCATGTTTTTTTATGGCTGTATTCCATGGGCTATATGTATCACATTTTCTTTGTCTAATCTATTATTGATGGCCATGTAGGTTGATTTCATGTTTTTGCTATTGACAACACAGTTTTCTTAGAGCATTGTTCTGTTCTTTAACAGAAAATTAGAAAAGATTATAGGAGGTGTATGAGAATCATACCTTATGGTCAAACTTATTAAAATTGAATAGATTTGTCTATAAGGATTTGTTAAGAGTTGAGTTTGACATCAATAGTACACTAATGCAAAGGTAACATTTGGGTTTCTTTGGACAGTACTTGTATAAATATGTTATTGTTAGGTGTTCCAGAATTACTCAAAACTCTTATAATTCTGATATAATTTAGTATAGGTTATCAGTAATAATTATAATTGTTATGTTAAATTATTGTGTGCCACAGAAGTAACAAATATATTTGTCAATTGTTTTTGACTGTGGCTGTCCTAAGATGTTTTGTCATCTATGGACAATTATTGCCTTGTTTTGATCCTCTTTAGACGGTGACTCTATAATCAGCTATAGAGCTCTAACAGGTGTTTGAATGCAAGGTTCTGATAACTTTGGAGATTATGACATTAAAATAGAAAAAAAAACTTTTAGGACTCTCATGGAGAGCTGAAATGTTCATGAATATCAAGCGGAATAAGCATTAACTTCATATACTTAACCAATAGGAGACTAAAATAATACGTTTATGACGTTTTGCATAAAATGTTGCTAATCTTTTGTTTTTCAAAGCCAAGAAACTTTTCTTTTGAGCTATTTACAGCTTTTAACAATTGAATAGACTACTATAAACAAAATTTGGAACATATTTGTTTCTCTCTACCTGATTTCTCCAGAATTTGGAAACTATTTCTGAGTATTCTTAATTTATGGCAATACATTTATTTACTTAAGTGTAATAGTAATCCATTTTCTTTTGCAAGAAGACACAATTTGAGAAACTTATTTTACCAAGATTTTGACTGGAATGACATGCTTTCTTTTAAGGAATTAAATCTGACTTATAGTGCCAATAAAAGCCCATTGGGAAAACTGACCTCATACTTTGTCTACACAGTCCCAGCACAGGCTCCTGACCTATGGTAAGTTAAGAATATCACTTTATAACAGGCCCTGGGGCCCTAAGTTATCATGGAATCTCAAGAGGAGAGGAATTTACCTAAATTACACAGGTATTTTATGGCATTAACCCATGGCTGGGCTTAAGGCTTTAAAAAAGTCCTATCTGAGATTCCTTAGGAAACAAACTTCCATCAAAGCCAAGTTAAAAAGGAGGCTACATGGAAAATAATTACTCTTGTTGTGCTTTATGCAAATAATCTGGACAAATATAATAAGACTAAGGCTTATTTTGCAAACAAATAAATCCTGTCGTGACTTATTTTTAATAAAAAATGATGACCAAAGAGAGAAAAACTATGTTTCAAGAACCATGGTATACCTGTTTTTAGATTCTAGTTTCATCAGTTGTTCACAAGTTTTTGTCAGCAGTTTAAACTAACCCTGCTTATTTCTGTGAACCAACCACTGATCTCTGGCTGAAGCTCAGAAGAAACAAGAGGGATGGATAATGTAAAAATTTGGATCAATATTCTAAGTATGAACACATACTAGAATCGGCAAGCAACCCCATCCCCCCATGAATGTAGCTTCCAGCTACCTGAGCATGTCAGCATTCTATAAATTTTTTAGAGCTGTAATCACCCCCTTATTTCATTTTGACATTCTTCTAAATCTAATAACCTTTTTTGTCTCTCTCACCTTCATGCCATCAAGCTCCAAATGATTCTCAATAAGGACACTATCCTCTCAATATTCAAGAGTCACCCTTCTACACAGTGTGCCTACGTTGTCCATTAGCGAGGCATGTCAGAAGTAAAATCTATCTTACCCCTGTCTTCCGTGGTCCTGGCTGGATACCACTTTCACCAACCCACAGAGCTACTCTCCTTCCTTGACAGCTAACAAGAGGCCAAGACCAACAGACAAGCCACCACTACCACTCTGTTAGCAGGAAGCAGTTACAGAAGACCAACCTTTGTCTAATTTCCCCCAAATAATTAGGGTCTTGGACTCTTGAGGGGGAAAATGTTACAGAAGGTAACTAGTCAGGCATGAGTTGGTAGGTGAAGCCCCTCCCATCCCCATCACTAGGAATGTCAAGAGACCATCAGGTGATGGTCAAGCAGTTAACTCTCTCTCTAAAATAGTAATTGATCATAGCTAGCACCATGGAAAGGCAGTCTCCCAAAAGAAAAAATAAAAAGAAACTAAAACTGGTGATCAGCAGCTTCTCAATAAGATATCAGGAGTTGGGCAAGTGGGCTCAAGCATGTGCATTAAGAGGCAAAATGGCAGTTTAACTGGTGTACGAACTTCTAGGGACATTCAGCTGGCAAGGGAGGAATGCCTCAATGGGGCATGCATACAACTCCAGTAAACACACTACGAATACTCACCTCCCAAGTGCAGGCGGGCCACTGTGCATTTGTACAGCCCACACCAAAGGAAGAATCAGGGGAGAAGAAATGCAGACCCCAGAAGCATGCCAACATATAAAATCCCAAGTCAAAGCTCAAACCATGCACGTGATGTCTCAAGTCACCTGCTTGGCCCTCTTCCAGGTGTACTTTACCTCTTGTAATTCCTGCCATAAAACTTTTTAATAAATCTTCACTCCTGCTCTAAAACTTGCCTGGTCTCTCCTTCTGCCTCATGCCTCTCAGTTGAATTCTTTCTTCTGAGGAGGCGAGAATTGAGGTCGCTGCATACACATACAGATTCACGACCAGTAACATACTTAGTGCCTCATGACTTGGATATGTTCCATAGCTACAATATCATTTTAGATGTAATGAGGAAAAAATAAAGGGAAGTGGACAGATTTTAGGAATATTTTTGGATTAGAATATATAGGAACTTGATTGGATATGGCTTATTAGAGAGAGGATTGTTAATGATCAACAGGTTTCTTTTTAAACAATGGAAAATAGTGATGTCTTTTACTGGTGTGTGTGTGTGTGTGTGTGTGGTGGGGGATGTTGTGTAGCTAGAGTAAGATAGAGCACTAGTTACTGGAACTTACGTAGGAAACCCCAGAGCACAGGAATTGTCACATAACAGTCTATGCATCTATTCAGCATGTGTGCATACTACAATTCAGGAACCCCAAGTTCTTTCACCTTATAACTCTGTCATCTTCTACGATTTCAGAATTCTTCTTTTTTAGACATTGGATGAAGAATTAGATAGCAGAAAAGACACCCACTTCATTGCAATTTTGGTCAAGAAATGACAGACAGTAGTCTGCATAAGAATATACCACTTTTGATCAGAACGAATTAGTTGAAAGGTCATGCCAACGTTTTTGAGAAGGACCTAAAATAATTCATCTTTATTTTAGCATATTTGTCCATGCCTCCCAAGAAATATCTACCACCCAAGTTTGTGTGTCTCTGTTTTATGTACTGTATTTTATATAGCTACTTCTTAGAAACCTTTCACATACACTAAAGTAAAATCTTTGATTTCTTTTTTTTAATGAAAAAATACAGAGCAAGTCTAATGACTTTGAGTTTAGGGCTTTAATTTTATACATCTCTTTTCTGATTCAATTCAATTTGAGATGCTTACGGTACTATTTACTTTCATATTTCATAAGTTTCCTATTTAAATGTTATATAATTTTAGCATATTCTGTAATTAAATCAGCTTAAATTTTTGCTGCATGTTAAGAAAAATGGAAATAGCATGCCATTCTTAGACTACAAAAGATTAAAATCTGTATTTTTTCTTTCCAAATTAAGCTTTGTAAATGTTAAATGAAGTTTTAATTATTAAAACTAAATAGTAATCTGGAATTCAGAAAGCTTCTTTGCTTCTACCTCAATAAAATTTTATGCATTTTCAAAATGCATTTTCAAAGTGGCAAAAATAAATTTAATAATTCAGTGTTTAAATGACTGTCATTTAATGTCTCACACTTGAAAAAATCTGTAATGAGAAATACATTTCTATTTGTATACATACATTTGTATACATTTGCATTACAGCCTAGAGTAAAACTGGAAAAAACATGGAATTCATGGGACATCAACTATATACCAGGCTCTATGTGAGACATTACTGATACAAAGATAAATAAATTAGAATCCTAATCTCTAGAGAACTTGAAGCCTGAGTAGAAATAATGTAATCTTTTTGTCACACAGATTGTTGCTTCTACGAAGCATACAGATTTTACAAAACTATTTATATTTTTACTAGTATAAAATTATAGATGCATTTGTAAATACAGAGTTAGCTCTCTCACCATAGCAAAAATTTAGGAATTTATATTCTGTAGAGGTAGAAATAGAATATAAATGAACATCTTCTTCTCAGCATCAAGAGTAGGCCTGTTTATACGAGTTTTTCCCATTTTTATCATATTAACCTGACACCTGCTACCAATCAGTCATTCCATCAAAGAGTCATTTATTTACAGGTTGGCAATAGTGTTGATTAAATAAACAGTCAATTGTTATGCAATTAATTCTGTCCATTTGATCATGCTTGTAAATACTACTTTGATGTACTATATATATATATATATATATATATATATATGTAAACATTTACACAGGATTATTTTCAAGATGATATAGGGTTGCTATACCACAAAGAATGATACTTTTAGTGGAGGAAAAAGTCTAGATTAACTTTACTCTATTGGAGGAAAAGATGAGCGAGAAAGACAATTTTAGGATACAGATCTAGCCAGGCTTTCTGGGCAGTATTCACTGCTCTTCTGATAAATGTCAATGTCTCTCTTTAAAGAAGGGGCCAAGGCTGTAGCTACAGAACAAAGACAAACTCTAGTCCCTCAAGAATAAAGTTTCATAGGTACTAGACAGATTAACTGGTCCCTCATTAGTTGGGTTGGTATTTAGATAATTATTCAGTACAAGGTTGTAATTACAAGTAGGGAACAGAAAAGTAAAGCAGTAACTAGTGTAGACTAATAATCATTTTAGAATTGATATCCAGAGTGGAGGTTAGAAGAATCTTGGCTTCAATATGTATTATGTGTTAAAAAGATGGGATTTAATACTGGGCTTATGGTCAAAAAATAATTTCAGATTCAAGTCAAAAGTAGGTGCTGATTAGAAAAGAAAATACATTTAGCAATTCAGAGTTTATAATTTAAGAATGTAGTAGTTTTTTTGTTAAGAAGTTATAAACTTGGATTCGTGTGTGTGTGTGTACATGTACAAACAGCATATATATATACATTTTTCCCCTGATATTTATAACACTCCTTTAAGTTAAATGTTTTCTTTTTCTATAAATGAAAAGTCTGAGGCTCAAAAAGTTTAAGTAAATTTAAATGATCCAAGAATGATATATAGTAGAGTTTCTTTATTTTATTAAATATTCATTTTGAAATGGCATATTCACTTCTCTGTGTATTAGAATAAATCTATTTTTACATACTTAAATCTGATACTTTCTAGTACTTCTTGTTCTGTTAAAAGTTCCTATGTATATTGTGCATGATTCAAGTAACTTCCATGTTTCCAACCAGTTAAAATCATTTAACACACATTTAACTAGCATAGCATATATACTATTCCAGGCAGTCTAATGCTGACTTGGTTTTTTCTCATCAATTATAATTATGTCTAAGCAGAAGGTGCATTTTTTGCTCCTCCTACCTTCTGAAAGCAAAATAAAATGTGAGTTAAATTAGCTATTTGTTTAAGTGGAATTTGTCTACTTATAGAATAATCAATCACATTTTTTCCTTTATATTCAATTAGTATACTCTTCTTTGGCATGAATGCATTGACTATTTTCAAAAACCCAAGTGTTAGAGATCAATTAATATAATTTCCTTCTAAACATTTTTTCATTTTATCCAAATCTTATAAGTATCTTGGAAATCTAAGAGCTTTACAAAATTTTACCAAAATGTTTTTAACGATAAGATGAGAATTAACTCACCTGTTTAATTTCATTGCTTATGTAATTCTCTTTGATATTGGTTTAAAATTATTTAATTGACATTCACCTTCAGAGATTACCTATTTCTTGTCCCTCTGCCCTTAGGATTTTACCCAGAAATTAACATGACATTGCCTGAAAAATCCATACAAAGAGATTTTATAGCAAAAACACCACAAAATTCTCCTGACTTTCTTCTGTAACTGTTATCTTTGTCTGAGACTGCTCTGTTTAATACTTCCACAGAATTATCTCTGAGAACCAATGTGGCAGATTATACTTGTTCAGGTATTTTTTTTTAATTTCTCCATTGGAACTTTAATACATAGATTACAAACAGTAAAAACTTATTTTTGCTCAAATATATGTTTTTTAAATTCTCATCTTAAATGTGATTATTAATATATGATATTTATTTATATCATATTCTTGCCATATACATATCTGTCTTTGGAAGAAATTTATAAATATTGCTTAGTTCTTAGATATCTTTATCAATGAATTTGATGAATGAAGGAAATAATCCACAGTGGAAGATAATCAAGAAAACATGCTAGCTATGGAAATTTATTTTACCTGTACAATAGCAAGGACAAAATATTTGCCTTATTATTATTTGCTTACCCATACTTATCTGAATATTCATTGATACCCTTCATTGACAAACATAAGCCATCTCAAAGTATGGTTGATGGCAAAAGAAAATGTGTTTCTCATTTGAACACTCTCAGTGGAAAACCAAAAGAGCTTATTTAGAGTTGAAGTAATTTGAGCACAGCAAAGATGGTTTCATATCTAAGTATTAATATGTGTGAAGCAATTTAATATATATTAACATTTTATAATTTAATTTTCAGTTGCAATTGACAGAAATAAGAACTAAATAGATTGGCCAAATAAGAAATAATTTATTTAAAAGCATTAAAATACCTTATGTACTTAAGAATAAGTTGAACAGCCAAACCCTGTCAACTAAAATAATACAGTTGGACAAAAAAAAATCACCTGGAAATAGCAAATATGAGACAAAACATTATTTCCCACATATTTTTCATTTCTGTTTCCCTCTTTTTATTAGTCTCATTCTCAATAAAGTTTCTCTTCTCCAGATGGTGAGAAATATAACTACTGACATTTCCTGCATCCTGCAACTCACAGCTTTCACTGGCAGATCTCATTAACATAGCAACTTTATATCTGTAGAAGAGGAAGTTTAATAAATAGTAAAAATAATAGGTTCTCAATAACTGGGGGGACTGATAGCACCACGTCAGTCATAGCTGTATTTGTGTGTATGTACATGTGTGTTTGTTACATGTGTATATATATTTGTGAAAACTGTTCTTTTTTAACTAGACTAGTAAAAATGTTATTATTTTCTTTAGAAGTCATTCTGGTAGTAATGTTTCACTTTGGTGCTCAGTTTCTATTACCTGAGGTGCTGTTTTTAGGTAATTCAGCTTTTCTTTAACATATAATGTCCTCGTCAATGAAATAAACCAAAAACGATCTCTAAATATATCCTAATTCATTAAAATATATTCACTAAGTTGTTTTACCATAAGACAATTCAAATGCTTCTTTATTAGCTAAATCATTGAGCACGTACTTATCTACATGTAGCTTTACGGAGGAGCAACTTTATGTAAAGGTTTGATAGTTTACTTCAAAGTTAAATTTTATTGTTTGTCTTCTCCAAATGTTTTGCCACTTATTGCTTAAAGATTTGAATTCCTCTAACATTGGATGAAGCATCTCATTCCATTGTTAGAGAAGCTGTTTAAAATTAAAATAGTGCCTAAAGACATGACACATAATTATAAAATTATCCAGACTAATCTTTCGATAAGAAAGGAGGAAAAACATGAATGTAAAGGGTAGACATCAAATTTTCTCAATTCAAGGAGTCTGGCAAAGTGACAAACTTTAGTAACTTGATAAAACATCTCTAATTCTTTTTTGACTTCCACATTGATTTTGATTTTCCTTATGAGACTCGAAGACCTCTAACAAAATAATGATTTTCAAAAGAATACAAATCAAAACATGTAAGAGCCATCTGTGTTTTTTAATTATGTGTGAAAACAAATCTAGCTTCTTAATATGTCCAATTAAATCTTAAGAAATCTGTCTCTTAAAACCTCATCTTAAGAAATCTGTCTCTTAAAAGCTCACGCTCACCAGACTTACTACATATTGGACCCAGTGGTCTTTGGTCCTTGCAGAGAACATGTTCAATTCTTCTTCAATAAGGGCCTTCTAACATTATATAATATTATCTATTTCTGGTGTACTATAGAAGAGCAGGCTTGTCACTGGTGGATGGTTCACCAGTCAGCAAATGGTACGTCACAAATCAGCAACCAGATCAGCTTTTGAGACAAATGTGAATCAACCACAACACTCAGCTCAGCTGATTTTGTTGCACTTTCTCATTAGCAAAGCTTTTCTTGTGATGTGCTTTATCTCTTCTCAACTAGTAGATTGAGCAACAGTGCTCTAGACATTTTGTCTTCTCTTCCTTTTCATAGTTATCTAACACATTTACACATACTATGACACAAAGACTATGTTTTTAATATATATTTATCTATGGGTCCCTTCTCCTGCTGAAAATATTAAGAGTAATCTCCTCAGGAAGAATTTGCTGATCACATGGCTAAAATAAGCTGTCTGACCCTCTCTGTATCTTCTGTCAAGACATCTTTTTTAATTTCCATGTGATAATATTCACAACTTGCAATTTTACATGTATAGGTTTATTTAGTCATTTGAACCCCAACATTTTGTGTGCTATGCCCAGTGGCTAACACATTGTATTCATGTCTAAATAAAAACACATACATACGTATTTGGCTGAGTTACTGGATATTTACTGAAAAGAAACAAGGCTCTCTCCTGAATTGTTTTGCTCTAGCTCATCGATCTAGAGAATCTCTTGGGTGTTATTAGCACCTGTCTTTTGTTACCTAGAGAATTGTTCTTTAAGAAAATAACGGATATTGGAAACATATGTTTTGTCTCAGGCCATAGCTTCAGAATACATCTTCTCTAACCTTCTAATTTGGACAAGATAGCCTTCAGGTGTATGTTACTGCAACTTGTTTCTACCTGTATCATAGGAAAAATCACTTCACATTATATTTGTTTGTTTTCATGTTGTATATTCCACTGGGAAATATATTACTTTAGGAGGGGGATTGCTATAGTTCTGCATTCCTACTTCTAAACACAAGGCTTGAGGGTTAGGTGGTACTCAAAAGATATTTTTTTTTTCACTGATTATATAGCCATACAACAACCATTGACAAAAACTCTCTCCTTAAACAAACACTAGATGAGCTCCTGCTGAATCATTTTGGTAAGAATTCCCCACCCTTGATGTTCTGGTATGATTCCTAACCTCTTACCATCCCCAGGCAATATATGCTCACCTGGCATACCTTTAGCAGGAAGTCTCTTAAGTCAGCTTAGCAAGAATTGCCCCTACCCTTAATGTCTCCTCTTAGTAATTTCCTGTTCATTGGCCCCTCCAAACTGTTCCTTGGCTATCAAACTTCACTTTTCCTTGTTGTGCTGGGAATTAAGCTCAGCTCTGTACTGTGGTCTCTTTTACTCTGTTGCAATCATTCCTGAATAAAATCTATTTTTATCACTGTAACTACTGCCTAGCTGTGGTTTTCTTTGATACCACATAACGTGGAGTCCATTTAAAATAACTTCTAGGAAAATATGTCTTGCTCATTATGTTTTTATCTCATTGAAATGTGAATGCTTTGAAAACAGAAAATGATTTGTGCTTTGTATCTTTATTCCCAAGTATTAGCATGGGCAATATTAGCACACATTAAAACCTTCTGTGCACTCTAAACAAAAATCAAGTAATATTAAATGATAGACAAGATCTTCAACTAATCTTGTTGTCAACCAGGCATGGTGGCTCATGCCTGTAATCCCAGCATTTTGGGAGGCTGAGGTTGGAGGATCACTTGAGGCCAGGAATTTGTGATCAGCCTGGACAAAAATGGAGATCTTTTCTCTACCTCTACAAAAAAAATAAAATAAAGGTGGCAGGCACCTGCAGTCCCAACTATTTAGGAGGCTGAAGCAGGAGAATCCTGCGAGCCCAGGAGTTTGAGTTTACAGTGAGCTGATTGCACCACTTCATTTCATCTTGGGAGACAGAGCAAGGCACCATCTTAAAAAAAATCTAGTTACCAAACATTTTCTTTCAGAGATGAGGAGATACCCCAATAGAATGAGTAATTGTTCAAAGGCACAAAGCCAATTAGTATCACAAACATTACAACTAGTTCTCCTGTAGCCAATTTATAAGTTGTGCCATCATCTAGTGTATTTTTAAATGTTTGTTTTAGCTACAACTCCTCTATCTCTCAGGCAGCCATACAAGGACAAAAAAGAAGAAATATTGAATCTCTAAAAAGATTCTGAGAACCCAAAAACTACATATGAATTAAGGGCAAAAGCCTTCTTAGGATTCTGACATCTGTCTATTTTTTCCTTCCCTTTGGATCATGAATATATTTAGCAGCTTTAATAGATAATACAGGTGAAAAAAAGAATGACTTTTATATTATAAATCTTTCTCTACCTTGAGTATACTGATATATTATGTTAAAATATTTTCTTCAACAAGAACAACAAAAAAGCTTATCTCACATGGACAGGCAGACATTAGCCAAACATAATTTGTAACATTCCTCCGGTTTTAGCCAGTAGAAGGGTGATCATACAAACACAGTCCAACCATATCTTTAGGCTCATAGCTCAAGATCTCTGTTTTTCTCATCCATACTACAGGGCGGACTGGCACTAAGTTGAACTAAACTCATGTAAGAATATCCCGTTTCCACCAAGGTGCAGGATCAGAGTACTCATGTGCAATGAAGAGCAAAACTATCCTGTCTTGAGTTACATTTATCTTGATTTCCTTGTCATCTGTGTGGCATGGAAGGTCCTACTTGATCACAGCGTGCAAAAGAATAACAAAGTAATAATGAGATATGGCCAAGAAAAGTGGAGCAAGCAATGCATGCTTTCTTTTTTGGTTATAAAAATAGTATCAATTCATTTACCTTATTGAGGGAATAAAGGCACCATAAGGCAAAACTGCTGTTTTAGGCTTTATTGTTTTTGAACTTAGGCTTCCTTCTAGTTGGAACTACTTTTAGGCTCCCAAACATGCTCAAAAGTGTCAGCATGTCTTTGCTCAAACTGCCACATATGTTAGGAATGCACCCACCCCTGAGTCCCATCTATCCCACACTCTCAGTGTGCAACTAAAACGTAGAAATGAGAGGAAATGACATGCTTTCAGTTGATTAGAACAAGCAATGGCTAGATCAGAGTAGTGTAAGAAAAGCAGAAATCAGGTAAGTCTGATAAGAAGCCAATCAAATTAACTGACACCAATTTTTTGTAAAATTAAAACTAAAAAACATTTATAAATTCTGCAAGTAAAAGTGGAAATGAAATCATTTGGAATACACACAAATAAATAGGAAATGAATACATATTTACTCAAATTTTTGTAATTATTTCAGTTCTTATTCCATTTTTTTTTTCAAAAAGTTATCATTTTTCTATTGTAACAGAAGAATTACTATTAGGAGTCCCAAGATTTAAAGTAAATATTGTTTCTTCAATGTTGGATGTTAACCCAAAGTAAGAAGATGATTATTTTGTGAATGACTCCAATTCACAGCAATGGTCCTAAGGCAATGTTCCAAGTGATCTCTTCACTTCTTCAAAGCAGCTTTGCTAAGAAATTGCATCTTTCATAGAAACAACAATTGGAACAATTAATTAGTTTCAATTTTAATTAAAAGATGATCTCATTTAGCTCTGATTAAATTACAACAGCTAGATAAATCCAGACAGCAACATTTAGCTAATTTAATTAGGTAGGGTAATGCTTTTCTGTGTTACCACTCTGAATGACTAATAGTGGGGTTCTAGTGTTTTTCCTACACAAGATTCTCTGCACTTTCATTGGCTAGGCATATGTAAACAATAAGCAAACTATAACTGAATGATATCTTATATATTTTGAATTTTCATTCTTGAAAATATATTAATATGCATGACAAATAATTGTAATTTTATTGTATATACATTTTTAAAGACCTCAACAAACTACATGAGGTTAAATTTCTCAAGAAATAAATTTAAAAATTATTTTGAAATAGTGAACAGTGATTTCACTATAGAAAACCTAATCCTTCTCACTTTAAAAAAATATTTTATAAGGATTTTGTTTTAATTTTGTAGTTCAATACTTGGATTCCATTTTTCTTTTCTTTTCTTTTTTTTTTTTTTTGTTTTTCTTTAGCTTTATGTGCCTAGGAGGATTGAACTTCAAGTGGTTACAATCCATGATTCAACTTTACAATATCTAACTTTCTTAGATTATTAGAGTATATCAGTTAGGAATTTTAGATTTTAATTCGCAAATAACAATAACTGGAATAAGACTGAGATTAACATTCTCTCAGATAACAGCAAGTCCAGCGGTAGGCATAAGCAGCTGTTAGAATTTAAAACATCATACCAGATAAGATGGGCAAACATAAATTAATTTTCTTTCAATAGCATTGCAATAGGGGAAAGATACTGAACTCAATCCTACTGAAATTAAAGGAGGAAAGTTTGTAAAAACTGGGCTTGTGTATAGGGGGCTAAAAAGGTGTAGGCCATCTGTGTTTACTAATTGACCAACTGACCATACCCAAAGTGAAGGTAAATTTCCTCCAATTTCCATGACTGAAAGTAGCTTTACAGCTTAGGCACAGTGCCCACTGTCAGGCTCCTAAGCCTCCACAGAGACTGTGAGGGAGGGATGCTATCTTTCTTCCATGCTTATATTTTAAGGAGTTGCTTCCCAGGTCCTTGAGAAAGACATCCCCTGTGTCATTAAACTGGCAAGAGGTTTTTAAGAAGATTTATGTACATTTCAGCAGAGCAGAGAAATAATTTGCAATTATAAATTTTCTAAAGTAAAAGCTGTAAGAAAAGGGATGTCCGGGCCTAGAGGCAGGAACAAACCTGTCTAAAGTTTAGTCAGTCTGAGAGAAATGTTAAGAACCTCTTGTTATAGTTTATGGGTATTTACAGCTGAGGGCTCTGCGATCCTTTCAGCATTCTTTTCACTACCTGCAGTCATGTAATTGTTAAAGCTCCAACTTTTATGTCTACATTTGGAATGGGAGAAAGTGCAAAGGGCAACAAGGAGAATCTGAGCTGAACCTGCCTTGTTTTAAAAGGATTTTTAAAACCCAACCCAACAAGTTCAACATACAATAGAGTGGCCAGCACTGAGTCTTATGGTCATGTCTAGTCGCAAGAAATGCTAGAAGAGTAGTTTATATATATATATATATATATATTTAATCTGGGCATAGTTCCACTTCAACAAAATTGGCTTATACAATGTTGAAGTCAGGAAAGTTTATTTAATGTATTAAGAAAAATAACAAAATAGGTCAATTTTAGTCTTTTAAATCAAACTGTATGATGTTGTCCTAAGTAACAATTAGAAACTATATTATTCTTCTCAGTGCAGACTTTTCATATGATATTAAAACTCGACTTAAGGACTACCTTGGGAGCTTATTACTGCATGTTCTTTATGCTTTTGTTGTATTGCTTTCCTGCTGTCTTAACATCTCTGGCCTTTCAGATTCAAAGGGCTTTTCTTCTCATTTAAACACCATGAAATATGTCATTGTTAGGCTTACTTTGGAGTTGAATTTGTTTTTAGGGCTCAGTTTTATTCCTTTTCTTATTTTTAGACACAGGGATTTTCAAGGATGTTTTGTGGACAGATACAGGATTTGAGATTGAGTTTCAGCGAAAAGGTCTCTTTCTATGTAGTGATACACATAATGAGGATCTCCAGATTCATCTCTAAACCAGCTTGCCCACTGCAAATTCAGACTGTTGGAGTTTGTAGACATCATTCTGGGGCAGGCAGACCTTTAAGACTGGCTAGCAGGACTTTGGTTTGTAGAAACATAAGTAAAATTCTTTCATTTCTAAAAGAGGCCATAAAGACAATTTGGAGCAAATGGCTGGTTCCCAAACTTGATTTATTCAAACAATTTGTGAATAATAGATATATTTAAATCACATATCAAAAATATAGAAATACATTCCCCTTGAGAAGTTCAGAGTAGAGCAAGAGGTTCTTCAGGAAAGAGGCTGTTTGGATTATTGCGCTTGACTGTATGATTCACTTCAGTGTGTGACCCAGCCATTTGGTGATGGGAGAAACACACACATTTAACATTTGAGATGGCAAATCAAAATAAGTTGCCATTCTAAATTAGGTCTTGAAGGAATCAAAAGCATCAGACTTTCTTGTGAGATAGCCTCAAAATCATAAGATGGAGACCTACCTTTTTACTTCAGGGAAGTGGAGTGGAAAAGCTAGGACCAGAACAATGTGAGCCCCGTTAACAACAGTCAGAAACAGTGATAGCAGATACAAGTCAGGGAATGGTGACGGTTCAATTCCCACTCAGCCACAATGCAAAGGTTGAGTAGACTGCGCAAGAAAACTAAGAGATAGATTTCAATAGTCCCTAAGGACATTAGAGTCTCTAGGGAAAACATGAAAATCTCCCTGTGGATCTCTAAAACACTAAGATGTATTTTTAGAATGAAACCATTCTGACAGAGGCTGTAATCTAGAAACAAACTTTGGGGTTCACGAAACAATACTTCAAAATGAGGGCCTCGGCAGCAACCTTGGAAGCAAAATGTTTTCTCTGACCTTCTTCTGCCGTCCTCTCAGTCCAGTTGTCCCCTGAGGCTAGCCATAGAAACTAGAATCCCTCTTCCCCAAGGCAGGTCATAGAAACCGGAACCCCTTTTCCCTAAAGCTAGTCATCAAACCTAAAAATATTACCCTAATTTTTCCTCTACCTTTCTGTGTAAAAACTGGCCATAAAGAAATTACCTGGCCTACTTTGTTTGACCATAGATCATAAGATCCTAATTCCAGAAAGGTTCCTTCTCCATATCCAGAAGGAAGAAATGCATGCTCAGAGAAGCCAAGAAGAGTCTAGAGATAGATAGGTCTTGCTGGGTTGCACCACTCAGTTGATAAATGTTAGATCATACCTTTTTGTCCAATCATATTTCTACACAGGTGTCCATATTTTGTTGAACCTAAGGACAGAAATGGAACATTTTCCCCGTATCTTTGGGTCTTCATTCTGAAGTCTCATGTGTATGCATGTTAAATAAATGTGTATTTTTTTCTCCAGTTAATCTGCCTTTGTGAGCTGATTTTTCAGCAAACCTTCAGAGGACCAAGGGAAAAGCTAGCCCTTGGCCCTGACAGAATACAGCTGTGAACTCTAGATATGTCCCTCATGAACTCAGCCTTAAGAAATTCTAATCGCATATATAAGAGGCAAGTTTTCTATTTCTGCGACTCTATTGATGCAAATGTAGGCAGAAGCTATGCAGGTCTGGATCATAATTACACAGTAGCACTAGCACAAGGATAAGCACATAGAGGACACTCAGGAATATTTATTGAATAAATGAAGGCATTCCAAAGAATTTTCATACATACAACTTATTTTATTCTTAAAGGAATCTTTGATGCTAGCTATATTTCTTAGACATATTTCATTTTTAAAAGAGAGAGTAGTGTTTAAATGACTAACCAAAGATCATAGTACTGATATATCGAGGAATTAGACGTTAGTCTAAATCATCTGATTTCAGCCCCAATAATCTGGCTACTGAACAATACTGTATGGTCCAAAAGCAACAACCTATTACTGCCTCCACTGTGTTCATATCCTACTTAAAGATCCCACTTCTTTTAAACACAGCATGTATGACTTCTCATGAAAAGTCCTTGAGCACATCTTCAGTCAAGGGTTTTCTTTAACATTGTGCTTTGTATCAGCCTCTGGCAGCCTGGATGGCTAGCCTATACTGGACACATGTAGAAAAAGACACACGCACACTCTATGAAACTTATTGTATTAGTTTTCAAGGGCTACTATAATAAAGTACCACAAACCAGGTAGGTGGCTTAGGACAAGGGAATTTTATTGTCTTATAGTTCTGGAGGCAAGAAGCCTGTAATCAAGGTGTTGGGAGGACCATGATCCCTCTGAAGGTGGTCAGTGTAAATCAAAAGTATCTGAGACAAATCTCGGTCAATTTAGAAGTTTAATATACCAAGGTTGAGGAGACAGGTCTCTGCCTTTCTAGAAGATTATTTTGAGGGCTTTAATGTTTAAAGGGGAAAAGGCAGATATTGGGAAAAGAGGAAGAAATTTTCTAAAGATGCGGATAGGTAAGAGGCAAGCAGTTGTATTCTTTTGAGTCTTCGATCAGCCATTCACATGTGAGGGTGAGGGTAGAGGAAAAGTCACTTACGCATTCATCTAGCTCAGTGATTCTTCATTTGTACATAAAATAAAATAAACATGGGGAAGAGGAAGCAATCAGATGTCTATTTGTCTCAGGTGAGCAGAGGGATGGATGACTTTGAGTTCTGTTCTTTGACCTACACCTGTGAAGATCAGTTATCAATTTACATTGTCAGGGTGAAATAAATTTAAAAGAACTGTTTTAGGGAAAAGATCTTGGTGCCCATAGGAATTTTCTAGTGGACATGTTAGGAGGAAGGTAGGTTTGCCTGATGCAGTTTTCAGCTGGACTTTTCCCTTTGGCTTAGTGAGTTTGGGGTCTCAAGGTTTATTTTTCTTTCACATTGGAAAGCATCTTTTCTGGGCCTATCTCCTTGCTTCTGGTACTTCCTTGGCTTGTGGCAGCATGACTCCAATATGCATATGACATTTTCCCTGTGTATGTCTGTCTCCTCACATGGCATTCTTTTTAAAAGAACAGCAGTCATTTTGGATTAGAGGCTCACCCTACTCCAGCATGTCTTCGCTCTTCACCTTCACTTAACATATTACATCTGCAATGACTCTGTTTTTAACTATGGTAACATTCAGAGGGACTGGGGGATAGGACTTCAACGTATGAATTTTGGAGGGACACAATTCAACCCATAATACTTATGTTATTTTTATTTATATATACATATATATAATACAGATGGCATTTAATAGTTTGGTTTCTGAGAAAATCAATCAACTACCATATTTGAGAAAAAAGCAAGAAATTTGTGCAATCTCTTGGAAGTCAAAAGAAAATGGGACTATTATTTGTCTTGATTTTACTAGATTATTTTTAAAGTGTGCATTTTTGAACAGTTAAATTTAAAAATCACCCATTTAATAGAGAAAAGAAAATGTAAAATAATATTGTTATCCTAAAATACCTCATTTTCTTCTTAATATTCTTTAGTTTCCATCTCTGCCATTTTGCCAAAGAAAAATATTTCAAGAACACCAATGAAAGGCCCCAATGGTGTTATACACATTACAGTAATAATGGGAAGAATATAGAAATAGATTTAATTTCCTTTAAAATGTTCCAGCAAAACATTTGTTTAAAAAAAAAGCTGAAAAAAGGGGCTCTCAGGGATAAACTTTTTAGTAAGATATGCAGTGCTTCAACATTGTGTGTGTGTGTATTTTTGTGTATGTGTGTGTGACAGGTACATGTATTTCTGAACATGTAATTGGAGCAGAGAAATTTAAGATAAAATTTGAACTATATATGTAAATAACACTTTAAAAGACTCTTGGAAACATGAAATAAGATCTGAAGTTCAGGATTGGCGCTTCACACCTGTAATCCCAGCACTTTGGGAAGTCGAGGTGAGTGGCTCACGCGGTCAAGAGATTGAGACCATCCTGCCCAATATGGTGAAACCCCGTCGCTACTAAAAATACAAAACTCAGCTGGGAGTGGTGGCACATTCCTGTAGTCCGAGCTACTTGGGAGGCTGAGGCAGGAGAATCGCTTGAACCCAGGAGGCAGAGGTTGCAGTGAGCCGAGATCACGCCACTGCACTCCAGTCTGGCGACAGAGAGAGACTCCACCTCAAAAAAAAAAAAATGCAATAATGGAAAAGAAAAAATATAGTTTTAAAATAATAATATTTAATATGATATTTCTAAAAAAAGTATAAGTTCTCTGTAAATTGATATATGAATTTAAAACAACCAGTTAAAGCAGAAACAAAAAATACTTGAAATTTATTTATTTACTCTTGTTTTACTCCAACTTGCAGAATCACTCAGACTCTTCTATGAAAGTTATTTTTTCTTACAGAATTTTCTACATGTAAATTCTGTGTTATCTCCCTAACCAGGTTTTCATTCTATCTTAGTAGCTGCTTCTCCTTATTCATAATAGCCATTTTTTTCTTCCTTTGCTGACCTCTAACTGCTAGAGTACACCAGGGCTCCTTAGGCCCCCTCTTATTCTCCATCCACACCTCCTTCTTGGATGATTTCATCATGTTTTTAAATATATTCTATGTGCTGATGACTCCCAGAATTATGTCATCAGCTCTGATCTCTTCACTGGGCCTAAGTTTTGAGCGTCCACATATCTATGGGACATTGCCTACACCCATAAATAATAGACACTTCAAATTTAGCTTGCTTAATACACAACTTTTAATTTTTCTTTCCTCAAATTCATTTTTGTTCCTCAAATCTATCCTGTCTCAGCAATTTCAAACTTCAACTACCCAATTATTTAAGAAAACAACCTCTCTCAAGTAAACAGCACTGTTAAAATTATAGAAATAATTTGACATTAGATTAATATAATCTCATATTCTATGTCTGTGTATATTTCCTCCCTTATATCCCTGAAATTCTCAAACTCTCATGCTCTTTTTCCTATCTTACTTACTCCAATGCCATACCTATATAATTTGATAGCCTTCTAACTTGTCTGCTTGATTTTACCCTTTCCTCCATTGTTATTTTTTCCACACATTAAACAAAATATTAGTTTTAAAATAAAAATCAAAACCTCGTATCTGGCTATGACGGAGTAGCTAGAGTACAATTAACTCTCTTGCCAAAACAACTAAAAATTGGATAAATTTAAAAAGTGTATTGGTTTCATTGTGTTAGAGAGACAAACTTTAGAGTTCATAGTTACCAAGGTAGCAGGATTTGAGGAACCACAAACCCAGGAAAAACGAGAACTCAGAGAAGTGAGCAAAATATTTTGCAAACAACTTATTGAGACATTTTCCAATTTCTAGGTGTGGCCAAGAAAAAGTAATTTTTATGTAGCTAAGACAGTATGTCTTACACTGCTGGGGAGATAAAGAATTAAGAGATTAAGGTCTGTAAAGTGCAAATTTTTGATAATAGGGAAGACTTCACTGAGATCACCAGAAAGCTGCAATTTAGGATTAATGGCCTCAAATGGGTCCTGTTGAAGTGCCTATAATCTTATGCCTGCCAGAAGGAAGAAAATTAGATATTGTATTAGAAGTGATAATCATCCAGTGTCTCTACATTAAAACAACAAAAACCATAATGTCCTTCATTCAATACAATATTTCTAAGTATACCAGGGAATAGGATTTATTTACCAGAACCAAGTGGAAAAAATGAGAAATAGAATCAAATGTATAGGTGATCTTGAAACTAGATTTATCAGAAAGTGACTTTAAAATAACTAGAGTCAATATTTTCAATGAAATAAAGAATGGAGGCTATCATAGGTGATCTCGAATCTTCAAAAAATAATTAAATGGAATTCCTAGAACTGAAATATAATATATGAAATAAAGATCTATAGATGAGTTTGACACTCATCAAGACATCTGCAGCAGCAAATATTGGAAACAAATAGAGCAAGTAGGGAATATCTTGATGAAGCACTAAGAATTCAAAGGATAGAAAATACAGAAAAAAACAATAGAGAATTACAAGATATATACATACTTATAAATGAAGCCCTGGAATAAATAAAGAAAGATAATGGAATAGAATCAATATTTGAAGGAACACTGGCCAATAATTATTCAAGATGAGACAAAGCCATGAAACCACAGACTCATGAAGTTCTATGAACCTCCAGCAGGGCATATGTATATAAAATACTATATATATGTATATGTGTGTTTGTACATATATGGACATCTTATTAAAGTACTTAAAAGTATTTTAAAAGTAAAAATAAAAGTCTTATTAAAACATTTAAAAGTACATAAATGTGATTCCCTATCATCTTACTTTTTAATTTTATTTGTTTATTTATTTTTGTTGTTCTCACAGAGCACTGCTTCCTGAAATCACCTTTACTTATTCTTTCACTGCCTTTTAGGTCAAAGGTCATGCTCCTAGATGACAAGGCTTTTAGTCTGCTTTTTAAACTGCTTAACCACACCAAATATATCAGTTTGGAGCATAGTAAGGGCTCATTTAACATTTTTTAGTGAGTAAATGTTGACTGCATATAGCCTTTTTGAGAGCTGTAGAAATGCTCATTATTTTAATGACATACAATTTTTAAAGCTTTTTTCATCTACATTAATTTGATTTTGTAAGTGAGCAAAGCAGGTAATATTAGCTTCATTAAACCAATGGTAAATTTAAGGTTTAGTGGAGCTGGTGTTTGCCTGGAATCATATAGTTCATACATAGCAAGACCAGAATTGGATCTCCATACTATATTGTACAAGTTAGAGCTTCACAGAAAGTAACAAAAATTCTAATATTTGATATAATATTCTCTCTCATGGTTACATGGCAATAAGCCTTAGGTTTAAAAAAACAACAACAAACAAACAAACAAAAACAGGGATAATTGCTGCTTGTTTTACTAGGTGCCAAGTTGATTCAAGAGCCAAGGGAAGAGTATATGTATGCTGGAGTATGGTGACCCCCACAGAAGAGATACAAAGGGATTTAATTTGAGGAAGTTAGAAATAAGCCACTGTCATTGTAATTTCACTCTTTTGGTCTAGCCTACATCTTTGAATAAACTCAAGTGGTTTGCTCAGGCTAAGCTAACCAGTTATGCTTTCTGGTTTACTTGAACAAAAAAAAAAATCTCTCTCTTAAAAGGAACTTAGAAGCTTCCAGTTGGATGTAATATGCCACTGCACAAGTGAAAATTAGGTTGCTATGGTAGATAAAAATTAGGCCAATATTTTCCATTTATATCTTGTATAAAAATTAACTACTGTCAGAGGAGTTCTTTCTGGAGTTATAAAATTTCAGGTTATCATGAGACTTGGAATGCAACATTTTTTGAAGATATAAGATATTCAATAACTAATGGGATTGCCTAGAATGGTAGGTTAAACACTATGACTATTAAGGTAACATGCTACTTTTGACCCAGTGGAAAAAGAACATTATTTCTGAAAACAATATCTCTTGGTCATAAAAATTAAATTCTTTCATTAGACACAAAGCCACTTGCAGTCATTAATATGTAATTAATATAAAATTTTATGAGATTTGAAGTCTGGAATTAATTACCTTTTTAATATTTGATATTGCCTTCATATTTTTTATTATAAATGTGTTATTGAAGCTTTTCCTCTAGGTAGAATACATATTTGGATTCTTGAATGTGATGCCACTTGAGTGAAAACATAACAAGTGTCATTGCCAAAATTAAAGTGCCAGAACGATGTTAAATTCATACATTTTTTATAGAAATATAGGTACGAATGATGTCAAAGTCATTTGTTTTTTAACCAAAAAGGGGACTTAGGCTTAGATTTCATGATCTCACATTCTCCTCAACATAATTGGGATGTGATTCAGACTGCGATAAATGAGTATCAAAAAATGCACTTAATTGAGGAACAGAAACAGATTTAGAAATATATGGTTTAATTGATGTCCTGAGGACCTAGAACAGCTGGAGGCCTTACTTCATTATGCTACCTCTTCACATCAGGGGATAAGAGCATGAGAAGCTCTCTCTAGCTACAAAAACACCCACAATATTCTTTCTTTATTTTACCCATAGTAATAATTTCCCAGTGATATACTCGGTGTTTGTGAATAATTATCTGCTTCTGAAAGAAGTGAGAATTCTTTGGAGAAGTGAGATTTTACAGTGTGCATGCTGAATTGCATCCCAAATTAAAAAGCACTGATGTGTCCTCTGAAGTGAAATTTCAGCCACCATGGGCAGTAAATTCCCAAATCAACTGTAGATTAGTTTATCTTTATGTATGCTGATGTTCAAAGTAACATCATCTGGATTGACACATGGGATCAGAATGAGAACAAATAAGGAATCAGGCAAGGTGCTGCTACTCTCAATTAATAAGTGTGTAAAATCATTCGAGAAATAATTTAAAAATAATTCACACATAATAAATGTAGGCCTAGACAGAATACAAGCTGTCATTTTAAAGGACAATAAAGCCAATCCAGGTTCAAATATATTAGTAATTTGTACCTAAATCTATTGCCTTAGTCTCCCCATAATAACTTTAGAGTTTCAGTGGTTTTTCAATTAACTAGTCAAGAGAAACAGGAACATTTCAGTAATATCCCTAAGGACTTATCTGAAGCAAGAATTTAATAACAATAATTGACTTGTTTATAAACGAGTTTTTATATCTGAAAGAAAAAACAAGTGGCATCCAATTAAATGCACAGGCCGAAATTTTGTTATAAAGTGAGATAACGGAGGGAATAGTTAGTGGATCCTTGTCCTTTATTCTATTAATATAAACTGCACAGTAATGGCAATAAAGCTATTCAATTATTGACCAAATAAAATTATTTTTAAATGCAATAGCTTAAATAGGTCCCCTTTCCCCCTCAAAATTTATATTGATCCTCAAAATTTGAATTTGGACTTCCTTGACACCTCAGAATTTAACCTTCTTTGGAAATAGGTCTTTATAGCTATAATTAGTTAAGATGAGGTCATACTGGATTGTGATAATCCCTAAATCCAATGACTGGTGTGTCTTTAATAAAGGAGGAGGACACAAAGATACTTACAAGGAAGAAATTCTACGTGATCATGTAGGCAGAAATTAGAGTGATGCAGCTACATAAAAAGGAACATTAAAAATTTCAGGCGACCACCTTCAGAGCCTCCAGAAGGAAGCAACTCTGCTCCAGACAACTTACCTTTAGATTTCTAGCCTCCAACACTGTGAGAGCATTAATTCCTGTAAACTTAAGCCACCAATTTTTTTACTAATTTGTTATGGCAGGACTGGAAAACTTTTTTTTTTTTTTTTTTTTTTTTTTTTTTTTTGAGACGGAGTCTCGCTCTGTCGCCCAGGCTGGAGTGCAGTGGCGCGACCTCGGCTCACTGCAAGCTCCGCCTCCCGGGTTCACGCCATTCTCCTGCCTCAGCCTCCCGAGTAGCCGGGACCACAGGCGCCCGCCACCACGCCCGGCTAATTTTTTGTATTTTTAGTAGAGGCGGGGTTTCACCGCGTTAGCCAGGATGGTCTCGATCTCCTGACCTCATGATCCGCCCGCCTCTGCCTCCCAAAGTGCTGGGATTACAGGCGTGAGCCACCGCGCCCGGCCAAAAAACTTAATATATAAGTTAAAAATTAACATGATACATAATTCACAAAAATCAAAACTGACCAAAGCCGGGCTTTGTATGCCTGCTCTTTCGAAAAGTGAAATTTGTGCAAATCCTTGAGATGAACAGGATGCCCTGATGTGTGCTAATCCACCATTCATTATTTTGGGACTTTAGATTGCCTCTTTTCTCCTTAAAAAAAGGCATTAGCAAAACAGAATAAAATTACACCAAATATGGTAAAATGTTCCCCTGAGATGATTCTGTAAGGAGTTGTCATGGGTTATAGAATCATTTGATGATACAGTTTCCTAAATCATATACGTTAAAATAAAGACAGTTGGATTAAAGAGCTATAAACACAAAAAGAATTTGAAGAATTTTTTAAAAAATAAATTACATATTTTTATGATATTAAAAAGGGAAAAAACACAAAGGATATAAGAACAGGTTTTGGGCCAGTTGTGGTGGCTCATGCCTGTAATCCCAGCACTTTGGGAGGCCAAGGTGGGCAGATCACAAGGTGAGGAGATTGAGACCCTCCTGGCCAACATGGTGAAACACTGTCTCTATTAAAATTACAAAAATTAGCCAGGCGTGGTGGCATGTGCCTGTAATCCCAGCTACTCGGGAGGCTGAGGCAGGAGAATCGCTTGAACCACGGAGTTGGAGGTTGCAGTGAGCCAAGATCCCACCACTGCACTCCAGCCTGGCGGCAGAGCAAGACTCCATGTCAAAAAAAAAAAAAAAAGAAAAAAGAAAAAAGAAAACGAAAAGGTGTTTTGGTTACATTTGACTACATCAAAGTTGAAAAAAATATGAAAATGTGCACCATGAACTGATTTAAAAGTCAAACTGTAACCTGTCACCAGCTCTTTGCAATGCACATGACATATCAATTATGCATAACAGAACACAAACTCTGTTTCAGGGCATCATTCATTTAAGCTTTTTGTTTAGGTAGCACATCTGGTTGGATACACAAAAAAAGAGATTGATTTGGTTCCTGATTTGCCTTAGATTTTTCTACTTCCAAACTCTTGGAAATCTAATGATATGTAATGATTCCAGAGCTCTATCATGAAATGTTAGCATAATTTATTCTCTCTATTTTCATTTATAAATATTTCAAAACCTAAACACAGTGAAATTATTTGTTGCTAATATTCTCAAAATGTAGAGTGTTGGGGCTCAGAGAATGACAACCCAAAGTATGGTGCCTTGGCAAGCTGAACAACCCTAGAACTTAAAGTATAATAATAAAAAAAAAAAAGAAAAAAATTACTAAGAAAATTGGAAGACCTTAGAAACTACCTCTGAACCAAAGACCTTTTAGCCTTCTCTTATGTGCAGAAAATGTATATTAAATAGAACTTAAATGAAGAACATTGTCTTTCCCTTTCTATGTTAGCAAATCATTTCAAATTTCTAAGCTTATTTTGTTCCTCATTTACATAAATGGAAAGATAAATACCTACCTCCCAAGATTGATTTACGTATTAAGATAATTTATGTAATAGCATTTAAGAAATTTCTTAACATACAGAAATAATTTAATGTAAATCCCCCTTATTTTCTCTTGATCCTTTTTCATCTGTGAAAGTGATGTATGCTGTGAATTACTATGTTTCATTGCCTTTTAAAAGGCCTGGTTAAAAACAACAACAACATTGAATTTTCCAAATGATAAATTTATTGATAGTTTATTCTACTACATTGGAATTAAAATAAATGTATAAAGGTCAACTTAGACACAATTTTAGCATTTTACAAAGTTTCAACTTTTATAATTTCAAACTTAACACTTTTTTTATGCGGGAAATTTGCCAAACACAGAAAATCTAAAAAGGAATTTGGGAATCATTGTAATCTTTCTTTTTTTAACTCATCCTTTTTATCCTCGTCTTAATTTTCCTTCACCTAAAAGGTGTATAAACTCCTCTCTTCACACTATCCAATTTCATTTCTAAGAAATCAGCACGATCAATAGTTCAGAGGAGGTTCTTTTCAGACTTTTTAATAAAATACCACTTTGTGAGGTGCAGAAGAGTAGACATTCATTGAAGATGTGCTCTACCTATGTGGTAGTCATCCCTCTATTTTTTTTTCTTTTTTTTCAGATCCACTCCCCACATTTACCTCCTCAGCTTTTACCACTGTTGTAGGTGGCTTCCTTGCCCTCTGCCTTCCAAATAGGTTCTTTCATTGGAGGCATTAGCAGAAGTTAAGAAGCTGAAACAAAAATAAGGTCAGACTACTTTCCTTCTGGGTTCCTGCACAATGGCTTTGTCAGGCTGCCCCAGCCATACAGCTATGTGTCTGGGTTCAGGCACTGCTCCATCCCCTTGTGTTTTCAAGCCTAGGGGTGTTAACAGATGTCTGTGGTGGTCACTGGCCTTCCGATATTGCACTATCCCTTCTCTTCTCTAAACCTCTGTAAATAGCTCTTTCATTAAAATCTTCTCAATTGTAAGTTTGAATTGCCCATCTCTTTGCACCTGGGTCTGGACAGATATACCTAAGTGAACAGTCATTTAATCTTTTTGTTTTTTTTTTGTTGTTGTTTTGAGATGGAGCTTTGTTCTTGTCGCCCAGGCTGGAGTGCAATGGTGCCATCTCAGCTCACGGCAACCTCTGCCTTCCAGGTTCAAGGGATTCTCCTGCCTCAGCCTCCCAAGTAGCTGGGATTAGGGGCAGCCACCACCACGCCTGTCTAATATTTTGTATTTTTAGTTTTTAGTAGAGACAGGGTTTCACCATGTTGGTCAGTCTGGTCTCAATCTCCTGACCTCAGGTGATCTGCCTGCCTCGGCCTCCCAAAGCTGGGATTACAGGCGTGAGCCACTGCGCCCATCCCTGCTATTCATTCTTAAATGAGTATCTGTTCATTAGAATGTAGTGTGCCAAGTGAGGAAATACTTTACATAGCTGTTTTTCATAGGCTTTTGTGTTCTTAATGGAGAAAACCACCATGTACTTATTTTTAAAATATCAAATTTGGGTCTTCATTTTTTCTGGAAAAACAAAAGCAAAAAGAATTAATATATACATCTATATCATATAAACAACATGTTTGTTTTCACATAGACATAGTTATACAACTAATTACAATACTTAGTACAAAAAAAAGAGAGGTTGATAGAAACAAACAGGTAAACAACAGAAAACCCTACACATTTTACTAATTTAATTTCGTCAAAAAAGCATTTTATGAAAAAGCATTTTGCCATATGATAATTAATTACAAATACACTGTCATCTTCCCTGTAAGGTATTTCCCTCTACTTGGAGAGAGCTTGTAAAAAGACCTGAAGAATTGGGAATGGAAGATTTGTTTTGTTTCATTTGCAGATCTCTTTAGTCATTATATAAATTTCTATACAGTGAGTAGGAATCAATACTTTTCTTTAAAACATCTAAAGTAAAAAATTTAAATAAATCCATAAATGATATAGATGGGGCCTTACTCAAATGTCTATGAACATACTGTTGTTCATTTCTTACAGTTTCCATATTATTGGCTATTTTCCAATTGATGTCATATTCCTTACTTGTGAGCCTGTATAAGGGAAGCTTTTTGAAGAGGTAGATTTCTTCAGACCCAAATTGTGGGATGTATGTATTTTACTGGCACTGTAGAGTCACCTGGGCATTTTTACCTGGAGCATGTGGACTTGCAATTCTTAACAAAGTGGCAGTCTGCCATGACCATATTCTTGAAAAGCATCAGAAATATATTTTTCAATCATATTATGATTTTATTTTTTAAAGCATGGTAATAATATTGTGGTTATGTTTATAGAGAAAATGAGATGATATCTGGGATTTGCCTCAAAATAATGTAAAGAGTATATGAGTGGAGGAGGTATAAATAAAATAAGACTGCCTATGAGTTAGTAATTCTTGAAGTTGGATAATGGCTGCATGAGAGCTCATTATAATCTAGTCTGGCTACCATTGTATGTGGAAGATTTTCCATAACAATAAAAATATATATTGTGAACGTCTTTTAATGTCAATACATAGAAACCTGCCTCATGCTCTTTAATTGCTTCATGGCCTTCCATATTTATTTAACGGATTCTCTTTTAGAGAACCTTTGTTTTCAAATATTCAATATTCTAAACAATACTGCAGGAAATATCCTTGTACAAATGTTGACATCAGCAATGTTTAGAAGCATCTTTTTATGTCTTTAAATTCTCATTAGAATCCACTTTTCTTCCTAATTACTATAATTTTTATATAAAAATATGGAGGTTTCCATGGCCAATATATCTCATGGTTTGGGAATGCTTCATATTTGTATTGTGTCAGTATGACAATTGTGCGTTTGTGTCACAAAGCCTTGTGGGATAGTCTTCGTTGGTTCTGGTTTTATGCATGAGAATTTAGAGGTTGATGAGAACTGAAAAGACAAATTGGTTTATAATTTGTTGAGCTCTGAACTATATGTTCATAAGGCATATCAAAGTCTTCTTTCTCTTTTTTGTAGCTCTAGGGTCTCAGGCCATTCAGGATCTCTCCTGTCATGATATGCAGAGATCACCCAAGAAAACTATCACCTCAATGAGAGGTCCAACTGTGTATCACTCATTAACTCCCATGTTGCTCTTACTACCATTCCTCGATGTCCATATGTGATGGAAAGTACTTGTATTTTATTCAATTAAATAGTTATGTAAGAAATGTACCAACAACGTACACTTTAATTCTGGTTTTTTTTTTTTTTTTTAAGTCTTGAGGAAAGAAGTTGTAATGTGACTTATTTAGCAGGCTGAACAACATTAGCAGAGACTCATATTTGATTTTGCTTCTGTAAACTTGTAAATAAGCCCAGCATCTTTGTATGAAGAAACGTGAGCAAAAGTGGCAGCACAAATTGAAGACAAGTGCAAGAAAGGTCATCAGCAGGCATCCACATGAATTTTCCTAGTTCACATTAGAATATAGAATTAGGAGGGACCAACAATTAGGTCAGAATTACTTCCTCGGCGTATTTCTGTCTTGACTGTATTTATACAAGTACAATCATCAAAATATCTCAAGTCATTAGAATGTATTTCAGGAGTTTAGAATCTTGATGCATTTCAAAAGACCAGTGTCAGAATTAGAAACGTGAACAACAAAAGCATTGAGAAATAGGAGGGAAAGTACAGATTGAGGAGGCTCTGGGCAAATAGTAGGTAATCTGAGGGCTCGAAGGCACACAGAACTATTTAAAGACAAGAATGTCTGTATTTTGGTGAGGTAGGAGGGAGTGGCTGAAGACAAGCTAACGATTTTCAAATTATTCATGGAACCCTTTCTTCTCAGTGGACATAAGCACCATACTCATCATTAACTAGGATGACATTGAGTTGTTAGGAACAACCTTGAATACAGATGCATTTGTAATATAATAATAACATGTAGGAGCCAGTACCTTAAACAACTGAAAATTCTGATAAATTAGTCAGCCCAGTGAAGGACATTCAGAATACAATGAAAGACAGAGTTTTTAGCATTAGCAGTAAAGGTTCTGTAGCCAGACTATGTACATAGATTCATATCCTATCTCTCCTCATTGTTAATTCTTGGTAAATTCCTGAATCTCTTTCTACTCTTTAGTTTCCATATAGATAAAATGAGGGCTATAGTGCCTAACTCATGGGGTATTTATGAGGGTAAAATGTGGTAAGACATGGAATGAGCTCCATACAGATATACCATAAAGACAGTAAGTTATTCCTGTTTTGACTGTTATAAAATTGTGGCACAACGCAGATCAACTAAAAGTCAATACATTAAATTTACTGTCTTCAGTTCTTCAAATCCCTTTCACTCCAGTATCAATCAAAATCTGGTTTCCAGTTTTATGACACTTATTCTGTGTGACTAGCATTACTAATTACCTCCCAATTACTAAATCATATGATTCCTTATTAGATCACATTTTTATAAACAATGTCTCTCCTTTTTGAAATCTCACATGTCAAGACTTGAAGTTCTCTCTTGTCTCTATTAACAACCAAGCATTGCAATTCAATTCCACTTTATATTCCAGTCCTTTACAAGGTTCGTAATTTACTGGTTCTGACTTGCCATTTTTCTACTTTTTACTCTCCTTATTTTTTCAGTGAGGTCTCTATAAAATTCAATGTTTCAACCACCCACACCTCTACCACATACAACCACATACACACCAAATAATTTTATTTCGATTGAGTTCCACAACTTATATCTCTAATAAACTACTCAATGTATTCACATGGATGAGCCAGATGCAAAAGGAACTTGACATTTCTAAAGACTAAAATCATCTTTCCAAATGGGTACCAGCAATTCAACGGCAAACTTGAATCCTTGGAGTACAAATGACTACATTCAATTAGGGTTGTTTTTGCAAGCAGGTAAATTTCAGACTGAATACTGAGAGGGTAATTGAAAAACTAAAGAAGCTATAAAAACCTATTGGAAATCTGTGATGATATTGAGAAAGGTCATATTTTAGTGGTTATTTTTAGTGCAGAACTAATAGGAGGATTGGATAGTACATTTATATTATATGTATTATGTTGAAACATGATGTACATATGTATTTTAGTTAATTTTTTTTTGTATATGCAATGTGCTTTCAAAATTCACTGTGTAGATCAGGTGTGGTGGCTCATGCCTGTAATCCCAGCACTTCGAGAGGCTGAAGTGGAAGGAGTGCTTGAGCCCAGGAATTTGAGACCAGCCTGGGTAACACAGTGAGACCCCATCTCCACAAAAAATAAAAAATTTAGTCAGGCAAGGTAGTGCACACCTGTAGTCCCAGCTACTCAGGAGACTAAGGTGGAGAATTGCTTGTGCCCAGGAGGTGGAGGCTACAGAAGCTGTGATTATGCCACTGCACTGTAGCCTGGGCAACAGAGCCAGACCCTGTTTAAAAAAAATCCCAAATTGTGCATATTTACATATATATGTATATATGTTATTGTATATTATGCATATGTATATATTTATGTGTATTTATGTGTCAATATGTTATACATGTGTATGTATATATGTGTATGTGTGAGTAATATATAATATATATAATCATGTATATATCTGTATCTATAAATAGATTTGTAAAAATGGTATCCAAGAGATCATAAATGTTTACTATATGTTCTTCAAATAATTTATTTGGAATTTATCACAATTAATAGTAATAATAATATTACTAATATATTACTATAAAATTTAACAAAATATGAACGATATTCTGTGATAGGCCAAAAATTATTCATTAAAAAATACAGAAAACACATTATTGCACTGATATCGTAGTAGCTTCCTAATGCATATGTAAATTAACACTATAATCATATAGCCAAAACAAAATAATTTATAATTCATGAAGAAAAATTCCATTGCCTTTACATGCTTAAATCAAAATGAGCTTATCAAAATTACTAGTTATCAAGTGTCTCAGATAAGTGAGGAAAAATTATTTCAAATGCATCCAATGGATTATGAGACATCCTAAATTTTAACATTCAAGAATTTTACATACTACATAACCCTGTCCCAATTTTTCAGTCCTAATTTTATCATTATAAACCACAATATAATTATGAATTGTCAAGGAAAAAAATAACAATTACATTACCTATAATGTAATGTAAAGTTAATTGGAAAGCTTTTTGTACATTGTTTTGTACAATTGTTTTTGTACATTGGTTTTTGTACATTTTATACATTACATTGTAATGTATACATTTTGTACATTTTATACATTACATTGTAATGTAAAGTTATACTGGAAAGATGTCAAAATCATTTAATGTGAATAAACAAAAAAATTAATAAAATAGATTACAAAATTATTTTGAAACATAAAGAAGATAAATATAATGTACTTGCTTATTTGCATACAGTAAACATAATTTATTTATTATCTAAATTCAAATATAATGTGAGTCATATTTAACTTCCAAGAAACTCTTGTGCATTTTCACAATGCAGGAAAAATTTCAGAGAAAAATACCCATCAGTTCACGAGCTTATGGCTAATCAATCTATTTAAGATGGAAGCAAATTCCTTGGCTCTTACTAGTCATAAATTGCCATAAGAGATCAAATATGAACGCATGAATATAACCCTTGCTGAGGTAAAAAGTAACAAATTAAACATTTTATGCAATAGAATAACTTTCACCTTGATATGAATTTCTGCATTTGTCATTTATAAATCTTTTCTGTAAATATTTCCAGTATTGGAAGGGATATGTATGCCTTACATTCAAATTATAAATATGCTGATTAATATAAACATCATATTTTTCAAGAAAACCAGTGGGATGCATTCTTATTCAAAACTTTGATTCATTTCAATCACAAATCATTATGTAACCCCTTGCTTTAATTGGAACAGATACGTATTAGATGCTATTCTTCTGTCATAGCCAAGGGATTATCATTTGTGTTAAGCCTTGCAACAGAAAGGAAGAATTTTTTTATTAGTTCTAAACCAATCAAATTGTGGTCAATCAATTAAATTAAAACTTAGCAAATATTTAGTGGCCACCTGCCATATAGCAATCACTTTTAGGTGCTATATGTATTAAATATAAAAGTGAGACATATACTTATACGTGGGAGCTAAATGATGAGAGCACATGAACACAAAGGGGCCAACAGACATTGGGGCCTACTTGAGGTGGAGGGTGGGAGGAGGGAGAGAAACAGAAAAAATGACTATTGGGTACTAGACTTAGTACCTGGGTGATGAAATCATCTGTACAACAAACCCCTGTGACATTAGTTTACCTTTATACAAATTGCACATGTACCACTGAACCTAAAAGGTAAAAATAAAATAAAAAATAAAATAAAAGTGAGATATAATACACTAAATTTGTTTTATTGCACAGGGGAAGATTCCGTTATTATTTTCTGACACTCTTACTTTTACTTGTATGATCCATATAATAATTACCTAGTGATAATATCTGAAATAGGAACTAATATTAGTATTATCTGTAGTTCTATGCCTATGTGTATGCATAAACACTTCTAAATATGCTGTAAATATATTCTTCTCATTCTCTAGTGATAGATAGATGGATAGTAACAGAGGCCGAATCACACATTGTAATGTAAAGTAGTTTCTTCTAATCTGAATTGACAGGTAATCTAATAGTTGTTTATAAAAATGGGTTATACAATTACTTGTGCATGGATTGTGATTTAAGATTTCAGGGCCTTTAATTCTTTAAGTCCAGCACTATGTTTTATCTCCCTTTCATATTTTCTTATTGTTGAGTAGATAATAGAAAATAAATAATTTTGGAATTAAATAGATGCTAAGTGAACATAAACAAATACATAAATAAACAGAAATCACAACTATTAATTTCATGGATCTAATGATCAAAAGCTAGTCAAATTTCAAACAATAAAATTTTTTGACAAAACAATGAAGACAACCAAGAATTACGGTGCACATTTTGTAATTCTTTTGCCAGGGAGTATGACTTGTTCCTTAAATAATTGATTAGCAATGTCAGCAAGTGATGAGATGAGATATTTGCCGTTTTATAAATTTTGTGAGTTGAAATTATATGCAAAGTCCTGAGAATTTAAAGATATATTTGAAATTTAAAAAATCATAATCAGTTCAACACACAGATTCTTGTTGAAGTCAGAACTCTGCATGTTGTACAACATTATCACCAAAGAAAGTCAGAAGCCCATATGTAAAATTTACATTTGTGAATATCCAAGTACATATAATACACAGATTTTGATGGTTCTTTTTTCTAGTCATATTTCAAGTATTATTTCTGAAACTGTATTTCTCTATTTAACCTAAAAATTGATTTAAATCATAGAAGATGGGAAAAATGTTCTGTCCCTCATTTCTGCTCCTCTATTGGAGCTAATCGCTCTCTTATATTTGAAAGTATAAGTTACATATATATGCAGTGTGAAAAATTATGCCTTTTTTTCAAAGAAGCTATGAAACTAGAAAATAAACAGAATATAGAGTGTTCTTTAATTGGTCTAATACACTGTGTACTGATACCTTTGAGGGACTATTTCATTCTTTATATAAAAATTAATATTATGAATCTCCAGGTATAAATACAAAGATCTCTAAGCATTCTCAGATAAGGGAGCTACTCCCTTCTCATTTTATCAAGTGATTGACCTACATCCATGTGGAGAGAGTGATAACCATAAAATGTCTGATCAGCATGAACAGTGATGAGAAAGTGTGTGATTAATGAGAGTGATCAGTAAGGTAGATATTTCTGAAGGTAAGAAGTAAAGTTCACTAATAAACCTGGTGTTTTAAATTCCTGAAAACTATGAGAAGATGCATGTGATGTCACTCTTGAACTATTGGCAAATTTCAAATGTTTAGTAGTCTTAAACAATGCTTGATTATAAAGCAAGGATTATAAAGCAAGCAAGTGCCCACTTTTTGTTTTTACAGAAATCTCTAACTGGTTTGGTATACTGAAGGACTTTGATGGCCTGGGAGGAAATAATAGAATTCCAAAATTTTCAAGTACAAGGCCTTTCAAATTTATTAAAATGTAAGCTCTCACTAAACTCAGTTACACTAACAACAATTACTAGTATTTTACTTGAATACTGGCTCATCATAAATCACTTCATGAGGAAATCTGTTATAGCATAGGACAGCATTTATGGTTAGAAAAAGTTCATTTGATTTTATCCAAATATAAATTAATAGTAAATATAAATAATAGATAATAGATCAATAATTAAAGTGTTAGTGTGTATATGCACATGTATGCTTATGTTTAAGTGTAATTGCCATCTATCTGTAATTTTTTCTGCCTAAAATAACTTATAATAAATCACTCTGACATTTTGGCATTTTAGTCAGTTTAGTCAAGATAGCTATCATGCTATCTGTAATATTTTTCTGTGCTGCTTGAAATGTTGATCTCGATACGCGACGATGGAAACTCTCACCACAGACACAAGCAACATATATGTTTCTAAATCCGAAAGAAACTTCCACTGTCTGTACAGAGCTCCACCAGGGCAAAACGTTGGAAGCTTTTTATCTTCAGTTTCATCACTTCTCAATTTCCTTTTATAAACAGTCTAATTCATTACTCATGAAATGTTTGTTTGTTCTCTAAATGTTCAACTGTCTTTTGAGGCTCCACATTTTTTCCTGCTTCTCTTTCTGCCTGGAAAATTCTACCCAACCATTTTTTGTCCTCCTCTCTCCTATTTCAACCATTAAAGCTATCCTAGGGTACAAACAAAAAAATCACTTAGGTATAAATCTAAAAAAATATATATACAAGAGCTACATGAAGAAAACTGCAAAACTCTCATAAAATTATAAAAGAAGAACTAAATAAATTAAGAGATATTCCATGTTCATAGAGCGAAAGATTCAATATTGCTGAGATGTGAGTTTCTCCCAACTTGATCAATAGGTTGAATGTAATATCAAAATACCAGCAAATTGTTTTGTGTATATCAACAGACCATTTCTAATTTCATATGGAGAGGCAAAAGACCCAGAATAGCTAACATAATGTTGAAGGAGAACAAAATTGGAAGACTGGCATGACCTGATGTCAAGATCTGCTACAAAGCTGCACATTGAAGACAACATGATACTGATGAAGGAATAGATAAATAAGAGTAATGGAACACAACAGAGAGCCCAGGAATAGACCTACATAAACATAGTCAATTAATCTTTGAGAAAAGAGCAAAGAGAGTACCATGGAGGACAGTTAATTCTTTCAACAAATTGTGCTGGCTCAACTGGACATCTACATGCTAAAAATGAAGCTAGACACAGACCTTATACTGTTCACAAAAATTTGCTCAAAATGGGTCATAGACATAAGTGTAAAATGCATACTATAAAACTAGAAGACAGCATAAAAGAAAACATAGATGATCTTGGGTATGGATGACTTTTTAGATTCAAAACAGAGCCACAGTCCATAAAGGAAAACAATGATATGTTGGTCTTCATTAAAATTAAAAATGTCTGCTTTGTGACAACAATGTCAGAGAATAAGAAGACAAGCCACAGATTGGGAGTAAATATTTGCAAAAGATACACCTAATAAATGATTTCTATCCAAAATATACAAAGAATTCTTAAAACTAGACAATAGAAAAAACAACAGATTAAAAAATTGACCAAGAATCTTGACAATTCACCAAAGAGGATATATGGATGGCAAGTAAGCATATGAAAAGACAGTCCACATCATTTGTCATTAGAGAAATGTATATCAAAACAACCTATTAAAATTGCCAAAATACAGGAAATGGACATCACCAAATGCGGGTGAAAATGTGGAGTAACAGGAAGATTTATTCATTGCCAGATTGCTAGTGATAATGCAAAGTGGTACCGCCATTATGGAAGACAGTTTGGCAATTTATTACAAAATTAAACATGTTCTTGCCATATGATCCAGCAAACATGCTACTCGGTATTTACTCAAAGGAGTTGAAAACACCCACACAAAACCTTTACATGAATGTTTACAGAGGGTTTAATTATAATTGCTAAAATGTAGAAGTAACCAAGATATCCTTCAGCAGATAAATGGATAATCTGTGGTATATCTGGACAATAAAATACTATTTAGTGCTAAAAAGAAATGAGCTATCAAGCCATGAAAAGACATGGAGGAAATGTAAATGCACATTACTAAATGAAAGAAACCAATCTGAAGATGCTGAAAATACTGTATGATTCCAATGATATATCATGCTGGAAAAGGCAAAACTATGAACACAGTAAAAAGATCAATCATTGCCAGAGGTTAGGAGAAACAGTGATGAATATGTAAAGCACAGAGAATTTTTGAAATAGTGAAAATACTCTGTGTAATACTATAATTGTAGATAAATGTTGTTATACATTAGTCCAAACCCATAGAATGTAAATACCATGAATGAACTATAATGTAAACTATGCACTAAAGGGGATTATGATGTGTCAGTGTCAATTTTAAGCAATGTACAACTCTAGTGGAAGATGTTGATCAAAGTGGAGGGTATAAATGTGTGGGGGCAAGGGGCATTTGGAAAATCTCTGTGCCTTCTCAATTTTGCTGTGAACCTGAAACTGCTCTAGGAAAAGTAAGTATCTCAAAAAAATTCTAGGAATTTGGCCTACTCTGAGAACCCTTCCTTAAAACCTCCTATGTTAAATGTATTGCCCTTTTACATGCTTCAATATGCACATTTTTGAAAATCTCTGAAACTTAAAGAGAGATTTCTGTAAATGTTTGCTGGAGAGGGCATGCCATATATATCTAGGCTTCATTGGCAGTGATAAAAAGAATGCTTCAAAACTGAGTCATCAACATTCAGGAAGGCAGATACTCTGTAATACATGTACTGGTTTGCAATCAATGACTGCTCTCCTATAAGTACCTCTGTAGTATGCACCAGGAAGAGCAGTTGGAGGACTGTTAGTTTTTATTTGTTTCAGAGTTTTTACAGAGGCTCTTGACCAGTCCTGAATAGAGTGCTGTGAATCCAAACACACAGAATGTTTACTTTGCAGCTGAAAACATTCATTTAAAGAACTTTCTCTTTTATTACTAATTAGAATCAGTCCTGGTCTTAATTTATTTTATCTATTGCTCTCCAATTTAATTGTATTGATACTCTTAAATAGAGATGGGGACTTATTATAGAATCAGTATTTTTTCTATACTTTAAAAAATACATTCCCTCAGCTAGATAATTTGAAAACTTCAATAAAATGGTTGAATCTCTTGAAATCTCAACTTAAAAAAAGATAAAAAAGATATGAAAAATTTGAATATTCGTATACCTTTTAAGGGAATATTTCAAATTAATTTTTAAATATGTATATATATATATATATATATATATATAGCCGTACAGATTTATATATGTGTGTATATGTATGTATATATTTGAGATTCAAATATAATAAGCATAAGCAATGTAGATGGGCTTGATACTTTCAACAAATATGTTTTGGAGGGTATGATTTACAAATAAATAATTAAATATAAGATGTTCAACATAACGTGTTTATATAAGTATACCTTGAGTAATGATTTCCACAATCAAGCTAATTGACCTATTCATCATCTGACATAGCTACCATTTGTTTGGTGTGTGTGGTGAGAACACTTAAGATCTTTTCCACTGGCAAAGTTTAAGTAAACAATATAGTGTCATAAACTATAGTTACCATTCTGTATATTAGATCTCTTGAACGTATTCACCTATAAATGAAAATTTGTTCCCTTTGACCAACATCACCCCATTTCTCCCATCCTCCAGCTCCTGGCAACCACCATTCTACTCTCTGTTTCTCTAGGTTTGACTATTTTAGATTTTGCATACAAGTGATATAGTGTTTTTCTTTCTGTGTTTGGCTTATTTCACTTAGCATTATGTCTCCAATTTCATCCATGTTGTAGTACATTACAGGATTTCCTTTCTTTAGGACTGAATATATTTCATCATGTGTGTGTGTGTATGTGTGTGTCATGATTCACCCACAAATAGACACTTAGGTTGTTTTCATATTTTGGATAGTGTGAATAATGCCACGATGAACACAGAAATGCAGGTATCTCTTCGAAATACAAATGTTATTTCCTTTGGATATATATCCAGAAGTGGAATTGCTAGATCATACGGTAATTCTAGTTTTAATTTTTTGAGGAACCTACATACTGTGTTTCCTAATGGCTGTATCAATTTACATTCCTGTCAGCAATGTGTGAGAGTTGCCTTTTTTGCACATTCTTGCCAAAATTTATCTCTTGTCTTTTTGAGGATAGACAATCTAACAAGTGTGAGGTATCTCAATATAATTTTAATGTGCATTTCTCTGATTATCAGTGATGTTGAGCACTATATATACTTGGCTATTAGTATGTCTTCTTTGGAAAAAATGTCTATTCAAGTTTTTTGCCCATTTTTAAACAGGTTATTTTTTTTCTGCCATTCAGTTTGATCTAGTTCCACTTTTTTATTTTTTGCTCTTGTTAGCTGTTAAATTAAATAAAAAATCCCAGGTCTAATATTGTCACTGTTGAAATATTTCAAACATTTAAGGAAAAGATATAAATAAATCAAATTATTCATGTAAATAATATATAGTATATTTCAACAAATCAATAAAAAAGAAAGACCATTAAAATGGGCAAAAAGATTTAAAAATTACTTTATAATTACAGATATCAAATTGCCCAATAAACATTAAAAATATTTGATATCATTATTCATCTGAGAAATATACATGAATATTACAATTAGATACCATCACCCACCATGACTAAAATTTAAAAAATGAGCAATCTTACGTGTTAGTATTTGAACTGAAACTCTCACATACTGTGAGAATAAATTAGCATAAATACTTTGAAAAATATTTTGGGAGTATTTACCAACAGTGAATATTCTCATACTTATGACTCAGCAATTCCTCTTCTAAGTCTTTAACCAATGAAATTATGTACAAATATTTGCCAAAAGATATGTGACAAAAATATTGATTCCAACACTGTAATTGCTCCAAACAACAAACAAACTATAGTTCATCACCTGCAAGTTAGATATATCAATTATGTCATATTCATTCAATGGAATACTATGTCACAATGAGAACGTACAAACTATAGCTACACACATCAACACAAACACAGTATTATATGAAAAGACAAAACTGGTATATAACATATGCTTTCATTTATGTAAAATTGAAACGTAGGCAAAAATAATTCTCGTTTATTAGTGTGGTTAGCCTTCTAGGAAAATGGTGACTTGAAGGGATTTCAAAGGCAGTTTCCAGAGTGCAGATAATGTTTTTCATTTTTGATTTTGATGTTGTATATATTGGTGCATTATCTTTGTGACAATTTACCGAATTGTACACTCATGATTTATGTTCTTTTATGTGGATATAACATACTTTCATCAAGTGTTTGTTTAAAACACATACACACACATACACACGTATGCCTATATTCACTATTTCTTATTCAGTTTTTCTACCACTTTACATTCCACACCCCAAGACTCTGCCATTCAATCTTATTTCTCCCTAGATTTCAGATAAGCAATTCTGAAAGCCAAGACAGGACTCACAGCATTGGACAGAGGATGATTATCTTATTTCTGAATTAATAGATCGCTACCTTTAATAGATACAGGAAGGTGTATTTTAGTTGAGCCCAGTAATTCGTGGGGCCATTTTTTGTTGCAACTCAAATACAACCAACTTATGTCATATATGCTTAATTATGTGCTAGTATAATTCTCATTTCATCTTACAGCGCAAGGAGGGTAAAAATAATTTATTATTTCCACTAAGATCTCCTTTTGTTTGGATCCATTGGAAACTTTTAAATGGACAATTCTATAAAGGTATTTCTTGTCTTCAAAGTGGTCTACTCAAATAATTTATAAAGTTGGAGTCCAAGGATAATTTAGTAAATTAAATAGGTAATATGGGAAATATTTTACCTTTCACTTTCCCATTTCAGATACAGACATTTGTCTTTGTTGCTGAAAAATCACAAGACTGAATAATTTTAGAGATACTTCATTTCATTGTGTAGTTTAAAAAATGTTAATTTTAAATAGTCTGAGATTTGACAGAACAAGGAACATGATGAGTGCATTAACTATCTATTATTGCCTAAAAAGGTAACTCTAAATTTAGTAGCATAGAACATCAACATTTATCTTAGAGTTATGTGGGTTAGAAATTCAGACCAGACTTAACTGGGTCCTCTGGCTCAGAGTATCTCACAGAACTACAGTTAAGGTTTGTAGTGGGGTTGGAAGTGGGGCTGCAGTTATCTCCAGGCTGAACTGGAGAAGAATTTGCTTCCAAGTGCACATAGTGATCTTTAGGTTATCACTCGCTGTTGCAGAAGGCCACTGTAACTTCCTTGCCACAAGGCATCTCTATACCTCACAATCTGGGGGTTTGCTTCATCAGAATGAAAAAAAGAGAAGAGCAAGAAAGAGGGAATGCAAATAAGATGTATGTCACAATCTTTTATAACCCAATCTTAGAAGCAACATCCCATGATTATTTATCTATTATATTTGTTAGAAACAAGTAACAAGTTCAGCCCACATAGAAGGCTAGGAAACTGCACTAGAATTTGAATACCAGGAGGCAGGGATCATTGGGAACTAATTTAGAAGCTGACTATGGCAACTGGACAATTAAAAATAATAATAATCTTTAAAAAGCACCAAAAAATGGCACTGACATCATTGCAAATTAATTAGAAATATGATCTAAAATAAGTCAAAATTATGAAACAAAATGCAGTTTCCAGTCTGGTAAGTGCAACAAACTGTTTGCTAGGATTTTTAGATTGTTATTGAAAGATTACTTAAAATTTATTTCTCTATCTAGTGACAATTTTGCCATTTTTAAATCTTTTTATTGTGAAATGTTTTTATATTTTTCTACATAGAGTCTTCTAATAAAGACAATTAATTTATACTATCCATAAGACAACATCGTGCTTTGTAAACACAAGTGGCATTTTGTGAAGATTATAGATAGTCAGATTTTCTTTACCATCTTTAGATTTTAATCTTGCATGAGAGTTTTCGGAGAGGAGTGAAAAGTTTGTATTAGTATGGAAAAACAGTTTAGCTGGGGGTTAATTTACAGAAATTTGGTACGAATATACTTAAAATTTTACAATATAATCTGACATGCTTAGACCAAAGGGCAATTTTGAAATTTCTTCTAACTAAAAATAATTTAGAATGAGTGTGTTTTTGTGCATTTTAGCCCTATGTAGCCACTTTCCATGTTGATTTTCTAAATATTAGATAATATGTAGCATATTATGTATGACCTAATGATGTGCTAAAGTAGCATTTCTAACAAAGAAAATTATATAAAAAGAATTCACTAAAACTGGGCAGCAATAGCTTACAAGGTTATAAATCACTAAGCAAATTCTCACAACATAGCCATTCCACTTAAATGAATAAATTTCAATGCATAAAACTAAGAAAGTAGATCAAGACGATAATACAATTTTCAGTTGTATATTTTTGTTTTAGGTTTTAAGTTTACTAACTTTAGAAGCAAACTGAAAGAAGTCAAAATTAAATTTTCAAAATGAAACTCTGAAATGTCTCTTTTGCCCGACTCTTAATATTTATGAAGAAGAACATGGTCCAGAAGATTTAAATGCCTGTAATCATTTTATGTTTAAAATAAGGATCTATTAATTAAGATCTATAACAAGAGTCTATCCAGTCAGGATATAGACTCAAACATATATAGAACAGAACACTTGGAGCTCAAAGGCAATAAACGGATAATTGGTATAACATATTCATGATTATTATGTTACAGGAGAAAACCAAACTATAGAATCACAGATATGTATTTTTCAACAAATGTCAATATGCTAGGTAGTATTCTGTGTATTAGAAGTATAGCATTATAGGCATATTTATTTCATGAAGATTAACTTTTAGTATATTGTTATGGTAAAAATAATATACATGCAGATAAATATGTGTAATAAACACTTTAATCAGAGTGCTATCAAAGTCATTACACTTAATGAGAACTATTCTGTGAGATAAAGTTATAAAACAGCATTACTCTTCTTACAATGCTGTGTTTCAACAGTACTATTCTGAATTTCTCTTTTCTGCCCCAAACAATAATATAGGCAGATGGCATAGATTTCCAATTCCGTTTCAGGTATTGGATTCATTCTCAATTATTAAAATGTCTGTCCCATTCTAAATTAAAATGCTCACCTCTCATTTATTTAAGAGCATCTCTCCCTCACGTCAAAATCAGGCTTAAAAAATTACTGTAAATAAAGAGTATGTGGTCGATCTAACCATTTTCTACCTTATTATTTCATAATTTCTCTTAACCATTCTGGTACCTCTGACTCCTTTCAGATTGAAGATAGAGGGGAAGAAAATGAGTAAGAGACAGGTAGACAGGATCTTGTTTCAGAGCACTATTATAATCTGGAATAGGTACTTTCTCTATGACAGATGTGATTGCTTATCAGAGTGATCAAATCTCAAAAAACTCTGTTAGGAGGTAGCATCGAAAAACAGCCCTAAAACTCAGAGTAATTACCAATATCTTTATGTACTACTCATTAAAAAGTCATTTTCAAATAATGCATATACCTAAAATTGTAATGCTGGATAATTTTTACTTTTATTTTTTAGACTAGTGACGTGTAGCAGTTTAGAAGTGGGGAAAGAGTAGATCGAACAAGCAGTTCAATTTGTAACTGACTGTGAACAGTCAATTGAGATAACTCACTACCTTTGGACCAGCTAATGCTGAATAATTTTAACAACCAATCTTTTATTTCAAGGTGAATCCAACAGCCAGAAATGCTTGACCAATGTCCACTTTTGTTCTATGGCCCATTCATCCAATACATTGGTAATCATGGTGAGACTGAATTAACACTCTTGGCTCAATATTAAAGGTAGTGATTAGTTCAACATATTGGTAAACAGTGTGTGAGAATTCAAACTAATTGTAGAAAATATCCTAAAATTCAACAAAGATATTCTCAAATCTTTCATCTTTCAGCATGTCACCCGTTTTTCTAACACAAAAATAAAAGCTCAAGCTCCCATCCAACAAGAATGTAGCATTTCCATTCCTTTATTAGAATTTCTATCCAAAGTACTTTTTTTCATTTTCTCTCTATTTTGCTTTCTTTTCTTTTGTGTTTAAGAGTTATAAGAGAAAGCTTACATGATGCTTTACTATCATAAAGAAATTTTTCAAGCTTTCAGTCAACTTTGAAATCACATTATCTGAAAACTTAGATGCATCACATCAGAAGTGCAATGAGAAATTCCTAAAATAAAACATGATATTGTTCCCCCAGAGTAGTTAATCTAGGTCTTGGTTAATCTAGGTCTTGGTTAATCTAGGTCTTGGTTTTCCTCATTGAGTCCCTTGCCAATCTCTCCCCCTGGCTGATAAAATGTGTAAAGGATTCAATCATTCACCCAGTTTCCTCCCAAGGAAAACCAGTGATTCCTCCCAAGCAAAACCAATGATTAACATCATCACCCAAAAGTCAGGTATTTCATCTTTTCCAGGGCTCAAAGAGATGGGAAAAATAAGTTTTACCTTCTCTTTTCAGAATGGTACATTCAGGGCTACATTTCAGAAAGACAAGTTTTTACATCACTATTCCAGAACATTTAGCCCCTCATTGTCTTATTACCTCTCTTCTCCTGATTAGAATTTTGGCATTAACTTCACACAATTCATTGGCCCATTAAAACATCATCCTATTTGGAAATAATTCAAAAATGCTCAAGAGGCTAGAAATAGTATTTTCTATTGAAAGAGTTTTTTTCTATGAAAATAATTTCCTAATAAAATAATGATAATGTTATTTTCAAAATATCATTGAATCTAACCATTTTATTAATTCTGAATAGCCTCACAATAGAACAAGCAACTGTGTGTGTGTATGCCTGTGTTTTCATGCATGGTCTCCTGTAATCACATTTTATCTGGCTTCTATTCTGCACCTTTTTATTTTTACATAGTTTTCAGTGCAAAATGTTAGAATTAGAAGTCAGATCCTGAAAATTGCATATAATTTTGCAGTTGCCCTAATTCTCTCTGTCTCAGGTTTTAATATTAAATATAAAATTGTAGGTTAATTATAGATGTTCTTTATCAGATTGAGGAAAATTACCTTCTGTTGCTAGCTTGTTGAGAATTTCCATCATGAATGGGTGGTGAATGTTGTTAAATATGTTTTCTGCATCTATTGTAGGAAAGAGATGGATCTGATATGTATTCTATTATTGTCAGGATAATAATGGCTATATAAAATTAGTTGGGAATTGTTTCCCCATTCTCTATTATCTCAAATATTTTGTGTATGATTAGTATTAATTCTTTATTAGATGTTTTATAGAATTTATCAGTTCAGCCATCTGTGCCTGGACTTTTCTTTGTGGGCAGATTTTTAATTAAAAATTACTTTATCTACTCAAAATTGTTGTATTCAGATTTTTATATTTTCTTGAGTGAGCTTGGATAATTTATGTTTATTCTCATAAATTTTTCATTGAATCTAAGTCTTCAAATTATTAGCAAATTTATACCATTATTATATTTATTTTAATTTATATTTAGTCTGTTAGTCTGCAGTAATAGTCCTTCTTTCCTTCATGATGATAGACGTTTCTACCTTCTTTATTTTTCTTGTTCAGCATAGCTAAAGGTCTGTATACATTGTAGGTCTTAGCAAAAATGAAATTTTGGTTTCATTGATTTTTTTCTATTATTTTCTGTTTCATATTTTAATAAGTTCTGGTCTGATTTCTATAATTTCTTTCCTTCTGATAATATGGACTTGAATTGCATTTTCTTTCTTAAAGTAGGGCATTTGACTGTTGATTTTAGATCTTTCTTTCTAGTAGATATTTAACCAAATAAATTTCCCACTAGGCACTGCTTTATCTGCATCCTATAAATTTTAATATGCTGTGTTTTCTTTTAAGTCCAGTATGTTTTCTAATTTTTCTTTTAATTTCCTCTTTTAACTATGGATTATTTAAGTCACATTGTTTAACATCCTAATATTTGTTGCTTTTTCAGTTTTCTTTTAGTTGTTGAATTTACATTTCATTCTGTATTTAGAAAACCTACTGCATACAATTAATTAAAACTCATTAAATTTATTAAAACTTGCTTTTTGGCCCAGCACATTGTCTATACTGGAAAATGTTCAATATGCACTTAAAATAAAATTGTGTTCTACTCTTACTGGTTAGAGTGCTATAGATATGTCAGCTGGTTAAAGTTGTTTGATAATGTTCCAACTTTCTACATTTTTATTGATATTCTGTCTAGTTTTTCTATCAGTTGCAAAAAAAGAGTGTTAAAATCTATCAATATAATTTTTAATGGACTATTCTTTCTTTCAAATTTCTTCTTTACTTCCATGCATTGTGGGACTTTGTTGTGTGCATCTGCATTTATAATATGATAGCTTTCATTTTCTTGATGTTTTTATCATTATTAGCATTCCTCTTTGTTCTAGTCAGTTTTAGTCATATTCCTTTTTTTTAAAACTTATTCTTATATTAATACAGCCACTCCAGTTCTCTTATAGTATTTGTACAGTTTAAACCTTTACCATCCTTTTACTTTCAATCTATTTTTTTCAATCTAAAGAGTGTCTCTCATAAACAATATATAGTTGAATCAAACTTTCTACTCAATCTGAAGATCTCTGCCTTTCAATTGGAATGTTTAGTTAATTAATATATATTTAATTATACAGTTAGAATTATATTGGCGACTGTGTTACTTGTTTTTCATATAATTATGTGTGTATTTCTCTGTGCTCGTTTTACTGTACTGTTCTGTTAAATGAATATTTGTTTTTATAGGTTTTTAGTTATTCTGTTAATTGTTTAGCTATATTGTTCCCCTGAGGTTAAGGATGAAAGTATCTATTCCTATTTGTAATTATCTGCTTTGAGTTAGTATCAGTTTAATTCTGGTAAAAGACAGTGACTTTGAAACACTAGAACTTTATTTTCTTCCCCTTCCATTTTGCTAGATTTTTATATATTATGTAAAAAAGTTAGCAAACTAAAAATACTATAATTATTGTTTAAAAAACTTATGACTTTTAAATATATTAAGACTTTTTTCTTTTAGTTTAAATTTACCTTGGACTTTGCCTTGAATATTTTATGTACACTCTAATGCTGTACATTTTTCAGATATTAAATCTGCCCTTAATCAAATAATTGTTCCCCATATAATTTATTTTTGTATTTCTGATTTCAAATGTTCTCTTTGTTTTGTTTCTATTATTAATTAATTAATTTATTCATTTGTAGGGACCATTACCCAGGCTGGAGTGTAGTGGTACAATCAGAGCTCACTGCAGTGGTGAACTCCTGGGCTCAAACAATCCTCTCACCTGAGCGTCAAAAAGTGCTGACATTATAAGTATGAGTCACTGCACCCAGACTTAGGCTACTTTTGTATTAACATCCAATAAAACATATTTTCCAAAGCCAGTTTTACTGGAATTTCTGGCTTAATCTCCTCCTAGGCTTTTATACAATAGACAAATAGTCATATTCTTCTTCATATTTTGTTTTGTATTCTGTTTTACTCTAAGAAATAAAGGCAGAAAGTGACTTGAGATGCCTTAACAGAGATTAACTTAGCACAAAATATAATCTATATTTCCTATTATCAGGTTGGTATTTTGAACATTCTGCTTAATTTTTTCAAATGGTATAAGAAGTAAGAAATGACTTGGAGCGGGGGATATATGAACTATTTCTAGTGGCATTTAACCTATTCCTTTTTTTCCTTGATCACCACCGCCAACAACAAAAAGTAAAACTACCTACAAAAACCAAATTCTAATTGTGTTATAGACAAAAATGTCTTAACAGTGCTGTGTCAGCTGAGTGGCTACTCCATGTTGTGAAGGACAGATACGTAGAAATCCTGAAATACGTAAAGAATTGGCATACTTGCACTTATCTCCATTGAGTGGAGCACACTATCAGAGACAAGATTCTTTTTTTGAAGGAGAGTTTTATCATGCTAGAAACAGCTGGTTTGACAGATTGTTCTTGTTTGTCCCCAGCTTAGATTCTGTTGAACACTCCAGCATATATTTGGTATGCTATTTAGGCAACACATGACATTTCCAGTAGCTCTTAAAAGGTCAGTATGACAGATGCCTGGGTGTAATATTCTCCCTGGAAATATTTATACAGTGATCTACATTTATTTCTTTTTCAAACCTATATTTTTCAAAGTTCTTTATTTTCAGGGATTTGTTAAAAATTTGGTTTTAGAAGACCCAAGTTCTAGTTCTGACTTTCCTAACTCTTGGATATGACATATAACACTGTGTGCAATGAAATAATATTAAGGTATACTACATAATACAGCCATGTATACTAATGTATACTTCATATGGATTAATAACATGAAAATACTTTGCAACTCTAAAGTTTCATATGAATACTAGTTATTTTAGTTACAGGTATTGTGTATGCTTATTTATTATATGAATCATCACACATACAAATATCCCATAATTAAAAAAATGAATATTATAAATCACATCTAACAGATAACCTGGTTTCCTGGTTTTCTCATATGTCAGCTCCGCAGTCATCTCAAATTAAACATTATATAAGCAATACATTCAGCATCTCTTTTTATACGAAAAGACAATATTCTAAGAATTATTGTACAAAATACATTTATCTAGGTATTTAATGAGATAGGAGAGAATTTAACACAGCATATCTCAGAGGAAAAAACTTCATAAATGCCATTTAACATGGTCCTATTCCCAAATCTGCTAACTTGAGAAACTGGGGTGGGGGCTGTTGGGATTGGTTGTCAACCTTACCCTCGATCAGTCTTCTGTTTCCCCATCTTTCCTTTATTTTTTGCTAGATCCCTCCTACTTCTCCCTACTTTTCTATACTTCCTCACATAAAGCATATTAGTTCTACTCTAGTTATTCCAAAAACAAGTCATATGTACTGCCACAATTTCTAAAGCATGGCTCTTCTAGTAATTATTTGCTAGGGTCAACCTTTCTACGAAATGGTAGATTACTTTTAATAATTGTGTTCCCAGTTTAATAGGGTGGCTAATGAAAACATTGTCATGTGGGAAAAATGTCATCAATGTTTAACCTATTCTGTCCAGCTACTAGAATTAACTTCACAGATAGTCTGACATAATTTGACATGAATAATGTTTGATTAAACAGAAATAGAATTACTTAAATAGTGTCTTTTTCTTAAAAGTAGCTTTGTTCTAACACTATTATACAGAGTTTAAACTATGATTAATTAAAGAATTTTGGGTGTTTTCATTGATATAACTGGGAAATTGCTTCTTAAATTTTCAGTGACTCTCTAAGAAGTGACAGTATTGTGTCCATCTCTAATCAATTTAGATAAGCTCTCATAGTCATTTGAAAATTAATTTTACACTTTCATATAATGTTGTTTACCTCTTTTACCTCTTTCATCTTTCAAGGGCATGTGTAAATAATTATGCTTCTCTTAACCAATCTAACTGTAAATTAGTCATTGTATTTTCATACTTTAAATTTACAAGTTACATAGAATAAATTTGTGAACTTGGGTATCCAAGGGGTTGAAGAAACACAGACACATTTGAAAGTGTTTGACTTCTGCATCTTAGGTATATTTTCCAGAAATTTGTTTTTCACTTAAGATGCATATTTATTTTCACAGTAGAATTTGTTTGTTAAAACGTTCTAGCATATTTTGGTAAATGCTCTCTTTTTCCTTCATTTTTAGGATGTTTCTACAGGTTCGTACTTACATTGCTAAAACATTTTTAGGACGTTTCTACAGGTTCGTACTTATATTGCTAAAACTTTGTGCTTTTGAGCTTCAACTGAATATGTCAACTGGCTAAATAATGATAAATATTTATATCCCAAGAAGATTAGAAATACCTGAAATGAGTGTTCTTATCTAGTAGACAAATACATTTTTAAAACATATCTTCAGAATTCAAATAATATGTAAATCTGGTAAATATTTGTTCAAACAAAACTAGGATGGCTCTAAAAGTTTTTGGAAAATAAAATTGTGGTGTTCATGTCCATCAGGGAAGAAGATTGTGATATTCATACAAATGTACCCCAGAGAATCTCTAGGTATAGATAACATAAAAACACATCAGAGCTTTTGTATTATTGTCTTCAATAATCTACTCCTTTCTCCTCTACGAGCACTGTACATCTCAATTCCTGCCAGGTATTCTTGTAGGTGCAGGATCATCTCTCTCCCTATTTTCAGGCTCAGCCTTGTGACTTCCTTTGACCAGGAGAATGTGAGCCTCTATGATGTACATCATGTGTTACTACAAGTTTTAGATACATTTGGGTGGCTCAGTCAGTCTTGTTCCTGTCTTCTTCCTGAGAACACTGGCTCTAGTTCAGAGCTATTCGTGGATCATGGAGTAGGCTGACTTGAGGAGAAGAGTTGAGCTGGATAGAGCTGAGCTGAGGCAGAACAGAGCACCAGTTGACATGCAGACATTTGAATGAGAAATAATATTTTGTTGTTGAAATGCACTGAAATTTGGGGATTGCTTTTTGCCACATCAAAAGCTGACAAATACAGCCTTCCCACAGCTATGTCATAAAGGCAAAATAAAGCAAACAAATGAATAACAGTAATATTTGTGGCTATCTATTGACTTATCTTACTCCATGTCAGTCATTCATTCCTTTTTTCGTGCAATATTTGTCACTCTATGAGCAAAGAACTACCATTTGCAACTGGGAATGAAAAAATGAACAAAGAACACTCCACACAAAACTCTCGACTTATGAAATCTACTGTCAATCAGAGCAGTGCATGTTGCTTTGAAAATTATATTCCCCACAGTATCTTAATACTGTATACTCTATTATGATATCAATAGGTAAATTAAAATTTTATGTCTATTTTCCTCAACCTCGGAATCAATAAGTATGTTAAAAATCACTTTTCCAAATTTTGTACTGTATGCTCACTTTTAACAAAGGAAATGGCAACATATAGTAAATACTGGAACTGTCTGTCAACATTATTATCTCTGTGTCTCTATTTTTACCATACACATCTAGGGATATTTTCTCTCTCCAGAAGAGTATATTCTGCAACATTTTCTTTAAAAGTCCTCACCATTGAGAGGAAGAATTTCAGGAACTCCAGGACATTTTACGATATCAGCCTGCATTATCTTAGGAGTTCATTTCCTGCCCCACCCATACTTTACATCTGGGTGTCATCTTTCTATTTAAGGCAGAGATCTTACTTGTACAGAAGGAATGATTTTTACATCTCTAAATTGAATATGTATTAAATGTAATGTTTTCTTTCTTTTCTTGTTTCTCTCCTTCCTTCTTTCTCTTTCTTCTATTTTTTGAATAAAATTATATTTCTGGCTCACATTTGTCCAGGCTGCAAACAAAAATTAACCTCCTCTTTCTGAATTGAACATTATTTGCTGTGAAAGTTTTGAGAGGCTGAGAGCACAAGGATGGTAGGAATAAATCTGATCATTGAGTCATCTTTCAACACAGGCATCAGTGAGATATGCTTGAACTCTCTGTCATCGTGGCATCTGTAGATTTGGTGATTCTCTTTTATGCATACGTGCCTTGAATGTTCATGGGAGTGGAGAAATGGAAATGCATTCTTGAAAAAGACTTATGGTTGGGACATAGGGAACTTTGTTAAACTATAAACACATCTGCTGGATTTACCATGTGTCATTCCAAACCTTTCAGTGAAAAACAAAAAACAAAACCAAACAACAAACAATCAAAACCCAACTAGAAAAACAACAAGTTCAAAAGTTTTCTTGAACCCACTAGAGTGTTGACTGATATACCTGGACAAGACATAGCCAGCCACCAAAAATGTAAGTTTAATAGGATTATTGGCAGATTGGTGAAGCCCGGGCAAATGCAAAGGTGAAGGCTTCGTGGACCTCAAAAACAGTATGGAGTCTTCACTTTTTTATTTCACCTGAAAAGAGTTTCAGACCTTTTTACTCCACAATTCCAACTGGAAACTATTGAGAAGAGACAGAGAAAGTCTCGCTTGTATTGTAGAATAAGAGAAAGAGAGGAACAACACAGTGGCAAACAAAATTTCAAAATCCATGGTGCCCTTTTCCCTTATTTCCTCAATAGAAAACAAACAATTTATGGGGAAAAAAATGGGCAAAAAACTAATTGCAGTCAGGAGAAAGGATGAATAAAGAAAGATTTCAAATGGGCGGAGAGGGTTAGGAATATGTGCTGACTTCAGAAATCATGTGTTAGAAAACAATGAAATGCTAAATTTCTGAAAGAAATCAACCCAGAAAGCTATGACCGAAGATAAAGCTTTCGAAAAAAAAAAAAGAAAGAAAGAAATACATTTTGTAGATTAATAATATCTGTGGGAAGAAATGTTATAGGAATTTCTTTAGAAAGAAGACATATAGGCCGGGCCTGGTGGTTTATGCCTGTAATCTCAGCACTTTGGGATAACGACGCGGGAAGATCACGAGGTCAAGAGTTTGAGACTAGCCTGGCCAACATGGTGAAACCTCATCTGTACTAAAAATAAAAAAAATTAGCTGGGCATGGTGGCACATGCTTGTAGTGCCAGCTACTCAGGAGGCAGAGGCAGGAGGATTGCCTGAACCTGGGAGGCAGAGGTTGCAGAGCCAAGATCATGCCACAGCTCTCCAGCCTAGGTGACAGGTGAAACTCTGTCTCAAAAAAAAAAAAAAAAAAAAAAAGGAGAAGATATATAACATCAGACAATTATTTGGATACACACAAAGAAATGAAAAACAATGAAAATTACATAAATGTAAATCTTTTTAAAAATAATTTTTGATTAGTTTAGAAGACAATTAAGACAGCAAAAACAGGAGCAATATGTTATATGTTTATAACATATGAAAAGTTATGTGTATAACAATAATAATGCAAATGAGAGAAAGGGATTTAAAAGTATTCTGTTGTAAGGATCTTATACTACATGTAAAGTAATACAAGATTATTTGAAAATAGATTCTGATTAAATATTACAATCCAAACCTCAGAGCAGCCTACCAAAAATAATGTATAAAATGATGTATAAATAGTAAGTATTAATAATAGAGGAAACAAAATCATAAAGAAAGCTGATTTCAAACCAGAGAAGGCCAAATAATGCCCCATGAAAATGTATGTTTTTTTCCAGACTGGCTGGTATGAATGCTAAGAGCTATTCTGTAATCCTTTCAAATATGTTTTTTTCATCTATGGATATGTTACTCATATGCATTTTCTTACTAACACTGTGCTAAATTCTCCAGGAACACCACCTTCAGATCTCTGACCTCTCTGTTACCTGTCTAGTCTCCAGTATTCTATATTGTGAAATCCAGCCTTATACTCTCCACGTCGTTAGCTCCCTTTCCTCAACTCAGTGAGTTCCCTCATTATTTGCAGTAGAGTGAAAATTCTCTTAAGGCAATAAACTGAGACAATTTTAGTGCTCATGATTTGTTTCTCATTTCTTAGAGATAATAATTCTTTCTTGTCTAATGTCGAGTGTCTTGAAATCTGTTGTCTCACATATTTTAAAATAATTTTTGGTTGTTTTAGTCAGGAATTAATACCTACCAACAATGAGCAATCAGACATTAGAATGAACAAACACTTCACCAAAGAAGATATGTATATGGCAAATGAGCATAGGAAAAGATGCTCAACATTATTAGTCATTGGAGAAATGCAAGTTAAAACCACAATTAGATACCTCTAGACACATATTACAATCACTAAAATTCAAAGACTGGTCAACCATGTCTTTGCAAAGACGTGGAGGAAACAGAATACTAATACATTGTTTTGGGGAACGAAAAATTGCACAATCAGTTTATCAGTTTGGAAAAGTCTTTTTTGGCTTTTTTTTTTTTTTTTTTTTTTAGAGGGAGTTTCGCTCTTGCTGCCCAGGCTGGAGTGCAATGGCACAGTCTCGGCTCACTGCAACCTCCGCCTCCTCGGTTCAAGCAATTCTCCTGCCTCAGCCTCCCGAGTAGCTAGGATTACAGGCAGCCGCCACCATGCCCAGCTCATTTTTTGTGTTTTTAATAGAGATGGGGTTTCACCATATTGGGCAGGCTGGTCTTGAACTCCTTGACCTCAAGTGATCTGCCTGCCTGGGCCTCCCAAAGTGCTGGGATTACACGCGTAAGCCATCGCGCCTGGGCCCCTTTTTTGGCTTCTTAAAGAGTAAAACATAAACCTTCTGTATTATCCATCCATTTAATGTTAGCTATTTCAGGAGGTAAGATGTGACATCTAAATGCAATGTGTGATCTTGGATTAAATCCTGGAAAAAAAAAGTTTTAAAAAAACTAGTGCAATCTGAAGAGGGTTTATAAGTCTGTAATTATTTTATCCTTTTATGACTTTATTTTTTAGAGCAATTATACGTTTCCAGCCAAATTCAGAGTAAGGTACAGAGATTTTTCATATACCCTCTGCCCCACAATTTAATAGCCTCCTTCATTATCAACATCCTCTAATAGGGTGGTACATTTTTTACAATTGATGAACCTACATTGACACATTATAATCACTCGAAGTCCATAGTTTACATTAGTTTTTTACTCTTGGTGTTGTACATTCTATGGGCTTGGATACTGTATAATGACATGTATTCATCATTACAGTATCATACAGAGTAGTGTATTTCCATAGCCCTAAAGGTTCTCCTTGTTCTGCCTCTCATCCACCCCCTCCCCCCTCAACCCTTTGCAACCATGACATTCCTACTATTTCCATTGTTTTGCCTTCTCCAGAATGTAATATGGTTGGAATCATATAATGTATCATATAGTGTATACTTTTCAGATTGTTTATTTCATTTAGTTATATGCATTTAAGTTTCTTCCATACCTTTTTATGGCTTGATAGCTTGTTTCTTTTTTTTCACTGAATAGTATTTCATTTTCTGGATGCAGAAAAGTTTATTTATTTATTCACCTACTGAAATTATATCTTGGTTGCTTCTAAGTTTTTGCAATTATGAACAAAAGCTTCTAGAAGCATCCATGTACAGGTTTTTCTGTAGACAAAAGTTTTCATGTCTTTTGAGTAAATACTAAGGAGCACAATTACTGGATCATATGGTAAGACTATGTTTAGTTTTATAAGAAGTCATCAAGCTGTCTTTCAAAGTGGCTATACCATTTTGCATTACCATCAGCAGTGAATGATGGTTCCTCTTGCTCTACATTTTTGTCAGTATTTCGTGTTGTCATCATCCCAGATATGGGACATTCTAATAGGTGTGTAGTGTTATCTTCTGTTGTCGTAATTTGCAATTTTGAAAGATGACTGAATAAAGAAATAGTGGTATATATTTGCAATGGAATCTTACTCAGCTTTAGCAACCAAGGAGATCCTGCCATTTGTGACAACGTGGATGAACCTGGAGGACGTGCTAAGTGAAATAAGCTAGGTACAGAAAGAAAAATCTGGTAAGATTTCTTTTACATGTGGAATCTTAAAAAAAAAAGAAGCTGAATACATGGAAACAGAGACTACTAGAAGGGTAGTTATGTGTCAGCAGGGCAGGAGAAAACTGTGAAGGTGGCGATGGGTAAAGGTTGGGGAGATATAGGTCAAATGATATGAAGTTGCAGTTATGTAGGATGAATAAATCTTGTGATCTCAAGTACATCATGAGTACTATAGTTAATATTTTACTATACAATGGAAATTGTCCAATAACGCATACGTTAGGTGTTCTTACCACATGCAGTAAAAGATAACTGAGATTACGAATGTATTAATTGGCTTGATTGTAGTAACCATTTTACTATGTATATGTAAACAACATACACCTTAAATATATAAAATTTTTAAAAATAATGTGTTAAAAAATGGGACAAAGACATTAATAGACACCTCTAAACACCAAAAATGATATACAAATTGCAAATAAGCATATAAAAAGATGTTTCACATCATATGTAGTCAGATAAATACAAATGAAAACAATTATTTTAAAATTAAAAACAAATAGAAACTATCTTTCAACATACCATAGCCATAGATTTTCAGGCTGGTAAATCTTATAAAAAGAAAGTGTTGACATTACACTAGGAAATTGCAGAAGATGATGCAATTCTTAGGGAACTGATCAGATCAAAAGTTAAGAGGTGTCAATCTGGGCTGGCATGGTGGCTCACACTTGTAATCCCAGCATGTTGGGAGTCCGAGGTGAGTGAAGTGCTTGAGTCTGGGAGTTTGAGACCAGCCTGGGCAACATGACGAAACCCTATGTCTACTAAAAATACAAAAAAATTAGCTGAGTGTGGTGGTGTGTACCTGTAGTCCCACGTAGTCCTGGCTACTTGGGAGGCTGAGGTGGGAGGATGACTGAGTCCAGAAAGGTTGAGGCTGCAATAAGCTGAAATTGCACCACAGTACTCCAACCTGGGCAATAGGAGTGAGATCCAGTATCAAAAAAAAAAAAAAAAAAGAAAGAAAGAAAGACATGTCAATTTATTTGTGCTACTCTAACAGAATACCACATTTATAATTTATAAATGATACAAATTTAGTTTTCACAATTCTGGAGGCTGAGAAATCCAAGATCAGGGTACAAGTAGTTTCAGTGTTTGCTAAGGGCTGGCTATACCCTCATGATTTCATCACCTCCTAAAAAATTCCTTCTGTTTATACTATTACATTGGCAATTACGTTTCAAAATGCTAATTTTGGGGGACACATTCAGACCACAGCAAGAGGTAAAAGTTATATTACTCTTAGAGACAGTAATTTACATGCAGCCACTATTTCTGAAAAAAATGTAATAGAAACTTGAACTTCATTCTTCAAAATTATTACAACTAGTCTACGTATTGCTAAGAAAATATTGAGAAATGTAATATCAATATTATTTGGAACTATCTGGTTGTGTCTTGCTTTGTTGATTTTATTAGTTTCCTTTTCTCATTCTGAACTAGTCCATACTTGATAAAGTCACATTTTGTTTTCTGTGAAGGATAAAATTCCATATCTAGTGAATATAGCAAATGATCCAATGGTGACTAAGATTAAATGCCAAATTATTAATGTTCTTTTGATAAACATATTAAAAGGGTCACATGTTAAATACTCTGAAAATCCACACCTTCCATAGATTGTAGTTGGCCTGGTATAAATGAATCCGGTTATAATGTATAACTACAAGAAACACCAGGTTAGGAGCCTTTGAACAAGATGATTTAAAAGTAAGAACTTTTGTGAAGTGTCGTTGACCTTGCATTTTAAGGAAGAGAATTACCAACTTGTCACTTGACTTTGCACTTGAGAAGAATAAGCTCTAAATTACCATTGTAGGAACAGTGAAAAGTAAGCCTGGATGCCAGGATTCAACATTATTCACTGTAGTGAGAGAGTCTTTTATTAATTAAACATCCACAGTGCGCTAAGTGCTGTAGAGGACAATAAAGACAGGTTCCTTGTCAGTGTGGAGAACGGAAGCTATTTCCTCTTGGGACCTGTATTGCTGAGGTATATTCTATTCATCAAAGAAAGAAACATGCTTCATCATGCATAAAGGAGAATATAGTTTCCTCTGTCCTACTTCATGAATGTTTTCTTGCTTCTTACTTATTCTTGAAGGACAGGGACTATGCATTGACATCTTTGGAAATCACACTTTAACTATTAGTGCTTTATGATTCAATGACAGCAAAAGCCACACGAACAAAGATTAGCCACTAAAGGAAATAAAAATATTTTACCCTTGAATAAATTTCTTTGACATATTTGAAATGGCTGTAACTTGGCCAGCAGATTGAGTTGGAGAAATTCTCATCTGCAGACCAACTCATTAGTGCAACCAGGTCTTCCTTTTCTAGGCCTTTCCTGGATCAGAAGAGATTAATTGAGAGTCTAATAACTTTAAAGGTCTGAAAAGAGACATTTACTATCTATTCTCTCGGAGGACTGCTACCTATGAATCTTCATCTATATAACGAGGCCAACTTTGCTAGCCAGGCCTCCTCTTCTCTCCTTCCCATAACCCGTCTGGCCACTAAACCTGATCTACCAACATAATCTGGCTTTGGCCATGCTCTGAGCCTATATCTTTCTGTATCCTCAAGATGGTATATAAGCTTCTGTACCTTGTTAGGGAATTGGGTCTTTCTTCTGAAGGTGCTTGGATATGCACATTAAACCAGTTTGTATGTCTTTTCTCCTATTAATCAATCTGCCTTATGTTAGTGACATTTCAGCAAACATTTAGGGGCCAAACCTATTGCACTATTTGAATTTATTAGACTCTGGCATTGAGCTCCACCAAAAGCATAATCTTTGCTGCCCACATTGCCTTCTATCTCTGGGAAATCCTATTCAGTGGTCAAATCCCAACTTGAAAGTAACTTCTTTTGTGAAGCCCTCTCATGTCCCTTTAAGTAAGTTGCTTTCTTATGCACGGCCAAAAAAAAAAAAGAAGAAAAGAAAAAAAAGGATTTTTACTCTACTAAGAACATCAGAAATAGAAAACAGAAAGAAAAAGAAAGTAATGGCGAAGTGGTGACTAGTAAATATAATGATTTTAAAAGAGAAACACAGAAAAAAAGTTCTGCTTTATAACATCAACATTTAAATGTTTGTATCTAGTGACTCCTCTGTACTCTTTAGTGTCACTACTTAAAGGGGGATTGTAAGAGTGAAGGTATGGCTTTATTTTATTGAGTAATGGTACTCACTGTAGTGTCTGGAAGGTCATTTGTTGTCAATAATTAATACCCAAATCACTGATTCTATATAGCTGTCTCATCCTGCTGTTTTAAACATTGTGCAGAAGTAGCAACTTTATCAGTGAATAGATAGTGATTCTCTTTCAAGCGGTGATAGGAAACATACATGTGCAAATCTGGGAAATATCACTTCTCTCCATATTTTAATTTATTTTGCTATTAAAAAATAAAAAGAAATGGGTTTAAAATAAGTTATTACCCTTGATAAACATCAGCCACCAACATCACTGCTGAAAACCTCTGCATTTTCCCCCAGAAGTTCTATTATTCCACATAAGCTATGAGAACACCCAGAGTAGAAGTCATTGAGAAGCATGGTTCATGGAGATAGCATTGAATACTAACCTGAAATTACTATTCACATGAGAAGGTGATCTTAAGAAATCACTTTCTTCTTTACCAGCAACGTCACTTTATAAACGCTGTCTAAGGTGGGATGTCATTTTCTGGACTTTAATCAGATGCAGGGAACTTCAAAATATGTGGGAGATACCTTCACATAAATATTTACTTGTGTGTATGTGTGTGTGTGTGTATGTGTCTGTGTACATGTACATGTGTCTTTTTCCTTGGCATTTAAATGGAAATAGACAGATTCGGTAGTGTTTAAAAATCTCTGGGATTTTTTTTTAGTTCTATTGCATAATTCTTTATATACCAACTAAATCTATTTTTCTTCCCTTAGTAACAGTCTATTAAACATTCAGTGATGTAATATTAGTTGTTGTGTAGTGTATTCAAGTCCAAGGTGAGTTCATCATAAACGTTAGAAATGTATAGGTCTTTTGCTTATCTGGGATCCTAATATAATGGCTAGGTAAATAATATAATCTTATCTTTATTCAGCAATATATCAATAAAAATTTCAAAACCCACCAAAGTAAAGCTCTAGGTTTGCTTTCCTTATATGACTCTGCTTAAGAATGAAATACTTAAATAGAAATGTGGGAACATATTTCATACCAGCCCACTTATAATTTCATGAAAAAATACATCATATGAAAAATTGTTATAAGTAAAAGCAGAAATTGAGGTTTATAAATGATATAAGGAGCTCATAAAATATAATTTCAATGTACCTTTTCTCTAGTGTTTTCCACCAAGAATTTTCATAGCTTCTGATGTGAAGGTAAACCAAACTGAGTTTAGTCTGCACCGCCCTGAAAATTGCTGGGTCCTAGATTTGTCTTAACACTGAGATGTTTTAATTTAGTGTGCGTAAGTGTAATTGCCCAGTGGGTTCTTCCTGCCCAGGGTTCAGACAAAACCAATACACTGGTATTGTGGTATTGCAGTAAAGAAACAGTTTAATTAACATGAGCATGGCCATGTGGAAGACAAAGTTATTTTTCAAATCAGTCTCCCCTGAAATTTGGAGGCTAGATTTTGTTTGTTTGTTTTAGGATAGTTTGGTGGGAAGGTGGCTAGGAATGAGAAATGTTCATTGGTTGGGTTGAGGATGAAATCACAGGAAGTCAAAACTTACACTGAGTCAGTTTCTGGGTAGAGGCCGCAAGACCAGATGAGAGGCCACAAGACCAGTTTACTAGTCTGCATGGTGCCAGCTGGTCCATCAGAATGCAGTGTCTGGAAAAAAACACCTTGAACATCAGTCTTAGGTTTTACGATAGTAACGTTATCTATAAAAGCAACTGAACAGGTTAGGAATCTTGTGGCCCATGGCTGCATGACTCCTGAGCCATAATTTCTAACCTTGTAGCTAATTTGTTAGTTTTACAAAAGAGGTCTGATCTCCAAGCAAGAAGGGTGTTTGTTTCAGGGAGTGGATGGTACCATCTGTTTCAAAGTTAAACAATTAACTAAATTCCTCCTTAGTTAGACGGCCTATGCCCACGAACAAGCAAGCGCACCTTGGAGGTTAGAAGCAAGATAGTATTGAATAGGTCAGATTTCTTTCACTGTCATAACTTTTGGAAAGGTGTTTCATAGGTACTAATGTGTCTGGGAACAGTCCATTCTCCTGCTATACAAATTAGCTTATAAAATGAGCTTTGACCAGATTATTCCCACACCAGCAGCAGCAATACACCTGGTTTTAACTATGACGTTTTCCCACAATTCTCTCTACTGTGTATCCCCACGCCAAAATGGGTTTCCATAGATGGTGATTCCTTCCTAAACTTAGACTACATTCATCTTAGGATAATGTGTAAAGTTGCTTTCCACACCCCTTAGAGCACAGCCTATAGTGGGGAGGTCCTAGACATTTTTCTGGTTTATACCACCCATGATCTAACCATCTGCAAATCTCAATTGAGTTAAGACTATGGAATTGCATTATGAATATTTGACTAATGAAGTAAAGCTCCTTTCATTTAACAATTTCAATTTCTCAATTTCAAATCAATTTAAACATATATATACATTTGTGTATTTCATTTAGTTTTACTATTTTTTCATTTTATGTAGATATTACTAATGTAATTTTATGTATAAATTCATATATATTTGATTTGGACAGAAAAAAGTATGGTTCCTGTATTGTTTCCTCAAAAGTTGATAATTCATACGTAAGAGCATGAATGCTTATTTAGCATTGGAACTAATCTTTCTGGCTTGTTTGATCAATTAATTTTCTTTTCTAAAAACATTTTTATTATTTTATTTTATTTTATACAGATGGGGTCTTGTTACATTGGCCAGGCTTGTCTTGAATTCCTGGCCTCAAGCAATCCTCCCATCTTGGCCTCCCAAAATGCTGGGATTATAGGTGTGAGCTACCATGCCAGCCCAGTTAACTCTATTTAACCACTCACTGGTAACTGTTTTAAGAAACTCAGCAAGTTGTGTGTTGTTTGGGTACACCTAGAAGGGATCCTTTTTAAAGTAGTAGCAGTGATATTTATAATTACTGGATCTTTGACAAGCAAGTGTTATTGATGGAGTTAAATCCAACCTCACCCTCCTCAATGCCTATTTGAAGAAGGAACTTTAATACCACAAGCAGATTTCAGCCACACACTACAAAATGTGATGGCTATCTTTTAAATTCCATTTTCATTATCTTCTTAAATCTACTGATCTGATAAAAATGAATTTAATACCTAGGAAAATATCTAGAAGCACTGGTGAAGCATTCTCTAAATTATAGAAGAATAGATCCAGAAAGAAGATATTCCAGACCAGAACAATATTTAGTAGAGGAAGAAGTCTTGACTTTTCAGTAGAGCTTAACATGAACTATTTCAATAACCATACTTATGCGTATAATATATTTTGAATTGTTTGCATTTTTCCATTTGCAATTATTTCCTGTTTCATAATAGAATAAATAAAAGCATTAAAGATTTTTCATTATTTAAGAAGAAATTAAAAAGTTTGGATATATGTGTATATTATGTATATATGAAATACATGTATATATGAATATACATAGTATAATGAAAATATGTATGTATTATGTATGTATTAAAACTAGAGAAAGAATATGCATGCCCTAATGCCCAATTTTATTAAGAGTTTGGGGAGTAAAAGAAAGATCAAGAGTAATGCATTTTTGTATTATTATTTAGAGGTTACAGCCATATTATAAGTGAAATAATTGGAAGGAAATAAATTGGTTAACACAGTAGCATAACACCCTAAATCTATTATAACATATATATGTCATACATATATAGTACATATATATTATACATATGTATACACATATAATGCATACATATTATACATAGTGATATTAACACATATACATATACATATGTATACATATATTTTATATATATTATATGTATAGTGGGGTTAGAAGTGCCACCAAGTCTTACCAAATAAATCCAATGTCTTTGACTTTTGACCTTATTAGCACTGTAAAAATATACCATTTATCTTTTTACAATGAAACATTTTTAAAATTTTCTCTTAGTAATATTGCCTATTTAAGCAACTTTTTAAGATTTTATCTTAAATATGTCATAAAACCATTGGAGTGATTGGATACAACAGAGGCATGATGTTATGTTAAAATGATGATGTTACGATGATGTGGAGAGAGGCCTGTAGAGATGCAGAATATAGAATAGAGATCAGTTGGAAGGCTATTACAGTGAGATATTATGGAAGTTTGAGCAGGGAAAACAGTTGTGAAATTGGTGAAAAGTGGATAAATCGAGATATATTTTTAAGATGGAACTGATGGATTATATGTGGGGTGTAAAAAGGAAAAAAGAAGTCTATCAAGATTCTGTGATGTTTGGTCCACATATATAAGATGGGGAAAATTATGGGGGAGTATCATCGCCTATCTAACCAGTCATTGGAAATGTTCCAGACTCCTAGCTCTTTCTCACACCAAGAAACTGACAACAAAGTTTTATTATTTTTATCTCTTGAATATTCTGACAAATCCAACAGACTTCTTCACCCTCATTACTGCAACCACATTCAGGCTTCCTCATTCCTCATTTGAATGACCTACCAAGCACTCTTACAAATGATCTCTAGTTCATTTTCAAATGGACTACATGTTCCAAATCCACTCTCCACAAAAAGGAACCATTACATTCTGCTTGTAGGGTGTGTGGAAAAATGATAACAGATTGGACAATCTTTATCTGGCAAATTTTTGAGCTGCAGTTTTTATGTATGACATTATAAATAAGTGAAAGACAATAAAAATAGTTGACTGATCAGACACATCTTCTCTGTCTTACTGTGACTGTCTATCCAAGTCCCACCCTGTTGAGCTCAATTAAGCCTTCTGCTCCCTGGAAACATTAGGAGTTTCAAGTTTAGGATGTTGATTATATTGCTAATAAGAAAGGTATCCGGATTTGTAATTTATTGCAAACATATTAGAGATATAATAATGCCTGTATCCTAAATTTTTGAAGATTTTTAGGATTAATCTATTGATACATCACATTATCACATTTTTTGATATTTAACTGTCCTAAATAAAATATTAACAAAGTTAAACAAACACAAGTACACCATAATTAAATCCAGTTTAGCTCCAAAGTTTGAGATTTCTGGTTTATAGAGTGACTCCCCAAAATGTGTTCATTACTTTAACACTGTATTTTAAGATAGAAGTGTGTAGGGTCAATTTGAATAAACTACACAAAGCAATTACAAATGAAAATACTTAAAAATTTGGCATGGGCATATACAAAAATAACTACTTCTGTGAGCTTGAAAGTCCAAGAATTTAGTGAATGAACTAATGGATTTAACAGTTTGTAAAGGATTTGAAATATTTGAAATTAGAATATAACAAAATATAGAAGGAATTTTCAATAGCCCTTATCTTTTTATTCTCTGACAGAATAAGCTGACAGCTTCATAAGTATTACATCTCTAATGTAAATTATTACTTACCTATGGTGTATTCTAAAATAATCATGCTCAATTTCTTTTATTAGTCATTTGAATAAATGTGTTTTCACTGTAGTATTTTCAAATTAGTAAAGACCTTGCTTTGTGTTCTTAGGTATGTAACAAATTGACGGAGAAAAATGTTAACTTAATGTTTTTCATTGATGGATTGCGTGTGGTTTAAAATTATTATAACATTCAAAAATTTGTCGATAACATAAACTAAGCCTATGTTTATAATGATTGGTAAATAAATGATAATTACACACATAAAATTTTAAAGTGTTGCTTAATTTAATTGAAGGTAATTTTATTATCAATTATAGTAAGTGATTGAAGCAGATATAAATGAATTAGATGTGATCTGTGATCTACTGAATCATAGCAAATCTATACTTTAATATTTAAAAATAATCTTTTTAAGGACAGCACCCTTTTTATGCTGTCATTTAATAAAATTGCTATTTTACTCTTAAATATATTTAAGAAAAATTATTATATTAAACTGAGAGAACTGTTTAATATTTCAAAAAGTAAAAAATAAATTTAAGTGTTTATTCTATTAAAAAAGACTAAAGATTTTTTTTTTAATAATCAGTTTTTGACTTATTCACTGTTCACAAATTATGCGAACAACAACAGCAGAGAAAAGCCAAAACAACTACAAAACCACAAAGGCACTGCATGACTAGCAAAGTGAAATAAATGTAGGGACTCACATTTTGAGTCTATTCTTTGCAATGTATCCAGGGATGATTAAGATTGCTTCTATTGATAAGCATAGAACTCTTAGTGCCACTTCACCAAACCCATTCCAGGCAAGGAAGATACAGAAATGGTAAGTAGCAGAGGTTTGATGAGAATTTTTAAGTTTCATAGGTAAAGCACCTGGTGATATAAGACAGTTGCAATTAATGTACACCCAAACAGATTTGGGAGAGGTTATAATATGTAAATACTCTTACTCCTCTCTTTTTCTGCTACGTTCCCCTTTTTAAAATTTATATTTGCTCTCCAGTCCTTCAATGTTGGAATCTCCACTGTGCCTTCTTCAACTTGAAACATTTTAGTTAGCTGTGCTCACATTTAGATTCAATCCCATGTATGTATTTATCCATTCTGGATTGACTTGCATTTGCCAGCCAGTTCCACATTGATAAACCTGTCATCTGTGCTTATCAAATCTGTGTGTGACCTAGTTGGAGCATTCCTTTTCTGCTTCTAGACATTCTTTTAGGTCATGCATTCCCTATCTACATATCCAACCTGGCTCTTTGGCTGGGACTCTGATTGGCATAATTGTCAATTTCTAGAATAAGTAGGAATAAATTTATTTACAGCAGCTACATACAAAGTATGCTTCTTATATGGTCTTTCCAGTCTAAGCAAAAATTATTTTCTATCATTTGAAAGTCCAACCTAATACTAATAAACTATGAAGATGGTTTCTTAACTTGGAGTTAAATAAAAAGTAATCAGTGCACATTGTTACATTGGGAGAAAAGATATTTCTGATGTGATGAATAAATTTTTGGAGATAAATTAGCAGCATTACAAATTTTGCCATTGCTGTCAGTCACCTTGAGACAAGTAAAAGAAAAAAGATAATCTCATAATTAATAATATGTTAGCCACTTTTGTGTCTGACAATCTAGCAGACTATATTTCCTAGAATATCTTTTTAAAAAACAATTAAAAATAGTATAACCATGCAATGGGTTCATTTTGCCCATTTTCCAGATAGAGCTGATTTATCAAGACAGAGGAATTGCAGAAGAGTTTAGTTCATGCAGAGCTGAGTGAACCCAAGACCAGAGTTTTATTAGTACTCAAATCAGTCTTCCCAGAAATTCAGACTGGGTTCTTTAAAGATTAATTTAGTAGGTAGGGAGCCAGGCACTGGGGAGGGCTGATTGGTCAGATCCAAGATGTAATCATAGAAAGTCAAAGCTGTCCTCTTGTGCTGAATTAGTTACTGGGCGGGGGTCACAAGACCAAATGAGCCAGTTTATCAATCTGGGTGGCACTGGTTGATACATCAAGAGCAAAGTCTAAAAAATATCTTAAGCACCAATCTTAAGTTTTACACTAGTGATGTTATCCCTAGGAGCAACTAACAGGTTTAGAATCTTGTGACCTCTAGCTGCAGGTCTTCTAAACTATAATTTCTAATGTTGTGGCTACTTTGTTAGTCCTACAAAGGCAGTCTAGTCCCCAGGACAGAAGGGAGGGTGTTTCTGGAAAGGGCTGCTCTTATCTTTGTTTCAGAGTTAAACTATACTTTCCTCCCAAAGTTAGTTCAGCCTGTACCCAGTAGTGAACAAGAACAGCTTGGAGGTTAGAAGCAAGTTGAAGCTGGTTAGGTCTCATCTATTTTACTGTCATAATTCTCCCACTGTTTTAATTTTTGCAAAGGCAGTTTCAAACACTGAAACCTCTAATTTGCGTAGAACTAACTTTCAAATGCATAAGTAGGCTTAGGAAGAAATATAAAAAAAATTACAGTAATTTAAAGATTGCTATGGTAATTCCACACTAATTCTAAGATTCTAGAGTGATAAAAATAAACTGGAAATGTAAATATGCCTTCCAGTGAGCATTAATCAACTTCTTTAATCAAGAGATTTGGGATAGAAGACACATTTTAGGTTCTTGCAAACTATGAATATAAGATTCCTGCAAAAACCTGAGACCTTTAAATGTTTACAAACTCAGTTAAAGGTCTAGAAAAAACATTCCCTCCATTAATGGCAGATGGTAGGGGCAGCCTCTGTCTACTTATAAGGATAAAAATAAAAAACTATCTCCTGATATTTTTTAATGGCAGACCTCCTTTTAGCATAGCTGGTAATTTTTAAATTTATACTAACTACCTGACCCAAGAAACCCCAAATTAAGAAGCTAATTTAGATTGGCTTTTGTTGTTAATTCACCAGGGTGCCTGGTAAAAGCAAAAGCAAACGTTCTTTGGAGGAACAAATGATGGACGCAACACTCACAAATTTCCAAAGAGGAAGCCCGTGCAAATATAGGATCATGAAAGAGGGAGAGAGAAAAATTTTAGACGTCTCTTCCATATGCCACTTACGTAGAATTTTGGCATGTCAAAAATAATGAAATATACTATTACTTTGTATAGAATGTAAAACAAATAGGTAAAATATTTTAATAAATAAAAAGAGCATAAAATCATGAGAAGGAAGATGCTATTCACAAAAATACAGAATAGATAGGAAAAATAACCAACTAGGACTGAAACAATAGGATAGTTGGAATTAAAACTCAGTTTATATTCTGGTTTTCATTTTCCAACGTAAGGAGCTTGAAAATTGACACTTCAAACTAACAAGTAAAACGTTGAACAAACTGAAAAATCAACAACTCTTCTTAGATCCATAAGAGAAATGAGGTCACAGGGCAAACTGCTGTTCCTCAAAATTGGAGAGACAAGAGAGGCAGAAGCAGAGAATCACACCATACCTTAAAAGAAACCTCTACTAGTAACATCGCTGGTGTAGGAAAACTTGAACTGTAATTGACAAATTGCTGGAGGTTAGGAGTGGACAAATCTGAGTTAAAAATTCCCAGGGAATGCAGTCATACAAGGGAACCAACAAATGTGAGTTTTACCTTCAATAGCTTGATCAGGTCTTTATAATAAATATCAGAAAAAAAATACCCTCATGCTTCTAGCAGAGGAAAGGGTAAAGGAACCATTCTGATATATGCCAGAGCATTCCATCCTTAACAAGGTTTGCCTTCAGAAGAAACTACCTTACCAGAGCCTAACCTACTGGGATTATATCAGAGACTGATCTGAGTGAAAGAAAATGGCTCACTTCAGGGCAGCGTACCCATATTGTCCCAGCGAATGGGGAAGGAAAAAAACCCTGAGAAACACTTACGAAATTCACAGTTCAGAAGTAGAGGCACAATAAAAGATTAAGATCTAATCATAGGACTATAGATTTCTTCCTCTCTCTCCACATCACATTACTAAAGGCTTATTTACAGCATTTCTATTCACCCAGTACATTACATCTGGCTATCAAAAAAAAAAAAAAAAAAAATGAAGGCATGCTAAAAGGCAAAAACCGCAGTTCAAAGAGACAGAGCCAGCATAACAAGCAGACATGGCAGGGACATTGAAATTATCTAAAAGGGAATTTAAAACAACTTATTATTAGTATGCTAAGGGCTGTAATGGATAAAGTAGACAGCATGCCATAACAGATAGGCAATTTAAGCAAAGAGATGGAAATCTGAGAAAGAAGCAAAACAAAAAGTTAGAGATAAGAAAAACCATAAAAGAAAGAAAAAATGTCTTTGATGAGATTATTAATAGACTAAATGTATCTGAAGAAAGAATCTCTGAGCTTGAGGATATATCACTAGGAACTTCCAAAACAGAAAAGAAAAGAGAACAAAGGCTCAAGTAACCAGCACAGAATACCCAAATATCATGAGACAACTCCAAAATTTATAACTTAAGCAGAATAGAAATAACCAAAAGAGAAGAACTTAACAAATAATCATTATGGAAACAATAACAACTGAAAATTTCCCTAAATTAATGTCAGACAGAAAATAACAGATCCATGGAGTCCAGAGAGTATTAAGCAGAACTGATGTCAAAAAATCCACACCTAAGCATATCATTTTAAACTATAGAAAATCAAAGATACAGAGAAAAATACCTTAAAAGAAGTTAGAGGAAAAGCAATACCTTACTTATGGAGAAGCCAAGATAAAAATTATGCGTGCTTTTTCTTAGAAGTCATGCAAGAAAAAACACAGTGGAATAAAATACTAAAGTGTTAAGATTTTTTTAAAAAAGGAATCACACCAACCTAGATTTCTATATTCGAAAAATTAATCTTCAGAAGTGAAGAATTGACAAACCCATAACTAACATCATACTGAATAGAGAAATGCTGAAACCCCTTCCTCTAAGAAATGGAACAAGTATGCCTACTTTCGTTACTTCTGTTCTACATAGTACTGGAAGTCCTAGCCAGATCACTCAGGGAAGAGAAGAAAATAAAAGGCATACAAATTTTTTAAGTGATTGTCAAATTGTTTCTTTTTTCAGATAACATGATCTTATACTTAGAAAAACCTAAATATTTCCCCCACAAAAACTTTTAGATATGATAAACAAATTTGATAAAGTTGTAGGGTACAAAAGCAACATACAAAAATTAGTAGAGTTTATTTATAGTAGTAATGAACTACCTGAAAAAGTATTCAACTAGCAATTCCATTTACAATAGCTAAATTTAATCAAGGAAATGAATGACTTCTACAAGGAATATTAAACATACTGATGAAAATAACGGAAGACAAGCAAATGTATTGGCATTTCATGGTCATAGATCAAAAGGATTAATATTGTTAAAATGACCAAACTACCCAAAGCAATTTACAGATTCAATGCAATCTCTATCAAAATACCAATGATGTTTTTCACAGAAATATAAAAAAAATCTTAAAATATGTATGAGACACAAAAAAAGCCTCAATAGCTAAAGCAATTCTGAGTAAAAAGACCAAAGCTGGAGGCATCACATTACCTGACTACAAATATATTACAAGGTTATAGTAAACAAATAGCATGGTATTGGTATAAAAACAGACACACAGGCTGATGAAACAGAATAGAAAACCCAGATTTAAAACCACATATTTACAGCTAATTGATTTTTAGCAAAGGCCAAGAATACGCATTAAGGAAAGGACATTCTCTTCCATAAATTATGCCAAGAAAACTGGATTTCCATATGCAGAAGAATGCAACTAAACTTCTATTTTTTACCATATAATCAACTCAAAATGGAGCAAAGACTTAAACATAAGACTCAAAATTATAAAACTATCAGGAGAAAAGATAGGGGAAACCCTCTAATACATAGACGTAGGGAAAGATTTTATGGGTAAGACCTCAAAAACACAGCAACAAAACAAAAAATAGACAAAGGGGATTATATTAAATGGAAAAGCTCTTATACAGCAAAGGAAACCATAAACAGAGTGAAGATGCCACCTGTTAAAAGACAGAAAATATTTGCAAACTAGACATCCAACAATGGACCCAGAATATACAAGGAACTCAAACGACTCAACAGAAAAAAATTATAAAGTAGGTAAGGGATCTAAATAGACATTTCTCAAAAGAAAACATAAAATGGTACCAACAAGTTTATTAAAAAATGCTCAACATGACTAATCAGCAAAGAAGTGGAAATCAAAACCACAATAAGATACCTCATCTTAGTTAATATAGCTATTAATATTATCAGAAAGACAAAAATAACAAATGCTAGTGAGGATGTGAAGAGAAGAAAACTTATACATTGTTGGTTAAAATGAGTATTGGTTCAGTCATTATGGAAAAGAGTGTTAGTTTCTAAAAAAAAAAAAACTACACTAAAAATAGAACTATAATAAAATCTAGAAATTCCACTATTAGGTATTTATCCAAAGGAAAAGAAATCAATATATCCAAGGGATACCTGCAAACTCATGTTTATTGCAGCACCATTCACAATAGCAAAAACATGGAATCAATGTAACTGTTCATCAATGAATAAAAGAATAAAGAAAATGTACCCTATTTATGAGAGGAATTTAAAGTTTATTGAAAATTGAATTAAAATATAAAAATAAAAAAACTTTATTTCTAACACAGGCTTCATCAAGGTCAAGACACTTTCGTAAGCAATGACAATAGCCATTTAGTCCACTCATAAAGAACTGACAGTCTTGGGAACTTAACCATGTCAATGTAGCCCTTTTTAAAGTGTAAACTCAAAAACATGGGTGCCCTTTACAGATTTTTAAGATTAGGAGACAAAAAAAGGAGGCAAATCAGGACTATAAGGAGCCAAATCAGGACTTTAAGGTAAATGTCTAATGAGTTTCCATGAAAGCTCTCACAAAATTGCGCTTGTTTGGTGAGAGGAATGAACAGAAGCATTGTCACGGTGGGAAGAATACTCTGGTAAAGTTTTCCTGGGTATTTTTCTGCTATAGCTTTGCATAAATTTTTAAAAACATTGTCCTTATAAGGAGAGGTATTCATCGTTTAGCCCTCAAGAAAGTTAACAGAAAAATGCCTTGATCATTCCATAAATTGTTGCCATAAACATTTCTGCTGACCAGTCTACTTTTGCTTTGACTGGACCACTTTCACCTCTTAGTAGCTATTGCTTTAATTGTGCTTTGTCTTCAGGATCATACCGGTGAAGCCATGTTTTATCTCCTGTTACAATTCTTTCAGAAAACGCTTCAGGATCTTGATCTTTCTTTAAAATCAACATTGAAAGCTCTGCTCTTAGCTGCAACTGATCTGAGTGCAATGAATTTGGCACTCACTGAACAGAAAGTTTTTCAACTTTATTTTTTCAGCCAGGATTGTGTAAGCTAAATTTAATTGAGATGTCTATAATTTTGGTTGTTATCTCTTCTGTTACTTGTTTGCCCTCTTTAGTTATGGCATAAACAAGATGAATTTTTTCCTCACAAATTGGTATAGGTGGTCAGCTGCTATGGGTTCCATCTTTGACATCATCTCATCCCTTCTTAAAATGCATTATCCATTTGTAAACTTCTGGTTTCTTTGGAGTAGTATTCCTATAAACTTTTGATAAAGCATGATGATTTCACCTTTCTTTTACACAAGAGTCACCATAAATTTCATGTTTGTTCTTACTTCAATTTTAGCAGAATTTATGCTGCTCTGATCGGGCCTCATGTTTTATCCTTCTTAGTGCTTGAAACTAGGTCCTACTCAGATATGTTATATAACTTATTGCAAATTTAATTTGATGCAATAAAATTTTAAAAATATGCATAGATTTTATTCATAATACATGTTTCTCTGGAACGTTTTGAATGATTCCCTGTATGCAGTAGAAAACAGTTTGGCCATAAATAAATTCAGTCATCTGCAATGACAGGGATAGAACATGAGGCTAATATATTAGGTGAAATAAGCCAGACGCAGAAAGCCAAACATGGCATGTTCTCACACATATGTAGGGGGTAAAAAAGTTAATCTCATGAAGGTAGAGATTAGAATGATTACCAGAGGCTGGAAAGGGTGTGTAGGGGTAGGGAACAAAAATACATTGGCTAATGGATAGAAACATAGAGTTAGAAAGAAGGAATATAGTCTAATGTCTTCTAGCAGAGTAAGGTGACTATAGTTAACAACAATATATTATATATTTCAAAATAGCTACAAGAGAAGACTTTAAATTTCTGAAACACACAGAAATAGTAAATGCTTGAGGTGAGAGATACCCTAAGTACTCTGAGTTGATCATTACACATTCTATACATGTAACAGATATATATCCGCTAAATATATACAAATATTATATCTCAGTAAAATTTTAAAAAATATTATGAACATAAAACAACTTGTCAAAATTTACGGGATGCAGCAAAAGTAATGCTTAGATAAAAATTTATAATATTGAATGTGTATAGTAAAGAGAAGAAAGATTGAAAAATCAGTCATCTAAGCCTCTAACTAACAAAGTAGGGAAATAATAGCAAATTGAATTCAAAGTAGGCAGAAGAAAAAAATAAAAAATTGGAGCAGAAATTAATAAAATGGAAAACATAAAACCAATGGAACAAATCAATGAAATCCAAAGCTGGTTTTTAAAATGACAAATAAAGTGGATAATATGCTCCCATTATAACTAGGAAAAAAGGAGAGATGACACAACTTACTAGTGTCAGAAATAAAGGGGAGACATCACTGAAGATTCCATGGACATTAAAAAGATAATAAATAAATAAATAATATGAACAGCTTTATGCCTTTAAGGTCGCTAACCTAGATTAAATGACCAATTTTCTGAAAGACAGGGCCCACCAAAACTCACACAATAAGAAATAGACAATCTAATTAGGCTATATCTATTAAGAAATTGAATCAATAAATAATGAGCTTTCAAAGGAGAAATCACCAGACCCAGATGGGTTCATTGGTAAATTTTACACAAGTTTTAAGCAATAAATTATACCAATTCTTTACAATCTCTTTCAGAAGATGGAAGCAGTAAAAATGCATCCTAACTCATATTATATAATTTACACTTATACAAAAACAGTCAAACACATTACAATCAAAGTCATTACAAGAAAAGGTTATTATTCCTCATGAAAATACAAGCAAAAATCCTCAACAAAGTATTAGCAGGCTGAATCCAACAATATACAAAAATAATTAAACATCACAACCAAGTAAGTTTTATTCCTGGTATGCAAAGCTGGTTCAATATTCAATAATCAATTAATGTAATCAATAATATCAGCAGACTAAAAAAGAAAAATGATCATATCAATAAATGTAGAAAATGTATTTGACAAAGTCTAACATCCATTTATTATAAAAATGCTCAATAAACTAGGAATAAAAGGAATCTTCCTCATTTCATGAAGAATATCTACAAAACTATGGAGATAATATAATACTTAACAGCAAGAAACTAGAAACTTTTAAAATAAGATTAGGAGGAAGGCAAGAATGCACCCTCTTGGAACTCTTTTTCAACATTATATTGGAAGTCCTAGCTAATGAAATGAAAAAAAAGAAAAAGGTGTACACATTGAGAAAAGAGAAATAAAACTGTTTTTGTTTTCAGATGATATGATTATCTATGTAGAACATTCAACAAAATTGGAACAAAAAAATAAGAAAGAACACCTGGAACTAATAAATAATTATAAAATGGTTGCTGGATACAAGGTTAATACACAAAAATCAAACACTTTCCTATATAATAGCAACAAACAAGAGGACTATGAAATTTAAAACATAATACCATTTACATTATCACAACAAAAATGAAATACATAGGTATAAATCTAACAATATATGCAAAATATAATAAGATCTATTTGATAAAAACTATAAGACATTGAATAAAGAAATCAAAGAACTAAATAGATGAAGAGATAGTCTGTATTCATAGATTAAAAGACAATATTGTCAAGACGTGAGTTGTTACCACCTTTGCCTATAAATTAAATGCAACTCCAATAAAAATCACAGCAAATTATTTGGTTGATATCAAAAAACTAATTCTAAAGTCTATTTGAGGAGGAAAAAGATCCAGAATAGCCAACATAATTTTAAAGAAGAACAAAGTTATAGGACTGATACTACTTATATTCTACAGTTACTATAAAGCTACAATAATCAAGACTGTAGTATTGATGGATTAATAAACAAATGGGTCAATGGAATAGAATAGAAAGTCCAGTAATAGACCCACACAAATATAGTCAACTGATCTTTGACAAAGGAGCAAATGCAATATAATAAAGAAAAGATAGTTTTTCTGGCCAAGATGGCTTACCAGAAGCAGCTGCAGTGTGTGGCTCTTACCAAAAAAAATGAAAATCACAAGTTAATTCTGCACCTTCAACTGAGGTATTCAGGTTCTCTCATCATGACTAGGCAGTTGTTGTGACCCACGGAGAGCAAGGAAAAGCAGGGTGGGGCAACAGCCCACCTAGGAGCTACACGGGGTAAGGGGAGCTCCCTTCCCCCGCCAGGCAAGAGAGGCGGTAAGTGATTGTGCTATGCCCCCTGGGAAACCATGCTTTTGCCATGGACCTTTGCAACTCAGAAAATAGGAGATTCCCCTTGTGAGCCCACGTCACCAGGGCCTTTGGCCCCAACCACAGAGCTGTACAGACTCCCCAGACTCTGTTCGGCAGTCGCTCTGGCAGGCACTGAGACGCAGGAGTTCTTTTGCATACTTTGTCCTCAGGAATTCCAGTGAGGCAGGAGATTGTTCACTTCTTTAGGAAGAGGGCTGAAGCCAGGGAGCCAAGTGGCATCATTCAGCGGGCCCCAATCCCACGAAACCTTACCAACTAAGACCCGCTGGCTTGGAAAGCTTGCCAGACAGTGGCAGCAGGCTGGAGAATTCCAAAAACGACTGAGTTCCCAGGGAGAGGGACAGCCACCACTGTCTCTGAGTCTCCAGTCGGCTGTTTTCCCCTGTCGGTGCTGGGGAGACTGGGTGGTTAGGACCAGGAGGAATTCCCCACAGTGCACCACAGCAGTTGTGGCAGATCATGGCCAGACTGCTTCTTTAAGTGGAAGCCCAATCCATCCCTCAACATCAGGCAAAGCCTCCCCATGGGAATTTCAGCAACTCCAGCCAAGGGTTTACGAACAGAACTCTAATCTGTGGGGAGGGGCAGGCATGGTCTTTGCAGTTCAGTCTACTTAGTCTTTCCTGACAGCTGGCTCAGAAGAGTCCAGACAGCCCGAACACAGGTGATTTGCCCCAGCACAGTATACCTGCTCCACCAAAGGGCAGCAAGACTGCTTTTAAAGTGAATCTCTGATCCCTTTTCTTCTGTCTGAGTGAGACCACCCAACAGTGGTTGCCAGACACCTTATACAGGAACATTCCAGCCAGCATCAGGTTAGTGCCCTCTGGAATGGAGCCCCCATAAAAGGAGCACGCTGCCATCTTTGCTGTTTTGCAGACTCCACTGGTGACACCTCCAGGTGTGGGATGGACCCAAGTGAATAGGGTCTGGAGTGGACCCCCAGCAAATCGCAGCAGCCCTATGGAAGAGAGGCCAGATTTAAAATTAAAAACAGAAAGCAACAACAACAACATCAACAAAAAAGACCCCACAAAAAAACCCCATCCAAAGGTCAGCAGCCTCAAAGAACAAAGCTAGATAAATCCACAAAGGTGATAAAGAATCTGTGCAAAAATGTAGAAAATTCAAAAAGCCAGAGTGCCTTATCTACTCCAAATGATCGCAACACCTCTCCAGCAAGGGCACAGAACTGGTCTGAGGGTGAGAAGGATGAATGAAAGATGCAGGCTTCAGAAGGTGGGTAATAACAAACTTTGCTGAAGTAAAGCAACATGTTCTAACACAATGCAAACCATGATAAAACATTACAGGAGCTGATAACCAGAATAAACAGTTTAGAGAGGAACATTAAATTACCTGATGGAGCTGAAAAACACAACACGAGAACTTCACAATGCGATCACAAATGTCAGTAGTTGAATAGATCAAGCAGAGGACAGAATTTCAGAACTTAAAGATTATCTTACTGAAATAAGACAGGCAGACAAGATTAGAGAAAAAAAATTAAAAGAAACAAAACCCTTAGGCAGGCGGATCACAAGGTCAGGAGATCGAGATCATCCTGGCTAACATGGTGAAACCCTGTCTCTACTAAAAATACAAAAACGAAATTAGCCGGGCGTGATGGTGGGCACCTGTAGTCCCAGCTACTCAGGAGGCTGAGGCAGGAGAATGGTGTGAACCCAGGAGGCGGCGCTTGCAGTGAGCAGAGATCACGCCACTGCACTCCAGCCTGGGCAACAGAGCAAGACTCCATCTCAAAAAAAAAAAAAAAAAAAAAAAAAAAAAGAAACAAAACCCTTGAGAAATGTGGGATTATGTAAAAAGACTAAACCTATGACTGATTGGGGTACCTGAAAGAGATGGGGAGAATGGAACTACGTTGGAAATGATACCTCAGAATTATCATCCAGAAGAATATTCCAACCTAGCAAGGCAGGCCAACATTCAAATTTAGGAAATCCAAAGAATCCCAGTGGGATTCTCCACAAGAAAATCAACCTCAAAACAAATAATCATTAGATTCTCCAAGGTTGAAAGGAAAGAAAAATGTTAAGGTCAGCCAGAGAGAAAGGACAGGTCACCTACAAAGAAAAGCTCATTAGACTAATGGTGGATCTCTCAGCAGAAACCCTACAAGCCAAAAGAGTTTAGGACAAATATTCAACATTCTTAAATGAAAGAATTACCACCCCAGAATTTCATTTCTGGCCAAATTAAGCTCCATAAGCAAAAGAAAATAAGATCCTTTACGGACAAGCGAATGTTAAGGGAATTCATCGCCACCAGGCCTGCCTTGCAAGAGCTCCTAAAGGAAGCACTAAATACAGAAAGGAAAAACTGTTACCAGACACTACAAAAACACACTGAAATTCACAGACCAATCACACTATGAAGGAGTTACATAAACAAGTCTACAAAATAACAAGCTAGCATCATCATGACAGGACCAAATCATACATAACAATATTAACCTTAAATGTAAATGGACTAAATCCTCCGATTATAAGACACAGAATGGCAGAATGGATAAAAACCCATTGGTGTGCTGTATTCAAGAAACACTTTTCATGTACAAAGACACAAATAGGCTGAAAAAAAGTAATGGAGGAAAATTTACTAAGAAAATGGAAAACAGAAAAAAAGTAAGGGTTGGAATCCTAGTTTCTGACAAAACAGACTTTAAACTAACAAAGATCAAAAAATACAAAAAAGAGGAATACAAAATGGTAAAGTGTTTGATTCAACAAGAAGAGCTAAATATCCTAAGTATATATGCACACAATATAGGAGAACCCAGATTTATAAATGGGTTCTGAGAGACCAAGAAAGAGACTTACACTCCCACACAATAATAGTGAGAGACTTCAACTATAAATATTAGACAGATCATTAAGACAGAAAATGAACAAACATATTAAGTATCTGAACTCAGCTCTGGATCAAGTGAACCTCATAGGTATCCACAAAACTCTTTGCCCCAAAACAACAGAATATACATTGTTCTCATCACTGCATGGCACTCACTGTAAAAGTGATTATATAATTGAAAGTAAATCACTCCTCAGCAAATGCAACAGAACTGAAATCATAATGAACAGTCTCTCATATTACATCTCAATTAAATTAAAACTCGAGATAAAGAAACCCACTCCAAACCACACAACTACATGGAAATTGAACAAGCTGCTCCTGAATGACTCATGGTAAATAATAAAATGAAGGTAGATGTCAAAAAGTTTTTTGAAACTAATGAGAAGAAAGAGACAACATATGAGAATCTCTGGGATGCAGCTAAAGCAGTGTTAACAGGGAAATTTATATCATGAAATGCCCTATCAAAAACCCAGAAAGATCTCAAATTGACATCCTAAAATCACAACTAAAAGAACTAGAGAACCAAGAGCAAACGAACCACAAAACTAGCAGAAGATAAGAAATAACCAAGATCAGAGCAGAACTGAAGCAGATAGAGACATGAAAAACCGTTCAAATATCAATAAATCCAGGAGCTTTTTCTTTTGAAAAATTAACAAAAGATAGACCACTAGCTAGACTAATAAAGAAGAAAAGAGAGAAGAATCAAATATACACCAATCAGAAATGATAAAGGGGATATCACCACTGACTCCACAGAAATACAAACAACCATCAGAGAATATTATATACACCTCAGTGAAAATGAAGTAAAAAAAATGGAAGAAATGGATACATTCTTGTAGGCATACATCCACCCAAGACTGAACCAGGAAGAAGTTGAATCCCTGAATAGACCAATAACAAAATCTGATATTAAGGCAGTAGTAAATAGCCTACCAAGCAAAAAAAGCCCAGGACTAGATGGATTTACAGCAGAATTTTACCAGAGGTAAAAAGAGAAGCTGGTAGCATTTCTTTTGAAACTATTCCAAACAATTAAAAAGGAGGGGCTCCTCCCTAACTCATTTTATAGGGTGATATGATTGCCTGTGTCCCCACCCAAATCTCATCTTGAATTGTAGCTCACACAATTCCATGTGTTGTGGGAGGGACCCAGTGGGTGGTAATTGAATCATGGGGGTGAGTCTTTCCTGTGCTATTCTCATAATTGTGAATAAGTCTCATGAGATCTGATGGTTTTATAAAGGGGAGTTTTCCAGCACACGTTCTCTTCTCTTGTCTGCCACCGTGTGAGATGTGCTTTTCACTTTACACCAAGATTGTGAGGCCTCCCCACCCACATGAAACTGTGAGTCCATTAAACCTCTTTCTTTTGTAAATTTCCCAGTCTTAGCTATGTCTTTATCAGCAGCATGAAAATGGACTAATACAGTAAATTGGTAGCAGTAGAGTGGGGGCACTGCTGAAGATACCCCAAAATGTGGAAGCAGCTTTGGAACTGGGTAAGAGGTGTAAGTTGGAGCAGTTTAGAGGACTCAAAAGAAGACAGAAAAATATGGGAAAGTTTGGAACTCCCTAGAGAGTTGTTGAATGGCTTTGACCAAAATGCTGATGATGATATGAACAATGAAATCCAGGCAGAGGTGGTCTCAGATGGAGATGAGGAACTTGCTGGGAACTGGAGTAAAGGTGATTCTTGCTATGTTTTAGCAAAGAGACTGGGGCATGTTGCCTCTGCCCTAGAGACTTGTGGAACTTTGAACTTGGGAGATATGATTTAGGGTATCTGCTGGAAGAAATTTCTAAGCAGCAAAACATTCAACAGGTAACTTTGTTGCTGTTAAAGACATTCAGTTTTAACAGTTCAGAAAATTTCCATCCTGACAATGCCATACAAAACAAAATCCCATTTTCTGAGGAGAAGTACAGCTGGCTGCAGAAATTTGCAAAAGTAATGAGGAGCCTAAGGTTAATCACCGAGACAATGGAGAAGTCTCCAGGGCATATCAGAGGTCTTGATAGCAGCCCCTCCCATCACAGGCCCAGAATCCTAGGAGGAAAAAAATGGTTTATTGGGCCAGGCCCTGGGTTCCTCTGCTGTGTGCAGTTAGGGACTTAGTGCTCTTTGTCCCAGCCACTTCAGACATTAATAAAAGGGGACAAAATACAGCTTGGGCCATGGCTTGAGAGGGTGTAACCCTCGTCTTATCAGCTTCCACATGTTGTTGAACCTGAGGGGGCATAGAAGTCAAGAATTGAGGTTTGGGAACCTCTGCCTAGAATTCAGAGGATCTATGGATATGCCTAGATGTCCAGGCAGAAGTCTACTGCAGGGGTGGGGGCCTTGTGAAGAACTTTTGCTAGGGCAGTACAGAAGGGAAATGTGGGGTGGGTGCCCCAACACAAAGTCCCCACTGGGATGCTGCCTAGTGGAGCTGTGAGAAGAAGGCCACTGACCTTCGGACCTCAGAATGGTAGATCCACGGACAGCTTGCACTGTGCAACTAGAAAAGCTGAACTCACTCAACACCAACCTGTGAAAGCAGCTGGGAGGGAGGCTGTGTCCTGCAAAGCCACCAGGGTGGAGCTTCCCAATACCATGGGAACCCACCTCTTGCATCAGCAAGGCACAGATGCAACACATGGAGTAGAAGGAGAAAAAGCTCATTTTACAGCTTTGAGACTTGGCTGCCCTGCTGGATTTCAGACTTTCATGGGGCCTGTAGCACCTTTGTTTAGCCAATTCCTACCATTTGGAATGGCTGTATTTACCCAATGTCTGTACCCCCACTGTATCTAAAAAGTAACTAACTTGCTTTTGATTTTTACAGGCTTACAGGCGGAAGAGACTTGCCTTGACTCAGATGAGACATTGGACTGTGGACTTTTGAGTTAATGCTGAAGTGAATTCAGACTTTCAGGGACTGTTGGGAAGGCATGATTTGTTTTGAAATGTGAGGACATGAGATTTGGGAGGGGCCAGCAGTAGAATGATGTGGTTTGGCCCCACCCAAATCTCATCTTAAATTGTAGCTTCCACAGTTACCACATGTTGTGGGATGGACCTGGTGGGAGGTAATTGGATCATAGGGGCAGGGATTTTCCATGCTGCTATCATGAAAGTGAGTTAGTCTCAACAATATCTGAAGTTTTTTAAAGGAGAGTTTCCCTGCACAAATTATCTTCTCTTGTCTGCCACCATGTAAGATATGCCTTTCACCTTCTGCCATGACTGTGAGGCCTCCTCATCCACATGAAACTGTGAGTCTGTAAACCTCTTTCTTTTGTAAATTTCCCATTCTTATGCATGTCTTTATCAGCAGTGTGAAAATGGACTAATACATGAGGCCAGCATCATCCTGATACCAAAACCTGACATAGATACAACCAAAAAATAAAACTTCATGCCAACATCCCTGATGAACTTCAATGCAAAAATCCTCAATAAAATACTGGCAAACTGAATCCAGCAGCACATCCAAAAGCTTATCCACCATGATCAAGTCAGCTTCATTCCTGGGATGCAAGGTTGGTTCAACATATGCAAATCAATAAATGTAATTTATCACATAAACAGAACTAAAGACCAAACCACATGACTATATCAATAGATGCAGAAAAGGTCTTTGATAAATTCAACATCCCTTCATGTTAAAAACTCTCAATAATCTAGATATTGAAGGAACATACATCAAAATAATGAGCCATTTATGACAAGCCCACAGCCAATATCATACTGCATGGACAAAAGCTGGGAGCATTCCCACTGAAAACTGGTACAAGACAAGAATTCCCTCTCTGATCACTCTTATTTAACATAGTGTTGGATGTTTAGGCCAGGGGAATCAGGTAAATGAAAGAAATAAAGGATATTCAAATAAGAAGTGAAGAAGTCAAATTGTCTTTGTCTGTAGATGACATGAGCCTCTATCTAGAAAACCCCATTGTCTCAGCCTAAAAGCTTCTTAAGCTGATAAGTAACTTCAGCAAAATCTCATGATATAAAATCAATGTGCAAGAATTACAAGTAGTCCAATACACCAACAACAGACAAGCAGAGAGACAAATTATGAATGAACTCCCTTTCCCAATTGCTACAAAGAGAATACAATGCCTCAGAATATACCTAACAAGGGAAGTGAAGGGCCTCTTCAAGAAGAACTACCAACCACTGCTGAAGAAAATCAGGGAGGATCAAACAAATGGAAAAACCTTCAATACCCATGATAGGAAATATCAATATTGTGAAAATGGACATACTGCCCAAAGTAATTTTTAGATTCAATGCTATTCCCGTTAAACTACCATTGATATTCTTCAAAGAATTGGAAAAAACTATTTTAAAATTTCTATGGAACCAAACAAAGCTTGTAGAGCCAAGACAATTCTAAGCAAAAAGAACAAAGCTGGAGGCATCATGCTACCTGACCTCAAATTATATTACAAGGCTACAGTAACCAAAACAGTATGGTATTGTTACAAAACAGACACATAAACCAATGAAACAGAATAGAGAAGTCAGAAATAAGACCTCACATCTACAACCATATAATCTTTAACAAACCTAACAAAAACAAGCAACAGGGAAGTTAGTCCCTATTTAATAAATGGTGCCGGGTAAACTAACTAGCCATATGTAGAAAATTGAAACTGGACCCTTTCATTACACCTTGTACAAAAATTAACTACAGATGGATTAAAGGCTTAAATGTAAAACCAAAAACTGTAAAAATCCTAGAAGAAAATTTAGGCAGTATTATTCAGGACATAGGCACGGGCAAGCATTTCATGACAGAAACACCAAAAGCAATTACAACACAAGCAAAAATTGGCAAATGAGATCTAATTAAACTAAAGAGTTTCTGCATAGCAAAATAAATTATTATCAGAACAAACAGACAACCTACAAATGGGACAAAATGTTTGCAATCTATCCATCTGACAAAGGTTTAGTATCCAGAGTCTACAAAGAACTTAAACAAATTTACAAGAACAAAAAAATTCCATTGAAAATTAGGCAAAGGACATGAACAGACTCTTCTTAAAACAAGACATATATGCAGCAAATAAACATATAAAAAGAAGCTCAACATCACTCATCATTAGATAAATGCAAATCATTTCTTTTTTTTAATTTCTTCTTCTAAAAAAATGGGATACATGTGCAGAATGTGCAGGTTTGTTACATAGGTATATGTATGACGTATGCCATAGTGGTTTGCTGCACCTATTCACCCATTCTCTAAGCTCTCTCTCCTTACCCCGCACCCTGCAACAGGCCTTTGTGTGTGTTGTTTCCCTCTCTGTGTCCATGTGTTCTCAATGTTCAACTCCCACTTATGAGTGAGAACATGAGGTGTTTGGTTTTTCTATTCCTGTGTTAGTTTGCTGAGGATGATGGCCTCCAGCTTCATTCATGTCCCTGCAAAGGACATGTTCTCTTTCCCTTTTGGGTGCATACTATTCCATGGTGTATACACACCACATTTTCTTCACCCAATCTATCATTGATGGGCATTTGGGTTGGCCATATCTTTTCTATTGTAAATAGTGCTGCAATAAACATACATGTCCATGTGTCTTTATAGTAGAAAGATTTATATTCATTGGGTATATACCCAGTAATGGGATTTCTGGGTCAAATAGTATTTCTGGTTCTAGATCCCTGAAGAATCACCATACTGTCTTCAACAATGATTTAACTAATGTACATTACCATCAACAGTGTAAAAGTGTTCCTATTTCTCCACAGCCTCTCCAGCATCTATTGTTTCCTGACTTTTTAATAATTGCCATTCTGACTGGCATGAGATAGTATCTCATTGTGGTTTTCATTTGCATTTCTCTGATGATCAGTGAGGTTGAGCTTTTTTTCATGTTTGTTGGCCGCATAAATGTCTTCTTTTGAGAAGTGTCTGTTCATATCCTTTGCCCACTTTTTGATGGGGTTGTTTGTCTTTGTCTTGTAAATAATTTTAAGTTTCTTGTACATTCTGGGTATTAGACCTTTGTGAGATGGATAGATTGCAAAAAATTTCTCCCATTCTATAGATTGCCTGTTTGTTCTGATGATAGTTTATTTTGCTGTGCAGAAGCTCTTTAGTTTAATTAGATCCCATTTATCAATTTTGGCTTTTGTTGCAATTGCTTTTGGTGCTTTTGTCATGAAGTCTTTGCCCATGTCTATGTCCTGAATGGTATTGCCTAGGTTTTCTTCTAGGGTTTTTATGGTTTTGGGTTTTACTTTTAAGTCTTTAATCAATCTCAAGTTCATTTTTGTATAAAGTGTAAAGAAGGAGTCCAGTTTCAGTTTTCTGCATACGGCTAGCCAGTTTTCCTGGCACCATTTACTGAATAGGAGATTCTTTCCCCATTGCTTGTTTTTGTCAGGTTTGTCAGAGATCAGATGGTTGTAGAGGTGTGGTATTATTTCTGAGGTCTCTATTCTGCTGCATTGGTCTATATGTCTGTTTTGGTGTCAGTACCATGCTGTTTTGGTTACTGTAGGCTTGTAGTATACTTTGAAATCAGATAGCATGATACTTCCGCCTTGCTTCTTTTGCTTAGAATTGTCTTGGCTATATGGGGTCTTCTTTGATTTCATATCAAATTTAAAATTCTTTTTTCTAATTCTGTGAAGAATTTCAATGGTAGTTTGATGGGAATAGCATTAAATCTATGAATTACTTTGGGCAGTATGGCCATTTTCACGATATTGATTCTTCTTATCCATGAGGATAGCATGTTTTTCCATTTGTTTGTGTCCTCTCATTATTTCCTTGGGCAGTGGTTTGCAGTTCTCCTTGAAGAGGTCCTTCACATCCCTTGTTAGCTGTATTCGGAGTTATTTTATTCTCTTTTTAGCAATTGTGAGTGGGAGTTCATTCATGATTTGGCTGTCTGCTTGTGTATTGTTGGTGTAAAGTAATGTTTGTGATTTTTGCACACTGATTTTATACCCTGAGACTTAGCTGAAGTTGATTACCAGTTCGAGAAATTTGTGGGTTAATAGAGTTTCTAAGTATAAAATTTTTCATCTGTAAACAGAGACACTTGATTTCCTCTCTTCCTATTTGAATACCCTTTATTTCTTTCTCTTGCCTGATTGCCTGGCCAGAACCTCCAATACTTTGTTGAATAGGAGTGAAGAGAGAGGACATTCTTTTTTTGTACCAGTTTTCAAAGGGAATGCTTCCAGCTCTTGCTCATTCAATGTGGTATTGGCTTTGGGCTTGTCACAAATAGCTCTTATTATTTGAGATATGGACCATCAATACCTAGTTTATCGAGAGTTTTTAACATAAAGGGATGTTGAATTTTATCATAGGCCTTTTAATGCATCCATTGAGATAATCATGTGGTTATTGTCTTTGGTTCTGTTTATGTGATGGATTATGTTTATTTATTTGCATATGTTAAACAAGCCTTGCATACGAGGGATGAAGCCAACTTGATCATGGGATAAGTTTTTCGATGCGCTGCTGGATTTGGCTTGCCAGTATTTTATTGAGGATATTCACCCTGATGTTTATCAGGGATATTGGCCTGAAGTTGTCTTTTTTGTTGTTGTTGTGTCTTTTCCCAGTTTTGGTATCAAGCTGATGCTGGCTTCACAAAATGGGTTAGGGAAGAGTCTCTCCTTTTTCAATTGTTTGGAATAGTTTCAGAAGGAATCGTACAAGCTCTTCTGTTTATTTCTGGTAGAATTGAGCTTTGAATCCATCTGGTCCTGGGATTTTTTTGGTTGGTAGGTGATTAATTACTCCCTCAATTTCAGAGCTCGTTATTGGTCTATTCAGGGATTTGACTTCTTCCTGGTTTAGTCTTGGTAGGGTGTATGCATCCAGGAAATTATCCACCTCTTTAGATTTTCTAATGTATTTGCATAGAGGTGTTTATAGTATTTTCTGATGGTAGTTTGCGTTTCTGTCTGGTCAGTGGCGATATCCCTTTTGTAATTTTTTATTATGTCTATTTGATTCTTCTCTCTTTTCTTATTAGTCTAGCTAGTGGTCTATCCATTTTGTTAATTTTTTCAAATAACCAGCTACTGGATTCAGTGATTTTTTGGAGGGTTTTGAAATGCAAATACAAACCACAATGAAATGTCATCTCAAGTCAGTCAAAATGGCGATTATTAGAGTCAATAAACAACAGATGCCAGTGAGGTTGTGGATAAATAGGAATGTTTTTACACTGTTGGTGGTAATGTAAATGAGGTCATTTACTGTGGAAGAAAGTGTGATGATTCCATAAAGATCTAGAACCAGAAATACATTTGACCTAGCAATCCTTTTAATGGATATATACCCAAAGGAATATAAATAATTTTATTATAAAGATACATGCACGCATATGTTTCTTGCAGCACTATTCACAATAGCAAAGACATGGAATCAACTTGAATGCCCATCAGTGATAGTCTGGATAAAGAAAATATGGTATGTATACACCATGAGATACTGTGTATCCATGAAAAGGAATGAGATTGGTTTTCTGCAGGGACATAGATGGAGCTGGAAGCCATTAGCCTCAGCAAATTAATGCAGGCATAGAAAACCGCACACCCCATGTTCTCATTTATAAGTGGGAGTTGAATGATGAGAACACATGGACAAAAGGAGGGAAACAACACACACTAAGGCCTGTTGGGAGGGAGAGTATCAGGAAAAATACCTAATGCATGCTGGCCTTAATACCTAGACGATGTGTTGATAGGTGCAGCAAACCACCATGGCACACATTTATCTACATAACAAACCTGCACATCCTGCACATGTATCCCAGAACTTAAAATTTTAAAAAAGCTGGTCTTTCAAACAAATGTTGCTGGCTCAACTAGAAATCTACATACAAATAAATAAGTGTGGTACCAGACCTTACACACTTTACAAAATTAAATCAAAATAAATTATAAACCTAAATGTAAAGCTCAAAAATATAAAATTTTTAGAAGATAACATAGGGAAAACATACATCATCTTGTATATGGTGATGACTTTTTAGATTCAACACCAAAAACATGATCTATGAAAAATTAATTGATAAACTGAACTTCATTAAAATTAAAAATTTCTTTTCTTATAAGACACTGCCAAAGCAAGGTAAAGATAAGCCACAGTCTGGAAGAATATATTTGCAGAAGATACATCTGATAAAGAACTCTTTTCCAAAATATGTAAAAACCTCTTAAAACTCAACAATACTAAAATAACCTAATTTTAAAAATGGACCAAAGACCACAACAGACACCTCATCATAGAAGATATACAGATGGCAAATAAGGATAAGAAAAGATGTTCCACATTGTAATATGACATCAGAGAAATCTGTTTCTGCTGTTTGCCAGGTTAAGGATGTTTTCTTAGTTTCTTCAATTGCTTAGATATTTTATCATTAATGAATATTAAATTATGTCAAATGCCTTTATGCATCTTTAGCATAATCACTTGTGTTTTCTTCTTTATTCTGTAAATATCATGGACTGCATTGATTAATTTTTAAATAGCTTTATTGAGATATAAATTAGTTACCATAAAATTTATCTTTCACTTAAGTACACAAATCATTGATTTCAGAAAATATATATAGGGGTACAACCATTACTACAATCCTGTTTCAGAAGATTACCATCATCTAAACTAGCCTTTGTGCCAGTTCACGATTATTCTTTTGTCTCCTTTTCAGCCTATGCAATCTTCCCCATACTTAAGCAATCCACATATTTAACATTTCTGATATTCTTTGTATCTTTCTATTAATTTAATTTATGGGATAGTGTTATTTTATTTCAGGCTAAAGAAGTTCCTTTAGTATTTCTTGTAAGGTAAATCTGCTAGCAACAAATTCTAATAGTGTCTGTTTACATGGTATTAATTCAGTTTTTATTTTTGGAGTAGTATTATCTGGATGTAGGATTCTTAGAAGAAATTGTTCGTTCTGAGCCTTAAGTGGGTTCTTCCACTTCTTTCTTCTGTTTGCTATTATTTCTAATATAAAACAGCCTTCAAGAGAATTGAAGCTCCCATTGAATCATTTTCTGTTGCTGCATTCAAAATTTTCACTTTGTCTTTGTTTTCCAACAGTTTGATTGTAAATTTCTAGAAGTGGGTTTATTTTGTTTATCTTATTTGAAATGTGCTGAAACTCTTGGATATGTAGACTCAGCTTGCATAAAATTTGGGAAGTTTTAAATTATTTATCAAATATTTTTCTGCTCTCCCTCTCCAGTTCCTTAGAACTCTGATTACACATATTTTTGTAAATCCAGTGTTTGTCCAAAGTTCTCTGAGGCTTGGTGTATTTATTTTTTAATCTTTACATTTTTTTCGTCACATGAAATAATTTACTGCTAGTTAGAATTATACTATGTCAGATAGTGCAGTACTGTTTCAAGTATAAAAAAGAGTCAATAGAATAAAATTAAGAGTGCAGAAATATATTGGCACCAAATATATGACAAAAGATACAATGCTGGTTGATGCAGAAAGAATGGACAAGTCAATAAATAGTTTCACAAAAGTTATTTTACCAAAGAAAGGGAATTTTAAGTTAAATTCCCCAGTAAAAGTCAATACTAGGTGTATTAAAATTTTAAATGTGAAATGTAATACTTTGAAAGTTTTAAAAGCTTTCATATAAAAATAGCTTTATGATCTCAGAAGAAGGAGGGTTTCTTAAACAAGAACATGAAAAGCATACATCATAAAAAAGCTAATAAGTTGGATTGCTTATATTAAAGTCTTCTTTGCATCAAAATACATGATAGGAAAAAAAAGCCACACGCAGATAAAACATGGTTGAATGCATGTAACCAATGGTACCTAAAATATATTAAGATATTCTATAAATCAATAATAAAATAATGAATACAGAATTTAAAAAAGAATATACAAAATCAATACACAGAAATAGTACTAAAATCATTCTCAATCTAGTAATCAGCAGAAACTCAAAATTATAAGGTTATCATTCCATAATTAGGACCAAAAATAATCACACAAATACATTCAGACATACACACTCACACACACAGCTACAAAGAAAAAAATCTTGATAGCATCAACTGTACACATGGACATAGATTACCAGAATCCATATTCCACTATTATTAGAAATATAAATTGTTGCAATCACTTTGAAAAAATATTTAATATGTTTAATAAAGTTAAATATGCTTATACCTTCATAGTTCCACTATCAAGGGCTTACCCTCTTAAAATTCATTTTTATATCTGAGTTTAAGAAAACACATAAAATAACAGCCAAGTGGGATTAAAAAATAATGGAGAGAAAGTAGACATACTGAGTATAAACATATCTGGCTTTTAATTTTTAAATTTATAATTGACACATAATAATTGTACTTATTTATGGGGTACAATGTGATGTTTCAAGGCATGTATTCATAGCACGATTGTTGCAGGACTTTTCCTCTGTTCAGCTAAAGACGAGGGTCTTGCCCATCCCACGGCCATGAAAATTTAGGCTTGCAGATGGTTTAAGAGGTGAGTAAAGCAGGGTTTTATTGGGTTAAAAAAACAGAAAAGGGGGAAACAGGGACTCTCTCAAGGCCAGAGTCCCTGCTAGAGTGCTTCTCACCCAGCCACTGGAATTCCGGATTCCACACAGCAAGAGGAAGGGCCAGGCTCCTCCCTGCTGCAAATAGCTCAAAGCTCTGTGGCTCCACCCGACTGCGCTGGCTAGTTGGAGTTTTTCGGGGGAGCCTATCCCATCTGGTTGTCTCATTCCCACATCTAAATAAGTGCATCTAAATGCCATTAGATTCAGAATAAGAATGAAAACCCACGGCCGGGCGCAGTGGCTCAGGCCTGTAATCCCAGCATCGCCGCCGAGGTGGGCGGATCACAAGGTCAGGAGATCGAGACCATCCTGGCTAACACGGTGAAACTCTGTCTCTACTAATAATACAAAAATTAGCCAGGCGTGGTGGCGGGGGCCTGTAGTTCCAGCTACTGGGGAGGCTGAGGCAGGAGAATGGCGTGAACCCGGGAGGCGGAGCTTGCAATGGGCCGAGATCACGCCACTGCACTCCAGCCTGGGCGACAGAGCTAGACTCTGTCTCAAAAAAAAAGAAAACCCATTTTAACTGGTTCCTGCAAGAAAGGGGGCGCTGTTTTGGGGAAACAGCTGTCAGAGCTCCTTCAGAGGCCTAAGGGTTGTCATCGGAAGGAGCCAAGGTCAGAGTTCAGAGTTAGATGACCTGAAGGCAAGAACAGACAAACCAGGTTATTAGAAAATATGTATCAAAATGAAACAAGGAGAGGGGTAAGGACCGCTCAAAAATTCTGAGGCCTTTTACCAGTTTGCACAGGAAGAGGGAGGCCAAAGGCCCAACTAGCAAAAAAGCTTTACCCGTTTGCTGGCATGTTGGGCTTCTGCGTTCCCTTCCCCTGAGCCCAATACTAAGCTAACCGGTTTAAGGTTTGGGAAATAAACTCTTTCCAGTTTGGAGGATGCAGCTAAGGGGAGCATCTCATAGTAAGGAGACACAAATACCTATTAGTAAAGACAGAACTGAGGAGAAGAAAGGAAAAAAGAAGGCACGATTTAAAGGAGTCCCGGAGGTTCAGGATGCATTCACAAGGGGTACAGACTGAAGATGAATGGCTACCCGTCTAGAAAGAGGGGAGAAGATGTCCCTGGTTTCCATCTCTTCCTAGCAGATACCTGGGGTACATGAGGGAGAGAGAGAAGAGCATCCTCTTTTCATCTTCCATCCTTGGATCCTGAGTCCCAGTAACCTTGGCAGGTCCCAACATGAGTGTCAAAGTGGCTTGCACCCATAAAGCAGGGAGGGTCCAGAAAATAGGAATTATCCACTCTCATCTATGCCTCTATCTCCTCTACTGTCAGTAGCCTTGGAGTTCCCTAGACCTCATTCATGCCATGGATATTAAGGTGGCCTTTATCCATAAAACAGCAAGCTTGGAGTTGGCTTAATTGGCAGGAATCAGCCACGCTCACCTGTGCTGTGCATTTTAACCTTTGTTTTCATCTGCCTCTGGATCCTTAAGCTTTGGCCCAAAGCTTGGAATCGAGTCTGATACAAGAATATATTTCAGGGTGGGGGTTGCATGGACTCCTTATCATAAGCCAAATGCTAAGGTGAAACTGTGCAACTGAGTCCTCCTCCAAAAAGAGAGAGGAGAGGATGTCTTGTGACACACCCAGATAACTGGTAGCTATAGTTATGCTTGCTAGAATTCGGATTCTTGGTGCTTGGCTTTGGTTGGCTCACTTGCTTTTACTTTCCCAAAAGGAAATTGCTGGGTGATGATGGGAACCTTATTTATTCCCTGTTTATTCCATCACTTGGCAAGATTTACAGGACAATTCCTAAGAACCAGAATATTGATCCAGGATTCTATATTACCTATCCGTTTTGTTTTTTTCTGAGCTGCAATCAGAGATTGCTGGTAGGTTCACAGAAACAAGCAGGGTTAGTCTAAAATGTAGGCAAAAACTTACATATAATAAGTTTAGAATTTAGTGACAAATGTATGATAATTGTTGGAACATAATTTCTCTCTCTCCAGTCTTCATTTTTATTAAGGAACAAATTATCATAGGACTGAGTTGTTTAAATAGATTTTAGTCTTATACTTGGCCTGATTATTCGCATAAAGTGCAGCAAGAGTAATATTTCTACATAGGCCTTTTGGATTGGCTTTTATGGAATTCTGTTCCACAAGGAATCTCAGATAAGACTTTTTTAAAGCCAAGCACAACCACGGATTTGTATCCTCAAACACCTGTGGGTTGGGTGATCCTCTCTTCTTAAGGTCCCGAGATAGTTGGAGAGTGACGTTCTTTACTGGCCAGAGGTCAGGAACCCTGTACAGGGACTATGTAGACAGGGTATGAGGCCAGTTTCCCCACTGGGCATTAATTAGCTCTGTAAGTCAAGCTTGACTCCTTACAGGGAAGCATACCCTTCCAATCAAAGCCTTGGTAAAATAACCACTTTCTCCAACTGTGTTCTGTTGCAAAGAAAAATGGATTCTTATTGCCCTGTTGCAAACAACTATATTGTCGTAAGTTAAGAATACTCACACAGTTTCCAAATTCTAGAGGAACCAGGCAGAGAGAAACTAACATGCTCCAAATTTTGTTCATAGAAATATACCTTACTCGATTATTAAAGGCTATAAATAGTTCAAAATAAGTTTCCTTGGCTCTGAAAAAACAAAACAAAACAGGGATCAGCAATATTCCAAGCAAAAAGTCAAAAAGGTTGCTTCATCTTTCTGAGTTCTGTCCATTTAGTTAACTCTGGTTTTGCATGATATTCATGAACATTTCAGCTCTTCATGAGTCTTGTACATTTTCCTTTATTCCAGTGTTACAATCTTCAAAATCATCAGCATCCTGTATTTGAGAGCACCTGTTACTGTTCTATAGCTTATTATAAACCATCTTTTGAAAAGAACTTAAACAAGACAACAATTATCTGTGAATAGCAAAATGTCCAGGGTAGTTACAGTTAGAAACACAATTGACAGAGAAGCTTGGTTATCTCTGTGGTTTACAATAACTTAACATAGAAACCTTAATTATGATTCAGAGCATATACTTAGACATTAGAATTTTAGAAAGCCCATACAATTTTGAAACATATATTAGCATTATTCACAAAAATAAAAGCTAAAGAAGATTGAGCATTATTTTGGCAATCTCATGTACCTAAACATGTCAAATAATCCTGTTTACCTCTGTTTTCTGGACACTTTGGGGGCCCTCTGAGTATTCAAAAAGGCAGAGTCCAGGGAAGACAATTTTGAAACTGAAGTTTGATTTTGGGAAGGCTGTTAAATGTTTGAGGTTTAAAACACTTGATATTATGGAATAGAATTCCAGATGACCATAAGTTATTTATTTTGCCAAAATGATGACTCAGAAATTTTAAAAAAGAAAAAACCTTTTATATCCCTTTACAAATTTTGCCAAAGAGCAGATTACCACCTTAGGAAAACTTTGTTATGATTTTATGTTTATGCTCAATTTACAGCATAAACATATAATACCCTTTTTTTTGAATTTAGTTAGTATGTTCTCTCAGAGAACCTCTTCTGCAAGATTAATTTCCACAATTCCTTCACCCCTTCTTTGAACCTTCAGCTTTTTCCTAATTTAACTCAAAACAGTCCTTTAATCCTGGGCAAAAGTTTACATTTCCATGCCTTCTTATAACCTTTTACTAAAAAACACATTTTACTGTTCTTACACACCCTGCATGCAAATCTATTTCTAGTAGTTTCAATGAACACCTAGCAATTTTTAACTTTAAAGTAAAACTTGGTACTTTGCTTTAATTGTGTGGTAACTGCAGCCAAGGTTTGCGTTCTTAGTTAAGGATGTGGTTAGTTCCGTATGTCTCCAGGCATTACCAATCACGGTAAAAACTTTAAAAATAGAGGAAAGAGCTTTCTTTGCACATAAACTTTATAAACTCAAGAAATAAGTATTACATTCTCTAACTAAAGAGTTCCTCTGGACTTAACCCAGACTACTGCTTTTTAGTGATGAATATTGCCCTTGTCCAACAGTCCATACAGAAGACTCTGCGTTTTATGCCAAATAATATATTAATATCAATAATTAATTTTTATTTAATAAGGCTTGTTTTCCAAGGAAGAAAAGTTTATGTTTTCAAACAAATTTTTAATTTAAAAATTGTATGTACTTAAAATGGTTTTATCTATCCTGTTATAGTAAAACCTAAATTCCTAATTATCATGTAAATGTTTCCTAGTTTTTTCAATTATACCTTTCTATCTGTCCAACAACATTAATGTTTGTTTCCCAAAGTCCAAAAGATTAATAGTTTACATATATATATGTGTATATAAATATGTGTATATATGTATGTGTAGAAATTATATGTATAACAATAAATGTCTTTTCATAATTTTATTTATGTGATTTAATGATTTTTTTTGTCCCTACATCAAATGTAAGCTTAAGAGAATAAAAGGAGTGTTACTTGGTTTTTGCTTGCTAGTGGTGGCCTATCAGGAGTGGCCACTGCCATGGTGCCAGCTGCAGTCAGGGAGGTGCTACTGGGACTGCATGCTCCATGGGGATGGAAGGAGCTGGGGGCAGGAAGGAGCTGGGGGCAGGAAGGAGCTGGGAGCAGGCAGGAGCCCTACCCTTTGAGGCACAGCTGCAGCCACCCAAGCCTCAATGGTGGACCCAGGCATCTCTGCCCTCTCAGGGGTCCAGGAAGAATTCCTCCCTCTGCAGACTCAGAAGTGCCTGGTCCTGCTGCCTGGCCTCTCTTTGCTCTCAGCACCTGCTCTCATATCAGAGAAAAGTTGAGGCCAGGCCTGAGTGCCATTGCAACTCAGCTGGGTGTTTGCGAGACTGCAGAAGTACTGACATGCTAGCCCCCTGCCACCTTGGCCCCATCCTTACATTGGGTGCCAATAAGCATAGGAGGGAGCCTGAGGTGGCACTGAGAAAAGCTTGGTGCTGATGTGCAGGTACCCCTCAGCACAAACAGCCTGGGTGCTATGAACAGTGGCAGGAGGCAGACAGGCTGCTGGCTGGAAGAAGATGGGTCCCCAGTGAAGCCCCACCTACAAGATGGGGAAGGCCTGAAGTCTAAGGGCTGGGTTATGGGTCCTGTGGACTAGAGTGGGAGCTCGTGGTGCTTTTTCTGGGTCTACCCATGGCTGCCTATGGACAAATTGGCATGCACTTCCTCCCTTCTGAGGTTCATAAAAGCCTGGGAATCAGCCAGATGATGGCATGTCCTGTCTGCAGAGAGGAGCTACCCACTCCAGGGTCTCCTCTCTACTGATTACTGAGCAGATATCAGGACTACCAGCTGTGGAGAGAAGCTACCCACTCCACAGTTTCCTCTCTGCTGATAGCTGAACACTCATTGGGACACCCTGCCTGCAGAGAGGAGGTACCTAATGTGGGTCTTCTCTGAGCTGTTCTGTCACTCAATAAAGCTCCTCTTCATGTTGCCCACCCTCCACTTGTTCACATACCTCATTCTTCCTGGATGTAGGATGAGAACTTGGGACCTGTTGAATGGCAGGTCTAATAGAGCTGTAACACAAACAGGACTAAAACACATACCTCTCTCACCATATAACGTGTTACAAGAAAGAGAGAAGAGATAAGGAGAGAAGAGCTGCAGCCCTGTGGGGACCCCAGACCTAGGAGCTCCCCAAGCCAGGGCTGTGACACCTTCTCTGGGGCTCTGCAGTTTCCGGCGTCTCCAAGCTTCTGGAGCCACCATGTTTTCTAGTGCAAGTTGTGGAAGCTGCTTGCAGTATGCCTGGTCCAGCTGTAGCCTCACAGGGAGCGAGCCCCCATGCCAGCACCTAGAGCTGCCTGCCCAACTGCAGCCAGCATACCTGGCTGTGCAGAGTAGCTGGACCCAACACTCACTCACTCACACCCCCTTCACCACTCCACTCGCCCTGGGCAGGCATGGGATCCATCCTGCAGCGCAAGTCAAATGCAGCCTGCCAGGCTGATTGAGCCCACAAGCCCAAGCAAAACTCAGGCAAAGGCACCACTGGCCAGAAACATTTCCAGCTGGAGGAGTGATACCCCAAGGATCCTGTGACAGTATTTAGGTCCAGGCCTTCTCTGTATAAGTTCAGAAAGAATATTATAAAAATGTATGAATAAAGTAGAATTGTATGTATTAAAGATCATTCTATATTATCCAATATAGGTGAGCAAATAAAATCATTGCCTGAGAGTTGCACAATGCTGATTTATATCCCTCTAACTTATAAGGTTGGTTTTTGCTGTGAGATTTTCTTTTTTTTTCATTTTGAGATGGAGTCTTGCTCTGTCCCCCAGGCTGGAGTGCGGTGGTGCCATCTCGGCTCACTGCAAGCTCTGCCTCCTGGGTTCACACCATTCTGCTGCCTCAGCCTCCCAAGTAGCTGGAACTACAGGCACCCACCACCACGCCCGGCTAATTTTTTGTATTTTTAGTACAGACAGGCTTTTACCGTGTTATCCAGGATGGTCTCGCTCTCCTGACCTCATGATCCGCCAGCCTCGGCCTCCCAAAGTGCTGGGATTACAGGTGTGAACTACCGCACCCGGCCCAGCTGTGAGATGTTAAAAGTTAAACTACAAGCCCATCCTCTCATTTAATTGAACTTTGTCTTTAGCTCAAAAGATTATTTCAAATTAGAGAAAATGGCATCTATTACTTAGAAGTTTATTCAGTTTGAAAATTAATGAGTGGAGATTACAAGACCTTTTAGATTTTTATAGGTCAAGGGTTCTTTTCTGACTCTTAATTGAAAACCAGAGGGAAGCTTGAAGAAAATAAACAGGTCAATGTAAAAGAAAAGCAAAAGAAAGAGAACATCAAGTCAAAAAACTTGGTTTATTTTACTTTGTTCTATTACCTGTGTTCTAGATCCAGTAATTTTATGACAATGGGATGGGGTAGAGAAAAACAAGTATTGCATGTCCCTCCATCAAGCCATAGCAGTATTGTGGCAAACAAACAGTTTAGTTATCTAGTCAGGACCAAGTTTCCCAAATATATCTACTAATTTAGAGATACTTGAAGTTTCTACTATTGCATTGACTTATTTTTATTGCATTGACATTATTTTTAAATTTTAATAATAAATTGCTCTGATAGATTATTATAAATTATCATGTCCTAGGAATCCCAAGAAGCAAAAACCACAAATGAAAGCCATATGATTCCTTAAAATCAGTATATAAGACTCAGGGATACATATGAAGCAAACTCATTTTCATAAAATTGACCAAGGAAAATGACCGTTACTGCAATGGTGAGAGATGAGAGGATCATGTTGGAGCTAATAGCACATAGCTAGTATGTGGAATGGGTCTTGAGTCACTTCATTTTTCTGTTAAATATAATAGTGACCACAGCTTGCTGGGGGACCTGTTACTCTCTAGGCCACAGATACTTGAATTAAACATGATTTCCAATGCAATAAAAATACTTCATTAGTTTTACCAGCAATCATTCTTTTAGCATCTACTTAACATGAGTCATTTCCTGTGCCCTATGTGAAAACTCAAGCAAGTATATGACTATGTTAGTCATAAAAATGTGTTATTCATATCTCTTACTGTGGCAGACAGCTTAGTATTTTGATCGCCAAAGCTGTAGTCCTTTTGGGTTCATCAGTGAATCTCATGAGCTGCTTATGGTCAATATCTGAGCACATCAGGCATACTTGAAAGGGCCATTTGTGTTTATTAGCATATGAGACTCCTCTGATAGACAACTTTGACTCAAAGACTTTCCACCTGCCAAGAGAAAAGTCTCTTAGAGATATTTGCAATCTGATACACTTCTCCCCATTATATCTCAATCACCTCATCTCCTTTAGAGAGACAGGAATAGGACCTGCTTTTGTGGTCTGAAGGCTGTCCCTGCATTCTCTGGTTCTCTCTCCTTTTTTCCATCGAGAATTTCTCCAATAACTATCTTGTAGATCTAATCCCATCTTGGCGTATGCTTTCTTGAATATCCAAAGCAACTCAATACTTTTTTAAAAAATTATAAACATAATCAGTTAAGAAAATAAAATTTTGAGTACCAAGTGTGAGTCCAAACTGATAACTTGAGTCCAAACTCATAGCTCTGACACTGATTTAATGGCAAACCTCCTCTCCACCATCTCATTCCTGGTATTGAGAGAAGCCTTCATTGGCATGACACCTAAAGCTGGATTTTCCTCTTTTTCTCCTTATTGTGCTATTTCTCTTCTCTGTCCCTCTGTAATCTTATTACTCAGTCCAGAGAATGTAGAGAGGGAATGAAGAGAATAGGTAAGGAGAAATAATGTATCATTGGGAACTAGCTTCTCTCTCCCTGGGATTGATGGTTGCTTAAAGCTGACTCTGTTATGGATTCTTTTGGGGGCACGTTCAAAAGTTCCTGGCTAGTCCCCTCTCTTGTACAGTTTCTTTGACCTGGGCAAATCTGATTTTTCACAGCTCTTAGGAATTCTGCATCACCCTACTTTCTCTATACTGGTATTTCTCCACCCTTCTAGTCAGCATTGATGGACAATACACACTGCTTCTTTCTCACTTGTGTGGCTGACACCTGGTTTATAGGGAATACTGATAATTCCTGATGAATGTCAAAAGTACCCTAATGCAGCCACCTCTCAGGCTGTCTATACTCTTTGACTTACTCTGCAGAGAATTAGAAGGAAATCACTTCAACTACCTTTCTAAGTTTGAAATGAAGGAGGCAGCCTATCCTATCTCTTGATGGTTTTCACAGATTGCAAGAGCTCTCATCAAAGAGTTATCAATACACTTTTATTTCCCTACAATCTTCCTATTTTCTGCCTGTTTTGGACTTAGGGGGCTATTAGTTATAAAAATAATTATCAAATAACTTATTTGAAAATTTCTAAGAGATTATTTTTCCCCTCACATTCAAATTTAACATTTATCATACTATTATTCTTTATATTGTTTTGGAAATGTTACATTTATAATAAATATATAACTATAATCACTTACACATAATTAAAACACCTGAAAATAGAGAGTAGGCAACAGATTGAAGATGTGGTGTTTGGAGTTTCTTCTCGCATATACACTGAAAATTGCTAAAAATACTTAGGAATATTTTGCTGGGTTACTAGGTTTTAGAAATAGAAGTACAGGGTGACAGGTAAATATCTGACTCAAAAATAGTTTTTTAGATGTGTTAATTGAATTAATACAGTCCCATCACAATGAATATTTTACCTATGCCAGGTAATCAAAATTAAAATTACATTTAATAATTTTGAAGTTTCACAAGCAGAGTATTTTGGAACTATTTGGGTCCCATTAAGGACTGGGTATTAATTTTTAAAAAAGACAAAATGAGGAAAAAATAAAATTAAGTTGAATTAAAAGGAGAAAAATTAAATACAATTATGAGAATAGCTGCAGATTATTAATCATAAAACATGGAAATTTCCAAATTTTAAAGAATACTTTTGCTTTTGAATAAAATCCCTCAAAAATGTAAAGATTTTTACTGCACTTCCTTAATAATATGGTGATATTTAAGACTTTTAAATCTAGTGCCATATAGGTATATATTGGCCTGAGGAATTCTGAAGTACAAAACCCTCACAATTAATCTAAGTAATTGTTTTATATTAGATAAATATTTGAAGAGTTACACAGAATTTCCCAAGTTACTTTTATGTGTAAAAGTTGTGGCATGACAGTGCATAAAAACCTTCAAATTATTGCTTTAAAATTCTATGTAATTTTTGGAGTACATTTTTAGAAGCACTATATGCAGAATGTGGATACATGTGCCACAGTGAATTCATAATAAGATTGTTCTTTGGAAATTTTTCATATTTTTTTTGTTGCTGTTGCACTTGGGAGAATGGACAAATACCTCCCCAGTATGCAGCTACATTGTACTACTCAACCTGTTTGTTTCATCTACTGAAATTAAAATCAGTTTCTGATAGCTCTTATATTCCAACTAAAGCATGTTATCGACTTGACTTAGTAACCTTTACTATGCATCTACCTGGCTTATCTCTAAAATACGCATCTTTTACATTAATGAGTTGTACAAATTCTTACTGAACACTTTTTATGTTCTTGCTCTGGGGAAAAAAGGTCAATGTAACAACTCTTCTTAATAGAGTCTTTGTCTAATAATATAAGAAATTGTCTAATACGTCACTAATTATAATAAAGTGGGATAAATATTACAAGAGGGGTAGGCCCCAGCCCTTGGGGCACACAAGAGGAGCATGGAATCCCTTCTATTGCTATATATGAATCACATATATGAGAATGTGTTTATGGTAATATGTTCTTACTCTTATGATGACAATTTCCCTTCAGATACAGACAATTTCCCCTCAAATACTCTTCTGATGACAATTTCCCCTCAGATATATCACCTATAAAGTGAGATGGAACAGTTACATTTTGTTCCACAGATAAAGATGTCGATTTGTGAGTTTACTTGGCAATTAGTGTTCTTAAATAAACTTAGAAAAATTCGTTGATCTATAAGATACTTTCAGTACAGTGAAAATAATGTTACGGTTCAATAGTACCAATTAATAAAAATAAAATTAAATTAAAATGTTGATTTAAATATAAGCAAATATATTTATTTTGAATGCTAGTAACACACACACACACACACACACACACACACACACACATACATATATATATAGCTTAGAGAGAGAAGGAAGGTGAGAGGCATGTAATTAAAAAACCACCACTTAAAAATGCAGTATAAAATCGTGCTTATGTGTTGATTCTCTGAATATGTATTCTATGGCTTCAAGTTCTGCCCCTCAAACTTACTAGCTTCGTGCCTCTACGGGACTATTTTACATCCTTGTTCTTTAAGTTCTTTTTCTGTAAAATGGAGATATTAGGTTGATCCATATGAAATGGTTATATTTGGCTATTTTTACAGCTTAATTGAGGTATCATTACAATAAACTACACACACAGTGCACAATTTGATGAGTTTCCATAAATATATATACCTAAGAACCTATTAATATTGCCATAATCAATACATGAACATAGTAGTCACCCCAAAATTTTCCTGTGCCCCTTTTTAATCCAAGTTTCCCTACCTCTTAGCTCCAGGAAAGCACTGACTTTCCCTCTGCCACTACAGATTAGCTTGATTTTACTAGAATTTTTTTTCAATGAGTGAAATAATTATAATATGTGCTCCTTTTGTATAGTTTTTAGCATAGTTATTTTGAGACTCATTCATGTTTTTGCATGTATCAAAAATCATTACTGGCTGAGTGCATCAGCTCCCGCCTGTAATCCCAGGACTTTCAAAGGTCAAGGTGGCAGGATTGCTTGAGGCTGGGAGTTGGAGGCTGCAGTGAGCCATGATTGCACCACTGCATTCCAGCTTGGGAGACAGAATGAGACCTTGTCTCAAAAAGAAGAAAAACATTGTCACTAACTACTATTTCATTGTTTGAACATTCTACAACTAGTTTATTCAACTGTTGATGACTATTTGCTTTTTTTCTATTGTAGGTGATTATGTACATATTTGCCATAAACACTTGTATACAGAAAACAATTGAGAAAATCAACGAAATGACCGTTTTAAATAACCTGTAAAATTAGGAAACAGAGAAACAACACAAATTTCTAATATCAAGAATACAAAGGTGACGTTACTGAAAATCCCATATACACACACACACGCAAACATACACAGACACACAAAATATAAGCAGGGAATATTAACACCAAGAAATCTGGTTAATGAAATAAAATGGGAAAATTCCTTGAAAGAAAAAATCTACCGAAACTTATTCAAGAAAAATTAGATATACTGAATAGTCCCGTATATATTAAATTGCTGACATAGAAAAACTTTCATTAAAAAGAACTTTACACTCCCATGACTTTATAGATGATTATATAAAATGTGTAAGTAATGCCTATTGATTCTACATAAAACTTCTAGAAAACCAAAGAGAAAAGAATACTGCATATTGCATTTTACGAGACCAGTGTTACTGATATCTAAACTAGATGAAAATATTACAAAAAAAAAATACTAAGTAAGAACAATATTTTCTCTGGACCCACGCACAAAAGTCCTTAACAAAAAGATTGCATATCAAATCCCACACTATATATTAAAAAGATTAATACATTATGACCAAGTAAGGAATATCCCAACATAAGATTATTTCAATATCTAAAAATCAATATATTTTACCGTATTCTCAGACTAAAGAAGAAAAACTATATGATTGCCTTCACAGCTACATACAAAAATTTAGAAAAATTCAGACTTCTGATAAAAACTCTCAACCTGTTAAAGGACATATCTGTAAAACACAGCTATCATCACACTTAAGAGTGAAAGACGGATTGTCTTCCCCTTGCCGTCAGGAAAGAGGCACAGATGCCTAATCTAATCACTTCTATTCAACATTATGCTACAGATCTTAGATAATGCAGTATGTAAGGACATGAAATGAAAGAAAAATAGTTTGGAAATAAAGAATTAAAACTTTTTATTTGCAGACTACATGATTTTCTAATAGTGAATACTAAAGTATCTATAAGTAAGGTATCACTTGACAGTTTTAGAACCACAAAAATTATGTTTTATCTTAACAGTAACAGAATCTACTTCAAAGAAAGCATCACCGTAATCAATTGACAAGTTTGAATATGTTCATAAATACAACATTTATCACTGGGTGTTTCAAGGAAGCGATCTGCAAGTATTAGCTAATAGATTTTTGAAGTAAATGAAATTTTTATGCCCACAAAAGGTGGAAATGGCAACACAATGCAATTTAAAATAGAAAAAGTGATAGAACTGCTGAGAAGATAAAGAAATATAAGAAATGTAATATTGTGGCAGTTTCTGTTAGCTTTCTTTAGAAAAATAACCTCTGAGAGATGAGTTAAAACTTCGACTCTGAGTTTTCTAGCAATTGATACTAAAAAAGAAGCTTGTACTGTCATCATCTGTTTATCAATACTCATACCACTTTAAAACATTTTTCCTCATAAAAGTGAGGGTAAAAAAAAAAAAGTGAGGGTAAAATGATGGTTAGCAGAGCCTGGGGGTGGGAAGGGAAGACAGGGAATTAGGAGTTATTAATCAAACAATACAACATTTAAGACAGATTGGAAGACTAGGCATTGAGATCTGTTGCACAGCAAGGTGACTATAGTTACAATAATAATGGATTGCATATTTGTACATAACTATGAGAGTCAGCTGCAGATACCTTATCCTAAAAAAAATGGAAAATAATCAAGGAGATAGATATGTTAAAGTAGCTTGACCTAGTCATTCACCATTGTGTGTGTGTGTGTCTGTGTATGTGTGTGTGTTTATAGTCAAAACATCAACTTGCAAAACATAAATGTATACAATTGTTTTTTCAGTCAAAATAATATTAATTATACATTTTAGGGGCATGGCTTAAACAACAGAAACTTTATTTCTCTCAGTTTTGGAGTCTGGAAATTTGAGATCAAGGTGCTGGCAGCGTTGATTCTCCTAAGGCCTCTCTCCTTGCCTTGTAGACAACTGCCTTCTCTCATTTCTATGTCTTAAACATGTCCTTTTTCTCAGTGGGCAAGCATTCCTAATGTCTTTCATCTCTTTTTTACATTTTAATTTATATCTGATTCAGGAGGTGCATATACTAGTTTTTATGGGTACATAGCATACCGGTAGAAATAAAGCTTCCAGTGTACCCAATACCCAAATAGTGAACACTGTACACAGCAGGTACAATTTTTCAGCTCTCATCAACCTCCCACCACACTCCCTTCTCTGGAGTCCCCAGTGTCTAGTATTTCCATCTTTATGACCATGTGAACCCATTGTTTAGATACAAACGTATATATAATTTTTTTAAGAATAAAAGTGCTCATGAGAAGCACAACCAATTTTGTTTCTGTGACCAAATATAATATTTCTGGACTCTCAAGTTAAGGACACAGTGTAACTTGGTGAACACAACCCAAACTATCTTTTATAATAAATGAAGTGATAAGCTTTTAATGTTTTTTATAATACCAATGATATAATAATATTAGGTGAAATTTAACCTAAACCCTTCAAGATTTCTTTGTAAAACCCATGTTCAAATATGCTGGTAAAATTCTTGCAAAAGGAGTGATACCTGGAAGGTCACTGTCAATGGCTGAATGTTCACAGGGGTAGTAATATGTTATATTGCTGAGCCAATCATAAATGGACACCTAGTATTCATCTTTGAAGCAAACCTCTTTTAGGGTCAAAACATGGTCAGGTAATGGATTCTGTGTAAGGACACATTGATGAATAACTGCACTGGGTATTTACAGATAGATTTTTTGTAATGGTGATTAGTAGAAACCACAAATTCTGTAACAATATGTCAACTGGTTTTTAATGCAGACATTGAAGCAAGCAACATAGACACACTGAAGAGCTTAACAAGTTTATGTGCTTAAAAAAAAAAAATCACAGGGGCTGGGCACAGTGGCTCATGCCTATAATCCCAGCACTTTGGGAGGCCAGGGTGGGCAGATCACAAAGTCAGGAGTTCGAGGCCAGCCTGGCCAACATAATGAAACTCCGTCTCTACCCAAAATACAAAAATTAGCCTGGTATGGTGGCATGCGCCTGTACTCCCAGCTACTCGGGAGGCTGAGGCAGGAGAATCACTTGAACCTGGGAGGTGGAGGTTGCAATGAGCCGAGACCATGCCATTGCACTCCAGCCTGGGTGACAGAGTAAGACTCCATCTCAAAAAAAAAAAAAAAAAAAAAATCATAGGAAGTATTTTCTTTGCTGGCAGCTAATTTAGGTAAAAAGGTGGTATCATAAAAATCACACAGTTTTAGAAAATTGTTCAATACTGTGTAGAGTCACTAAAGGCACTTAGGAAGGCAGATTCAAAGATATGAAGACATATATTCTTAAAATAGTGCATTCTTTCATAACCTAAATGTGCTTATTTTAGATATAAGAAAGAAAAATATTAACAACAACGAAACAAAATTGATCATCTACTACATGCTAGGAATTATGCACTGAAGGCCCTGACTTCATCACAATGCAATATAACAATGTAGCAAAATTGCTCTTGTACCCCGTGAATATAAGTACATAAATAAATAAATAATCTCATAACAGGTCTATGAAGGCATAGTGTGGAAAAGGCAGTACTAACATTGTGGTTTAACAAAAAAAAGAGAGAGATTCATATTTCAGTTCTGTGTCACTAGAGGCAAAAGTTGGGTTTTCTGCCCCCAAGACTTTTTCTGTAAAACAGGAATAATAATATGTACTATTTAAGTTGTTGTAAGAATTTGGAATGACACATATGACAAATACCAGACATAACCCCAGTAAATATGGCTGATTGATGCTAATATAGTGATTTTATATTTTTTCAATATGATTCAATTTGGTAATGTAATTGATAGCAATTTTATAGTTTTTATATAAAGCAAAAGCAGGCATCTTATAGAGTTCTAATATCAACTAGATTTCTACCTGACATAGACTTATCTTAAATAACCAATTTCCAAACTTACTCTGGGAGGACACCTCTTCTGTCAATTGATAAAATTAAATATTCCACAGGATGTGAATATAGAGGGAACACAGGATTCTGTATGTGTACGTATTGCATCCAAATAAATAAATTAATTGTAATGTCAACAAATAAAAATGATGGTGCCTTGCACGAGGCAAATAGCAGTGGACATAGTAAGAAGGAATTGGTGCTTTAGTTTTCTAGACATAAGCTAAAGGATATGCTGACTCAGTACGTGCCAGTTGAAACCAAAAGACTGTAGTTGATCATGTTACTAAAGTTTTTACTTGGAGATGAGGTTTTTCAGAATTGAGAAAAGTAAAGTTTTGTATAAAGTAGGTTTGAGGATGGAAGAGCAGTAGTTCAGTTCAGGCCATGTTGAGTTTATGTCAAGTAGAAAATTGGATAAGTTTGGAAATGTGTAGTTGGCAATTGGATAAATTAATCTTCTTAGAACTCAGAGGAGAATTCTGACTAAAGACATAAACTTGAAATGTGTATCAATATACATAATAGTAGCAAAAAATAAAGGCATGTGAGTGATTGAGCTCATCAAATAAATGGGCATAAATATAGAAGAGAACTCAAGAGGGGAGACCTGAAAAATTACAGTATTAAGATGTAAACAGAAAATATCAAAGGAGACTGAGAAGAAGCCTTCAGAGCAGGTGGATAATCAGAAGAGAAATAAGGTGTACTGTAGCCAAGTGAACAAAATGTTTCCAAGAGAAGATAGTGATCAACTATGTACAGTTACCTAAATGAAATGCTAAATTTTGTAACCAACTTTTTCCAAAAATAAAATATAACCATGTTCTCAATTAATTTAAAAATCTCTTTGGAGAGTCAAAGGCAATGCACAGGTTTTAGGCAATGGAACACTACATAATTTAGTCTAAATATCCACTGTCAGAATGTACAACATATATGCTTAAAGGCACCAGATACCTAAGAAGATAGTGGAAAAATATAAGCCAGATCTGGAGAAAATGGAAGTTAAATGAGATGAGACCAACATTTGATGCCTTCTTTGCCCCAGTTTTTAAAATCATTTTTTTAAAGGTGAGGGTTGAGTTCAGTAGGCTAAAAAGCTAAACTGAACTTTTAACACATGTGTGAAGCTAAGGAAGCAGGTATTGGTGTCAAGGACACAAGGAGGAACCCTGGTGAACCCCATCTGCTTTGGGTTGGGACCATAAATAATCTCAATTTCTAAAATTGGATTAAGTGATTGCAGATTTAAAGTGGCCCAGATACCTGGCAAAAACAAAGTTCCTTAAGAATTAAAATTATAATTCAAATTATTTCTAACATTTTACAAATAATATTTGGGACTCAATCAAAACCAACCAGCCAGAATAGGAGAAAAAAACGATATGACCAAAAGAAAAAGAAAATTACAGGTAATGAAAACAGATTCATAGTAGCTTTAGATAATGTAATTATGAGACTCAGATTTAAACTATCATTAAAATACAAAAGTTTTAAACAGTTGACAGAAAACCAGTTGCTTTCATAGCTGAAATACATAATAACTGAAATTAAAAACCCATTGAATAGATATAATAGCCTATTATCCACTACCAAAGAGATAACATGGGGGCTGAGGTGGGAAGAAGGGAGGGAGACAAGAGAGAGAGCATGTGCTCAAGAGTAAGCATGCATCTAAAGAATATTGAAGAGTAGCTAATTCAAATCAAAGAAAGTGGAAAAAATTAGATAATGGAAAAATACAAATGAATAAAAGAAGACAATACAATAATCAAAATAAAAATAAAATCCTAAAGACTTTCTTGGAAATTTTAATAAAATTAATAAATATTTGGCAAGTTTCCTCAAGAAAATAAACAACCAGCCAATATCAGAAATGAAAAAAATATATAATTAAATATCATACAAATATGAGAATATCATAAAAAAATTTATTGAACTCTAGATTAAATGAATCAATTTCAAGAAAGCATAACTTACACAACCTTAATGATGAAGAAATAAAAAATCTGAATTGCTATATAAATAAGTGAAATATCTATATTTTTAATATCACTAATTATAATTTAGGCCCAGATAATTTTATTAATGAAATCTAAATATTTCAGGAAAAAGTTAAGCAAATCTTATGTAAGTCCTTTCATACATATTTAACTTTATGAAACCTAATTTTGACAACGAAAAGACAAGAATATTAAGAAAGAAAAAATATAGGCTAAACTTACTGATGAACATAGAATTTAAAATGGTAAGAAAATAGTAACAAACCCAACTAAAGAATATTTGAAAAGGATTAGACATAGCAATCAAGATTGGTTTTCTTCTAGAAATGCAATCTGGCTTTTAAATCTGGCTTTCAAATTTAGATATCAATATAATTCACCATATTAGCAGGATAAAAAAAATCTACACATTTTTCTTGTCAGAAAAAAAGATAGCTAAAGTAACTATGCAATTAAAATTCTTCTTAACATTTTTAGCAAATGAAAAAATAGAAAAAAATTAAGGTGTTGAATTTTCTATAACACAAACTACATTAAAAGTCATACAAGATGGTGAAATATTGAAAGTTTTCTCTTTATTATCAAAAATAAGGCAAGATGCTTACAATCACTTCTATTATTGTACCGGAGGTATTAGAGTGATATAAAAGAAAACTAATTAAAATGTAAATACTAGACAAGATGCAGCAAAAATTTCACTTTTTCCAGAAGATATAATTTTTAACTAGCATATCTAAATAAATACAAAGATAAATAAAATGCTTTATAAGCTTGATAGATGCGAGGTCAAAATATAAAAACAAACTGACCAGTGAAAAACAATAATATATAAACAATTTTTTAAATTATTCAAAAATAACAAATATTTAGGGATAGATTTCATTTCAATTATTAATACCTTCAAAAAGAAAAATATAAAACATTTTTCAGGACAAACTCAAAAATGGAGGAATATATCCTGTCCACTGGGAGGATATATATACTGAAAGATTTATTTGAAGAAAGTGACTCCCATGTTCGTGAGAGGTGACAAGTTTGTAAGGCAGGCTGGCAGCTTGGAAACCCATACAGGAATTGATTTGCAACCTGGGGGCAGCACTTCTTCCTTCGGAAAGCTCAGCTTTTCCTTTTAAGGTCTTTGGACTGATTGTTAGCGGCCTGTCAACAATATTAAAGGGTAGTTTCTTTTATTTAAACTGAATTGATTGTAATTGATAACATCATTTACAAAATACCTTCACAGCAACACGTAGGTTAGTTTTTGATTAAATTACCGGGAAAATAGAGTAGCCAAATTGACATAAGTAACCACTACAGTAGAACAACACCCAAAGTAAGTATCACCATTAACATTTACATATGAGAAAACTGAGAATCATTTTTTTTATGTGAAATGTTCAATTTCACTATACTTACAGGTGGCTGAGCTAGAATTTTCCAGAAACTCAGGTCTAGAAGGCTTACAAATTCAAAGTCTTAACCAGTGTATTATAAAACCAAGAACATAAAACTATTTTTAAAACTAAATTTGAAACAAATGGGTATTTCTTCCACTTCCTCTTCCCACATGTAGGTTGAGTAACAGAATTGGACAGTTAGAATTCTACTTTGGGGAACTTACTTTTCTGGTCAACAAGCAGGTAGAAGAAATGATTCCGGATGAAAATGTAAACATGTTTTATAAATACTAAATGCCCAAATGAACCTTTATTTCCTAAAATAAATGAGATCACTGATATAGTGCTATTAACATTTTTTTCTTTTAAAATAGGGAATATAAAAATTTGATCTAAATTTTTTTGATAGCTGCTTAATATTTATTGGTAAGCACTGCATTTTACGCTGTTAAATGTCAAGTCATTTGGAGATATAACGAGATGTGAGATGACAAAAAGGCATTTTATTTTATTGGTAAAAAGGGTTGAAATGCACATGTTTAATATGCTGTTCACAAAGTAAACAGATCCCTTGGATTCATTTCAGCTTTTCAAATAAAATATTGCATTATTAGTTTGTAGTTAGTAAGGTCAATCAGTACCTGCCTTTGCAAAGTGTTTTATTCTTAGCATCAAAGAAGATACTAACAAAAGAACCTGCTTGTCAATTTCATTCATATTCAAGTTGTCTAAATTATAAAAATTTTGTCTTAAAAGACTTCATATTTTCTAACTGCTCAATTACATTACTTCTCAATCAATCTGTCAAATTTATATTATCTCAATCACGCATTTTTTCACTTTGGTTCATTATTTGGCACTCCTTCTCAAACATGACTGAAGAATAAAGAACAAAAACGAAAACAAATATTTTACTTCAAATTATTTAAATAGTAAGGTACATTACTTAAGCTTTGTATTACCTGAGAGAGTACTTAAATTTCTCTTGACAATATTATGAAACATAGAGGTTAATTGAACAATTACCTGTGAAGTAAATTCTGGGTGAAGTAAATTCTTAATGTTATATACAAAGCCAATAAAACGTCTTTAAGTATCCTTCTAAAAATATTTTATTAAAGAAATGATGTATTTCTATACTATTTATTATAAGTATCATAATGTCTTTCTATACCATTTATCATACTATATATACAGAATATCATAAATATTACATGAAAAAGGATGATGATTAGGAAACCAATGCAAAGGGAATAAGTCAAATTTCATCCAGGAGCATCATTTCTTCTTAATCTATATCTGGCTCCTTTCATAACCCGCTCTAGCTGTCATTGAGGAAAATCCATGAGATTAAATTAAGAAGAGCAAAGACATCAAAGAAAAAAAAAGCAGCTTGAAGTTTGATCAAAACTTATGCTAATTCTTTGCTGGCACTTAATAAATATATATTTTAAAGTTCTATTAAGCACATGCTTTTTTTCTTGAATTCTGCATGTAACATCTGAAGAAAGTAGGAGTACATAAAGATATATTGGCAAATTATGATATATAACAAATAAAGAAGAAATCTGATTTTTAAAAATAAACTGATCAAATGAAAATTGTTTTTAAATCCCTAAGAATAACTTTGGTTAAAGTGGAAAATGCAGAGTGAAAACTACCATAATAATACATCTGCCTGCTTAGACATTTTGTGTGTATGGAAACAAACTTTAATAGCTGAAAAGCTACTAAATTAAATAATGTTATTTTTTGGAAAGAGAAATTAAAATAAATGAGACAATGAATTGGAAAATATAGATCATCAGGCTTTAAGTAAAGTCATGTAATGCTTTAACATATCGTACAAATTTAATCAGGAACCATCTATTTATTTACCATTAAATATCTCTCAAATTTAGCCCCTCTTCAAATACTGCATGTCTTATTTAAACACTTAGAGCATCTTGTCACAACTGTGATCTACCTACCTGGCCCTTACTTCTGATATTTTGCCTGTCACATCTCTGCTTCACACTGCTTGCCAGAGGACTTGTATAAAACAGAAACTTTAATACCAAGCTCTTTGGTTTGTATAGTTGGTTGGGTTTTTTACATCTAAAGGATAAAATACTGTATTTTATCAGCCTCCAGTGCTGAGCAAGATGCTATAATTGAGAATTACCAGATGCATTTGTATGTGCACGCTTTCTTTTTCTTTAGACATACATTTTGACATCAACTTTAATAATGCTTAAGATAGTACGTCAATTTTGACGTAGCAAGGTGTATGTGTTCTCACAGATTCTTGATTTTGCAAAGGTTATTTTCAGTGTTTGAAATGCCTTTTTTGCCTTATCAACTTGAAATCTTTGATGGTTCATATCTCCAAATTTTGAGTCTTCCTATATTTTTTCCAATCTCTAATTCTTTTTGTAACTGGGGATCTTGGTTTTAGAAGTCATCTACTATTTTCTTCCTTCCCTTGCCTCTCACTTCTTTTATCCTTCGTTGTCGAGACACTCCCCTCTGGCAATTGCATTCTTATTTACTTATTGTAGTAGTCCATTTTCACACTTCTATAAAGACAAATCTGAGACTGGGTAATTTATAAAGAAAAGGAGTTTAATCAACTCATAGTTCTGCATGGCTGGGTACAGGTAACTTACAATTATGGCAGAAGGCGAAGAGGAAGCAAGACATGTCTTCACATGGCCAGAGAAGGAGGAAACAGCAAAGGAGGAAGTGCTGCACACTTTTAAACAACCAGATCTCATGAGAATTCACTATCATGAGAACAGGAAGGGGGATACCTGCCCCCATGATCCAGTTACTTCCCATCAACCCCTCCCTCAACCCATGGGGATTACAATTTGAGATGAGATTTGAGTGGGGACACAAAGTCTAACCATATCACTCCTCCCCTGAATCCTCCAAAATCTCATGACCTTCTCATGTTTCAAAACACAATCGTGCCTTCCCAAGAGTCCACTGCCCCGCCAGCCTTAACTAATTCCAGCCTTAATTCAAAAGTCCAAGTCTGCAATCTCATCTGAGACAAGGCAAGTTCCAGATGCCTACAAGCCTGTAAAATAATAATAATAATAAAAACAAGTTAGTTACTTCCAAGATACAGTGCGGGTCCAGGATTGGGTAAATGCTCCATTCCAAAAGGAAGAAATTGGCCAAAACAAAGAGGCTACAGTCCCCATGAAAGTCTAAAACCCAGCAGTGCAGCCATTAAATCTTAAAACTCCCAACTAGTCCCCTTTGACCCCATGTCTCATATCCAGGGCATGCTGATGCATGGGGTGGGCTCCCAAGGCCTTGGGCAGCTCTGCCCCTGTGGCTCTACAAGGTCACCATGGCTGCTTTCATGGGCTGACATTGAGTGCCTTCAGCTTTTCCAGGTGCATGATGTAAGATGTTGGTGGATCTACCATTCTGAGATCTGGAGGATGGTAGCCCTCTTCTCACAGCTCCCCTAGGCAATGCCCCAGTGGGGGATCTGCATGGGGGCTCTCACCCCACATTTCCCCTTCACAATGCTCTAGTAGACATTCTTCATGAGGGCTCTGCCTGTGCAGCAGACATCTACCTGGACATACAGGTATTTCCATACATCCTCTGAAATCTGGGTGGAGGCTCCCAAACCTCAGCTCTTGCTTTCTGCATACCCACAGGCCTAACACCATGTGGAAGCCACAAATGCTTGTGGCTTGCACCCTCTGAAGCAAGGGCCTGAGCTGTACCTTGGCCGCTTTTAGCCATGGCTGGAGCTAGAGTGACCATGATGCAGGGTGTCGTGTTTCAAGGCTGCACAGAGCAGTGGAGCCCTGGGCCTGGCTCATGAAACCATATTTTTATTCTAGGCCTCCAGGCCTATGATGGGAGGGGCTGTCATGAAGGTCTCTAAAATATTTGGTGGCATTTTCCCCATTGTCTTGGTTATTAATATTCAACTCCTCTTTACTTATGAAAATTTCTGCAGCCTTCTTGAATTCCTCCTCAGAAAATAAGTTTTTCTTTTCTACCACATAGCTAGACTGCAAATTTTCCAAACTTGTATTCTCTGCTTCCCTCTTAAATATAAGTTCCAGTTTCAGCTCATTTCTTTGTTTTTGGAAATAAGTGTAGGCTTTTAAAAGCATTCAGTCTACATCTTGATCTCTTTGTTACTTAGAAATTTATTCTGCCAGATACCCAAAATCATCTCTCTCAAGTTCAAAGTTTCACAGATCCCTACAGCAGGGGCACAATGCCACCAGTCTCTTTGCTAAAGCATAGCAAGAGTGACCTTTACTCCAGTCCCCCATAATTTTCTCATCTTCATCTGAGACCTCCTCAGCCTGTACTTCATCATCCATATCACTATCAGCATTTTGTTCAAAACCATTCAACAAGTCTACAGGGAGTCCCAACCTTTCCCTCATCTTCCTGTCTTATGAGCCCTCCAGATTGTTCTAACCTCTGCCTGTTACCCAGTTTCAAAGTTGCTTCCACATTTTCCAGCATCATGATAGAAATGCCCCTCTCTCAGTACTAATTTTCTGTACTAGTCCATTCTCACACTGCCATAAAGACATTTCTGAGACTGGGTAATTCATGAAGAAAAGAGTTTTAATTGACTCAGAGTTCTGCATGGCTGAGGAGGCCTCAGGAAAATTATAATCATGGCAGAAGGCCAGGGGGAAGCAACACACATCTTCATATGGCCAGAGAAGGAGGAAGAGAGCAAAGGGGGAAGTGCTACACACTTTTAAACAACCAACTCACTGACTATCATGAGAACAGCATGGGGGATATCTACCCCCATGATCCAATCACCTTCCACTAAATCCCTCTCTCAACATTGGGAATTACAATTCAAAATGAGATTTGGGTGGGGACACAGAGCCAATCCATATCACTTATGCTCTTGCTTAAGAAATTCCCGAGGCTTGTCTTGAAATAAACCCGGCGTTGAACCCCTCCAGAATCCTCTCACTTATGGGGAGTCATAAATAAATAGTCCACCACCACTGGCAGAAGTCACCATAACAACAACCAGACTTCTGTACTGGCAATTACTCAAGATAGCCATCAGAACAAAGACCCAGACCCTGCACCACTCACACATGTCTCTAATACCAAGTTTCCCTTTAAAAACCCTATAGTAAATTTTAAATTTTAAGACAGTATTTTAGAACAATAATTCACCATCTTCTTGGTTTGTTGGCTCTCTGATCAAAACCTGATCACCAACCCTCCCCTCTCTTGCCTGACTTATGTACAGTGAGCAGTTGAACCTGTGTCTGATTACACTTGGTCTTGTAAAAAGGTACCCTTCTCTTTGCTCCTAATTCACCATATGTATTTCTCTTATTGTATATTGGCTTTGTGCTAAGAAGCCTGAGGCCTTTGAATGTCCTAATAATGCTCTAATAATTTTTTAATCTCTACCTAAAATACTGTCTAGTATCTAATTATTCATGCCTTAAAAATTTTTGAGTGCCAACTAACTCCATGGCCATTTTCTATGCACTACATACGTATGGATTTATTGAGAGCCTACATCATGTCCATCACTGTGCTTACTTTACCATGCTAAGCACCAGTTATATAGAAAAAAAAAACAAGTACATATGAATATATATACATAAAATATATAAATATATAATTATAGGTTGGTGGAAAAGTAATTGCAGCTTTGCCATTAAAAATAATGGAAATAATTTAAATTGCTTCTGCCCCAACCTAATATATACATGTGAATATATGTATATAAATATCAGTAAGTTAAACAAACAGTAATAGGTATAAGTATAGACATTAATGTATTAAATACGAGTGGTTTCATGGTAAAGCAGATTAAAGGTATGGAGCTGGGTGGGTGCTCCTAGTGGGTGATCAAGGAAAAGAACACTAGCGAAGTGATATTTGAGCAGAGGCTTTATAAGAGAGTATTTTAGGCAGAGTTTATAGCAAGAGCAAAGCCAAGAAGATAAAATATTTTTTACTGGTTGAATAATAACACAGAAGCCTGAGAGACCAAACTGCTTCTTTAAAAGGAAGCCAGTGGGTGCAGATAACTTTAGATGTAGTCACAGGCAGGGCAAGTGGAATTGTAGAACAAGGGTAAAGATTTTGGCTTTTTTTCTTTTTTTTTGAGATGGAGTTTTGCTCGTGTTGCCCAGGCTGGAGTGCAGTGGCACCATCTCGGCTCACTGCAACCTCTGCCTCCCGGGTTCAGGCGATTCTCCTGCCTCAGGCTCCTGAGTAGCTAGGATTACAGGTGGCCTCCACCATGCCTGGCTAATTTTTTGTATTTTTAGTAGAGACAGGGTTTCACCATGTTGGGCAGACTGGACTTGAATTCCTGACCTCAGGTGATCTGCCTGCCTCAGCTTCCCAAAGTGCTAGGATTACAGGCGTGAGCCACCGTGCCCAGCCAACTTTGACTTTTAATGTAAATGTGATGGAAGTTTCCATGAACAGATGAACAGAGAATTAACTGACTTGCATGTTGGAGCTATTGGCAGTGGCAGTGATAGGAGTGAAAAACTGGAGACCAGTTAGAAGGATATTGCAGGTGTCCAGATAACGACCAGTGGAGAAATGATAGTGGCACAGACCAAGGTAGTGGCATGAGGGTAGTGATAAAACTACATGCATAATTTCAATATATGTTGTAACATATATTTATTTATAATATTATATATTGTTATTTGAAATGTAATATAAATATATTTATATAAATATTACATGTTATACAGTATATATTACATATTTAAATTAATATTAAAATTTAATATATAAAATACATGAAATTGGATGTGTTACAGATAATGCTATGCAACTATATGTATCTAGGCACTTGTACAATTTTTATAAAGATAACTACATTTTTCAGTCTTACTATATAATATTACAGAATACAATTAAGTTGTAACTATTCGGCTTAGACAGTTTATGACTGTATGATTGTTTCTTCCTGTAAGTGCTAAAAAGGGTGTTATTTGCAACTCAATGTATGTGTAGCTACAATTATTCTTTAAAGTTTGCTAAAGTAAAATAAAAAATGATAAACTAAGCATACATTATCAAGAATAGGCAAACTTGGGCCAGTTATTTTATTTAAAACTTATGAATAGCTTTGGAAATACACTTTTTGGTAATACTAAATATATGTGAGAGGAACAATGCAGTCACATGCTCTCAGGAATTCCTTAGGCTTTGTCACATAATAAAAAATATTAATTTAATTTTTAAAAAGGAAAAATACATTATTTTTCTAACAACATGAAATAAATGATACCACTTGTTATAAAATACTATAAATCTTAATTATAATATTTTCTATTAGCCCATAAATTGAAATAAGGCATAATTTTCCTCAATATAATTTAAAATTATTTAAAATAGGGTAATTAATAACGTCATTATTGTTATATAAATATTAGAAATAGTTATTACAGTCAGAGGATGTATTTCTTTTATAACTAAGTATAGTGAGAGACTTAATGTCATTAAGAGAATCATTTCAAAAACACCTAAGTAATCCAATTATTTTTAACTTTTCAGAAATCAATGATTATTTTAAGTCTACAATATAAAATCCAAGTTGAGTATCAAACAATTCACTTAATCAGCAAAAGATAGACGTTTAACAGATGAACGCTGGTATTTTAGATGGCTTAATTTATTTATCTCCACGGTAACTACCTTATTAAAGTTAGAAAATGGTTGAAATAAAGAAATACCAAAACTTTCAGAAAAAAAAATTATCATCTCTTTCTAGCTAAAATAAAATATCCCTTTATTTCTGATTGACTCTTCAAGAAAACCTATTCCCCATTAGTAGCCAATAAGATTTCTATAATTCAATTAGCTGGATGTGGTGGTGGGTGCCTGTAATCCCAGCTATTCAGGAGGCTGAGACAAGAAAATGGCTTGAACCCAGGAGGCTGATGTTACAATGAGCCAAGATTGTGCCACTGCGCTCCAGCCTGGGTGACAGAGTGAGACTCCATCTCAAATAATAATAATAATAATAATAATAATAATAATAATAATAATAATAATAATGACATAATTCAGAGCACCCAACTAAATTGTAACTATGTGAATTATCAACTGAAGATAAAGTTTGTCTTTGTTTACAAAGTTTTCCAGGAATGGTGTAGCAAAAGGAAACCTTCACTGATAGTTTGGTAACAAGTTTGTTACTATCTCTACCAAAGACTAATTATACAACCTGTCATGGAGAACCTCAGTATTCTCATCATTACAGTAAGAAGATAGAACTCTGCAATCTTCAAATTTACTTCTAATTCTTAGGTAAGAGGAGTTAATTTTTTTGTGTGTTAAATCCTCTTACTACTTGTTCTAATTACATTTTTAGTTAATTTTATTCAGTTTCAAGAACTGTATAAGCCAAGTAAGCATCTTATTAATTTGGATGTCATTAAAAATATTAATTTAATTTTTTAAAAGGAAATTGTGAAAAAAGAAATTTAATTATGAAATAGGAAAAAAATAGTTTCTGTATCCATTTCCTTTTCTGTCTTCTATCTTTAAGAACTCTACTGAGTTAGTTCTGTAAGTAATCATCCTCTAATACTCCATATTGTCCATAAAGTTAGAATTTTGTTTTGCCACAGTTCGGGTATCCACAATAAAATTTTATGTTTCATGAAAACTCTCCTAAGTAAAAAAACCATCTCAGGATGAGATCCATGGATATAATCAGACAGTATCACTTAAAAAGACATTTGAAAAAGAATGCCTAGGACTCTTTCTCAGCATTTTTTGGTAAAGGTAAATATATTGGGGTGCCTTTTTAATGATAATGCCCTTATATTTGTTGCTCAAACTGAAGAAGTAACATGGTATAACCAATATTAATTGAATCGGGAATGGGAAAGTAATAGCTGCTACCTAGTAATAGTCACTATAGTACCTCGTAATTCTTCAGTATGTACTAAATATGAGAAATTGTTCTGTGCTCTCACTTATGTCCTTTTATTCTCATAACATCCTTATTAAATAAATATTATTGTCCTTATTTTTGGTATTGAAACCATCTCTATAAAATGAGTCAGGAAAGAAGGGAGGGGGAGAAATGAAAATAAACCAAGCTTACAGCACACTTGGCATTAATCATTAGGTCAGCTTGCTCTCTGACCCGCTTCCTCATATTTTTTTGCTTATTGCCCCAGAAACATGTAAACCCTGTCACAAGATTATAGCTCTGCTCAACTGCTCTATAGATAACAACTTAAGCATTGTGAAACATTAAGTTTTCCCTTTGTGATATTCTTTCAGTTGCTGCAAAGTAGTGAAACTACCAACACCAGCTAGTCTAATGGACCCCATGAGGAGCTGACCCTCCAAAGAATGCAGTTTTCACAGCCTGATGACTTCATCTCCCTTATCTTGACCAATCTATGGCCCCACTTTTGCAATCCTTTACCCACCATAATACACTTATGAACTCCAGCCCTGAACTCCTGGAGGAGATGGATTTGAGGGCCTCTTCCTGTCTCCTCACTTGGCTGCCCTGCAGTTATTAAACATTTTCTCTGCTGCAAACCCTGCTGTTTCAGTGTACTGATCTTTTACTGTGTAGTGGGCTTACGAACCTGTTGGTCCTGTAACAGTATGAAGAAAAGAAGGCATAAGAAGGTAAAGTAACTTCCTAGTGTAGTGTTCATATATTTAGTAAGTACCTGAGTTGTAAACTGCCACCTTCAAATGCACCAAGGAATTACACCATTAATCACAAAGACACAGAAAGAACACATGGTATGGGGGATAAATTTTTAAAAATTCTAAAGGACTTTTAGGTTTTTCTCAACTTCTTAACTTACTTGAGAACTGGGCTAATTTGTATATTCAGAACGTTTATAACCAAAACTTTTTAGAAATTTTCAGTTTAATCATACTCTATTACAGACCGAATACTTGTATATACTCAAAAATTCATGTCATAAATTTTGTGTTTTCTAACTGTACCAAATATATTAAAAGCCTATATTTATCATGTCACCATTTATTTTAAATAAAATGACAGAATGTACTAGTTATAATCAAAAAGTTGTATATGCTTCTATAATCACCTGCTTTTTAAATCTGCATCCTTTCTGGAAACATACCAGATTTGAAAGTGTGGGTTTATTTTCATAGCTTTGAGAGCATGAATCTTAATTGGCTTTTTTTTCATTTATGACTTGTGTGTCTTTCCATACTGATAGTAAAGTTTCCTAAATTGTAGAAAATAAGAAAAAGAGAAATCAGTGAAGTATAAGTATATTGATCTTACACTCAATGTCATAGTAACAAAGAGAATCAACTCAGAATCTGTTTTCTGCAATCAGATACATGCTTAAATATCAAGTAAATCTTTTCAGCTTTTTCAACTAAAAAGCTCTGATAATTAATGGAGAATGATTTATAGTGTATACTGTCATTTTCTTCTGGGATAAAATTGGCTATGTAACCCATGGGAATATTTCTATGTTCTTCTGATCTGAACCCCTCTATCACTCACTCACTGTTCCACTATTTCATGAAAGAATAAAGCAGGCTACAATATCTTTTAACAAAGCATTTTCAAATTAAAAAGAAAGCATGACAATCATCTTTTTATAAAATGTTTTAATGAAGTTTTTTTTCACTATAACTATTAAACTGGCCACCAAAATAGTATTTAAAAAAATCATTGATTATTTCAAATAAGTGCATTCCAGATGTGTTCCATGCTATAAAGAAAAGGATTTGTGAAACTGGCATTATGCATATTTGCATACCTTATTTGTAAAGAATTAAGATCTTAGGGGAGTTCAAATGGGAAATGATAATTCTAAAAATGAAAATTTTTGTATGCATTCTATAGTACATTTGCATGAATTTTACCACTATAACCCTAGAGAACTCTTACAGATTTTTTTATGCTAGATCTTCAGTTGAACTTATTAAGAAAATTATCAGATTTAAAGGTAAAAATTAGGTCATGATAAATGGTTTTTGCCTATTTATCAAATGTTATTACAGAATTTTATCTCTATTATATTCTGTTTAACTAATTTACTAAAATTAAATATTGTCTTGAATTCATATAAATTAATTCCACTAAAATCAACTTAGATTTTTATTCTATACTATGTGTATGAGAGCTTAGTTTTTCACTGGCCTACATTTGTGCCTGATATTTAATGAATCCACATAACAATACAGTGAAAGATTATTAACTATATGTTCTCTACTTAAAATCTACCTCTGCTTTTAGAAACTAATTCATGAATTTATATTACAAGTTGTGCATAGGAACAATAAACACCTCATTTTTTTCAAGTTTATAGTCGATTATAAATAAACTAGTGAAGATTAGAGATAGCACTAAAAACTGAAATCCAATATTACTAAATAATCTTCCTTTGATGTTTCCTAATAAATCCTTTGATCTAATCTTCAAAGGAAAGATCATGTTGCCCATTTTTAATTTAATGTACTTTTCAATGGTATATTGAGTAAACAAGTTTCATTTGAAAAAAATAGTAATTTTTTTCAGCACTTAAGTTTGTATTACTTTTAAAATAATGTTTTAAAATTAAAATTTAAAGTTTTAAAAGACAAGCATCCATACCAGTATGGGAAGGTGAAGAGAGGATGGGAGGACAAGACATGAGGAAGGAATTCTGTTCAATTAATAATAAAGCTCCAGGTTCATCCCATCATGGATTTAGTAGTCATCCAGAGAGACACATCATCCATAAAAATCATGTACCATTACTTCAGAACAATCTGTTAATGTGTCCCAGTTTGGGCCACTGACAGCTGCTTAAGGTTGCTGATAGTGTCATGAGTGATTTTCTACGGACCTTCTTTGAAAGCTGTCACTGCAGACAACCTCAGTCATCCTGGAGAGAGCTCAAGTCACCTGAAACCGAAGAACACAACCTCCAGAATTGTTTAAAGTGCAACACCAGCCTGCCCAACATGGCGAAACCCAGTCTCTACTAAAAATACAAAAATTAGCTGCACGCGGTGGCGTGTGCCTGTAATCCCAGCAACTCTGGAGGCTAAGGCAGGAAAATTGCTTGAACCCGGGAGGCAGAGGTGGCAGTGAGCCGAGATCGCACCACTGCACATTTTAGCCTGGGTGACAGAGCGAGACTCCGTCTCAATAATGATAATAATAAAGTACAACAAAAATGTGGAAACATGGAGGACATATGAGCTGTTATTATTAATTGATGTGTGAGCTGTTATTAATTGGAGAAATTAAATAATCTTTTTTAACTATCGGATTGGATTTTTTGAGATGCTATTTACATGGATCTAAAAACAGTGGATTGAAGCCGGCAGGTCAGTAAAGAAGCTGTGCAATGCAGAAAGGAATCAACATCACTAGCACTGATCTTTGTGAGATAAATTTTGAAAGGGAAGTAAAAGTTATTGACATTTCAATAATCAATACTTTTACAAGAGTAGCTAACGATTTCCATTTCTGGTCAAAAATTGGTATCACAGAAGCCCTCCCAAGAAAAGTAAAAGTCATAAAAAATATAAAGCAAGTGCTACAGGCTCTTGTGTCCCTTCCATCTTCATTCTTTCTCGCTGAAACAGCTGTGTGAAATATGAGTGGGGGAAGAAGATTAACATTTAGGCTAGAGGAAGACAAAATGTACAAGAAACTTCTAAGCCAGTTGGGCCTGTGGTTGTCCAGCAGCCCAGTGATGAACAGCCTCAAAAAGAGGAGCCACTGACTGAAAGTAAGGATGTTATGCCTGGTCAGGAGAGAGATGAGGCGGCACCCAAGAGTCAAGGTCCTGGCTTGGAAGCTGATATTCAGGAAGTGTCTCAGGCAAAAACTGGAGGTAAATGGGGAGATGATCCTTATGTCAAGGGTGAGATCTATCAAATTTAGAGCCTTGCTTAAGTGCTGAAAGCAGGCGAAGGGCAATCATAGGTTTAAGTGAAGACAGTGGAAAAAAATGCAAGCTGTTCTTATATTTGTATATTTGACTTAAAATTATCTCCATAAAGTTTTACGGTTTTCATATATACATACAAGACAACTGTTTGCAGACATAGCAGAGCTACAAACTCACAATATAATTTGAGGAGAAAAATCTCTAAAGATAAAAAAGATGACCGTTGGGTGAGCACTACATTCACATACATCTTTTTTTTTCTCAGATTATTTGCCAATATCTGACCAATAATTCGCCAAATATTGGACCAAGATACCAAGCCAATTACATCAAAATTTTGCATATAATTTCCCCCCTACCCCCACCATCAGCAATTTACTATTTGAAAGCGGAGCATAAGAAAGGTGAAACTTCTAAAAATTAATGAAATACAAGAAAATTAGAGGCTATATTTGTTTTCTAAAGCTGCCATAAGAAAATACCACAGATTAGATGGCTTAAACAACAGAAATTTATTTACTCACCATTTTGGAGGTTCGAAGTCCAAGATTAAGGTGTCCTCAGGCTTGGTTTCTACTGACGCCTCTCTCCTTGGGTTGCAGAGGGCTGCTTTCTCACTGCTTCCTTACAGGACCTTTCCTCTTGGTGCCTCTTCTTCTACTTGTAAGGAAACCAGTCATAGTAAATTGTGGCCCCAGACTTATGCGCTCATCTAACCTTAATTACTTCTTAAAAAACCCCCATCTCCTTATTCACATTCTAAAGTATTAAGGGCTAGGGATTCAACATATGATTTTGGGGGAACCAAATTCAGTCGATAACAGAGAATAAAAAGTTAAGATTTCAGCAGTTTTTCAGTGCAAAGAAGGAAAGACTTCATTTCAGGGACTAGCAAGTTAAGAGGGTTAAGAGGGTGATGACAAATACCCACAATGTTCAGATAAGACCCGAAAATATGTGTACACTAGGAGGAAAACTATACACTGGGAATATGGATCATCAGATAGGGAAAAGGACTCCCAAACCTAAAAGCCATCTTCCACTATTAATTGGCCTTATTTGCCAGTACTTGTATCAGCTGGCCAGAGAAACAAAATACACAAACACCAACAATACCAAAACTTAAATGTCTTCAGAGGAAGATAACATCACTCAGTCTTCCCAAATTGACATATACAATATCTTACATTCAGTTAAAAATAATGTCATTTGAAGAAAAAATAGCAAATGACTGAAAAAGAATAGGAAAAACAGAGAACAGAATAATAATCCAGATATTAAAATTGTAAGAAAGATATTAACCATACTGTGATTTATATATTCCAGAAAACAGAGAAAAGATCACTATAGAACTGGAATCTATTTTTAAAAGAGTCAATGAGAACAGCTATAAATAGATAATACAATAACCCAAATTAAGATTTCACATGATACCTTAAAGATAAGACAAAGATCTAACTAATGTATTTGAAGACAATATAAAAAACTCAAATGACTGATAAAATGAAGCAAGAATAGAACATAAACAGACGTGCAATATACTCAAGTCTTCAAACATACATAGAATTGGAGTCTCAAAATAAAGAAGACAAAAAATGGCAGGAAAGCAAATTCTGAAAAAGTACTGCTGGAAAATTTTTTAAAACAATGACATCAAGTCACAGATCAAGAAACTCTACACTTCCAAAGTAGAGACTGTACAAAGAATAATTTACATAGGCACATTTTCAACAGATATGTAAAGATAGACTAAAACTATAGAAATATGTTCTTTAAAGATAGAATTAAGCTAGAATTTAATAATTGACAGTTAAATAAAAAATCCATTAAAAAGCAAGCAAGCAACTTTTGAATAACCCATGGGTTAAAGAAGAAATAACACTGGATATTTGAAATTGTTTCTAATTGAAAAATAAAAATATGACAAATAAGACTTGTGAAGGAGCTAGAACCATGCATAGAGGACAATTTACAGAAAACTATAGAAAAGAAGAAAGGCAAAATCAAAAATTAATTAAAGTGTTCTTTTTAATATTCTAGAAAAAGTCATAAATTAAGCACAAATGCAAGAAAAGAACTAATTAAGAGAAAACAAGTAATCAATAAGAAGAAAAGTGTCTGAAGATTAACAAATGAAAATTTAAGTTCTTTCAAAATTTGAGTAAAATTATTAGAACTCTAGGAAGTCTTATCAAGAATAAAAGGGAAAATACATACTGCCAATACTGGAATGGAAAAGGAGATTATCCCTACAGAGCCTAGGAATATTTAAAGTAACAAAAATATTATGTTCAAGTCTAAAAAATAAATTCAAAAATTTGTATGAATGGATATACTTCTTGAAAAAATATAACTGAAAAATACAATAAAGGAATAAAAACTGTGAGTCATCTTATATTTATTTAAAAAATTAAAATGTAAATAAAAACTTTATCATAAAAATATATTACATCATAAATTATTTAAAATATTTAAGTAGTAAATATCATCAAACTTTTTACATTTTAATTTTACTTTTTTGTATTTTGGTATGAACTCAACATGAGATCCACCATTTTTAAAAATGTTCAAGTGCCTAATACAATACTGCTAACTATAGGCGCAATGTTGTACAGCAGATTTCTAGAATTTACTCATGTTGCATTACTGAAACTTCATACTTGTTCATTAGTAACTTATTTTTCCATCCCCCTGCCTCCTCCCATGGCAGCTTTGCATTCCACTTCTATGAGTTTGAGACTGGCTTATTTTACTTAGCATAATGTCATCAAGATTCATCCATGTTGTCACATATTACAAGATTTTCTTCCTTTCCCTTCCCTTTCCCTTTCCTTTTTCCTTTCCTTTCCTTTTTTCCTTCCTTCCTTCCTTCCTTCCTTCCTTCCTTCCGTCCTTCCTTCCTTCCTTCCTTCCTTCCTTCCTTCCTTCCTTCCTTCCTCCCCTTCCTTCCTCACCTTCCTTCCTCCCCTTCCCTCCTTCCATCTCATCCTTTCCCTTCTTTCTTCCTTTTTTTTTTGTGGGTTTTTTTTTGAGACTGCAGCATCTTCCTATGTTGCCCAGGCTGGTCATGAACTGACAGCTCCAAGAAATCCTCCTACCTCAGCCTCCCAAAGTGCTGGGATTATAGGTACCATGTCCATTTTTCCTTCTTTGTAAAATTAAAACAATATTTCATTATATATATAGTAAAATATATAATAAAATATTATATATATAATGAGTACAACAGGTCTGCCATAAGGTCTCAGGGACCTTATATATTCATATATAATGAAATATTATATATTATTAAATATACATAATAAAATATATATAATATATAAATGTGTTTGAATATACATGTGCTGTGTGCATATATATATATATATATACATGGTTGCAGTATACATATGATTGAATTATAAATATATATGGTTGAAATATATATATATATATAACTTTTAAGTTTTTCCATGAATTTAAAGCTTTAATGGTAAGGGTAAATCAATATTTTTTTTCAAGCTTCTTAGTCTAAAGGTACTTTTTTCTAGTATCCTGGCAAAGTGGCAAAAATAATACAGAATTATACTTTCTGAGGTAACATTTACTCCTGCCCTTCCTCTACTTCTATCTAGATCTTTCTTTTCCTTTGCTCCTATTGCCCTTGTCCCACTCAGTGTGGGCTTCTAGATATTTAGAATGTCTTTGTATCAGAGAGATAGTTTGATTTGTTAGCTTTGACAGTTCACAGGGCATGATCAGATTCAGCTTCCTGAGACATTATGGCAAATCTGTTGCACTCATGAGTGCATTATGGTCTGCAAATACATATCCTAGTTTCCACTGCAGTTTTCAAATTGGCCCTTTGTATTTCCTGATGAAGTACTATTGGATATTTAGGAATCTCCTATTCTCGGATCTACCAGATGCCCTGTTTCTCAGTTCCATGTTCTACTTTTATCACTTAGTTTTTTGCAGACATCTGTGCATTTAGTTTTGCTATTGAAAAACAAATTAATGATTTACAATAAAAAAGAAGAAAAAGGTATAGTTGCATAATAGAGTGGATCAATTCAGAAGGTCCAACATCCAACAAATAACTTCTAAAAACAGAAAACTTAAATGACTAAAAAATTCTAAAAATATTTCTGCACACTAAAATAAAAACATACTGGAGCACATCATCATGAAATTCCAAATTACAAAACAGAATTTTAAAGAAGTCTAAAATTTTGAAGAAGAAATCTTCCAAAAGTTCAGATTTCTTTTTGGTGTCAGATTTCTCTCCATTAATGTTGTATGCTAAGAACAAGTATACAATACTCAGACAAATTGTCAATTGAGGATGACAGTAAAATAAATTTATCTTAAGACATGCAAAGTCTCAAAATATATCTACTTCAAAAATCCTTTTAAGAAAACAATTGAGAAATAAGCTTCAGCAAAATGAGGGCCAAAGCTCATGATTTTACAAAGTTGATCTGTCAACTCAAATGAAATACTGAGACAGGAATCTTAATCCATTCAGGCTTATTAAATTGGAGTTTGAGGGTGTGTACCTAAGAAGCAAGGATTACATTAGCCTGTAACCTGATGTCCAAAGTCAAGTACATGAAGCACAGTTTTTATGCATTTTCTTTCCAAACAGAGAGTTACGTGCAGCACAGAAGAGAGGCAGTGAAGTCACAGCCACATTCTTGTGATTTTGGTTGGTGTTTAGTAATGTTATATAAGAAGGTAAAACAAATATGTGGTTGAGTGGGTAGGAGAAAAAAGTTAATAATTCTGTAAGGCATCTTAGGATCTGATGGAAGAATTATTGATTTTATCCTGTCTTGTTCTATATCTGATAAACAAGTTACAACCTGTACCTGTCAGACTCGTTACATAGGCAAGAGTCAGTTTTAAAGACCCTAAGATTACAGCTAAAATATGTCTATTTATGGGAGGTCACAACACTTATTCCTTGCTACCATAGCGGCCTTTGCACATACACACATTCCTGGACCAAAACAGAAAATTAGAATAGGCTTCAGTTTTTCTTTTTCATCTATTTTCACATATCTAACTCAGAAAGTTATTGGACAAAACCTATGCAACAAGCTTTATGATAAATTATTTCAATTTGGAATATAAAATGGAAAAGAACAGAAGGCAATTATTCTCAGAGAAAATTGATTTGGAGTTTATGAAAATATATACTAATAATTTTAAGTACATAGAAAAGAGGGAACTGTTAACTCATAGTACAACAATTGGTTCAGCAATGAAAAACTATGTTTTAATTATAAAACATAGATGCCACTGACTTATCCAAATATTATGATATAAATCTACTAATGGATGAGGGAGGATAAGTGATACTGGTAATGTGGTTGAGATAACACATGATCCATCATAATATTAAAAGGATCCAGTAATGATCCCAAATTGTGACGATGGGTTAGATGTATAAGCAAATTGTTTAGAAATACATGCTGAATACTGGAAGAAAAATCTAGAGTAGTTGACAGCTGTTGTTTCTGAGAAAAGAATTATTGGTTAGGCTGGGAGTTTCAAAGAATCCTTCCTTTATATTGTATGCCTTTTAGTACTATGTAACTTTTAAATATATATAATAATTACCTTGATTAAAATAATTAAAAAATAAAACAAAGTAATATAAAAAAAGAATTTAGAATTATAAAGTTGTAAATTGGTCTCAGTGAAACATAATGATTATCATATGGGAGAAAGAGGAGGCTTGGTGATTATCTGATTACTTATTAATAATGGTGATAATGATATAAATAATATTATTATTATGAAAATTACATTTATCCCTTCATTGAAGCCAACGCTGTGTTGAGTTAAACTTTGAATTTTATCTTCATAATAAAAATACTACCCAGGCAAGAAGATACATTTTAGTCTCCAAGGAATGAGAACAATAGTGTCACCTGATCTATTTGTTAATAGGAATGAAAAGTTTTCAAATTACCAATCCATATATTGAGGTATATATATTTATATATTAAAAACAACAACTACCTTGGATAATAAACGCAATATTTTTTCCTTTCCTTAGGTGTTTAAATAAATCCAATTTTGTGATATGTACCTTTGTTTATAAACTTAAATATCTTAAATATCTTAGCTCAGGTTGTGTTTTTTCACTCAAAGGATTCTAGAACTTGATTTGTCTCTTTTATTCAATGATACCTGGAGACACTGTCAAAAGTTATGTTAGTGCTCTTCATACTGTGTTGAATGATCTCCAGTTTCCTAGGTATTAGATTTAATATGATGATTCTAGTTTGATTAGAACACCATTTGCCTTAGGAATCACCTGCATCATTTTTCTGCTCACATTAATTAAAATAAATCATATCCTCACTTTCCATGGTCTTGAGATTTCATATAAAATATGCTGGAGGCTTGGGATTCTCTACGAGGGAAACTCATTATTGCAATTCTTTCCCTTTGGGAACATAAAATATAGTTTTAGGGAACTCAACCTTTTCAATTAACAGAAAGGGCAACAGTAAACTCTAGATTGTTTTGATTTCAATCACGGCCTTAAATTCTGGGACCCCCTAGGCAAATATCCTGGAAGAAAATTTCTTGCATGCTGAAAATTTATCTATCAAAGTAATATATATTTGAACTTACAAAAATGTAAATACTTGTTTACCCAAATTTGACTGCTCCAAGAGATTTTTGGAGCTAAAAGCCCTTGTTTAATAATATGAGATTTAGGATACTAAAACATCTTAAATCTAGTGCTAATCCTTTAGTGTAACTGAAGAAACTTTGATCTCTATGAAGACAACAGAATATTTATTTTTGAAAAATTAAGTCTATGCTAGGGAATACATAATATATTTACTAACCATGGGATTCTTATATATGATTATAAAAGGTAATATAGAAAACCATGCAGAAATGCACTTTGTGTGACTCCAGTTAGTCATTCTTTATTGCCAAAATATCAGAGAAGCCCTTATAAGTTGGCTGCCTGAGTTTGTCTTATAGTCCTTCCCATTGAAAACTCTTGTTTTTTTTTTTTTTTTTTTTGGTTTCTCTTATAGCAAACATTTTTTTTTCTCTTTTTTTAAGACAGGGTCTCACCCTGTTACCCAGGTGAGATTACAGTGGCATGACCATGGTTCACTGCAACCTCAACCTCCTGGGCTCAAGAGCTTCTCCCACCTTACGCCTCCTGAGTAACTGGGACCACAAGCCTGTGTGCAGCCACACTCAGCTAATTTTAATTTTTTTTTTTTTTTTTGTAGAGATGGAGTCTCCTTATGTTGCCCAGGCTACAAATATTTTTTACTCTTAAACCCAACTTTTCCCATTTTTGCTATTGAGTTTTCTCCAGAATTGCCTATGGAATATGCAAGAAAGTTATAAACCTAGAGTATTAATTTGTTCAACGTTCGTGAGTGAAAAGGATATTGAAATGTTTCTGAAGTTAAGATATCTCTACTTGTTTAAACTGAAGTTGATTAGACTAATTTTGAATTTGCAAACTTAAAAATCATCAATAGGCTTCATCTCATTGTGGAAAAATCTTTTCATTCAGAATGTCTCCTATGTGAACTGAACTCATTCAGAGAAATCATAATGATATTAAAATAGTAACTATTGAGAGCTTCAAAATTGCTAAACAATATTACCTTTTTCACTTCTCAGCCTCACCATCTCAGTTAAGTATTATTTTAACACAATTTTTTAAAATTTGTTTTTTTAGAGACAAGGTCTCAGTATGTTGCCCAGGCTGGTCTTAAACTCCTGAGCTCAAGGGATCCTCCCACTTAGGCCTCCCAAGTAGGTGGGACTACACATACATACCACCATGCCTGGCTTGTAATCCAACTTTAAAGATGGAAAAGTTAGTTAAAGAAAGATTAAGCAGATGTACAATGTCACTCAGGCCCATACGACAGACTTGGAGTCTGTCCAAATGGCCATAGTGCCATTATGATACCTTAAAAAAAAAAAAAAAAACCTTACAATTAAAGACAGAAATTATATGTCAGGCTGTCCTCATTGTCTTGATTATCACATTTAGAAATGTCATCTCAGTACTCTTGACTTCCCTTCCTCCATGGCTCTCATCTCTGCTCTGCCTCAACCACATACTAGACACACTCAATGTGTTTTAACCCATAACTTCACTTTCTTTTTTTTTTTTTTTTTTTTTTTTTTTTGAGAGGGAGTCTCACTCTGTCACCCAGGCTGGAGTACAGTGGTGCGATCTCAGCTCACTGCAATCTCCGCCTCCCGGGTTCACACCATTATCCTGCCTCAGCCTCTCAAGTAGCTGGGACTACAGGCGCCCACCACCATGACCGGCTAATTTTTTGTATTTTTAGTAGAGACGGGGTTTCACCGTGTTAGCCAGGATGGTCTCGATCTCCTGACCTCATGATCCGCCCACCTCAGCCTCCCAAAGTGCAACTCCACTATCTTCATTGCAAGTACTCCATTCTCCAACTGGCAATTTCTATCTCTACAGTTCACTCCTATTATTATCCTGTCTCCAAAAGTTATTTGACTTCCTGGTACTAAAAATACACATATTATACCAAATTTTCATCATTGCTTTTCAGTATGCAGTTTATATCACCATTTCCCTTCCAAGTTGAAATCCCACAATTTATTGTTAAATCACTTCCTCACTTCCTTCAATATAATCTTCAACTTTAATCTTCATAGCAAAATGAGGGTGGGAATGAAGCAGGTTTGAGCTTCTGCAGGGAAGATGTGATGAAAGTTAACAGTGGCAAAAAAAGTTGAAGATTGTATCTTTAACTAATCTTTCTTAAGTGCTCCCTATTTGGGAGGCTTAGGTGGGAGGATCCCTCCCTCACATAGTGAGACCTTGTCTCTAAAAAACAAATTAAAAAAAAAAAACAAAAAACATTGGGTTAAAATAATACTTAACTAAGATGGTGAGGCTGAGAAGTGAAAAGGGTAATATCATTGTTTAGCAATTTTGAAGCTCTCAATAAATAGTTATTATTTTAATATCATTATGATTTCTCTGAATGAGTTCAGTTCATATACGAGACATTCTGAAAGAAAAGATTTTTCCACAATGAGATGAAGCCTATTGATAATTTTTAAGCAACAATTCTGTATTTTCCTAGTCAACTAATTCACATGAATGTTTCATACCTTTTCATGTATTTTCAAATATCTCTTGACTTTCAGCTGTTGACCTTGGCATGCTATGCTATCCCATTGCATCTATGCAGATATTTTCCTCCTTCTGTCCTGTTACTTCTCCATAAAGTTTTTTCACATTTGCAACACAGACCATCCCTTTTAACTTACTGAAGAAACCATCTAGTGAATCTACAATACATATGGGCAATTTTTCTCACTTCAATTATTTTATTTGGACCAAATACTCCTTTAGCTACTACATCACTTCTTCTGTCCTGCTTCCTATTCCTCTCTTCCCATTCTTGCAGCCACTATTTGAATCAGACTCTTAACCCACATCTTCATTGAACTTGTTCTTATTATGGTTGCCAATGATCTCAACATTGTTCAATATAATTGTCTATTCTCTGTCTTCATCTTACTTGGTCAGCAGCAATTAATACAATTGATCACCTGAGTAATTTTTTATTTGCTAAGATACATGCCACTTCTTTTATTTTATTTCTACTTTATTGATCACTCCTCCTTAGTGCCCTTTGCTAGTTCTTATTTTCAAGAACTTTAAATACTGGAGTTCCCTAGGGATCAAGTTTTGTACATTGTATTTTTCTAACTACATTCAATTTACTGTTTTATAATGATATCTGGTCTCATGACTTTAACACTCATTTCTACATGGAAGGCTTCCAAATATAAGTCTTCAGATGTGCCTCTCCTCTATACTCCAACTGCTTTCACTCCTCTTTATATCCAGACCTACTCTCCTTCTCTTTATATCCCACACTCCTTCTCTTTATATCCAGACCTACTCTTCTAGTCTCCTTTTCAGTGAGTTTTGGTTTTTGCACTGAGTTAGGCAAAAAATATTCAAGTCTCTCTTGTCTCTTCCTACCTCTCACACTCTGCAACTGACCTTTAAAAATAAGTCTGCTTTTGAAATAAGTCTGTTTTATAACAACTTCACACTACTTCCATTGCTTCCACTTGTGTGTTTTAAGCTACCATCGCCTCCCTACTTAACTTCTAAATTCTACAATCATATTGGTGTTCTTGAAATGCAAGCGCAATCATGTAAAACTGTTTAATATTCTCCAAAGAGTTTTTACATAATGGCAATGTAAAGGTAAATTCAATTAGATACAATGTCCTATATAAATAAGACACTGGCTATCTGATGGACATTAACTGCTATGATTCTCTCCCTGGCTCACTCTTCTGTAACCAAACTTCCTTACAATACTGATAATACAGTGAGGATGTTCCTGTGGCAGAGTCTTTGCACTTTGTGTTCCCTCAGCCTTAAATGCTCTTTCTTCTTACACCCATGTCCTATTGCCTCATGTTTTTCAGGTTTCTGCTTAAATGACAGCATGTTAGAGAAGCCTTCCTGAACACGTATTTAAAATAATAACTTTAGCAAAACCTATTCTCTTTCTTAGTTTTCTTTACAAGATCCATCACTATTTAACATAATGTATGTTTTACTTTTCCATTCGTTTACTATCTGTCTCCTTCATAAATATGTGTGCTGTGAGGGCATGAAATATTGAAAGATTTTCATTGTTACATTTTCTGTCCTTAGAAAAGTGCTGCCAGAAAGGAAAGGCTCAATACATATTTGTTGAATTAATTAATTAAGCACAAATACACAGATGTCTTAAGTATCCAGATGGAATAATACAATATATGTTCAAAGAATGACCAATAAACAAAACAAAAGCATAATGATAAGTACCAGCTAGACCCGCACAGACAAAGTGGAATACAGAGTAAAAACTATGAACTAGCTGGCAGATAAATTCCCATCCCTCTTATCTTGGGAGGGAACTAAAACAGAACAAAACATAACAAAACAAAACTGGTGTTGCTGGAAAAGTATGATAGGCCTTAATCACTCATGTATGTATCACATACTGTTGGAGATTCTATAAAGAATAGTTCAACTCTATGTGGCATAGCTTTTCAATTAATTTTAATGAATGATTATAATATTCCAAGATGGTCCAGGAAGATTTCTCTTAATGTATCTTTAAAAGAAAAATAGATCAAACTTACAATGGGAAAGTATTAGGTAACTTTCTACAGTGTGGTTGCCAATAACACTGCTGTTACTTTCAATTCTAATCAATTTCTGATTTAAGATAAGATTATAAATTCTTTTCGCTTTTTGATTGAGTACAGTTACTACTGCTACTTCTAAATATGTGCCACTGCTGTGCCAAAATATTTGTTTTCTAGTGCAAAACCCTCCAGAGCTGTTTTTTCTGTCTAGCATACTGACCAGCAACACTTGAGATGGTAGCTACTTCATTAATAAACTTGGTTCTTTACTAACTTTGATGAATAGAGACCCAATTTCCAGTCCTCATAAGCCTGCAGTGGTGTGTAGCATTACATGGAGGGAAAATATCTATATCTATACCTGTATCTCTACATTTCTTTATCTCTTTCTCAACCTCTATACCTAACCTGTCCTGAATAATATAAAGACAAGTCAAGAAAACAGCCATATTTCTCAGCACAGTTATAGCTACACTTAAATTATATATAGCATGTAAAATCATTTTTAACTACACTTAGTTTTGAGTAAGCATTTAAAATATGTTTTGTAATCAACTGGTTTTTTTTTCTGTCACATATTGCTGCATAACAAATTCTCCAAACCTTAGCAGTTTATAGCAATAGAAATATATTATCTCACATTGTCTGTGGGCCAGGAATCTAGGAGTGGCTTAGATTCCTGGGTCCTCTGTCTCTGGGCTGCAATCAAGGGCTGAGGTTGTCTCAAGACTTGATGAGGGAAGATCTGAAATCACTTACGTGGTTGTTTGCAGGCCTCAGGTCCTTGCTAACTGTTGGAAAGAGTCATCTGTTCTTTGCCTCTATGCAGGACAACTCAAAATTTGACAACTGGCTTCTCTTTAGGGCAACCATAAAAGACAGTGAGAGACAGTAAGAAAAAAGTCACAGACTTTATAACCTACTCTCAGAAGTGACAGCTTATGACTTTTGCTGTGTTCTATTTGTTATAATTGAATCACTAAGTTTAGTCTACACTCAAGAAGAGGGAATTACATGAAGGGGAAATATTAAGAGGTGAAAATTATTGGTGTAACCAAACGCAGGTTCTACTGATTGCTGATTGCAAAATTGAGTAACAAGGACAAGGCGTGGTAGGAGAAAAGCAACCTTATTTTCCAATGCTGGCAGTGGGGAAATGATTCAGACTACTTCCCTAATAAAACGGCTTCAACATTCTCAGGCAAAATGCTAGGATTTAAGAAGGTTTGGTACAGCGGGAATGCAGCAGGGGTGCAGCAGTGCAGGTCTACGTGACTTGTTCTGATGACTTGAGTTATTACTCCATCTGATAAATAAAATGGTGCCATCTTGGGCTCAACGGGGTTGTAAATTAGCCACAGCTTTGAATAATTTTCTGGTGGGGGAGAATTTCATAAGCACCTGGGTTGTCTCAAGGTTCAGTCTCTGGGACTTCTAAGCAAACGTAATTAGAAGCTAACAATGCAGGGGTGTGCCTGGTGGGAAGGAGACTAAAGGTTATTATTTCATTACTGAAATGTTAATACAAAAGTCTGAAGAAAGTAAAAAAAAAATCTTAAAAATAGGGTACTCAGTTATACCGGGACTTATTTCAAGGGCTGCTTACTACTGCACAGTGCTTAGATCCATTCCTATCCTCTGACCTATTTCTCTGGCCAACTGGTGCTTAATTGGTTTTTAAGCAAGTGTCTTAAAACACTGATACAGTTTGGCTCTGTGTCTCCGCCCAAATCTCATGTTGAATTGTAATCCTCAGTGTTGGGGGAGGGGCCTGGAGGGAGGTGATTGGATCATGGGGTTGGACTTCCCCCTTGCTGTTCTCCTGAGGGTGAGAGGGTGAGCGAGTTCTCAGGAGATCTGAGTGTTTAAAAGTGTGTAGCACCTCCCCCTTAGCTCTCTTCCTCCTGCTCCAGCTATGTAAGACGTGCCTCCTTCTTCTTCACCTTTTGCCGTAATTTTAAGATTCCTGAGGCCTCCCCAGCCATGCTTCCTGTATAACCTGCAGAACTGTGAGTGAATGAACCTCTTTTCTTTATAAATTACCTAGTTTCAGGTGGTTCTCTATAGCAATGTGAGAACAGACTAATACAAGCATATTTACTATCTATATTTTTAAACCCATTGTTTTAAAAATTAAATTCAATATTCAAAACAAAAATGTACTTTATTGATCTTAACAAATTTAAAAAAATGAAAAAATACAAGCTGCATATAACATGAACATTTCTGATCTCTTAGATTTGCATGGTAGAGGGTATATTTTTAAAGTCTAACACCAGTCAATCTGCCTGCAGTTGCTTATTTTTTCCTCTTAAATCAAGTTATCTTTCAAAGTTTGAAGCGGTTGTTTAACTCGTTGTGAACTCTATGACATCCTGAGCCTGGATTCCTTTCATGTTATAAACTTTGGTTTTCTGTCATTAATATAAAGCTCTTCAGTGTAAATTGTAATTATTTTGGGAAAAAGCTGAGAAAATTATACAAAATATAGACAGACCCAGGAGAGATAATGCAAGAGGCTGCTCTGTGGCAACAAGAACTCTAAGCCATATAGCAATTATTTCCAAAATTAAAGGATTCCTACATATCTATAGCAATTCCACTACTGAATTAAAAATTAAAACCTAAACCTAAGTTGGTTGACAGGTTTATCATTTCTTATACTACTTCTTGGCATCATCAATTATCCTCAGGTACATAATACTCTCTGGCCAAGTCATCCCTTATGAGGACTATGCCTTTTTATTCATTGTCCTATCAATTATCATTGCATAGAAAATTCTTCAAAGTCTAAGTGTCAGACATTGCCGAATCCTTTGGTGGGTTTTAAAATTGTATTCAGAAAATAAAAACCTCTAGCCCATACACAATCTAGAAGATTCTCACTATCTCTCTAGTCACATTTTACACCGTCTCTCTATTCCTTTCTTTGGTACAGACACACTGACCTTCATTTCTGTTTTCCATTGTCACTTAGGTAAATTCACACAGAAAATTACAGAACCTGAACATTTTTAGAAGGTTTTATTCTGAATTGAAAATTACACATAAAATAAATACAATTGTCATTATTTTATTACATCCTAAAGCTTGCAGTTTTCATTTCTTGGTTTCTTATATGGCAGGGTCTGAAATAGAAAAATACATTGTATTTTGAGAAAGAGTAAGCAAATAATTTACACTTTACATATTTATAGGGTTTAGGATACATTATCCAGAAATATGGCATCTTGGCATATTGGATATTTTAAGCTGAAGGAATTTGAGATATGATAAGTGCAGAAAGGTCTTTCTGACCTTCCCCTGAAGCAGGTTGAAAATCCTAGGAAAGATTTTCTGATCCCCCCACGAAGCAGGTCATATAAGCCCCTCATGTGAGAAGTGCCCCTACTATCCCCTGAGTAAAGGAGTATCCTTAATCTCCTGAGACAAAAGTATACAGAGCCTGTCTGTACAAACAGGCAATGCCAAGTTTTCTGCAGTATAAGTACTTACACCCTTTGTCTTAGGATAATGGAAACTTTTTATCCTTGTATATTTCTTGTATCCAGATTTCTCCACCACCCTCCATTCTTCATCAAACCTACTATTAAAAACAAACAAATTTACAAGAAGAAATCAAACAACCCCATCAAAAAGTGGGCAAAGGATATGAACAGACACTTCTCAAAAGAAGACATTTATGCAGCCAACAGACACATGAAAAGATGCTCATCATCACTGGCCATTAGAGAAATGCAAATCAAAACCACAATGAGATACCATCTCATACCAGTTAGAATGGTGATCATTAAAAAGTCAGGAAACAACAGGTGCTGGACAGGATGTGGAGAAATAGGAACACTTCTACACTGTTGGTGGGACTGTAAACTAATTCAACCATTGTGGAATACAGTGTGGCTATTCCTCAGGGATCTAGAACTAGAAATACCACTTGACCCAACAATCCCACTACTGGGTATATACCCAAAGGATTATAAATCATGCTACTATAAGCACACATGCACACGTATGTTTATTATGGCACTATTCACAATGGCAAAGACCTGGAACCAACCCAAATGTCTATCAATGATAGACTGGATTAAGAAAATGTGGCACATATACACCATGGAATACTATGCAGCCATAAAAAAGGATGAGTTCGTGTCCTTTGTAGGGACATGGATGAAGCTGGAAACCATTATCCTGAGCAAACTATCGCAAGGACAGAAAACTAAACACCGCATGTTCTCACTCATAGGTGGGAATTGAACAATGAGAACACTTGGACACAGGGTGGGAACATCACACACCGGGGCTTGTTGTGGGGTGGGAAGCGGGGGAGGGATAGCATTAAGAGAAATGCCTAATGTAAATGACAAGTTAATGGGTGCAGCACACTAACATGGCACGTGTATGCATATGTAACAAACCTGTACATTGTGCACATGTACCCTAGAACTTTAAAAAAAAATTTCTAGTTTAACTGGTACTTCAAGTCTTCATTCCCTAATGAAGGCTCAGTGTCATGGAAAACTTACATTAAATAAATGTGTATGGTTTTCTCTTGTTAATCTGTCTTTTGTTACAGGGGCCCCAGCCAAGGAACCTAAGAAGGAAAATATAAATTCCCTCCATAATATCAATGGGATAAATACCATACAGTTAATAAAACTGTTTTGTGTTAATAAAACTCTCAGCCCTACAGTATATATTTATGAATTTAAAGGAGATTATAACACATACACACATACATTTTCTCTGTACCCTAAAAACATCAGCTTGTAATCAAATGAACAGTGTTTTCCACTTTTTATAAATAAGTATAGTATATCCTCTTGGAAACTATAGGATTTGTTACAATTGTTCTCTTATGAAAGTTTTATCTACTAATTGTCATTGAATACTTCACAAGCCAGCTGTCACCTAATTACAGAACCTAAAAATATTTTAGAAGGTTTTACTCTGAATTGAAACCTCCACATAAAATAAATGCAATTGCCATTATTTTTTTAAATCTTCAAATCTGTAGTTTTTTTTTTAACTTGGTTTCATATATAGCAGGGTCTGAAATAAGAAAAACATGGTGTAAGCAACAGATGAGAATAGAAAATAAAATTAAATCCTTTTGGAAAAAAATGATTCTGAAAATTTGAGTGAATAAACAATGACCATAATGCCACTTTCCCACGTGGCACTCACTATTTTCACGTAACTATGTGCAACTCTTGAAGCTGGAAAGTGAAATACAATGATCTGGTTTACTTCAATAGAAAATGAAAAACCTGTATTTGTTTATTTCTAAATCAGTTACCTCTGGAATAATATGTCATTAAATTCTGGAAGATATTTGCCTTTGTCATTTTGTGAAAGACTGTCCTCCATAATAAAGAAATATTATTAGTAAGTTGGATAGAATAACACACATATCGTACAAAAAGTTGTTGTAGTGTCTGCAAATGCAAGCCACCTTATGTAAAAAAAGCTATTACTTACAAAATGTTAAACTTATAATATCTACAAACTTTAATTGTCACATTAGATATTTCAATATCCATATACCCATTATAAAGCAAAATAGTTTCTATCTAGTGCTGGTACATTAAATGGATTGGAATTGATTTGTTATAACAGGATAAGATAAACTATAGCCTAATATAGATAAATGACTTCCAAGTATAGCTCAGATATTGGCTGTATGTTTGTGTTCAGATTTTGCTGAACATTTGAGAGAATGGAGGGAGGTTCTTTTACAGCACCATAGCAAATAATTTAACCATCTCTATTTTTATGATTCTTTCATCAATTAGTACCCTTACAAATCTCTCACTCTACAGTTTCTCTACAGGACCTCCTCATTCTTTTCTGCCATTTTGCAGATTCACATACATTTTTATCTTTATCCCTCAACTAACCTATGTTTTTTTCTGTTAAATTCCATATTCTATTCACAATACATATAGAATATTTTAGCTGCCTCTTTGTTTCACTGCTGCTTTGAAAGTCAAGCCTTACAAGACCTTAGATTTTATAGTCAAAAACAATTATCAAGATATTTTCAAAACCAAAATTATGCATACTCAAGATAAATTATAACACTCTTTTAACACAAATGGTTACATTCAAATGTGTGTGGATTTATCATTAATAAACTTTATATTTTAGTACAGTGCTTGAATTACATAATAATCGAGCAGATAGTACATGGTATTCTATATACAACCCATCCCCACAGAAATTCTTCTATTTTTATATTGCATTAATGTAGTATACTTGTTACAACTAACAAGCTGATATTGATAATTATTATTATAGTACATCATTTACTTTAGGGCTCACTGTGTTCTATAGTTCCTTGTGTTATGACATGTATATTGCCCTGTATTCACCATTACAGTTTCATACAGAACAGTTTCCCCACCCTAAAAATTCCCCGTGTTCTACCTGTTCATCCCTTTCTTCCCTCCTAGAGAATGCCTGGCAACCACTAATCTTTTTACAGTCTCCATAGTTTTAGCTTTCTCATGATGTCATATAGTTGGATTTATGCATTATATTCCTTTTTTAGTACGGTTTCTTTCACTTAGCAGTATGTATTTACCATTCGTTCATGTCTTTTAAAGGCTTAACAGCTCATTCCTTTCTATTCTGAATAATATTCCGTTGCGGATATACCAGAGTTTATCCATTTGTTAATTAAAAGACATCTTTGTTAATAAATATAGTAGAATATTTACTATACACTAGTATGGGGTAATTTTGTTTAAGGCTGCTATAAGCATTCCTATGTCCAGGTTATTGCACAGACATCATTTTTACATCATTGAGTAAATACCATAGGAGCTATGTTAATGCAATGGTGAAAGTTGCATGTGTTGGGGGCGGGGAAGTGTTCTATACTCCTATATTTAAGTCTCAGTCTTATAGTGCTCTTGTGGACTGGGCTATAATCTTTATGAGTGCTTCTCAGCATTTTTCCCCCTTAGGTGAAAGAGAAAGGCTAAAATGGGCTGGAACTGGGTAACTTCCCTTCCTCTAAGTCAGATAAAGCTTTGGTGAAATCTTTTCATGAGCTCATGTAGGAACAGGAAGATATGATGCTTTTCCTTATTTGTAAGGGTCATGGCCAGCACTCCTATAACAAAAGAGAGGTTAACAAGAGAAAAGCATAACAACTTTATTTAATCAAAGTTTTATGTGACATAGGAGACTTCATAAATGATGACTCAAAGACTTAGGAAAAACTTCCTATTTTTATTCTTAGGTTCCACAATAAATGGTCAGCTGTGTAGAAATATGATTGGACAACAGACTATAATCTAATGGTAATAAACTGAGGGAGAATCCAGCAAGGCCTCTCCGTTTAGGTCCTCCTTGTCCTCTCTTTGTATCATTGTTTCCTCCCCAGATATGGGGAAGACCCTTCTGGGGAGGGTGGTAGTCTGGCACTGTGACTGTACCCAAATTTTATCTTGAATTGTAATCAGAATTTTAATCCCCATGTATTGGGGAAGGGACATTGTGGTGAAACAGGATACTTCTCTTGACCCTTTCATGGGACTCGCAAAGAGATTGGTTCGTTTACTCAGGTCACAGCTCTCAACCCCTTGCAGGAGGGGGAGCACACAGGTGAGTGAGTTTAGAGGACAGGACAAGCACTTCTGGGCAACTAGCAGGAACAGAACTCTGTGCAGGCCCACGGCAGCATCTAAGGGTTTCCCGTGACCTCAGAGCTCTAGAGGGCATGTGTGACAGTATGCTCCTTTAGCTTTGTCATCTGCGGATGGCTTAAGTGTTAAACAGCTTAGTGGAGGGTCAGTGCGACTGCCTCTTGCACCTTCACTCAGGTCCTTGTTTGGTGTCCAGGAAGAATCAGGTCACGTGAACGAATTGAAGGGTGGTAAATGTAGAAGATTTTATTGAGTGGTGGAAATGGCTCTCAGCGGGAAGTGAAGCTGGAAAGGGGATGAAATCTTACCTGGAGTTTGGCCTCATCCCTGGCCGAATTCTTCACTGAGATCTTGCCCTTTTGAAGTCACACTGTCTCTTTAAAGTCACATTGCTTCTCTCTGATGTCCCGGATGTTTCTTCTCTTCTCTCCTTCTCTACCACACTGCTGGTGGAGCCTGGGGTTTTTATGGGTACAGGATCGGGGGCAGAGTGAGCCAGGGTGGTTTTGGAAAAGCCAACAATTGGGCAGGAAAACAGGAATGCGTGTTCTCACTTTGGGCAGTAGGTCCAGGTTTATGGGTGTGGCCCTTGCTGGGGACCACTCTCCTCTACCCAGTTTTTTCCTGCCTCCTGTCCATATCAGTGGGAGGTGATTAGATTAGGGAGGTGGTTCCCCCCATGCTGTTCTCATGATAGTAAGTTCTCATGAGATCTGATGGTATCATAAAGGCCTTTTCCCCACTTTGCTTGGCACTTCTCCTTCCTGCTGCCATGTGAAGACAGATATGTTTGCCTCCCCTTCCACCATGATTGTAAGTTTCCTGAGGCCTCCCCAGACCTGTGGAAATGTGAGTCAGACTAATACAGTGACCTGTTTAATGGTTTGCTTTGGGAAAGGGAAGTTCTAGAGTTTTTGTTTCTATGACCCACCTTGAGGAAGAGCAATGCTAATGCCTATGACTCAATGCAGGGGAGAAAGAGGAGCAGAATATAGGAGGGCAGGAGAAGTTCAGAGTGCTTGTTTCCAAGGCCCTTCCAATGTCCTTGTTCAAAATACTCAGCATGCCAAGGTGCCATACTTTGGGGAATATATTCTGAACCCCAACACCGGGTAAGTATTGTTGTGGAGATCTCTAGGGGCTTTTTTAAAAACGATTACTTTTTCTCTGGGTGTATGTCAGAATGCTTATTGTATCTGCCTCCTGGTGAAGCGCAAGGAAATTCTACTCTGATCTTCATCATGAGAACATATCAGGGCAACTGAAAGGAAAACCGACAAAAAGGGCTGGTGTGGGAAAGGATTTAGACTGGGTACGCTGGTTCCCAGAGTGCTGACATTTAAATGTAATTTTAATAGCATTTTTTTGGTCTTTGCTCAGAAGAAGAAGCATGTGGTAAAAGAAGAGGGGGATCAATATTGCCTGTAAAATTCATGTATTGAATATAGGTCTAGTATAACATACTATTAGCAGCTCATACAGTGAACACCACCAAGGTAGTGAGTTTCTATTTTTCTTTAAACCAGTGACCAAAATGGGTTTAATATTCTCCTCACCTTGACTGATCTTTAGGTAAGTTCCTTTCTGATTCCAAGCCCTTGACTTTCATTATATAGAGCATTTGCTTTATTAATAGAAAACAGATAGTTGTAAATTCTTTACCTGTCTCTTTGACATGTAAATCTTTTTTAATGCCTCTGGCCAGCAAAAACTGCCATTACTTTTGCACCAATCTATAAAACTACCCTCTGTCATGAAAAGAAAGTTGACTTTTCCTTTGGGAAAAGCCAATTAGCAAACAAGGAGAACCTATGTTTTCACTCTCACTCCAGTGCTTTAAAATCCTCCTACCCTTTGTTTCTCTTGAGTGAGCTCAGACTGAGTTCTGATCTTTTTCCTCATTGGAATGTCTCATACACAGGAGAAGGGAGAAAAGTGAGGGAAAGGGAGAGGATGATGACTGAATAGCAATAGAACTTGATAAAGTGGTACAACTTTGAGAGGCAGTGAGAAACATTTTCGGCATTCTCAAATTTTAGCAAGAATCCTACTAAGTAGTGAGGAGTTATTGTTTAATGGGTACAGCTTTTCAATTTGAGATGATGCAAAATTTCTGGAAATGGATGGTTGGGATGGTTGCACAAAAATGTAAATGTTCTTAGTGTTTCTGAAATATACATTTAACAATAGTTTAAGATGGTGATCTTTGCTATGTATTTTTATCACAATAAAAATAAAAGAATGCTGCTAAGTGAGTTTAACCAGAATTCCCCATTCTCAATATCTAATCGCCCTCAATATCTAATCCCCTCATCCTCCAACATTCCCGAGGTGATGTCTGATCACCCTGGCCTGTCTTTAGAGAGAGTCCTGTTAGGTTGGTTTAGCCAGAATTCCCGTTTATCCTCAATGTTTCCTCTCAGTAATTGTCCATACACAGATGTCTACCCTGCTCCTTGGCTATCAATTTTTATTTTTCTTTGTTGTATTTACAGTTGAGCTCACTCTCTCTTCCCCACTGTAAGACCTCATTGCAGAGGTTTCTACACCTGTCTCAATAGACACCACTTAATTAAAGTCTTCCTTATCATCTTTAACAAGTGTCATAAGTAACTTTTTTCTTTAATAGTAGTGTTAGAACTGTAAGTAGAAGATAATAAAGTATATATGAATGCACAGTAGAACTCTACAGATCTTTATAGAATTTAGCTTTCCAAGGAGTGATTCAGTCTAACATGTAAAAATATAAATAAATATGAAACCATTAGATGTAAGTTATGCAAATATCTCATTTGTTTTATTGTGTAATGTAAAAGTCTTTGGTCATTTACCAAATATGAGGCTGCTTCAATTTTATGTTTATTAGGTTGAGCCATAAGAAATTGCCTTTTATGTAGGGAAAAGTAGCTAAGTATTTGAAATTTACTTTCAGTTAACCGAAACACACTCCAATTAAAATAATGGTGTTCTACCCAGGAAATTCATCACAAAAAGATATTTGCCGAGGCACATTGTCATCATTGTCATCAAGTTATTCAAAGTTAAGACAAAGGAAAGAATCTTAAGAGCTGTGAAACGGAAGCACCAGGTAACCTACAAAGGAAAAGCTATCAGATTAACAGCAGATTTCTCACCAGAAACCTTACATGCTGGAGGGGATTGGGGCCCTATCTTCAGCCTCCTCAAACAAAACCAATTATCTGCCAAGAATTTTGTATGCAGTGAAACTAAGCATCATATATGAAGTAAAGATACAGTCTTTTTCAGACAAACAAATGCTGAGAGTATTCGCCATTACCAAGACACCACTACAAGAACTGCTAAAGGGAGCTCTAAATCTTTAAATAAATCCTGGAAACACATCAAAACAGAACCCTTTAAAGCATAAATTGTACACAATGTATATAACAAAACTACAAGTTAAAAAGGAAAAAATGAAAAATAAAAAAAGAAAAGCAAAGTACAAAGGCAACAAAGAGCACAATGAATGCAATGGTACCTCACGTTTCAATACTAACATTGAATGTAAATGCCTAAATGCTCTACTTAAAAGATACATAACTTAAAAGATATGGTGAGTTTCATACGAGGTATGCAGGGATGGTTTAACATATACAATTTAATGTGAAACACCATATAAACAGAATTAAAAACAAAAATCACGTGATCATTCCAATAGACGCAGCAAAAGCATTCAACAAAATCCAGCATCCCTTTATGATTAAAACTCTTGGCAAAATCAGCATACTAGGGACATAGGTTAATGTAATAAAAGCCATCTATGACAAACCCATAGCCAACATAATACTAAGGGGGAAAAGTTGAAAGCATCCCCTCTGAACACTGGAACAAGACAAGGTTGTCCCCTCACCTCTCCTCTTCAACATAGTTCTAGAAGTTCTAGCCAGAGCAATCAGACAAGAGAAAGAAATAAACAGCATCTAAATCGGTAAAGAGGAAGTCAAACTGTCACTGTTTGCTAATGATATGATTGTTTATCTTGAAAACCCCAAGGGCTCCTCTAGAAAGCTCCTAGAACTGATAAAAGAATTCAGAAATGTTTCCACATACAAGATTAATGTACACAAATGAGTAGCTCTTCTATACACCAACAGTGACCAAGCAGCAGAATCAAATCAATAACTCAATCCCTTTTGTAATAGCTGCAGGAAAAAAAAAAACTTAGAAATATACCTAACCAAGGAGTTAAAAAATCTCTACAAGGTAAACTACAAAACACCAATAAAAGATATCATAGATGATGCAAACAAATTGAAACACATCCCATGCTCATGGATGGCTAGAATCAGTATTGTGAAAATGACCTAATGCCAAAAGCAATCTACAAATTCATGCAATCCCCATCAAAATACCACCATCAGTCTTCACAGAATTAGAAAAAAACAATTCTAAAATTCATATGGAACCAAAAAAGAGCCCACATAGCCAAAGAAAGTCTAAGCAAAAAGAACAAATCTGCAATCATTACACTAGCTGATTTCAAACTATTCTATAAGGCCATAGTCACCAAAACAGCATGGTACTGGTATAAAAATAGGCACATAGGCCAATGGAACTGAATAGAGAAAGCAGAAATAAGTGCAAATACTTAACAGTCAACTCATCTTCAACAAAGCAAACAAAAACATAAAGTGGTGAAAGGCCACCCTTTTCAACAAATGGTGCTGAGATAACTGGCTAGCTACCTGTAGGAAAATGAAACTCAATCCTCATCTCTCACCTTATACAAAAATTGACTTGAGCTGGATTAAGGACTTAAACCTAAGACCTGAAACTATACAAATTCTAGAAGATAACACTGGAAAAACCCTTCCATACATTGGCTTAGGCAAGGATTTCATGACCAAGAACCCAAAAGCAAATGCCATAAAAACAAAGACAAATAGCTAGGACCTAATTAAACTGAAGGGCTTTTGCATGGTAAAAGAAACAGTCAGCAGAATAAACAGCCAACCCACAGAGTGGGAGAGAATCTTCACAATCCATACATCTGACAAAAGACTAATATCCAGAATCTACAATGAACTCAAACAAATCAGTAAGAAAAAAAATCCCATCAAAAATTGGGCTAAAGACATGAATAGACATGAATAGATAATTCTTAAAAGAAGATATGCAAATGGCCAACAAACCTATGAAAAGTGTTCAATATTACTAATGATCAGGGAAATGCAAATCAAAATCACAATGTGATACCACCTCACTCCTGCAAGAACGGCCATAATCAAAAAATCAAAAAATACTAGATTCTGGCATGGATGCAGTGAACAGAGAATACTTCTACACTGCTGTTGGGAATGTAAACTAGTACAGCCACTATGGAAAACAATGTGGAGCTTTTTTAAAGAACTAAAAGTAGAACTACCATTTGATCCAACAATCCCACTACTGGGTATCTACTCAGAAGGAAAGAAGTCATCAGTCGAAAAAGATACTTGAACACGCATGTTTACAGCAGTGCAATTCACAACTGCAAACTTGTAGAACCATGTGTACACACACATGCATAGATACATATATACCAGTTTTTTTACTCATTCACTGATTGATGGGCATTTGGGATGGTTCCACAAGTTTGCAATTGTGAATTGTGCTGCTGTAAACATGCGTGTGCAAGTATCTTTTTCAACTGATGACTTCTTTCCCTCTGAGTAGATACCCAGTAGTGGGATTGTTGGATCAACAATATATATGAATAATGGAATACTATGCAGCTGTAAAAAGGAATGAATTAACAGCATTTACAGTGACCTGGATGAAATTAGAGACTATTATTCTAAGTGAAATAACTCAGGAATGGAGAACCAAACATCGTGTGTTCTCACTGATATGTAGGAGCTAAGTTATGAGGATGTAAATGCATAGAATGATGCAGTGGACTTTGGGGACTTAGGTGGAAGAGTAGAAGGATGGCAAGAGATAGAAAACTACCAGTATGGTGCAGTGTATTCTGCTCAGGTGATGGGTGCACCAAAATCTCACAAATCACCACTACAGAACTTACTCATGTAACCAAATACCACCATACCCCAATAAGTTATGAAAAAATAATAAGTAAATAATAAAATAATGGTTTTCCTTTAACAGTAATTTTGGCAGCATCTTCATGATTTAGCATTTTGTATATTATAAAATGTGATAGTAGATATTATAATTAATAACTATTGAATGAGTTATTAAGGCCCAGTTGGATTAGTGTCACAATTTTGTGAAAGACAATTACTTTAAGAATAATTTCTGATTTTCTCTCGCTCTGAATTTATCCTCATATGTAAAGAAAAACATTGTCTCCCAAATAACATCTAATATTCCAGAAATAAACAGAACAGATGCACATTCAGCTGAAGATAACACATAAATATGCATTTCAATCATTTGTCTCTTACCTATTTTTGCAATTGTAAATTATGGTCTTTTTAGAGTACACAACAGATGGTGAAGAGTTAGTTTAAGTGATGTTTCTTTTAATATAGACTACTGTGCCAACTGATCTCGCACTACAACAATTTACTCACTCACTACAACAATTTATTTACTGCATTAAAATACATTGGATTAAATAGGCATTTCAGCCACATTTGCATATCATGAGTCTGACTTTAGCAGGATGGCACTGTAGTGTACTCACCCTATCTAAAAGAAAGAAGAATGATGGATAATGTGAGCCTAGTAAGAAAACATACTCTGGAAAATGACAAGATTCAGCATAAGAAATTCAGTTTCTATCCTGTTTTCTTTTGTGGGAAAAAAAACCCATGGATTTAATCATAATGTGATTTTAACTAAAGTGAGATTCACAGAGAGCAAACTAATGTCCTGCTGAAGTTCATTAGCATCTTCTTATATATGTCATTATGTTTGTAAATAAAACTGTGTGTGTGTATACTCACACACACATAGACCATACATACAGCAGGGAATAATATTCAGTGGGTCTTTGATGAATGGGAGTGTTGGGGTTCAGAGAATGGTATCTCAAAGTATGGTGCTTTGGCATGCTGAGTACTTTGAATTGAAGGATGTTGGAAGTGCCTCAGAAACAAAGTAAAACTTTTTGTAAAAATTTTAACAGTTACAAAATTATGACAGTGAAAGGGATCTGATCTAACCAACACCATCTTGCCTTTAACCTCCAAATTGCCCTTAGGTATTCTTGGGCTTGAGCCAAGCTAACTGTGGAAGAAATGTTGCTTATAGTTTAAATTATAATAGCCCATCCCCAAAACTGAACTACCTATGTAAAACTAATAAACGACCACCAGGTTAGGAGGATGAGAGGAGCCTGAATTCTGCTAATGTGCAGACATAAATGATTACCAGCCATTATTCTAGAGGTTATAAGATTTGCAACTTCCCCAATTATGCCTGCAGATAACATCACCGTTGTAGAACCTAAGACTGGCTTTTTGGGTGGGATGTCTTTGCATTTTGGTTTTTGCATTTTGGTTTTTGCATTTTGGATGACTGATCACTCAACTCCCCTTGCTTCTACCCAGACCCCAACCCATCCTGTAGCCCTACCCAGGAGCTGACTCAGCATGCACAAGGACCATTTTCCACACCTCTGTGATTACATTCCCAACCCATCAACAGCACCCATTCCCTTTACTGCCAAACTGTCCTTGAAAAACTCTAGACTACAAATTTTTGGGGAGGCTGGTTTGAGTAATAATAAAACTCCAATATGTCATTCAGTTGATTCACAGTGAATTAAACTCTTTCTCTATTGCAATTCCTCTGTCTGATAAATTGGCTCTATGTGGGCAGTGGGCATTAATGTAATAGACATCTAGATTTGTAGAAGTATAAAATGTTCAGATTATTTTGGCTATGGTAACGTGTTTTAGTTCTTCATTTTCTATTAAATTGATGTAATTTTGCTGATAATCACAAAAAAGTCTATCATTTTAAATCAGAATATTTGAGGCCCTTAATATAAATGTATGATTAGTGAAGTCAAACTAATTCTTAAAGTGGGGGAATTTCAGTATGTCCTAGAGTGTAATAATATAATCAGATTACTTGGGAAAAAGGTACAAGCACTCATGCACAAACACAATCATACATGTGTATATATATATATATATATATATTTATATTTATATATAAATATATGCTATATATGATATACATAAATGTATATGAAATATATATATACATATATATATATATACACACACACACACACATACACATATATTTGGCATCTGTGGAAATTGTAAGGTTTAGTACCTTTCCTTACCCAGCATAAGGATCATAGCCAACACAACTATAACAAAAGACAGGCTAACAAGATAAAAATATCAGAAATTTAATCAAGGTTTCATGTCACATGGAAGCCTTCAGAAATGCAGACCCAAAGACTCAAGGAAAACTGTCTATTTTTATGCTTTTAAACAATGAAGAATGGATAGACCTAGACATGTAATTGGACAAAAAGGATATGATCTAATGGTAATAAATTGATTGAGGAAACCCAGTTTTCTGACTAACTTCTTTGAACCACCTCTTCTGCTCTTGTCTGCTCTCCCCACAACTGTTCCTAAAGTAACACATTCTGCAACTTCTTCCTGTTTCTATTACTCTCTTCCAAGGAACTGCCTCAATTAGTTTCCAATCAAAATGGCCAAAGCCAAGCTCCTTTTCTGGATGCACATGTAGCCCACTAGAGATAGATGCTTTCTTGATATGATAATTATAGGTTTTATAATTTTATCTAATGTTTTTCTTTCTTCATCCAGCCATTTCAGGAATTTCCACTGGGTCACTACCCTCAACATTTCCTAATTCTTCTGTTCATATATGACTTACAATTTCCTTGCCCAGATGGTGACTTTTCCAAAGACTTCTCTCACAAGTTCCCTCTCTGGTGCACTGAGTGGCATACAATTTTCTGTTGCTCATTCAGCAAATATCTAGCCAAGAAGTAGGATACCAGTTTTCTCTTTGTAGAGATATCTCCTTCTGCCAAACACGTTCGTTTAAAGTAGGACAAAAACATTTCTGAAGAGAGAGAGAAAAAAAGATGTATAGTCATAATCTATTAGTCTAATACATCAGAGATTCTAGAGTTTTTTTTTTTTAATGTTCTTCTGAAGGCTGGAGGTAGGTGATCAGAAGCTATTATCAGGACATTTGTTTTCTTCTTGTTCTTCAATGTAACCAAAATGTATTAGAACACTTGCTTAATCAGAATTATGTCCTAAAAACTTGGGAGAGTAAAATATTTTATGTTAATTATTCCAAGTCTGAAAATAAAGCATGCATTTTTAAAATGGTAATATAATTGCTACTTTCAAGACTTAGCCAAATGGAATCTATTAGGTAGATCTTATTTTTCTGGGATTTATTGACTGGAATTTATGATATATTTTATAACTATTATGCTACAATAAATATCTACACATATAACTTTTTTATATATACCTTCTTAAAAGTAATGTTTACATCTAATTAAGTTAAAAAAATTTTCACAGAAGAAAGTTATGCCATCCTATTTTTTCCCAGAAGCTGAGTTATTTTTAAAGAAATTATAGATTGAAATACTTAGAATTTATAATGCATTTTGAAGGAGGCTTAAATTATTTTTATAGTTTCATCATTCCACTTTATTCTCTTTTCTCATAGAAAGAAAAATCTAAATTTAAATATTTGACAAAATCTATGTGTTTGAGTAGATATATTTAATTTGCTTGTCTGTGTGTGTGTGTGTGTGTGTGTGTGTGTGAAAGATCACAAGCAGAGAGAGTATGCTGAGTATTTTGGCTAGAAATCATTGAATATTCTATGTTATTTCACCTATTGATGTCAACATTCACTAAGTTATTGACTCTATTATGTAACAAAACACACCGTTGAAAAAATGTTTCTTGTTTATAGACTAATTCAAGATCAGAATATACATGAGAAAATGCCCCCTATCTACCGGGACCATCAAAATAAAATAAAGAATTCCAAACCTAGAGTATCTTACCGTGATAAGGAAGATATAGACTTTAAATATGTTTGATTCCCTGAGACCAATTTAAGAATAAAAAACATGAAACAACAAAACAAAGGGCTTTCTGAAAAAGAAAAAAAAAACATATAGGGTGATGACATAAAAAAATTTAATTGAAATGCAAATTTTATAAAAATACCTATAAAACACTGCATTTTATATATATAAAATTGAAAATATACATAGAAATATAGACTTTTTAAAAGTGTATATATACTTTTTTAAAACGTATATATATATTTATGCATATAGAGAAGTCAGTTGCCTTGCCCAGGATCACACAGGTAGTTAAGTGACAAAACAGGGACTCTACTTGGTAGATTGACACCAGAGTTCATATTATGGACAATGTTACCTTCCAATTTCCTAATTCTCTTAAAACATCTAATAGCATCTCACTGCTTACCTTAAAACTTCATATATATGCATATATATACTTTTTTTTTTTTTTGAGACAGTTTCACTCTTGTTGCCCAGGCTGGAGTGCAATGACACGATCTCGGCTCACTGCAACCTCCGCCCCCCAGGTTCAAGCAATTCTCCTGCCTCAGCCTCCCAAGTAGCTGGGATTACAGGCATGAGCCCCCATGTCCGGCTAATTTTGTATTTTTAGTAGAGACGGGGTTTCTCCATGTTGGTCAGGTTGGTCTACAAACTTCTGACCTCAGGTGATCTGCCTGCCTTGGCCTCCCAAAGTGCTGGGATTACAGGCGTGAGCCACCGCGCCCAGCCCTGTGGCATATATTTTAATCAATATGTTTTATAAGCAATTTTTAGGCTGATCATGTCTAATTTGCATTTGAATATAAATACCCTCACAATGCACATAGTGTTTCCTCTAATAAAAAAAACCAGAGTTTTAATAATTATTTTGAGTAATGTTGATTTATATTATGGATAATATGATATAAATAGGTGATACAAAATAGGTGTCTGCAATGTATTCAACTATGTATTTTAAGAGTTGACCCCAATTTTAGTAATAGCTAAAACTTTAACAAAATTTGAAATTTTTAATGGTGCATTACTTTCAAAACCAACAATAGAAGAGTGATAATGAGAAAACACTTTATAGTAGAAAATAAGAAGCATTTCTGGAACTATTTCATTATGGCCACAAGTGATTATGGATAGTAGTTAGCAATTGGATGCATAAATATTTACTCTGTGGCACTATTTTTATTCCTATAGTCCAATATCAGTGCAGTTTTATTATACACTCTCATTTTATGCCTCATCCCTGTAATGAAAAACAGTAATTTTGTCATTCTGGGGTTAATGGGAAGAGTAGACTTGAGGTAAGGGTTGTTCTCAGGAAACAGAAGCTGAACTTGAACACACATAGCAATAGGGTAAAATCAAGCCTATGAATCAGAATGATGAGGACAATACAGGCTAATGAAAAAAGAGAGAGGGTAAGGATGAGTAATGTGTCAGAAGGATTAGAAACAAATAGTAAAGCATATATATTAAAGACTTCAAGTATCATACTTAAGGAAAGTGAAGTTTTAAGGTCAGTGGTGAGATGCTATTAGATGTTTTAAGAGAATTAGGAAATTGGAAGGTAACATTGTCCATAATATGAACTCTGGTGCCAACCTACCAAGTAGAGTCCCTGTTTTGTCACCGAACTACCTGTGTGATCTTGGGCAAGGCAACTGACTTCTCTTTGCCTCAAATTTCTCTTCTGTAAAATAGGAATAACAATTGTACCTATTTCATAATGTCGTAAAGTTGGATAAACTAAGTTAATATTTATGATATTTATAAATCTTTAAAAATATGGCCTCTAACACAGTAACTGCTAATTGTATTTGATAAATAAAACATAAAAGTAAATAAAATAAGCAAATAAAATGTTATTGGCTTTTGGAAAATGAACAGTTTACTGGCAAGGCATTGAAATATTTGCCTAAGAAATTTTGAAGGCTGGATTGATAAAGCTTCTTGGGTGATTTTTCTTATCACTCCTTGGCCAAATGACCATCCACAAGAGGTTTCTGTTGTCCAAATTTATTTTAATCAGGAGACAGTGTCTTGTTCCCAACTTTCAGTTTGTTATAGTTGCTCAAGTATCAGGTAATTCTGTGATGACACATTAATCTATCTAGGTTTCTCAAAGTTTAACTGATACCAAGTCAAGGATTCTAACCATGGATGGGAGAGATTCAATGATGAATCAACTGTCTTAACATGATACTGAAGTGAGGATAGGTGAAATGGAATGCCATGCCAAATATCAACATAAAATAGTCAAAATTGAATGAGACACACACACACACACACACACACACACACACAGATACACACACACCCCACTATGGTTTCAGTATTTGTGTTCATCCAAAACTCATGTTGAAACTTTATCTCCAATGCAATAGAACCAAGCATGAGGCCTCTCGGAGGTGATTAGGTCATAATGGCTCCTCCCTTGTGAATGGGATGAAGGCCCTTATAAAAGACGTTTCACACAGTATTCAGCCCTTTTTGCCCTTTTTCCTTCTGCTAGTTGAGGATACAGCATTTATTCTCTCCAGAGGATGGTACCAGGTGCCATCTTGGAAGCAGAGGGACTTGGCCCTCACCGGGTGCCAAATTTGTGGGCCTTTGATCTTAGACTTCTCAGTCTCCAGAACTGTGAGAAACAAATTCCTGTTATTTATAAATTACTCAGTCTTAGATTTTGTTTTAGCAGCAAATATACATACACACACACACACACACACACACACACACACACACACCCCCACACAGTTGACAATATTTGCCAAAATACAGAAAAATTTCACAGATATCATTGCATTTCACACTACATATTTCAGGATTTTAAAAATATAACTCAAATACCATTATCACACCTAAGAGATTTAATATTAATATACTACTATTACCCTCTACTCAATATTCAAATTTCTCCAATTTTTCTCAAAATGGCACAGCTTTTTTTTTTTTTATCTTTTTGTCCAGGATCCAGTGACTCATCATGGGTTGCATTTTGTTATGTTCTTTTAATCTCCTTTAACTCAGAAAAGTTCTCTGGGGCTTTTGTCTTTTATTAACTTGACATTGTTCAATATTCCATGTCAGTTTTCTTACAAATTGTTATACAATTCTAATTTGTCTGATAATTTTTTTCATTATTAGGTTCAAATTTAAACTTTTATTAGGAATACTGTATTGATTATATTATTTACTTTCTATTGTTTCATATTGCCAAGTACATAATGTCAGTTTGATCCATTTATAGTGATGTTAAGTTTAATAATTTGGTTAAGGTAGTGACTGTCCACTGCTAAATGTTACTTCCTTTAAAAAAAATTATTCCTACAAGTATATATATATTAACTCCTTCAGAACTGTTTGAAATTGAGACTCTCTCTCTTCAACTTGTCTCATAAACAAAAGTTTTTCCATAAACATGGCAATTTTTGGCATTCTTAGCTCAAAATTTTCTCTCACATTAATTTGTGATGACAAACATGTCCAGAAAAGTTCACAGTGCCAATAATTGACCCAGGTAAGGGACTGTTTGCTTTATTACTCAGAGAGCAAAGTTCTCCTTTAAAGAACTATGTTTTACAGTTAGATGTTTTACTATCTGTAGGTGATGACTTCAATCACCCCATTTGGAGCTTATTTTATCTCATATATTTTGTTTCAAGGTTACAGATGTCTATAATTTTTTCTAACTTGTACTTTTTTAAAAAAATTTCTTACAGCAGATTTCCAAAAGGAGAGGAAAGCAGAAATACTGTAACTCTAATATTTTAAAACCACAAATGTCTTAGCTCATTTTCTGTTGCTATAACAGAACACCTCAGATAGGGTAATTTATTACAAAAAAAGAAAAAAGTTTATTTAGCTCATGGTTATACAGGCTGAGAAGTTCAAGAGCCTGGCACTGGCATCTGGTAGGAGGCCTTCACGGTGTAACACCCCATGGTGGAAGGGCAAGCAAGCATTTGAGACAGAGGAAAAATGAAGACCAAATGTCATCCATTTATCAGGGTTCCATTCACATGATAACTAACCAATTCCCACAATAACAGCATTCACCTATTCACATGGGCAAAGCTCTCAAATTCTAATCACCTCTTAAAGGTCTCATCTCTTAATATCATCACAATAGCAATTAAACTTTGACATGAGTTGTGGAGGGAACATTCAAACCATAGCAAGAAATAACTGGGACCTGGCTCCTCCCATGACTCATATTTTTCTCCCTATTTAACTTAACTCTCAGTCATTGCTTCTGATACAGACTTGCCCTTTATAAACCTTCCTGGATCTTCATATAACCATCAGCTTGGCAGCAAAAAGTCACTTCTGCCTAGATCATCTTGCTGTCATCCTATTCTCTACATAGTTATTCCTTACATTTATTAAATGTGTACAAAATTCCTAGAAGTATCCTAAGCATCATAGATGTATTAATCATTTACTCCTCATATTACTGCATGTGGTTTTAATTATTATCCTCATCTACACATGAACAACTCTCAGTACATAGAAGGTGGGCAATAGACCAATGTCAGAATTGAGGATTCCAATCAAGATTCTTTGTCTGTTGAGCATTTTTCCTTAATCTTTATATTCTGCTGCCTCATGATATCACGGCTTGAATAAGCAACACTGTCATAAATTAAAGCAATGTCCCTCAAACATTATAGCTTGAACTGTTGCCCTGGCTATCTCAGTACCTCTTTACATCTATATAAAATAGTGAAAATTTCTCTCTACTGTGTGTTGTTAAAAAAAAAAAAAAACGTAAACCACCAGCCTCCCTGACTCTAAATGCAATGAGTATGTGCAGTGGCTTCAGGTGTACCTGTTGGCTATTTGTATTTCTTCTTTGGAGAAATGGCTACTCAACATCACTAATTATCAGGGAAATGCAAGTCAAAACCACAATGACAGACTATCTCACATATGTTGGAATAGCTATTATCAAAAAAAAAAAGACAAAGAATTGGAAAAGATCTGGAGAAATGGAAACCTTTCTCCACTACCACGTAATTCTGCAATCCCACTTATGTGTGTATATACAAAACAATTGAAATTAGGATCTTGAAGAGGTATCTGTACTCTTATGTTCATTGCAGGATTATTCATAATAGCCAATGAACTCTCATGTTCATTGCAGGATTATTCATAATAGCCAAGATATGGAAACAACACAAAGGTCTATTGACAGATTGAAGGATAAAGAAAATTGTGTGTGTGTGTGTGTGTATATATATATATACACACATATATACACAAATGTATACATATACACATATATACACATACATATACGTACATATATGCATATACATATACATATATACATATACATATACATACATATATACATATACATATATACATACATATATGCATATATACACATATATACACACACAGACACATGGTTGTACATATATATACATATATACACACACATAGACACATGGTTGAATTAACACACACACACACACAGAGACACATGGTTGAATTAAAAAAAATTAGTATAATATCCTACCAAAATTATAAGCATATAGTTAAAAATGCCCACAAAATAGATAAAACTGTAACCTAATATTCTAAGCACACCAAAATAAGTTAAGAAAGTCATACACTATATCAAAGATCAACATACATTAAAACTAAAAATATTAAAAAATGAGTTATATTACTAAAGAAAATAAAAATTTAAAAAAAATCCAGGCATGGGAATCACATCTGCAATCTCAGCACTTTGGAAGGCCTTGGTGGGATAATTGCTTGAGGCCAGGAGTTTGAGACCAGCCTGGGCAACATAGCAAGATCCCAAATTTATTTAAATAGATTTTTTAAAAGAAAATAATTTTAAAAAATCACTTCTCATTCATACTAAAACACAAGAGACACAGATATACATATGAACAAAACAATACATAATATGAGAAAATAAAATTATTTTAAAAATGAACAGGTGATAAATAATTTGTGAGAAAAGGACAAAAGGCAAAGAGAATTAAGCATGTGCATAATAGGAATCCCTAGTAAAACAAACAGAAGCAACAATGTAGAAAATAAACCTTAAAGAAAAATATCATTATAAATATATATGTGTATAAATACAAACGAGAGAGATGAATATCAAGAAATATGTGAGATTGATCAAAACAGAGAAAGTAATACAATTGTTAGAAAAAAAGCCTTTCATCATCTAGACAAAAAGACCAAAATTAACATCAATAGAAATGAAATAAGATTGAAATATGAATTTTAGACAGAAATTTTTATATCAAAAGACAATATAGGTCCTATTAGAGATATATAAAGGATAAAAAGTATGAACCAAAGACATTATAGCCAACCAAACTGCTTTTTCTTTATAAAGATAGAATATAACTGTTTTTTTAAATTGCAAAATAACTTTGAAAATAAAAATATTTTCCATGAGCTTTTCCTGAGGCATCTGCTAGAAAGAAAATTTCAAATATTCAAAATTAGTAGAAAAGCATTAGTATAAATCCTGGTATATTTCTACATATTATATGTAGAACTAAGACAAAAGTATCATCCCAAAATAAAAGTGTAGTATATAGTGACAATTTGCTTCAAAAATGTAGATACATTGCAACTCTCAAAAATTGAAGGAGGTTTGTATCTAGGGTATAGGAAGCTGCAGAGTGCAACTCCCACCTCAATAAGCAGAGGACTCCAGGGTTAACTACTAACCGGTGACTCTTCTGAATCATTACAGAGCTCAGATAGCTGAAGTGGGAGGGTAATCAAGTAGCCTGAATTCCAAGGAAGGAGAGAGTTGCTGAAGAGAGCATATGAAGAAGTATTGACAATTTGGAAATAGCTAAGAACAAAGTAGCTAACAATGTCATGAATTGCTAAATACTGAGTGCAGGCTAAAATAAAGAACCCTTGGGACTTCCAAACATGGAGGAGTTGTTGTCACTCAAGACTCATTTCCCTGGACCTCCACCAAAGCCTCATGAGAAAGACTGGCTACGTTAAGAAAATGGAGACAGGACCCCTCAGTGGGGTAGGAAAAGGCTCAGACCTTCCCTCTTACAGAAAGAGTCAAGCTTAACTAAGAAAAGAGCACTCACGGACCACAGGTAAAGACATTGAAACTAGGGAAGCATAGCAGGAAAATAATACTATGTATTAGGGAGAAATAGAAAAGGGGCTTTGGCCAGGATTATATGCTCATACCATCAGAAGTCTCTATTGCTGGTAAATGGACAAGAACTTTCATCTTACATAAACACACCGAAATAAATGGCAGAGTATTGCTGTCCCAGAAACTATCAGCAGAAATGCTGAGAAATATTCAGTCCTGAGGCTCAGGCACACAACGTTTTGGTAAAAACCATTCAATAAGTCTCTAGAAGTTTCCAAACATTTGCACATCTGCCTGTCTTCTTCTGAGACCTCCAAACTGTTCCAAACTCTGCCTGTTACCCAGTTCTAAAGTCAATTTCACATTTTCGGTTATTTTTATAGCAGTACCCAAATCCTGGTAGCAATTATCTATATTAATCTGTTTTTACACTGCTGTAAGGATACTACCTGGGACTGGGTAATTTATAAAGAAAGGAAGTTTCACTTACAGTTCTGCATGGCTGGGAAGGCCTCAGGAAAGTTACAATCGTGGCAGAAGGGGAAGAAGGCATGTCGTACAGGGTGGCAGGTGAGAGAGCAAGGAAGTGTCACACTTTTTAAAAACCATCAGCTGTCATGAGAACTCACTCACTATTACGAGAACAGCATGGGGAAAACTGCCCCTGTGATCCAATCACCAACCATTGGGTCTCTTTCTTGACATGTGGGATTTCAATTTGCAATGAGATTTGGGTGGAGACACAGAGCAAAACTATATCACCTACAAACATTAAAATAATAATTTACTATTAAAGAACTATATACTAAAATACTTAAAATGGCTCTATGCCTGTGAATTTTACAACTTGGAAGAGATGCAAAAGACACGTGGAAGGAACAGCCTGCCTTGTCTCACTTAAGAAAAAAAAAAAATTGGCCGGGCGCAGTGGCTCACGCCTGTAATCCCAACACTTTGGGAGGCTGAGGTGGGCGGATCACGAGGTCAGGAGATCGAGACCATCCTGGCTAACACGGTGAAACCCCGTCTCTACTAAAAAATACAAAAAATTAGCCGAGCGTGGTGGCGGGCGCCTGTTGTCCCAGCTACTTGGGAGGCTGAGGCAGGAGAATGGCATGAACCCAGGAGATGGAGCTTGCAGTGAGCCGAGAAGGCACCATTGCACTCCAGCCTGGGCGACAGAGCGAGACGCCATCTCAAAAAAAAAAAAAAAAAAAAAAAAAAAAAAATATATATATATATATATATATATATATATATATATATATATATATATACCAATTCCTCACAAAACTTTTTCAGAATACCGAAGTGGATGTAATAACACTTCCCAACTGATATTCGAAAGCCAGTATTATCATGATTCTAAAATCAAGAAAGACATTATAAAAAGGAAACTACTGACCAATGCTCTTCTTGAAAATAATTATAAAATGAATAAGAAGTCCAAGTAGGATTTTTTTAGAAAATTCAATATGTAAACTATATATTAGACCAAGTAGGACTTTTTTCAGAAAATTCAAAGTTGGATCAACATTCAAAATTCCATCATTGTAATTCAGCATATTAACAGAAAAAAACAAAAACCATATTTTAATAGATGTAAAATAAAAAGTAATAAAATATGGCATTTATTTATGCTAAATTATTTCAGAAAATTAAAAATAAAACCGATCTGAGAGAAAATCTGCCAAAAAAACCTATTTCAAACAACTATTAATTTTACCTAAAAATCAGAAACAAAGCTATATTTCATTATTTTACTAGGTCTATCCAACATTTCACTGAGGTTCTTGCAAATTCAGTAAGACAAAAAAAGGATGCATACAGATTGAAAATTGAAAAAGAAAACTTTTTACATATAATATTTTAAAATAATATTTTTAAAATGTACTAGAAGTGATAAGTATATAAAGTCACAAAATGCAAAGCCAATTACAAAACTCTGTCAGATTTCTACAGACTAGTAATGAACAGTTGGTAACTAAAATTATGAAATAAAAAATAGTGTATGCAATAGTATCCAAAACAATAATTATTTATGTTTAAATCTAACAAAATAAAAGTTCTACATCCTAAAAACACAAAACAGAGGTTAAAGGAATCCAAGATCTAACTAATTGGAGAGTCACACTGTGTTTTTCTATTGTTAAAACATTAATTCTGTACAAAAATTCAGTCAAGTAAAAGGAATAAAATCTAGTGTTCAGTAGCCCAATAGGGTGACTCAGTTAATAACTTGCTGTTTATTTGAAAATTACTAAAAGTAAAGTTGAAATGTTCTTAATATAAAGAAATGATAAATGCTTGAGGTGATGTATATCCCAGTCACTCTGATTTGATAATTGTACACTAAATGCTTGTATCAAAATATCATATATACCCCATAAATATAACTATTATGTGTCAATAATTATTAAAAATAAAATTAAATAAACATAAAACCCATCAATTCACCCCATCTGACCTATTGATTCAATGCAATTCCAATCTAAATCTCAGTATTTTTTTTGTATAATTGACAAACTGATTCTAAATTTTATAGAAACTCAAAAAATTTTAACAGGGATAGAACGTTGAAAATGAAAAAAAAAAAAGGAAAACCTCCATTATCTGAAATAAAGACCTACTGTAAAGCAATAGTGATCAAAAGAGTGTGAATTCCGGGAAAAGATGAAAATATAGCCAAATGAAATACAATAGAGGGTTAGGAATAATCTAACACATATAGAGATAAATGATTTTAGATAAAGACACAAAGTCAATTTAATAGACTAAAAAATTAGGCATTTGTACTCAAATAAAACATGCAGTATAATAATCCTCAATTAATATCTTGTACTACATATAAAAACTAATTCAAAATGTATTCTAGATAATTTCTTAGGTCTTAGCATAAACATGACTTACTGAGAGATAAGTTCTTCTACACCTAGATTTTAATGTAGGTATCTGTACTGTATTTTGTTTGTGTTTGCTTTGATTCATCCTCTACCTGACTAACTTTTATGTGTGTTTCTTTATTAAACCATGTATTAATACCTACTTTCTTCATTATAATTAAATTTATAATTAGGACTGTCTTCATCTTTGGCCCTCAGGCACTTTTATGAAACAGTTTAATAGTGACTTCTTTCCAAATAAGCCTAGGTAACCAATCCCTGAAGCTGAACAGAGATGGTGTGCTATTCTGACCTCCAAGCCCTGTGTTTCCCCGAGGGCCCAAGCTCTCAAGCAAAAAATTAAGAGGTAAATATATGATATATTCCACAATAACAGAGGCATAACTCTCATATACATAAGAAAATCTTTTCTATTTCTAGTAAGAAAAAAATATAGTAACATATAAATAAGGTTAAAGGATATACAAGCGTAAGGATAAGACACACATTATACCAGCACACATGACTGCCTATTTAATTCCACTTACCTCTTTTTTTATGTTTTCCTGTACCGCATATATTTGTTTGTATAACAGCTTTAGAGATATACATCATATAGCATGAAATAATACAATTCAATGATTAGATTAGTCAGAGTTGTATAACAATCAGAAAATAAATTTCGGAACATTTTGTAACCCTAAAAGGAGACCTGTAGTCATTTCTCTTTCTCTCCCATTGCTGTAACCACAGCTTTAAGTTACCATCAAGCTCCTTTTTGTCTCTATGTATTAGCTTATTCTAGACACTTTATATAAATATATATAATATGTGATCCCCTGAAACTGTCCTTCTTACATAAGATAATATTTTACAGGTTCATCCGTGTAGTAGCCTGGATCAGGACTTAACTGGCTTTTGCTACATAATATTCCATTGTATGGATATATCTCCTTTATAGATATATCCCATTTTATTTTTCTATTTTTCAGTTGATGGACTTTTGGGTTGTTTCCACTTTTTGGCCATTATGAATATACTGCTATGAACATTTACATACAAATTTTTGCGTGAACATAGGCTTTCATTTTTCTTGATTATGTCTGTAGGAGTTGACTTGCTGGGTCATATGATAACTATATGTTTATCATTTTGAGGGCCAAAACAGCTGCACAATTTCACATTCACACCAGTAGTGGATGAAAAGGATCAAGTTGTAAATATTCTTACCAACACTTGTTAACATCTGCCTTTTTGACTGTAGTCATCCAAATGGGTGTAAGGTGGTATGTCACTGTGGTTTTGACTTGCTTTTCTCTGATGTCTAAAGATAGCATTTTTTATTATTAGAAGACGTTATATATCTTTATTTGGAGAAACGTAAATTCATCTCCGTGTTCATTTTTAATTGCATTACTTTTCTTTATATAATTGAGTTGTAATATTTCTTCATAGTCTAGATACAAAGTCTTTATCAGATATATGATTTTTCACTTTTTATTTGTTTGAAACAGGGTTTTGCTTTGCTTCCCAGGCTGGAGTGCTGGGGTGCAATTATAGCTCACTGTAGCCCTGACCTTGTGGCCTCATGCAATCCTCCTACCTTGGCCTCCCAAAGTACTAGAATTACAGGTGTGAGCCACCACACCTGATCCACTTTATTGATGGTATCTTTTGAAATACATTTTTTAAAAATATTGAAGATGTTCATTTTTGTAGCTTGTACTTTTGGTATCGTACCTAAAGAAAAAGTAATCCATTGTTGCATAGAAATATGCCTATGTTTTCTTCCACAAATTTTAGTTTTAAATCTTACTTTCAGTTTTAGGATACAATAATTTTGTATACCATGTGAGGTAGTATCAACAACTTTTTGCATAGGATATGCAGTGGTTAATAACTATATGTACTGTTTTTATCCTGGTGCATTTCTTTAAATATGTTTAATATATATAAATGTATTAGTAAAAACATACTTGAAAGATTCTTTCCCCTGAATTCTAGCTTTCCCTGTTATCAACTCAAGAAATGGGTTTAAACTTCCTTGAATAAATGTTTCTATCTCCTGAATAGAGTCACCTGAAGACATGGTATAGAGCTAATGAAGAATTGTTTAGTCAGTTCTATAGAAATATTGTTTCTATTTGTAAACTCCTTCAATGTCAGCAAACATCTCAATGACCTATTTTGCAAAAGTATGTTTCTCAGAACAATGCCGCAGGTGACATAGGTTTTACTTAATATTGGCTATGAATATTGATTAGCTTATGCATTTTCTTTTTTGTATAGTACCAAGTTCATTGTTAATTACTCCATACCAACTGTGTGAGTGGCAAAATCCAGAGAGGTCTGAAGGTCTGCATCCATCTCTATGAGAGGACCCCAGTACCAAAAATGTCTTTTTTTTTTTTTTTTTTTGAGATGGAGTAGTTTTAGTAGAGATGGACCCGTGTTGCCCAGGCTGGTGTTGAACTCCTAGGCTCAAGGGATTCATCTACTTCAGCCTGCCAAAGTGCTACGATTGCAGGCATGAGCCAATGCATCCAGCCAACAATGTCTTCTACAAGATAGAAAACTACATTATCAACTGATTACCTTACCAGCTTAAGGAAGAAGATAGTCAGCATCAGGTTGCCACTTTCCATCTAATGTCTAAAATATTCATGACCTGGTCTCTCTTAAAGTGTACAAAGAAGATAATTATTGGAACAGTAGATTGTTCTCTCATACAACTTATTTCCATGAATATTTATAAGTGCTTAAAATATTTAACTCCACAATATATTTTAAATATAATATACCTTGCATTTTAGATGGTACAGTAACATATTTGTGGAGCCTCCACAAGTCTGGATCCCTAGGTGCTTATGTAGGGTAGGGTCCTTGCACTGGTCTATACTTTAAGTGAGATAGTTGGTTATGTAGGGCATTGAGATGTCAGGTTAGTTACTGCAGCATATCTTAGCCTCTTAGAAAAAATATAGGAACATTTCAAGGACAAATTGTCTGTCATCTACTCTTAAAAGGTACAAAAAGGAAGGTTATTGTTGCAAGCAATCCTCCCTATAAGACAATCAAGGTTTTACAGTACACTAAGAGTTTCTGCCAAGCATTTCTGCTTGTATTGTCTGAACAACTTTCTCTAGCTTCCTTTTGCAGAGAACTTTCTTTATTTCTCTGTCTAAAATACATCCTTATTTGGAAAAGCTACTTATTTTTGAAACTGTTTTAATAATGCCATCTGTCTTCCTTTTCCATTGAAAAATTAAATCTATATTCAATTATACAAGATATTTTTCATTGTTTAATCATGTCATTACCTATTTCCCATTACCAATAGACTTCAAAATGAATATGGATCTTCTTATCTTATAGGTCTATAGCCATCTCATCATCCTCAAATGAATTTCAGAAAGCTGGTGGTTATTCTTTTTTCTTCATTCATAAACTGATACTTTTAGAAATCACATCTTATTAAATAATGTAATTCGGTTTAACTTTTCACTATTCAAAATTTTCATCCTCTCTCTTTCTATCTGCTATTGGCTTTTTCATGTCCTGATGCTATTTCTAAAAAGTTCAGAACTTAGTTTTTTTCTTTTCTCTCTACTATTTCTAAGGCATAAACTTATAATTATACTGCAAGAACCTAAGGTATCTTTTAGAGTCATATTATCCAAGTCATAATACCATGTGACTTCTTCTTATGGGCATCTTCATATACAGAATATATAATTGTGTAATTTATTGATCTCTATATATATCCATACATATTTTTACTGTAATTGTAAAAATACATATATTTTTATATATATCTTTGTGTATAGATAGATAGAGATTATATGGATATATATGATAAATATTTCACATTTTTTTCTCTACCTTCTGCCCTAAGACTGGACACAGATCTGAACTGATCACAAATTATTTATTAAAGTTGGTGCTTTCAATTTTTTTAAAAGATACTAGAAGAGTTTCTCGTTAATTTGGAGCATCACTGCTATCGCTCCCACACATCTCAACATCCTGTTTAAGTGAGATTTTATTGTCTTATCTGCCATTTAGCAAAATGAAGTATTTATCTAAGGTAGCATGTGAAATGTTTCAGAATTTCCTGTATTAACCTCTTTGAATCCACCCATGCCTATTAATCATATGACTGTTACATTGACTTTCTAAAATAGAAATCAGAGTACACCTTTATTTTGCTCAAAATATTTTAAACACTTCAAAACATTCTTGAACTAAAATCCCAAATTCTGGTAATTGCTTTAGAAGGCCTTACATGATCTGATCTCTGCCAACTTCTCTGATTTTCAACCATGGTGTATTCAGCCTATAATATTCCAGATGAGCTAGATGGGGCTTCTTGATCTTTGTCAATTATATTAATCGGATTCACACTTTAGAATTTTACTGTTACTGTTTTCTTTCCATGAAATTCTTCTCAAGTGCTCCATGTCCTAACCGGTTCATTTCTTTACATTATTTATATCTTAGCTCATTTGAGAAACATACCTAGTGTGAACTTCAGAGAAAAGTCTTCTTTATCACTTGTCTTAGTCTGCTCAGGATGCTATAACAGAATACTAAAAGCTGGGTGGCTTACATGGGACAAATTCATTTTTCACAGTTTTAGAGTCTGGGAAGTCAAAGTTCAAGATCATGGCAAATTTTGTTTGTGGTGAGAGCTCTCTTTCTGGTTTTCAGACAGCTGTCTTCTCACTGCGTCTTCATATAGCCAGTGTGTGTGTGCTGAGAGAGAGGGAACAACCTGTCTTGTGTCTCTTCTGTAAAAGCACTAATCTTTTCAGATCAAGGATTCATCCTTATGATGTCATTTAACTGTAATTACTTCCTTTGAGGCACCATCTCCAAATAGAGCAATATTGGAGGTATCAATGTTTGAAATTTTGGGACACAAATATTTGATCCATAACATAACTAAAACAGTACACATCCTCATCGAAATTCTGTACCCCTCACTCTGTGATATGTACTCTTACTGAATTCAAAACTATTTAAAATAATACTGAACATTTTACTTGTTTATGAAACCTCAATAAGGTTAGGCATGTTTCATTTTTAAAAAATTATTTTCTTAGGATCTAGCAATTGACCAGTGCTTATTATTTTAGAAAAAAATAATGTTTCAAGGAGAAATGAATCCATTTCTGAATAATTATGGAGAAAATCAATAGAGCCTAAAAAAGATTTAGACAATCGAGTATGATGGTCTTTTTTTTTTTTTTAACTTGGACACTTCTCCTTAAGTCTTGAGACTTTTTATTCTAATTAAATATTTGATTAATAATATCTAAATGTGGCCAGGCATGGTAGCTCATGCCTATAACCCCAAAACTTTGAGATGCTAAGGTGGGAGAATCACTTGAGTTCAGGAGTTTGAATTGGCCTGGGTAACATACTGAGACCTCATCTCTACAAACCTTTTAAAATTAACCAGGTATAGTGGCACGCACCTGTATTCCCAGATACTTGGAAAGCTAAGGCAGGAGGATCACTTGAGCCCAGGAGGTCAACACTGAAGTGAGCCATGATTGCACCACTGCACTCCAGCATGGCTGATAAAGTGAGATCCTGTCTCAAAAAAAGTTAAAAATAAAAATAACATCTAAATCTCTGTTAAATTTCCAAAATGGCATGTAAGGTTGAACATGTAGTTATATAGTTTATATTAAACAAAAACATTTTTGTGTTTAAATAGTTGATATTGAAAGCATAATTTTATTTATTCTTAACCTACATATGAGTTCTCCTAAGAATGAGTGAGTTATGGAAGTGCTCCATCCATGACTCACTCATTTAACCCCATCCCAAATACTTTGTGCTACTTACAATTCTATTAAGAAGCTTGTCCCATTCTTAAGCTATGTTTCTACATAATTATATTCAGGGAGTCAACAATATATCTCTCTTAGTGATTAGGATGCAAACCCATCCTTATATAATTATAGAGTGTACTTATAATGCAAATATCCTTTGATGAGAGGTAAGAGTGAAATTACCCAAAAAGAGAAACAGTTTGCAAAGCAACTTTTTTGGAGGCATACAAAAACCAGAATCACAGTATTTTTAAAGAGCACACATTTATTGAGACAGTTCTGTTTGTTTGTTTGGTCTTAGCACTAATGTCACATTTGTTTTCATTGATATGCGTCACCCATATGTCCAGAGAATGATGAATTTTCTTCACTGTTCCCTTCACCTAGCATAAAACAAATTAACCAATGCAAAATACACATATATGAATCTGTTTTTTCTTCCAAGGTCCTAAAATTCACTTACTAGGGGGAGCAATTGGTTGGAACAAGTCATTAGGATAGTGTAATTGCTTCTGATATGATTATGGATCTTTTAAAACTTGTGACAGTTTCATCACTTAGTTCATTGATTGCAGGGAGCAGCTTCTAGTACTTAAACAAAGCTACATTTTCAGTGGATATTGGAAATGATGTCAGGGAAAGCCACTCCTCTAGGCATCACGTCTAACCTTCAATACCTCATTATTGACCAGATTCTGGCTCATTCACTCTAATTATTTAATTGAACAATTCAAGTTGAGGCATAAAGTAGACAAATTAATTTAGTGATCATCAATAGGCTGACATTCCCTGTGAAACTTTAGAAAGTTTCTGTAGGTTTTGCAGTAGTGTTTAGTTAACCCATTTAAAAAACTCATTATTTGAGTAAATATTACCTTACTTTGCTTTAAATTCTACTCTGAAACACCATTTGTTTTTTATGTTAAAGTATTCTTTCCTTTAGTTTTGAAGAGTTTCACTTGTGTTCATATCTTGAACAATTAATATTATGACATTTCTTTTGACTTTAACATTTAGTAGTGTGGATTCAGCTTTACTTTAACCAACATTATTTAAAAAGCATTCAAATTAATTTTGATATCAAAATTTCAGAGAATGGAAAGGACATTAGAAAGAACTGTAAAATACCCTCCATGTAGGAAATCTGGGATAAAGAAAGAAAATTATTTGTTCTACCTCTAATTAAAGACAAGTAAGTTGCTCTCCACTTCTCCAGTTGTAAAAGGTATAATCATCTCCACTGAAATAGTAGATTTGTGATCTAATCCACACTGAAAATAAAGCACCTGGGTTTATATTCTCAGTGCTGATGTCATCATTATTTCAAAAATCTGTTTTTCTTCACAAATTGAGTTTGCTCCAATGAATTAAGAATTCAAAATATTTTTTTTCTTATTGAGAAAAAATTATTATTTGGGAAAAGTGTTAAAGGAAAATAATTGATTATAGTCTTCTCATATTTCACTTTTAATTTTTCTTTTAACTCAAAATCATAAGTGGCATATTATGTCACTTAGGCCTTTATGCTGTATATTTTCTAAGAATATAATGTGCAAATGAAATGTCTTATATAAAATTTGCATATACCATATTTAAGAGAGTTATTTGAGCTTTTGGTGGAACAATTTAAGGCAAATTAATTATATAAGTTCAAAGTTATGAAATAAAAATGTTTTTATGTATTTAAAATATTTTAATGTAAGCGAGAATCCTAACAAAAACCTGAAAACAAAAATAGCAAAGTTTTGAGGCTCTTTGACTAAGTGAATTGTAAACTGCATAAACTCTTAATATAAAAGTACATACTGTCTGTCTAATTTTATATAATGCTCTAGTAAATGCAGAAGAATACATAGTGATGGAAAGTGAGTGTGTGGTTTCTTAAAGAGTTGAAGGAGGGAAATAAGAAGTGGGAAGCAGAGATTACAGAGGGGCACGAAGGAACTTGGCAGGGTAAACTACATGATCACAATGTTGATTGTAGTGATGGTTCTGCCGGAGTTTGGCATTTTATATATTTATCTTTTTGTATTATTTTTACCTCTTACCGCCCATTCTAAAATCTTATATTACGCAAACCATGGATCAGGAAACCAGTCATGGGATCGCTATGAGTTAAATTATGTCCCTCATAAAAATACGCTGAAGTCCTAACCCCTAGTACCTGTGACCGTGACCTTATTTGGAAATAGAGTGTCAGAGTACAAAGCTAAGATGAGTTTATACTGGATATGTGTGGGTCCTAATCCAATATCAGTGGTTGTCTTTATAAAAAGAGAAGGGATGAAGAGACAAACACAGGGAGAATACTGTATCACAAAGAAGGCAGAGATTTGAGTGATAATGTCTACAAGCAAAGCAATGTCAAAGATGGCTGGCAACCACCAGAAGCTAAAAGAGAAGCATTGAAAAGAATGTCCTCCAGAGAGCCCAGAAGGAACTAACCTTGCAGGCAGCTTGATTTTAGACCTCTAGGCTTCAGAATGGAGAAAGCATAAAATCCTGTTATTTCAAGCCACCAAATTTGTGGTCATTTATCATGGTAGGCCTAGGAAACTAACCTTAGGGCCATATCCAGCCCACCATCAGTTTTTATTAAGAAAGTTTTAAATTGCAATACAGCCACATTCATTCATTTATGTATTGTCTGTGGCTGTTTTCATGCTAAAATGACAGGGTTGAATAGTTGCTACAGAGTTCATACGGTCTGCAAAGCTTAAAATTTTTACTGTGTGACCCTTTAGGGAGAATTTTCACTGTCCTCTGATTTGAAATGCATAGATTATTGCTCTAGGTGGTCAAACCTGGGCAGATATGTCAGTAAATGCTGTTTATAATATATATTATGCATATATAAATATATGTTGTGTGTATATACTATATGTAGTATATATGCACAGACATACATAGGCATATATAAATATATGTATATATGTGTGTATGTGTACATATCTAGATATGTAAAATTTCAAATTCTTGGCATAGGCAATATCTTAGGGGGAAAAAGTATGTTTGAAGTATCTTCCTATATAGTGAATACTGTTTGATGATACTCTATTGAGGTTTGGAAACTTATCAACCTGCAGTTAAATAATTTGCATTGTTTCTGTAGAGATTCTGATATAAACAGGTAGTATTTTTTTAGTATGACCTTGACCTGAAAACATTCAAATCAGAATCCTTTTTTATAGGAATAGTTTGTAACACAGCGTTTTGATTACTAAATAAAAAGGACCAGTTACTTTTATGGTATCTCTTTACACATAGTCAAAAAAAAAAAAAAAAAGAGCTGAAACTCTAGAGTTACTTTTAAATCATGTTTTGAGTCAGTAAAATTTGAATTAAACTTGTAAAATTATGAATCTCAGCAGCTTCTGTTCTAGTAACTACAGATAATTAGAGAAAATATTTTAGCATAAAATTTGAAGCTTCAGTCAGAATTTCCTAACTCTATAAAATATTAAAGTAAAGAAACTATGTTATGTAATACTACAGTTCATCTTTATATAATTGAGTTGGCCTTCACACTAATGAGCCATAGGAACCTCTTAAAAATGCACAAATTTTAGCATTTATGGAAGTCTCTATCAAGATACATAAATTTTATATCTTCTGCATATTTATCCTGGGCCTAGACCAGAAACATATATACTTGTTCACCCCAAGTGAGTGTGACAGCTTCTGATTCTCCTTGAAGTTTAAGGAAAAGAACAAATCCACTATATTATTTCCTGCATTCTATATAATTGAGTCTGTTTGCTAGGGTAATACATCTAGCAAAGCAAATACAACTGGGATTAATATTTGGTTAAATTTATAGCAGCCCATCATTGTTTGCCATAATCTATCCATTATTTGTCCAGATGAATAAAATGAGAATAACATGGAACCAACATTCTTCTATTCTTTAACTCTGAAAGTGGTACTAATCTCTGCCCTGTGCCTATGACCTGATATTATTATGATTAAAAACATTTATATCATGGTAAGAGGATGAGGACTCTCTACAGATCAAAGAACTTATGGGAACATTCTGCTAAATACTATCATATGCTTTCTAATTATACATTTGCAAGCTAGAGAAATGGCAATTGAGTAGGTCTGTGAACCCAATAGGCACACTGTGAAACAAATATAAGATGGAACTTCATTACTTGGCCCTCTTCTACACCTGTTCTAACTGGGAGGCCATGATGTCCCCAGCTATGGGTTTTCTTGGTTTAAATATCTACTTAGATAGACTTAATATACAATAATCCTAGAAGGGTCTGGGCATTTCCCTTTCCCTCATAAATGATTACCCAAGTAAATGACTCTAGGTCCCTTTGGGGAAGGCCTGGGGAAAGCTCTGCTATACACATTTACATTGGTGTTGCAATGTCTTTGCACATGAGGGCAAAACTCCCAGGCAAGGAGGCTCCCTTTTGGCTGAAGGTAATTGTCAGAAGAATGGGGGGTAGTTGTGAGTTATCAGCCTACATTTACATCAGGTAAATTGGATCTTGGTCAATCATACGTGCCATCCACTATGACTACATTTTTACTTATCAACTGTACAAAGGTAAAAAATTTAATAATACACAATTTTGACAAACTTTGGAGAAACTGAAACCCCCATACATTATTAATGTTATTTGATATTATAATGCATATTCTTTGGAAGAAGAGTATGACAAAGTCTATTAATATTAATGATAAATACAACACTGATGCAGAAATTCTTAAGTATATCACAGATGTGGTCAAACATGTGCGTACATACACACGCACACACGCGCTCATTTTAGTCTTCAAACAAAAAACCGCAAACTATCAAACTATCTAAATATCATTGAATAGGAGCTGGCTAGCACATTAGATCACATTCCTAAATGACTTTAATTCTAAACATATGCACCCATTGACAAAAAGACATTTCCTTTTCTTTAACAAAACTTTTATTACAGAGCATTTTAAATGCATAGAAATATACAAATGATTTTGTTTACTTTTATATTAATATATTCAAATTTCTCTGGCTTTAACTTTTTAAATTTTTTTACCTGCAAGCTCAGGTCTCTTACAGCCTTAAAAATAATAATAAAAAATCTTAAATCTTAAACCACTCCTTTGAACTACTTCCCAATTTCCTTACTTTTTTTATAACTTTTTTTTAAGTTCAGGGGTGCATGTGCAGGTTTGTTATATAGGTAAACAGGAGTTAATAGGTCATAGGAGTTTGTTGTACTGATTATTGCCAAAATATTAAGCCTAGTATCCATTAGCTATTTTTCCTTATCCTTTCCCTCCTCTCACCCTCCACCCCCTGGTAGGTCTCAGTGTCTGTTGTTCTCCTCTATGTATCTAGGTGTTCTCATAAGTTAGCTCTCCTTATAAGTGAGAACATGTGGTATTTGTTTTTCTGTTTCTGCTAGTTTGCTGAGAATAATGGCCTCCAGCTTCATCCATGTTCTTTCAGTGGACATGATCTCATTCTTTTTTATGGCTGCACAGTATTCCATGATGTATATTTACCACATTATCTTCATCCAGTCTATTACTGATGGGCATTTAGGTTGATTCCATGTCTTTGCTATTGTGAATAGTGCTTCAATGAACATATATGTGCATGTGTCTTTATGAAAGAACAATTTATATTCCTTTGGGAATATATACTCAGTAATGAGTTTGAGACCCCAATTGCTTTTCCACCAATCTATAATTTACACTCCCACCAATAGTGTTCCCTTTCCTTTGCAACCTCACCAGCATCTGTTATTTTCTGAGTTTTTAATAGTAGCCATTCTGACTGATGTAAGATGGTATATCATTGTCATTGTGATTTGCATTTCTCTAATGATCAGTTATGTTGAGCTTTTTTCATATGCTTATTTGCTGCATGTATGCTTTCTTTTGAAAAGTATATGCTCATGTCCTGAGAAAAAGATTTCTCTAAGCTCTATCAAACAAAAAATCGAGGTGTGATACATGTAATGTATATACATCCATTGTTGTTAAAATTGTGATTATTTATGTCATATGTCTATCTGTACATATATAAATATCTGTATTATGTTTGCTTATGCACACAGTATAAGAGTACACAAGAAATAAAAGTCTGTTGGCATTGGTAGAGGAGATGTTTCTTCATGGGAGGAAATTAAATTCCCATTAAATACCTATTTATATTATTTACTTATGTAAATCCTGTGTTTGTTATTTTCTCATATGAGAATTTTTTTAGGTAGCAGATACAAGCATATAAATGCAGTGACCTATAAACTGGTTCTATTTAAATAAAATAACAGTAAAAAGAAAACTCCAATGGATCAATGTAAATAAAATTACCAACATATAAATATATGGTTGAGTGAATGTTTCATGTCGCATAGACCATAATTATTAGATGCAAAAACAAGTTCAAATTTAAGAGATACAGTCCACACACTGGCACCATTTATGTAAGCATGATCAGTGGGCTTTTCTCCAACGAATTTCAGTAGGATATGGTAAGAATTTTCCTTTTAGGAAGAACAGATACAGTGACCCTCAAATATTTTAATATTTAGAACAATGTTTTCAAATTTTTCAAGACTGTATTGCCCCAGACCGTTACTTTCAAACATAGTTATTTGGGTTTATATTCTCTATACCCAATATCAGTTTCAATCTTACTACTCTGCTATAGCTGCTCCTCAATTATTTTCATAGAAATTTGTTCCTACTGTGTCTATAAGAACATCTATTTCTGAACACATGAAAGTATCTTGGATTATTAAGGTGAATAATTTTACACACAAAAAATACATTTCAGTGTCATCCTGGAAGCAAAAATACTGTTCAACTAATTTTCAATATTTAGGTTATGCGGGAATTCTCAGTTCCTTAAACTACCTTGGAAAATACTTGGAGGACAAATAATAGTTACGTACTTTTAAGTCAAATGTTAGCTATGATCTTTTTGTCCCTTAATATTTGAAAAATATCTATTTAAATCCCTGCAGAAGATCTTTGCCCTCTTAAACACTGTTATACATTCCCTGGAGTTCACATTAGCATGATTGCTGCTGGCCTGAGCTCCTGTTTTGCTGAATTAATTCTATTTAGAAATTATATTGCAATTCACCTGTATTGTCTTGGTTATACCTTGGTAAAATTCAGACCTTTTATTTAATTTCTCCCTTAACAAACTATTTACATAGTTTTCATTAAAAATTTTAGAAAAAAAATTGGAAAGTAAAGATCGATATTCTAACTCCAGTCAGTTCTTCATTCTTTGTAGAGCTGTGTGTGAAACATGATTTGGTATCAATCAGTATCCACATCTTCTTCACTTCTGAAACAATTGAAATACCTTCATAAATAGCTTTCTCTGGCTTGGTAGAAAATTTTTATTATTTATTGTCATATTCATCAATAGGTTACTTTTTTTTCTTCTAAAGTGTTCAGTAGCATTTTATTTCAGATAGGTACAGAGAACTAATTGTCCAATAATAGTCTCTCTATGACTCAGAGAAACATCATGATTAATAACAATCTCTTTTTTCTCCCTCAAAACCAAATAAAAACAGAAACACTAAACTTAGTCAAGAAGGGACAGGATATAAAAGATCTCTCTCAAAGTTAATTAGCATATTAATCACCTCAAATACCTATTTTTTTTAATGATGAGAATATTTAACATCCTCTCTTTTAGCTATTTTTAAATATACAATACATTAATTATTATCTGGTCACCTTGCTGTTGCCATAGAACACCAGAACGTTTTCCTCCTAGCTAACTGTAACTTTATACCTGTTGACTAACGTCTACCCTTCTCCAGTCCACTTCTGCCTGCTTCTCAGCTTCTGGTTACCACCATTCTACCCTGGACTCTATAAATTCAACTTTTTTTGATTCTAGGTGTTTAGTGCTGCCCTGAGTATATTCAGTGGAAATGCCTTCTTTGCTATTCTAGTTATTAGCTCCTGCTCAGAAGTAGGAGACTTACTCTAATCTTAACATGCAGAACCAGTTTTCATCTAAGCAAAAGAGCATCTATTAGAATATCATGGCTTAAGAAGGCATAGGAAAATCACAGAAGGAATCCGAGGGATAAAGAAAACCTGAGAGATGACCTTTGGGAGGAAATGAGTATTATCCTTGCATGAATATGAAACACATAAAGTTCAATTTATTTCTGGGCTGAATTACATCACACACCATTTAATAGCATCATTATTGAATAATTTGAGTGATTCTTCAGATAAATCTCACACTGTTATTACCTTCATGCACACTCACTGTAATCTGAAATTTTCCAAATATGATAGATATATGGAATGTTGAACTTACAAGGAAACAAACAGCATACGTGAACTCCAATCTCTTTATTATGAAAATTGACAAATTAAGCACAAAATGGTAAAATTTATTTATCAGAATTATGCAGAGAAATGACAAAGTTAGGAATAAAATCCTGATACAGTGCTACTGACCCCTGAACTCATTCTAATACTTTTTTTTGGCTGAAGTTTAAAAATTTATACTGTTCACTTATTCAAAATAAAAATATAAATATTAAGTTGGTGCAAAAGTAATTGCGGTTTTTGCCATTAAAAGTATACATGGATATAGACTTAGCTAGATAGAATATTCCTAAATAGAAAAATTCCTCCAGATTAACCTTGTCTTTATTTAGCAGAAATGTAATTTAAGGTGTTCTCTAAAGCAAACATTAAAAATATCCTTTTAAAAATCTATATATGTAATCTCTATCTCGGTGTGGCAGATATTTACTAAAAAGCTATGCCAAATAAGTGTGTTTTTAAAACCAAACAGAATTATAAACATAAATGTTCAGATGTTCTTAAGAACAAAAGTTCTGACCTTGTGAAGGTTTGCTTCTTGCAAAAGTAAAATTAAGATAGTAATATTTTCAAAATGTGCATCTAACATTTACATTTGTAGAAATTTTCAGTATACAACATTGAAAATATAAATATTAATAGCTTTTGAGATAATTTTATTAAACATTTTTGATACGCTGTCTTACTAGACAACAATCTTACTAGATATATATAAAACAAGTAATATCTGCAGAGAAAACAGATAGTAAACTTAATTTAAATAGTCAAACATTATTTTATCACCATCATATTAATAGTCAAAATGTGGACATGAAAAAACAGAATTTTGTTCTTTTTGTTCAAATTTCTTATAAAGTTAAAATCTGAAAAATAATTAGCTCAAGCATGAGTATTGAATTGGCTTAGCATAAAAGACTCATTATTTTGTTTTAAATTTGGACTTGTACTATGACTGATTCCTACATCCATTTCAGGAGAATTCCCTTTCTTGTAAGAATTCACATGAATTTAGGAAAGTGAAATATTGAATGTCATTATATATGCATGTAAAACCAATTAGAGCACCAAGCATTATTATTATTGTAAAAAAAATTAATTATCTTGTAACTTGAACTGAATGTGTTTATGGTGATCTACATTTTGTGGACTTCCTTTTTAAATTTTATTGGTCCTGTTCTATCATAGTTTTAATATTGTATGCATAAAGAAAATTGCAAAAATTGCTTGGGCAATAATTTTTATCTTATTTTCTCTAGAAAATAACTTATTTCAAACAAACATTTCATATCTCAGGAAAATTGGTCTTCTTATCAAATAGAATGATGTATCATAGAAAATATAGACTATTCCTTATAAAAGGGAACAATGAAATTTAATGTGATTAAGAGTGAATAAATACCATGATAGGTTTTTAAAAAGTGAATAGTATATGATAGGTAAAGAAGGAAAGATGAATCTGTTTACTATTTTAAATAAGGTAGTATATGTAGATCTACATGTAACTAAACACTAGAAAACCAAATCTAGTAAGCTTAATCATACTATAAGCTTTGAGAAATAAATGAAAAGTAGAAGCAGTATCAGGATTTCAATAATTGTTTTAAATTTTTGTAAAAAGAAAGGAGGAAATAATAGATTCCTTTAAAGCTTTTAACTGCTGAGCATGATATTCTTAAGTATAATATTAGATTTTGTAATATTTAAGAGTTTATACATGTTTTCATTACATTTTTCTCATTAAATCTTCCAAATCAGCCCAGTATAAAATATATGGAATTCCTGGCACATAGCAAATTAAACAAAACTGTTTATCTCTTCTACCATACTAAAATCTTGCTAATGTGACAGCAACAAAAAGAAAACAATATATAAACATATGAAAAGAAACAGAGTAATAGAAAAGAGAAGACAGTGATGAATAAAAATTATCAATAGGTAGTGGAAATAAATAATAAGATTTAGCATAGATGAAAATTCTAAACCAAGAGCCTGCACAGGGGGACATTATTGACAAGAATGACAATTCACTGGGCGCGGTGGCTCACACCTGTAATCCCAGCACTTTGGGAAGCCGAGGCGGGCAGAACACAAGATCAGGAGTTCAAGACCAACCTGGCCAATATGGTGAAACCCCATCTCTACTAAAAAAAATACAAAAATTAGCTAGGCACAGTGGTGCACGCCTATAGTCCCAGCTACTGAGGAGGCTGAGGCAGGAGAATCGCTTGAACCCAGGAGGCAGAGGTTGCAGTGAGCTGAGATCATGCCACTGCACTCCAGGCTGTGTGACAGAGCAAGACTCTGTCTCAAAAAAAAAAAAAAAAAAAAAAAAATCAACCACATATTCCCAGAGAAATTTAGAGTTTGAAGCCAGCAGCTAATGATGAAGGCAAGGTGAGTCAGTTGTCTAAAAACAGGGAAAATGGATGAGCTCCTCTATAAGTAGTAGTAAGATCCTCAGGTCCCCTCCATTGTCTGATACATCTGCAGAATAACCTCTCCTCCGACAAAGACTGATATATTTTTCTGTAAATAGATTGGAATAAAGAAATTAGAGTGCTAGGGACGTAAGACACCGTGAAAAGCTAGGGAAAGGTGGCATAGAGGAACAGGAATAAGTGAAAGTCTTCATCCCTCACCCTTTTGCATGGCTAGGCTTCAAGAATACTAAAATCCACCCAATCGTGCATCCTCCAGAAGAAAATGAGAGAATTCTTTAGAGAAAATGAGTAGCCTCAAAGGACACACAAAAAATGAAAAAGCTATGAATTCTGATATGTGGGTTCTCAACTAATCATTTTACAGTGAGGCACACTAGGTGATTTGCTTTCCTCATGCACACTGATTTCAAACACTATACGATGGACAGCAAAGATTTCCAGACATTTGAGAAACACATCTAGGACAAAGTTCACAGAAACCAACACCAAAAATTAAAGAAAGAGAGAGGAGCTTGAGAACACTCAGACATGAGGTAAGAAATATAAGAATAAGAGTATATAATATATCCTAAGAGAGCTAAAAGAATGAACTATATTCATGAAAAATCATTCAATGTTATTAAAAATATTTTAAGTTAAAGCTGCTGGGAATTAAAAATATAGTTACAGGAATAAGACAATTCAACAGAAGTGATAGAAAGTCAAATTAAGGCAGGTTAAGTAAAAAGACAGATTTACTTCACGTTTCATATCTGAATACTAAGAGTTACAGAGAGGCAAAAGAATATGGAAGGGCAAATATCATCAAGTAATAAAATAAATTTATTTAGCATGAAAAGGCATATTTGTAATTTGAAAACACCATTGAGTGTCAAGACTATAAATGATTAGATGACTGGAGGGAGGAAACAACAGCAATATATCCCATTATAAAATTTCAAAACACTGGCAAAGGTTAAAGCCTGGGTGGGGGTAAATATGTTACTTACCGAAGATAAAAAGTCCAAATTGGAAAGGATCTCTTATTAACAACAAAACATATTATAACAGAAGACAGGGAAAGTGTTCTTTAAAATTCTGAGCAAAATATGTGATCTAAAAATCTATACTGAGTTCTCCCCTCCCCGACAAAAAACAGAAGAGTATATTTTTAAAAAAAGAAGTAATTTATAAACAGAGAAATTGTTAAAACAGGTAATTCCTCTTCTTAAGGAACTTTGAAGAATGTGATGCATTACAATGGTAGAAGCAAACAGGAAAGAAATTAGCAAGGAATCTGAGAAGCTATTCAACACAGGACTGAGGTAAGATAGTCTCAGGGAAAAAGCTGCTTATCAAGCCTAGAGTGAAAACAGTGCAGACTGGAGAGGGAAGATGAAGGTCTTCATGGGGCTTCATGATGATGGAGTGAGGAGAAAGTAAAGACTGAATACCTGATGCGTAACACGATATGGAGAATATTATTAACAGAGATTTATAATTTCATTAGAAAGAATTAGAGACAGTGACATAGGAAACAAAAGAGGTACCAATCAAGTTAACGATTAACTCCAGGAAGTTCAAAAATATTATTGAATATAGGAAAAGTGATCGTGGTTCACTACTTGAGTCAGCAGTAAACAGCACATAAATAGGCAGAATAAATATTGAAGATTGAGTGAATTTAAAACTATGTATGTGTATACCTACAAAAATACATACACACAAAATTTTAAGACAGATGGAAAAAGAAGTATGTATCTGAGTTAGTAATTATACCAATGTTAAATCCTCATTTTTTCTTGAGAGAAATTCTGTACATAATGTGGAAATTAATTAAAAAAACAGTAAAATGTTTATTTGTATTTTGAAATACACAGTGAATTTCTGTAGGAAAAATCAATAGGAAATATTAGGGGAACTCAGGGTTTAGGAACTACTAATTGTGATAAAAATACACATAACATAAAATTTACCATCTTAGCCATTTTATGTCTACTGCTCAGTAAAGTACATTCACGTTGTTATACAACATTTCCAGAACTCTTTTATCTTGCAGTTCTATACCCATTGAACAAGAATTCCCATTTCCTCTTCCCACCCATCCTAGGCAACCACTGTTCCATTTTACTGTCGCTGTGAATTTGACTACTGCAAGTACTTCATACAGGTTCCAATTTCTCCATATCTTCAACACCTGTTTTTAATTTTTTTATTGTAGCCATCCTAATGGGTGAGGGACTACTTTCTTATTTTAAAACTTTTGTCTAATTTAATTTTTATATACTTTTATTACTTAAATATTTTAAAGTACTTTTTAAAAATAAAAATTTCATATGATACTAACCATTGTGTTTGGGTTACACATATTTATAAATTGCTTAACAATTGTACATAGGATGTATTAAATAATAAATTCACATCAAACTCAAAAATGTCCTTGCAAGAGTGACAGAGCTTTATTATTCATATACTTTATGATATTAACTTCAGTTACTTGGGTTAATGTAGAGATGAAATATTATTAATTAGTCTAGATCATCCACAATTTCAGTAATAAAACACAATTGGAGTGGCAGTTATAATCCATAGGTGATAATTAAAAGAACAATTACAATGTAGTGTTCAATACAGAAAGTGGTGAGTAAAAGGGTGGCCAATAACCCCAGCCACAACATCTTCCTTAATCAGAAAGGCAATAGCTTTATAAAAAACCCACACTAGTGTTCCATTAATAAGACTTCTCCATGGCATATGGCCATTCACTGCATTAAGAGAGACTGTGAATGTGAGTATTAAGATAAGCCTGTTCTGGATTAATTTTAGCATTCCATCTTCAAGAGAAACTGAGGGAATGAATAATGAGCAAATTATTAAAACAGGTATTAAATCTGCATTCATTAAATTTACAGATTTCAGAGACTGATAACATCAATAGAATCAAAACATTTAAATATCTTATAGTTGTGAATAATGAATCAAATTTAATATAGCATAAAGAATGGAAAGAAGAAAAATAATATTTTATATATCCTTTGTGCTAGACAATTTACATACATTTTCTTATTTAAGTGATCAACTGAGATTCAAACACAAGTTCATTGAATTCTAATTTTCATATACTTTCTACTATGCTTCATGTTGGAATTTTTTATTTTTTCATTTTAAGGTAAGGAGGGGCATAGACCTAAGCTCATACAATTATGTGATTTTTTAAAAGTAACAGCTCAGGTAGAAGTTCATTAAAAATCATTTGAAGAATGTTTAGAAAGCTTAGTTTACTGTAAGCTCATTATAAGCCAAGATAGTAAGATAACCAGAAATTTCATATGCACTCTGAGGCTATCTAAATAGAATAACTTCTATCAAACTTTCTATCAAAAGGGAATTCTTATGTGGTGTACTAGCCAACTCACATGCAAAGCATAGTGATTATGGTTTTTATAAGCCACATATTCATATGTGCAAAAATCAGAACTGTCGGTTTTCATTTATATTGGAACTTCATGTTTATTTCAACCTTCTGCCAAAAACCTAATTTAGTCATTGCTAGAAAAACTAAATAAAATTCAAAGATATTTTTTAATTGTGTTAGGTTTAAAACTCCAAGCCCAATTTCCCTTCTCCCTGGGGTTATTTCTGAGTGCCTATCTTATATAATTCTATGATATCAGTAGAGAGGTTGTGAAATGGTTAGACTTAGATCAGTCTTATTCAGTCCTGAAACATACACTACTAACTTTGATTTTGGGGATTGCCTCCCCCTGATGTTTGCTGAAAGGACAAATATTCTGCTGGCTTCCAATCTCTAAATTCAGTAAGTTATATATAACTCTGTCTCTATTCAATCCTACCACCTGCAGACCATAGCATCCTTCTTTAAATGAATTTATCTGCCCTCTTTGGAGGAATAGGGAAGGTAACATCCCAGTCAATTTTAAATCCCAAGAGAAATTCAGATTCACCTTATTCAGAAATTCTTTGCTCTTGATCATTTATTTTCCTCTCTGAGGCTGCTGATTCTAGAATATTAAATGGCCTAGAACACATGATCATGTTTATGCCACCTAAGGGATTGTCACTAAAGACACTCTTCTATGAAAGCTATGAAAGTTTGTTCTCTCCCTGGATTCTCTCTACTGCCCACAATAAAAAAAACAAGCAAACAAACAAATCCCCCAGACTAAAACATCTTAGCAATGGGAATGGAGATCATCTTGTGGGGAAGGTATATTCTCAGTCTTATCAGGAGCTCATCTTGACATTAATAAATATATTAACTCTTGTGGCATGTGAAAGATCAGGAAAAACAAAGGTAGAAATAAAACTACTGAGAAAATGAAATATGGCTTTAGTGGACAATACAGTACTAAATCAAAGACAAGCTTTCTCTCTTTCTTGGTCCTTTTTGTAATAAATAGTTTTCCCACTCATTTAAATATTATTATTTCAAATCAGAATTTTAAAAATTCAAGTTATATATATATATATATATATTTTACACCTGATCTCTATGGTGCTGAAACTGAATTGTATGCATCCCAGTAAATTAATTTAATGAATTCCCACTGCTGTTTAGGGAAAAGTACATTGAGGACTGCACTGTTTGTTTAGGAAATACAATTTGCAAATATCTGTCCTAAACTATCTTTTTTCATGATGATACAGCTCAGACAGCTCAGAGATAGGCTTTGCTGCCAACGTTATGGAGGCAATCACTGTAAGGAAAATTGTATATATTGTCCACAAACATTATTATACTAGGGCTGGGAAGTTCTCTTTACTACAAGAAATCTCTTTAAGCCTTTGTAAATGGTACATTGTACTATGCAAGAAGCAGATTTCAACAGAAAAGATAAAATTTCTCTCTTTGTGTATATAACAAAAATTAGAAACATACATTCTTCAAAAAGAAATGCAATCATGAGATATACCAGCTGTGGCTGTAATAAACACCTGAGACCTGTAACTCCTAAGTCCCAAAAAAGTTACTGGTCTCTTCTTATAAGAGGGTAAAACATACGGCTTTCTTTGGATAAACTATTTTTACTAATTTGGTAACTTCCAAGGCATTTTAATCCTCTAGAAAATAGTGTAAATCTTCTATTTTGTTTTTAAGGTTAGTTTAGTTGTTTTTTTTCACAATTCATAGGTGATAATTAAAAGATCACTTGAACTCCATTAGGTCCTCCACTTAAAAAAAAGTACCAGTCACATTCCCCTGAATAGAAACCTATAATATTTTAATAGTTCATTAGAAACCCATCTATACCTAGCTTAAGTTCTGCAAGTAAGAAACCTGGCAGCACTGGCTTCTTCTTGAGGAATTCAAAGTCTCTCTTACTACAAACGTAGTGGTCTCATTACGTGAGTGAGATATGGACATTGTGTTTAAGATTGTCAAGGCATAGCAATATGGAGGCAATCATATAGAGAGCAAAAGGTAGAGAGCTGAAGATGACTGGTGTTGTGAAACTTGAGAACAAAGGGACAGTAACTTGGAAACCTATTAAATAGAAGAGAGAGCAGAGAACTCCACTGAGGACCAGAAATGGGGGAAGTATCTTTATAAAGGACCTATGTCTGCTGCCTCCTGGGATGCTCTGGCCTTGTCTATTTATTTATTTTTGTTCACTCTGTTGGTTTCATGTTTGGATGAAGACTGGTAAATAAATAATCTTTAGTTTGCTATGGTATCAGTTGATACTGTAGTCCTTGCTATTGCCCTGTGGCAGGCCCTGAAGTTTGTATAACTGCTATCACGGTATAGCTTATATTTCAGGTGAATATACAGGGCATTCAATGAACAAAGTATATGTGGAGGCATGTTGGGTTCCCTTGCTTGTTCCCCCAGCATAACTAAAAGTGGTGGTCTCAGACGGCTCAGAGATAGGCTTTGGTGCTAACTGTATCCCAATCTCCTTTCTGATGAAGTTTCTTAGGCCTGGAGTTCTTCTTCTTCTGTGCCATTAAGATATATGCCCATTGTGTTCCCAGCTGGTATCCTTAAGAAAAAAATGATTTTTTCCTAATAGATGAATTTATCTTCAGGCATAGTTGCTGTTTCTCAAGATCCATGGATGGAATCTTTACAAACTTCAAAGCAAGGATTCTGGTTAGCTCTAAGGTATTTATAGACATGCATAAGAATTTTTTCCCCTTTGTGGCCTGAGCATATCAAGCAAAGAATCAGAAGAGACAATTTAAGTAAACTGCCCAAGAGCAAATAACTCATGAGTAACAGATATGAGATTCAAACCTAGACAACCTAGTTGTAAAATCTGTGATTTAAAAAGTTAATTGTACTTCACACTAATGGTCTTTCATGACACTTCTCACAGTTGCAGTTTTGCCTTTGTGCCATCTTCATGGTCAGCACTCAAAGATTTGTTGAATAAATAAATAAACCTCCATATACAGGAAGGTTGAGCAAAGACGCAAGTGAATATAGTGGCAGCTGATATTTAAGGAAAGCAGGTATGGGCATACCAACGTAATGGGTTGTCAACTGCAGAGGATATGTGAGGCTCCCAGGACACCGGCAGTCACTCAGTGTAAGCGAGATCAGGCATAACACGATGCATATGAGCCATGGAAGTGGAGTTTAGGATAAATTTCATTTCCCAGGAAGTCAGTAAAGCTTACTGAAAGTTAGAAGTAACCTAAAGTAGCTGAAATTGTGTGAAAACATATACTTGGACTTAGTAAAAACTATCAAGGACTCAATCATAAAATGAATTCATCAAGCCAGAGCCAGAAAAACAAGAACGTGTATTTGTTTCTGAGTTGCAGTACTGTATTCACCTGCCAAGAAAATATTTGTTCTGAAAACCCAAGGAGCCAGAGAATTGGAGCTAGACATCAATAATTTTTTAATGCATCATCTCAATCTGGTACCACTGATAAATTCTTAATCAAATTCAATGCTTGTGGAATGGAAATTTCTGGTAATTTGAGTTCTTGGTTAATTGCAAAACTTGCCTCAAACATTTTTGAACAATGTCCTATATTATGTCACAAAAATTTATTCTTAAAATCTTATGTCTTAGTAGATTAGTAAAATAAAATGCAATTTATTTCACTATATTTTAAATATAGTTTATTAAAAAATTACTGGCTAAGCTGAATCCTCATTTATTATTTAATTCATTCAGTATTCAAATTATTCATTAATCATTCAACAAGCAATTATTTTGTTAGCTTCTGGGAATAAGATAATAAAAAATGTAGGCGTTATTGCTATCCTCAAATATGCAGCCTAGTGTGAGAGAAAGAATAAGATAGGATGTTGTAGCAGAGTGTGAAAATCACTTTAACAGGAACATTCAGGGTGCTATAAGAACATGTAAAGGAGTGCATGACTCATTCCAGAGTAGTTATAAAAAAGTTCCCAAAGAAAGTAACATTTAAGCGATTATATAAAACATGAGAAGAATTTGCTAAACAAAAATAGGTAGAATGTTCATGACAGAGAGGACAATATAAACCAAAGCTCAGAAATGAGAACAATTCTAATGAGTTTGAGAAACTAAAGGAAGTTTACCATAAATAAAGTGTTGGTGACAAGGCAGGCAAGGCAGGGAGAATGGTGAGAGATTAAGCTATATGTATAAGAAAGAACAGATCAAAGTACTAACTAATCCTATGCCAGTTATATTTAACAATATCCAGATGTCAAAGGATGCTACCAAAGGTGTAGTAGAAGTGGGATAGTTATAAAGTATCTGTTTTAATTGGTGGAAGGACAGCAACAAGTGGAAATTTTCTACAGAGTGTTTCTTTAACCAAGGGATCAGCAAAGGAGGCAGAGGATCCAAATCCAGAGAATTAAATGAAAAAATAATAGTGTGGTATTATAGAATCAATACAAAACATCAAGTTGAATCAGGACTGGAAAGGATAAGGATACAGAATAAATGGAAGACATCAAGTTGAATAAGGTCTATAAAAATAAGTTGAGCAAGTGAGTGATATTACATTTATATTTCATACAATTTATTCAGACTTCAGAATTGGAAATGAGAGAGCTAAACGAAATGTGTTATATGCATACAAAGGACTATTATTCAGCCTTTAAAGGATGCTTATCCTGTGACATGCTATAACATGGATCAAATTTGAAGAAGTTATGCTAAGTGAAGTAAAAGAATGTCACAAAAATGATAAACACAGTATGATCCCAGTTACATATCTAAACTAGTCAAATACATAGGAAAGTAAAGCCATGGTTATCAAGGGCTGGGAGAGGGAAAAATGGGCAGTTAACACAGTTTCAATTTTGTAAGGTGAAAAATTATGCAGATCTGTTGCACAAAAAATGCAACTATAGTAAAACTACTTGAATGTACACTTAAAAGTGATTAAGATGGTAAAGTCTATGTTATGTTTTTTATCATAATTTATAAATATTTTAAAAGAAATATGAAAGGTACAACAATAATAATACTCATAAAAATCCAGATGAGAAACCTGGTGACCTGACCTTGAGTAGCACTAGTGTCTATGAAGGAAAGTCATTATATTCAATATTTTTTTTGAAGTAGAATTAATTTGACCCATGACATTCATTGCTCTAGGGAAAGTAAGATGCAGAATTAATTTGAGAAAGAAAATGGTAATTTCACTTTGAATATATTGGGTCTGAAGTGTCCATCAGACATCCATACATATAGAAAATATGTTTATGGACCATAAGAAAAATGTTAGCTGTTGAAATAAAGTTGAGGGTCACCAACATTCAACAGTTACCAATATTCTTTCTGAAACAGACTTTTCCATGGCATTAGTTCACTGTAAGAATGATCCCCAATCGGAAGGCAAGAATCCTCTATGGGAGACAATATTGTGTAAAGTCGTGAAGAAGCGACATATAATTTGGAAATACCTTTTGATGAATTTGAATGAATTTGATCTAAGCCTTCTCTTTTCCAGTGGAAGATACATCACCCTCTTGCCATTTGAAATAACTGATTGATAGCAATTAAAAGAATGGCAGGAGATGAGGTTATTTAGCAGAATTTTGTTGAATGAGAAAAGAGCTAGGAGAGAATCCTGAGGTACATTAAAATGTAAGAAATGGATAGAGGAAAAACTGTCCTTTGTTTTGAATAGAATTCCAAAGCTCCAGTCCCGTTCTCTAACTTTTCTCTGTAGCAGCTTATTTTACAACTGAGGTTAGGTAGGGGTAAAAATTAGGAGAAGAGAGATAGTCTGGGGGATTCGGGAGACACAAAATTCTATAAACAATTTTCTTTGTTTTGCTTTGATTTGTGTTTGTTTGTTTTGTTACTCTTCCTTCTTCCTTTTCACCCCATGGAATTAAAAGCCAAATGAGGACAATGCTGCCCCAGTAGTGTACCAAGGTGCTCCACCAAATTCACAGAGGTGCTGTCAAATAGAAATTGCACCAGATAAGTTCAGCAGTACTATTGCAACATGGGAAAAGAGACTGAATTCAGTGGGCTGGGGAAGGCAGATCCATCCTTAGTCTTGTGGGCATGATCTAATCAGCTTCCAGTGAATATAAAGCAGGTTGAAAAATGTGAAAATGAGAGACAGGCTGGTGGTGTGCCCTCAGCAGACTGGAGAGGCCTTAGGAGAGACTGAATTCAACTTTGCTGAACTAAAATCCTATAGTGTGCCTTGGTCAGCTAATGGAAATTTACTGAGGGCATTACAGGGGGGGTTGGTCAATGTGATTAGGCCATCTGTGTTTGCTAACTGGCAGTTATTGAAGTGAGGCTTATATCCCCAGCCCACTGACTCAAATGTTAATTAATGCTTTGTATCCCTGAATCCAATCAAGTTGACACTCAGTATTAACCATCACAATTGTGGTAAGAAAAAAATTAATAAAATATTAAGAACAGAGGCCAAATTGCAATTGGTGAAGAATAATATGAAAAGAGGAAATAATGAGAAAAACATATACATATAATGAGAAAAACATACATAACTATAGAAGTGTGACTTTGAAGGGAATTAACTAGTGCTTTAACTGAACAAGGAATTAGAGTTAAAAGAGGCCATGGGATATGAAGTAGGTATAAATGTTAACTGTAAGAAACAAATAGGAAAAAGTTGATGTATAGTTAGACATATAAGTATATATAGCATATCTTATATAACATATAAGCTCATTTTAATGGAAGAAAATGGAAAAAATTTATAGTTAATTTTAAACATCTCATTTTATACATATCATCAAGATGTATAAAATAGAATGTTCTTTTGTAGGAAAGAGGCAGAGTTTAGAGCTTTGATGAATGGGAAGAAATTTATAAAAAATACATTGGAAACACTAGAGAGAGACTTATTTAATAAAATGCACTACTTGAAGACTTAATTGAGAGTACTCATGTGGTTTGGCTGTGTCCCCACCCAAACCTCATCTTGAATTGTAGCTCCCATAATTCCCATATGTCATGGGAGGAACCCAGTGGTAGGTAATTGAATCATGGGGGCAGGTCTTTTCCATGCTGTTCTCATGATATTGAATAAGTCTCACAAGATCTGATGGTTTTATAAATGGGAGTTCCCTCACACAAGCTTTCTCTTTGCCTGCCACCATGTAAGACATCCCTTTGCTCTTCCTTTGTCTTCCACCATGATTGTGAGGCCTCCCCAGCCATGTGGAACTCTGAGTCAATTAATCCAGTATGTCTTTATTAGCAGTATGAAAACAGACTAACACAATTACAGACAAAAAAAAATTAATCCCAATTTTTAGAGTTGTCTTATTTTCCCCACCAGGGCTCAGCAACTGTATTATTGCTATGTAACTAATTACCCTAATCCTTAGCAGTTTAAGATAACAAACTGTTATTATGTGCCAGGAATCTGTGGGAAGCTTAGCTCTGTGGCTCTTGATCAGAATCTCTCATGAAGTTGCATTTCAGTTAGTTTCTGAAGAGTTGATGAAGGTTGAAGGCTTCCCTTCCATGCTTATTCAGAGGGCTGTTGCGTGAGGCTTAGTGAAGCTTCCCCAGGAGGACCTTTCCATATTGCTGTTCACAACATGGATTTCCCCATACCAAGTGCTCATAGAGAAGATAGAATAGAAGTTGTAGTGACTTTTTGATCTAATCTTAGAAGTTACATATTATCACTTTTGCCACATCCTATTCTCACACAGACCAGTCCTAGTCCATTATGGGAGGAGACTGCATACCAAAAGCTGCAGATCTTCAGGGTGCAACTTAAGGCTAGAAAAAGAGGATGCAGTCAAATCCACACAGAAGAATACTGGAGTTGGATAATAAGGGAGTCAAAATAGTGGAGTTGGGTAACTAAAGGATAGGAGTCTTAATTTATTATTTCAAGGACCAGAACAAGGGGGAAGGCACCTTCATTGGTTGTTGAAATGATGTGTGGAAAATATATTTGACAATGATTAAAATGAAATTGTTAAGTCAGGATAGCAATTGACATTGTATGGAAAGAAAGACCATTAAGTTCTAAAGTCTTTATTAGAAAAAGTGACAAGAGTTTAAGACAAAGATGAGGAGAAGGTATTTTTAGTTAAGTGGACTAAGTCTCAAAGTAACAGCATTTAATTATCACTCTCTACTCATAAGTAAGTAAATGAAACAGCCTGGAGGCATCAAAGCAGAAAAACCGTAGGTCACAATTTTGGTGTTCATTGAAGGTGGGGCTTGAAAAGACTTCATGGCAAGCAATTTTTTCATTAACAGATCATTGCTCAAAGAAGAACAAAAATGAAGAGCCTGAGGATTTAGGGAAAACTATTATCCATAAACTAGGATTTTCAGAGAGCATGTTTTGTAGGATTAGAAAAAATCAAATAAGAGCAAGAGTACAGCAAAGGTGCAAGGTAGAGTATGGGTAGAGTGTGGTGATGGCCTAAAGGGTTTCAGACTGGGGAGTGCTCAAAGATTAAAAGAATGTAAGACAAAGTGGAATTAACTGGCTGAAAATTTAATAAGAAAATTATTCTCAGCATCCCACCAGCCCCTTGGTGTCTGAGGGTAGAGTATGTAGGCTATAAAACTCCCTCTGAGTTTCAATCCTCTCAGGATTCAGTTGCATCCCTGGATGTTATTCTTCTAATACAGTTCAACTTGGTAATAAATACAAATTCCCTGATATTTGGGAATTTTTATATGAAAATACCACATAATGCTCAGTAGCTGAAGTGACCAGAATTTCTGTAGCAATGGTCAAGCCTCTAGTGTGTCATAAGACTCTGAAATAAATGCAAAGCTTAGTAAAACAACATAATCTATATGATATATGGTTGAGGTTGGGGGCACAAACCTAATATAACAGTATCGAGGAAAGATAAATCAATTGTGAAAGGTCAAAGGTGTATTCTACCACATGCAAATTTGAAATAGCTGGAAATGATTTTTAAAGCCACTGACTTTCACTGAGCTAATGTTTTTAATTTGCTACATTATTAAACTTTTTGACAGTGATGGTAGTAGTGAAAAAATGAAGAGAAGTAATTCAATAATTACGTCCATTTTTAAAGGATAATTCAAGTACTCTATTAAAATACTCACTTCATAATAAGGCATTCATTATTTTGACATATTTGTAAACTGTAAGTTTCTTAGAGCACAAACTATGTTTAATTTACATTTATAGTTTTAGTGCTTAATATAATACCTAACCCATCACAGCCCAAAGTCAGTATGCAAGAGATATTTTTTTATTGCAAATTTTAAGAAACGAAAAAATCTAGTCAAACCTCTTGCTAAGTTACAATAGTCACTTTAAAAGCTAGAGGGAAAAAAACTAGACTGTTCACTTTGCTGACTCAGTGTTTATTCATTGTATTTGTATTTTTCTGTGTATGTGTTTTTCTGTCAATTTAGCTTCATTGTATTTTGAAGATTAGATTCTACCAAAGGCAATTGAAAACCATTCCCACTTTATTAGGAAAGAGCTATTTGAATCCTGATTCCCATCTTGAAAATAAAAACCACCTTCTAATTTCTTTTAGAGATAGATATAAAGCATATCTGAAGATTTTATTAGTATCATTTTGCTATTATTAGTAATTACTTACATTAGTAAAATAACTAAGTTCAGGTAATTGCAAAAAGTTGGCAATCCCCTGGGCTTATCTCTCTTCTAATATTTTTCCTCATTTCATGAATTTTCTAGTGTTGCAAACTTAATTGTGATGTAAATTAAATGAAAATAGGTTGCAGATTGTTTGGGGACTTGTATTTTTCAATTCTTAATGATCACATAACGAACACATACATATGAATTTCTCTTAACAAGATTTTTTTCAATGCATCAGTATTTTTATCATTCCAACCACCCTCAATCCCCAGCTTGGAATTTCAATAGGAAAATAAAGCCTACAAAATGAAAACTAAAATCAATCTTCTTTTATTTTGGAACAAATTAAATTCCCCTTCTCAAGTAATGATTTTTACCTTAAAGCCATGATAACTATCTTGTTGCTCTGTCAAGGTTTCTCACCTCCTTATCTTACAACAATTAACCTTAATAATCCCCTCACTTTCAAACCCTTCCTGATTTATGGCTCTTTAAGCACTTCTGTTAAGCTTGATCATTTACTTACACTTGGCCTCTAATAGAGTCAGTGTCACTTTGAAGATTGTAAATGGATTCTGCTGAAATCAAGTTCTTCAGACACTCCTAGACCAATGTTTTGTTATGCTTTGTTTTTTCCTTCTGGTAATTGATATCTGTGAAATATATTTGTATCATGTTTTTGTAGTTCCCTAATCATAATGAAAAGACACTAAATTTGAATTTTTTTTTATCTGGTCCTCCAATGTTTGATAATACTAAATACATAGATAAAGGGTGTGGTCTCATACTTTAAAAATATGTGTTTCAATGTGAAAATTACATTTCCAGAGTCTCAAGGGAAGTTTTGTGCTTAGCAATTTTATCTATGTGGATAGGTTAACTATTGTCCTAATATTCTTTAGTATTTCTAGCCACTAAAGCGTAATTTTACTACTTAAGTGCATGGCACTTATTATAGAGCAATGCCTTTTTTTTTTTTCAGACAGTGGACCCCCAATTGCCCTATGGGAAAATGAGAAAAACTTTTCTGGATTCACTTTAAGCTTTATAACTATCATTGGTTTTATGTATTTATTTATTTATATTTATATTTATATTTATATTTATAAATGACTACATATGAGTATACATACATATATGTTATATCTATATCTATATATCTATATATATCATTGTACTTCTATGGAAGTTGCTGAACAGAACTTTAGCTAGCCAGATGAAAAGAAGTAAGGCTGTAATAAATTAAAAGTTGAGGGTTTTTTTATTCTTTTTTTCTAAGATTATACTAGCTATTGATTAAAGCCATTTTAGATCTCACAATGTCACAAACAATAACAGTGGCACCTACTATTATGAAATGAGTACAATATATGCTAAACACTCTACAAAGTATTTTAAGTGTTTGAACTTGTTTTAATTTTATAAAAATTCTATGAAGTGGGTATTATTAACCTTTTATAAGAGAAGAGGGAATATATTCTAAGTCAAGTAACTTGCTCAGTATCACCATGACTAATAAATTGTAGGGCAGGAATTCTGACTCAGATGTATTGCATGTTATACTTATAAGTATTGTAAGTATAAGAGAAAATAAATATGAAGGAAAACACAAATCCTAGATACAGAGAGATTCTCAGAAGTAAAAAAAAAAAAAAAAAAAAGCTTCTCTTTGTCAAGCTCAAGGAGATTGTTACCTTGCTTTTAGATAATAAATTGGTGCAAAAGGAAACATCTAGTTTCTGTTAAACTTTTAATACATGTTTACTTTATAATATATTTACATTCTATTGATATTAAGAAAGTATACCTTTATCAGTTCATATATTGCTGTTAACATTTGTTATGATGCATATTTTGAAAAAAGCTATTACTACAGATTTATGAGAGTCATAGCAAAAGGGTTTATAACTGTTGTCCTGGAACCTGAAGATGGAAGGAGGGGAGAGAAGCTGCTGTGAAAATGTTGTATATAATCACTTGCATGTGAGCTTATACAAGCACTGAAAAGGGACCTATCCTATACTTTCTGATTTCATAAATGATTTAAAGAGGTCTATAAGTATTGATGACATCTCTTTTGATACTATAAACTAAAAGAATTATGAGGCTGTAAAATGGATTCCAAGTCAAGGCTAGGAAATTAAAGAGTCAGTGAAATGTATATGAGAATCTGTTTCCACCTGAGGGCAAAGAACAGAGGTGTTAAAACTGAAGAATGAAAGGTTACAAAGAATTCTCCTCTAACTTTGCTTCTATACCCTCACATATAAGCTGGATTACAGGACCATACCATACTTTACAACAGAGCACAGAGCAAGGAAAGAAGATATATTTGCGGTGAACAAAAAGAGACCAAGTGTTATTGTGTTTCATATTCTATAATGTTGTTTGGTGCAGAAAATAATCTTTCTGAAGTAAGATTCATACATGTTCATACTCTTCAAGACATGAATTCTATTGTAGTTCTCATCTCCGCTTTATGATTATATAGTAAATAGGTCAACAGATCTCAGCATTTCAACTCTGAATAAAAGTAAGATTGACTTGTGTCTCATTTATCTTTTTTTGCAAGAACAACAACCAGAAGCTACCATTAAGTCACAGCAGTGGCTTTTCTCATGGTTAATAGTGGAAAAATTTCCCCAACCTTTGGAAATATATTAAGTACTTTCTATGTGGCAATTAACTCTTATTTATGTATTTATTTATTTATTTTTGAGACGAAGTCTTGCTCAGCCACCCATGCTGAGTGCAGTGGCCTGATCTCGGCTCACTGCAACCACTGTCTCCCGGGTTCAAGTGATTCTCCTCTCTCAGCCTCCCAAGTAGCTGGGATTACAGGCATCCACCATCATGCCAGCTAATTTTTGTATTTTAGTAGATACGGGGTTTCACCATGTTGGCCAGGCTGGTCTTGAACTCCTGACCTTAGGTGATCTGCCCATCTCGGCCTCCCAAAGTGCTAGGATTACAGATGTGAGCCACCACGCCCGGCCTTAACTCTTATTATTTTCAGAGATATTCAGCAAACGAGAAGTGGCAAATAAGTTATAATATACAGACACCATCATAATTAGTTTCAGCTTTGCTCAAAAGCTATCTTTATTCTAGGTTTATACCTAAGTTTAAAGCTAATTAGGAATGACAAGAATAAAACTGTGATGAGCTTTTATGTACTTTCTCTGTACATATCAGTGTTTTCATAGTTAATTATTATTTATATCTAAGACACTCCATCCATTGATCAGTGAAATCAAATAATATTTTCTGAATTTTGTCATGGTATAGTATAATATTTAAGAGGATAAATGCTGGCATTACTTTGCCTGGTTTAAATCTCAGCACCATGATTTATTTACTGAGAGGCCATACTCAATTTACCTAATCTCCCTATTCTTAGGTTTACTCAATTTTCATTCCAGTATGCTAATGAGTACCTACCTCCTAAAAATTTTGCTAGAATTAAATTTCTAAAATTATATATAAGTCTTGAAGTTTGTTTTAAATATTCTGGAAGGTTTCTAACAATAATCTATATATGCAAATCTCTCCTACATGTATTGCTACACATTTAAGTATATACTATAAATATTTGCATGCATTCAATTATATACTGTAGACACCTTTGCATACCTATACACTACCAGTATCCATTCTTTTGCATATTTAACTATATAATGTAACAGAGATTAAGTGGCGTATACCTAAATCTCTCTTTAGAAGTGGAGTTGAAAAGACTAGAAATATAGCCAGGATTTTTATGGCTATGATAGATTTGTACTCAAAGACTTGATTTGTTTTTAAATTATTTAATTCCATTATAATAAACTCAAAATTTGAGTGTATTTAGTTATGGCCTTTTCCATTTTCCATGTGATAATCAACAACTGTGATAATCAACAACTGTGTATTTCTCTTTGAGAAACTGTGTTTCTCAAAGAGAGAAACAGCCTTTATGCAAAGGTGAAAAAAGTAGAGCAAATGGAAGATTTGAGACAGTTACTACATAGGAGATCTTTGTTCTCAAACAAATACATGTTAGGTGAGTCTTCAGATTTTAAAGAGGTCAATGTAGGCTGACAATTCGAAAAAAGATGAGATTATAAAGTAGAGAGTAAAATGTTCCATGGGGGAATAAATATGGGTAAGCAGTACAAAGATAAGAGAAAAACATAGGAGATTAAATCATTTTTGAATTGTCAAAATACATGATTTTATACAATAAAAAAAATAGATTCCTCATGACCAGAAAATAATTTTAACCAAAGAATGGCGATGAATAATCTCTTCAGCATATATAAGCTTCATGAATTTAAATATCTATACTTATGGCTGTATCTATTTATGGATGAAAAAAAGTAATATTGACTTGTCTTTCATTTATCTTTTTGCAAGAACACCATAGAGAAGCTGTCATTAAGTCTCAGCAGTAGCCTCTCTTTTGATTAATAATGGATAAATTAAAAAATCTAAAATATAATTTAGCAAATGTATAACTCATATAAATATATATTTACATAAAGAAGTTTATATATCTTATTTCTGTATCTTAATATGGAAATAAAGGCATCATTTAATATGCAAAAGTGGTTTTTAGAATAAGCATATGACATAATCCTTTTCTTTAAAAGTATTATCTTTAAAATTATTGAGTTGCATTTTTAGAGTAAAGCAAAAGGTTTTAATAAAGAGAAATGGTATGATAAAAATGGGTGATATGTTTCAAAGTGTGAAAATATTATAAAAAGAGGAAAATTGGAACTATCCAGACATATGATTTTTAAAAAGTTATTAGAAATTGATCATGTAGGAATTTTCAAGAATAAAAGAGTTGAAATTTTAAAAAAAGTTCTTTAGCACTAGGAAATGTTTTTTTTTTTTTAGATTTAAGATTCAACTGGGAATGAATGTAATGACTATTATTGGTGCTTTGTTGTTTTGTATGTGTATAGAATTTAATTTCAGTAGTTTAGCAATAAAAAATGGAATGTCTTGTTAGACTGTTATTTGATAATAGATCAATTTAGTTCAAGTCTTGGAAGATGCTCTTGCAAGATATTTATTAAACATCAAAAGTTATAGTCATTATCTTTCCATATTTCTAATGTGTTTCATTAACAAAAAATAAAATATTTTATATAACAGAATGCATGCATATATAAGTATGCAACATAATTTTTTGTTATTTTTCTTTTAAAATAAAAAGCCATTTTGATATATTTAGTAATCTGTATTTACTACCTTCACTGACTTGCCCTTTACCCACAACATATTGGCTTTTGATTCTATAATCTTAATAAAATAATATTGAGATGATATATATATCAGAAATAGCTCTAGGTACTGAGTAACAGTAGTAACAAATATAAACAAGACAAGACACAGTCTCACACAATTTTTATATCAACAGACAAAGATAAATAATATAAAAATAAGCAAAAGAATACACACAAAAAAACAAAGTACAGAACTAACAAAATAGTGTGGAATGATATGAAATAATTTTTAACAGTTTGAGCAGGCCTCTCTGAGGTTGTGATATTCTAATTTTCTTCAGAGAAGCTAAAAGCTGTATTATTATGTGAAACCTGTCGAATTTAAAATGTTGTGAGCTAAGTAGAATGTTTCAAAGACACCATGAAGGACAGTACTTTATAGGACAAATGAAACAAATTTGTGGGCATCTCCAACCTGTGAGCCACTCTTTTTTGTTTTTACTCACTACTCCAAACACTTCTTTTGGAATGATAGATTATTTTATTTATATTATCTAAATCTGTAATTCTTCCCTCTACCCCTCTTAATCTATACATTATAATTGTCAAATAACTAATATAAATATGACCCAGATACTGCATCTATAATCAAATACTATATTTCTCTATAGTTAATTTAATATGTCAAATATCTAGTTCATTCTTGTCAGTTTGGTACAAACCAGTGGCTGAGAGAACAAACGTCAAAGCCAGTTTGTTTGAATAATGATTCTGCCAACTACTAGCTGAGTCAACTTGGCCAAGTCATTTAACCTTTTTGTGCCTCAGTTTTCTCTTATGTAAAATGCATATATCTGTCAGGGTCCAATCAAGAGACAGGATCCACATAGTGATTTGAAAAGGGGCTATTTAACATAAAGAATTATGAACCATACACAATTACTTATAAAGGGTAAATACCCTAGGGCTGAGGAGCATACCTAAAGAATGAATTAACTTGTAAGGGGTCCACACTCCCTACAGTTGTGATTCAGAACTCATTAGAGAAGATGGGGCTATAGCCAAATGGATTGTGAAGTTCACTGGGTAGTCCTGGGACAGAGTTGGTCACATTATCTAGGCAGAGGCTGGTGGGTGGAGAATTGTGTCCAGATTCAACAAACAAGCAATAACTCTTTGAAGTATGGGCAGGCTGAGATTGGGAGGTCTACCTTGGGGGCATCTTGGAGTCTCACTGGGAATCTTCCTGTGGGGTTGCAGCTGAAACTCAATGCCAGAGAATTCCACTGGATGCTCACAGAAACCACTGGTAGTCATGCCATAAAAGCAACAAAGGATGGAGAAGCAGAGGAAGCAGGGGAAGGAGTAGGAGGAGGAAGAGAAGGAGAAGGAGGAACAAGAGGAAGAGAAGATAAAGAAGGAGCAGGATAAATGAGAGGAAAACACCAGGATTGAGAAGAGAAGCTCCTTCTTCCTATAATGTCTGTCCATTGCCACCTACTGGCAATGCTTAATATTGTTCCAACTGCAAAGGAGAAATATTCAGAGCCCATCAACAATTTCCACAGAGCAGAAAGGAAGGTTGAATTTGGACGTAAGAAGCAATAAATTGATAATTGGCACATTCGTTTTCAGGAGATTCTGTAACAAACTACCAAAAACTGGTTTGCTGAAAACAGTAGAAATCATTCTTTCACAGTTCTGTGGGCCAGAAACACAAAATCAAGGTGCTGCAGTTTCTTGGGGAGTTTCTAGGGGAGAATTGTTCCTTGTCTTTTCCAGATTCTGGTGGCCATCAGCATTTCATGTGACTACCTCACTCCAATCTCTGCCTCTGTCTTCCTATGGCTTTTTCTTCTGCTATCTCATGTAAGGGCATGTTTAGGACCAATCTGTGTAATCTAAGATAGTCTCATCTCAAAATATTTAACGTAGTAAAATCTGAGAAGACCTCTCTTCCAAAAAGAAAATCACATTCCTAGGTTTCCAGGGCTAGGATATGGACATATCTACTTGGGGGCCACCATGGAGCCCTCTAAATTGGAGATGATAATGACAGTGTTTAATTTATAGGTTTCTCAGTAGTGATACATGAATTAATATATGTAAAATACTCGTATGGTTCCTCACATAGACTCTACAAGTATCATCATCACCACCATTGTCGTCACCATCATCATCAACACCGTCACCATCCTCATGGTGATTGTTCCATCCCGCTATCTCTTAATCCTTCTCCAACTCCCCACTCTTCTCTTTCCCTTATAGACAGAATAATACACTTAGAAATTATACCTTGACTCTTTATCAGATAAGTGACTTTTTCTCTAATTTTTAAAATGGAGATCTTTAATTTCACTTAAATTATATGCCAGATGATCTTACCCTGTTTAAAGATAAATAAGTCTCATAGAAGTTACATAACTTATTCAATGTCACTTGACAAATGGTGATGACGCCATTCAGTTTATAGAGTTTGTGGTACAGTAAGTAATTACTGTTACCATTACTAATAATACATGTACTACTACTACTATTACTATTATTATCATCTTTATGAATACTATCACTATCTACCTTTTTTAAAAAAGCACACAGTAAGATTTCTCTGTTTCTCTCATTTCCTGCACTCTCTCTTTTAAATAATTAGCTATTTTTGGAAGTCTATCAATTTGAAACACACACACACACACACACACACACACACACACACTTTCCTGAATTGGCTTTCTCTGCTAATTTTCTCTTCAATTGCCATTATCATTTTGTACCCTTTTTAATTTAATAACCTTTTCATTGATCTTCCTCATATTTTTGTCTCCCTTTCTTAATCTTTCTTCAACATAGTGAAAAATATGTTTATGCAACATACATCTAGTGTTACCCTCATGCTTTAAAGTACTTTCATGAGTTTTATGGTTCTTTAGTATCTGGAGCCAAAATACTTTTTAGCTTTCTCTTCCATCTACATAAACTACGCTGCTCCCACAAAGTACTGTTAGTGATTTCTCTCAAAATATTATAAACTCCATATATTTGTTCACAGAATCTTCCTTTTCGTACTATTTAAAATTCAAATCCAGCTCAAATATCACCTCTCCTGTAAAATCCCACTCCAAGTCTCAAAGATAAAATAACTTATATCTTCCATGTTGAAACCAAATGTGAGTTTGGATTTTACCATAGGGAACACCCTATCAAATGGACCATACCATGAGACATCTAGTTTCTCTCCTCTGGAGAGTGTCTGGATAGTTATCTTCAATCTTCTGTAAGAATGTCTTCTGTTGTCAAATGACTAGATGACAAAGATGAATTTTTTAAATTAAGGGTCCATATTTTATAAATATTTATATGATTTATTAGATTTTACAACATTGTTCCCTTGCCTTTTTACCTCATAGTACCCAAAACTCCCAAATAAAAGATATCAGATTATTATTTTTTTAAATATTTACCAGGAATATAGTCTAATTCCATTATTTGAAGTTACTTTGCAGTGCTCATAGTTATTAATGCCCACTATTTTTTTCAATTGACCTGCTATCAAGTAAGTAATTTGTTTGCTAAAAAAATTTGAGCCCTCACTATGTGTCATGCAATATAATAATAACTGGATATACTAAAATAATATTTTATAATGATTTGATTTATCAAAATTAAACTAAAAGGATAAATGTCACTCAAGCAGTTGCATATCATGCCTAAGATCCAAATATCACATTTTGATATTTTGACTTTAGCTTTTATTTCAATTTTAATTTATCTAACAGTTTTCCAGTAAGATGCTGATTTCCATTATTTAAAGACTTAAATGTTAGATCTAAAACCATAAAAACTCTAGAAGAAAACCTAGGCAATACCATTCAGGACATAGGCATGGGCAAGGACTTCATGACTAAAACACTAAAAGCAATGGCAACAAAGGCCAAAACTGACGAATGGGATCTAATTAAACTAAAGAGCTTCTGCACAGCAAAAGAAACTACCATCAGAGTGAACAGGCAACCTGCAGAATGGGAGAAAATTTTTACAATCCACCCGTCTGACAAAGGGCTAATATCCAGAATCTACAAAGAACTTAAATTTACAATAAGAAAATCAACCCCATCAAAAAAAAGTGGGCAAAGGATATGAACAGACACTTCTCAAAAGAAGACATTTATGCAGCCAACAGACACATGAAAAAATGCTCATCATCACTGGCCATCAGAGAAATGCAAATCAAAACCACAATAAGATACTATCTCACACCAGTTAGAATGGTGATCATTAAAAAGTCAGGAAACAACAGGTGCTGGAGAGGATGTAGAGAAATAGGAATACTTTTACACTGTTGGTGGGACTGTAAACTAGTTCAACCATTGTGGAAGACAGTGTTGCCATTCCTCAAGGATCTAGAACTAGAAATACCATTTGACCCAGCCATCCCATTACTGGGTATATACCCAAAGAATTGTAAATCATGCTGCTCTAAAGACACATGCACACATATGTTTATTGAGGCACTATTCACAATAGTAAAGACTTGGAACCAACCCAAATGTCGATCATAGACTGGATTAAGAAAATGTGGCACATACATACCATGGAATACTATGCAGCCATAAAAAAGGATGAGTTGTCCTTTGTAGGGACATGGATGAAGCTGGACATCATCATTCTGAACAAACTATTGCAAGGACAAAAAAACAAATACCGCATGTTCTCACTCATAGGTGGGAATTGAACAATGAGAACACTTGGACACAGACTGGTGAACATCATACACTGGGGCCTGTTGTGGGGTGGGAGTGGGGGGGCGGGATAGCATTAGGAGATATACCTAATGTAAATGACGAGTTAATGGGTGCAGCACACCAACATGGCACATGTATACATATGTAACAAACCTGCATGTTGTGCACATGTACCCTAGAACTTAAAGTATAATAATAAAAAAAATTTTTCTTCCTCTTTTTCTTTCCAACGATTTATGTTATATTTGTTTGTTTCTTTTCCTGTCAGTCGATACAATTCTAATCCAACCAAAATATATTAGGTTCTTACTATGTATCAGAGATTGTGCAAGGTGCTTTCTCAGGCAGCATTTTATTTAACCTCCACAACAAACCTATGAAAGAAGATACTATTTTTCTTTTGACAACAAATTATCATAAAGATTAAGTAATTCTCAAAGTCATACAATGATTAAAATTATAGAGGTAATATAAAAACAAAGCAATATGATTTTTTCCATCATTTATAATTTTTCCATTTTATTCTCATGCTTGCTTTCTTTAAATTGTCCTTAAATTCTCTGGAGATATTGTGTAGTATAGTTTTCTCCAATACTTGAAATAGGATATTTCATCTGTGCCAAGACCTGGGTTCTGATATAGTAGTTATATTTATATACCCTATCTCCAAAGTACCCTTTATCCTTTATAGTTTGGATATTGCCAACAGAGTTGGCAATGTGCTTTATATATTTGCATCCAAGAATCTACCTAGAGGTATGGGAGGGCATTAAAAGACAGGAGGTAGGGCATGAGTCTCCTTCCTTGGGGTATTAATGTTTAATTAACATTGTTATTAAGAAGTTTATAAATTTACATGTAGTTTTAAGAAATAGTGTGCCCTTAACCTAGTTTCCACCAGTGGTAGCAATATCACAATGAAGATATTGAAAATAATACAATCAACAAATCTTATTCAAAGTTCTCCAGTTTTACTCCTGTGTGTGTGTTGGTTGTATATGATTTCATCTCATCTGTCATTCAACATCCCAGTTAAGATACTGAATATCTCTGTGACCACAGAAGTTCCTTATGTGGCCCTTTTATAAAAACCACCTCACCCTTCCTTCCACACAACACCCCCTCCCACTATTTCTAAGCCCTGGCAACCACTGATCTATTCTCCATAATCCCTTTGTTTAATTATATTGGCACTGACAGAAGCCAGATTGTTATCAAAGTCTACTTTCCTGGAGGATAGATAACTTTTGACCCAGTTTTCCTGGTAGCAGTTTGCACCATAGAGAACTGGCTATAAAAATAAATCTAAAGACTGATAAAATGTGGAGTCCACACACTAACATTGTCGTTTGAGAATATACAGCAGTTAGAAAGGCAGTGTTTTACATTGTAGCACTAGGAATTCATTCATTGAACGAATATTTATTATGCTGTTAGCATCCTGGAGGTTTTACCACAGATATGCATCAGTGGCCATGAGTTGGGCAAGTTAACAAGCTAGATGAAGTGAATCCATCAGCCTTCAGCAAAGTTACCCCCATGCCTCCAACTTTCATGACAGAGGTGCCACGAGCGTGAGAGATGAGTGACTTTGTCAGAGCCTCAGCTGCTTTAGGCTGCCCGAGTGTCTGACCAAGGTAACCCTACTGTACAGAGATCACGCCCTTTATGCCAGGCACCTTAGGGGCACCAACTTTTTCAAATTATCTTCTATCTTTTAAAGGAATGCATCAGAAAGAGAGTATCTTCTTTCTGTGATGGTGACATGCTTTGTGCACTCGTGCACAGTCATATTTGTGCTCCTCGATCATTTCCTAATTTCCGGCTATGTAAATTACACTAGCAGTAGTGGAAGTCGGGGAGGTAACAGTGGCAATGCATGATATGTAATGAAACTTTCAGGACAACTGTCATCAATCTTGGCAGTCATGGGGTCTTTCAGCCTCAAAGACACATGTTTGCTCCTGTGTACTTGCAAATTAGACTTGGAGACACCATGTCCTACAGTTACAAAGATACATATCTCTGAAATTCCCCCATTTTCTTCCAAGGGATAGATTCATAGATGTGAATGAAGACTCGGGTTGATTTGAGTTTTTACTAGATAAAAATAGGGACTTCAAGAGACAATTACATCATCTGATCTCTGAGAACCGACATTTCTCACAACTCTGTAGGAAATGAAGAAAAAGCCAGTGAGAGACTGGCAGAGCTTAGCGGGAAAGGTGCTTGCCTAGCAGCAAAGCAGCAGGAAATGATTGTGTCTGAGGGGAGTTTCACTGAAGAAAACACCTACAAAAATATATAGAGCACCTGTTCTAGGCAGTCACTGAAATGATAGTGATGAGATGAACAACTGCACATATACTTGAGAAGATGTTTATGTGGAGAGTTCTTAAAGCATTCTTTACGTTTAAGGCCCATTAGGATATACAAATTGTATCATCCTGGTATGCAGATTTTATATTACATTGTTGATGCTACTATATGCCTGAATAGAGTAAGAAGTATTATAAAGTGAAATGTGTTGTTCACATGAGAATGTGAATAATAGGCTTGTTAATACCAGAGAAACCTAGACAAAATATATTTATTACTAAGCATTGGCAAACTTTCTTTTAATCAAAAGGAAAACACAGCAATTGAGGCAAATAACAAGTTTCTTCCTTCCCTGAACTTGCCTTACAAGGAAATAAGGTAATTAGGTACAATCAAATCTCATCCCTGATTTATTCCTTGCCCTCCTTCTGATATTATAGGCTTAGAAATTAGAAATGAAGAAGCAGCTTCTCTTGCTGTCATGGATAGAAAGCAATGGTGAGAAACAGGATACAAAGTCAATATCGCAGTTTTTGAAAAATACTTCCTTTTAAACTGATATCCAGAATTCCAAGGATACTTCTCTGATTTATCCAGGAAAAAGTTAAGTGAGGAAGAGACATTGCCTCTGCAAAATCTCCTGACACATTCTGAGCAAGAAAAACTTGACTATATAAGATTATATTCATAGAGAAAATATTTTTAAAAAGGTAATTGCATTTATTCTTTTTTTTTTTTTTGAGATGGGGTCATATTCTGTCACCCAGGCTGGGGTGCAGTGGCACAGTCACAGCTCACTGCAGCCTCCATCTCTGGGCTTAAGTGATCCTCTTACCTCAGCCTATGTGGTAGCTGAGACTACAAACATGTGACACTATGTGTTGCTAATATTTAAATTTTTTATAGAGATGAGGTCTCCTCATGTTGCCCAAGCAGGTCTGAACTCCTGGCTCAAGTAATCCTCCTGCCTTGGCCTCCAAAATTGTTAGGATTATAGGCATGAGCCACCGCGCCCAATTTGCATTTATTATGTTTTACCCTAAATGGAACTCTCCCATCATTCTAAGTGTTTTGGTTTTAAGTTCTCATTTTAGTTTATACATGTGGCTAGGTTAAAGAGCTTTAAAATAGGTGATATTTATTCTTCTGTGAAGAATGCAGAGGACATTTTTGCCAAAAGAAACAACAGCGCTGTTTGACAGATTGACGTTTTCTGGGACATGGGCCATACCAACTTATCTTACCTCATGCCACACATGAACTACAAAGCTTTTGAGTGGGAAAGCTTCACCACAGGGGTGAGAACAGCTATAGTGGTGACAGAAAAATCTGGAGTTTCTATGGTTCACAGGGCAGTTAGCCAAACATTGGTCTCCCAATAATCTGAAAGCCAGAAACATGAGAAACAGAATGAATATGGCTTGAGGTGGTGCTGACTTTCCAAGTCCTTTAAACCAGAAAAACACATTAGAAGAACTGTCATTTCAGCAAACAAGCTCATGGGGGCACAACCACATGCTGTTGATGTAATCTCAAAGCACTGTGCCCCAGATAAATGTGTGTGCTGATGAGCTATTGTGCTGTGAGTCTTTTTCTTCAATGTTTTGCTTTCTCATTTCCTCTGATTTCTGTATACAGACTATTTTATAGTTCAAACCAAGAAACAATGTAGCAAAGCAGTATATTTACATAAAGATATTACTGGTTTTGTTTTTGTTTTTTGGGTTTGTATTTTGTTTCCCCCTCTTGTTTTTTGATATTTCCATGTTGATTTAGGCATTGATGACTTCGAAAAATAAATGAATCATTTTTTAAATTGTTAGCCCTAAATTTCAACAATACTATGAACCACAGAATATCAAAAATAATGAACAGCTACTTTAAGTCATAAACAATTAGAAAAAACATTTTAAAAATTGCACAGCGTATAGGTGAAATGACATTAAGACACCCAAATGAAATTTAACAAAAGACCATTTAAAGCTCACTTTAACTCTAATTATTGGGAATCCACATAGTGGGGGGAAAAGTATCTATTCTGAGTCAGTCTCTTTTCATTACTTGCTAACATTCCAATAAAAGAGGTATAGTGTAGTTGTAGAAAGAGTTCCAAATAGCAGTCACAAACACCAGTTGCTGTTTATGCTATACTATTAGCTAGTTTTCTAATGTTTGTAAAGAAAAGTTATCTTCTCTAGGCTACACTTTTTTAATTTATAAAAGTACAAATGCTAGACTAAATATTATGCAAATTCCCTTTCATGTCTGACATGATGTAACTCTGATGTTAAAACACTTCTATCTAAATGCATTTGCAGGCGGGCTTCTGGCTCATCTCCTTTTTATTGTATTTTACTTTATTATTATTTAAGTTTTAGGGTACATGTGCACAATGTGCAGGTTTGTTACATATGTATACATGTGCCATGTTGGTATGCTGCACCCATTAACTCGTCATTTAGCATTAGGTATATCCTAATGCTATCCCTCCCCCTCCCCCCACCCCACAACAGGCCCCAGTGTGTGATGTTCCCCTTCCTGTGTCCATGTGTTCTCATTGTTCAATTTCCACCTATGTGTGAGAACACGCGGTGTTTGGTTTTTTGTCCTTGTGATAGTTTGCTGAGAATGATGGTTTCCAGCTTCATTCATGTCCCTACAAAGGACATGAACTCATCATTTTTTATGGCTGCATAGTATTCCATGGTGTATATGTGCCACATTTTCTTAATCCAGTCTATCATTGTTGGACATTTGGGTTGATTCCAAGTCTTTGCTATTGTGAATAGTGCCGCAATAAACATACGTGTGCATGTGTCTTTACAGCAGCACGATTTATAATCCTTTGGGTATATACCCAGTAATGGGATGGCTAGGTCAAATGGTATTTCCAGTTCTAGATCCCTGAGGAATCGCCACACTGACTTCCACAATGGGGGAACTAGTTTACAGTCCCACCAACAGTGTAAAAGTGTTCCTATTTCTCCACATCCTCTCCAGCACCTGTTGTTTCCTGACTTTTTAATGATTGCCATTCTAACTGGTGTGTGATGGTATCTCATTGTGGTTTTGATTTGCATTTCTCTGATGGCCAGTGATGATGAGCATTTTTTCGTGTGTTTTTTGGCTGCATGAATGTCTTCTTTTGAGAAGTGTCTGTTCATATCCTTCGCCCACTTTTTGATGGGGTTGTTTGTTTTTTTCTTGTAAATTTGTTTGAGTTCATTGTAGATTCTGCCTATTAGCCCTTTGTCATACGAGTAGGTTGCAAAAATTTTCTCCCATTCTGTAGGTTGCCTGTTCGCTCTGATGGTAGTTTCTTTTGCTGTGCAGAAGCTCTTTAGTTTAATTAGATCCCATTCGTCAATTTTGGCTTTTGTTGCCATTGCTTTTGGTGTTTTACACATGAAGTCCTTGCCCATGCCTATGTCCTGAAAGGTATTGCCTAGGTTTTCTTCTAGGGCTTTTATGGTTTTAGGTCTAATATGTAAGTCTTTAATCCATCTTGAATTAATTTTTGTATAAGGTGTAAGGAAGGGAACCAGTTTCAGCTTTCTACATATGGCTAGCCAGGTTCCCAGCACCATTTATTAAATGTGGAATCCTTTCCGCATTGCTTGTTTTTGTCAGGTTTGTCAAAGATCAGATAGTTGTAGATATGTGGCATTATTTCTGAGGGCTCTGTTCTGTTCCATTGTTCTATATCTCTGTTTTGGTACCAGCTTCTGGCTCATCTCTTTTGAACATCCAGCAGAAAGATATGGCTGAAAAACATTTCAGTAATTAATTTAAAAATTACCCTCTCCCATAAGAAAGTTTTTACTTCCATTGAATATTATGAATAAACTTTTTTCAAAGACGTTCTGTAATGCTTCTGAATAGTTGTCCATGTGTCCCACAAATATTTTTCATGGTGTCTGAGAGAAAGTCTACCTCAATGTCTTATCCACTAACAATAAGCAACTTTTAAATGAGCAAGGCCAATAGAGGAGGACTGTTAAACTTAAGTTGTTAAAACGACATTTAGTCTATTTTATGACAAAGGCTCTCAGAAAGGCAGACTATCATGTGGGAAGAATAAATATTATACCTTAAGTATTATCTTTGACTAATAAATATCAAGAAAATATAAGAGGCTTTAATAAGTTCCTTTGCTTACAAATAAAGTTATATTTTTGCAAGTAATACATTTCATAGACAACTTTTCTCATAATTGCATCTGATAAGCATGTCTCAAACAATGGGGTATATTTAAATATTCTGTGTAAGATTTACTTTGGTCAAAAATTAACAAGTGTTACCTATTATTTTTTCTTAACATTTGTATTTACCATATGGATAATTTTACATAAAGTAAATATTTAAAATATGTTTGGTCACTAAGTGGGATTGCCAAAGAAATCAAATTTGTTGTTTATCTGAAATTTCAATTAAACAGTCCTGTGTTTTTGTTTTTTATTTATTAAATGTGGCAATCTAGTCACCAAGTTCATATCCTCACATGAGTAAAATAAGATCTGAAAAAATTGATAGCAACAGGAAGATACTATGTATATTAACATGAAAGCAGCAGAGCCATACAAATCCCCCTTAAAAAAGAAAAATCTTGCATTGATTATGTAAAACCTGGTCAGATTTTGGATTAATAGAGCAGGATGGAATTATTCTAAGTGAAGTGTATTCTAGCATTGGAAATGGTATAAATAAAGGAAATAGTATCACTTGTTTAGGAAAAGTGTGCATGTTGACCTGACAGGGGTAAAGGTGAGAGAATGGAAGTAGTATGGAGAAAATTGAAATATATTGTGTGAGTTCACCTTATAATGGTTCTTAAAATTGGTCAGATGCAGTGGCACATGACTTTAATCCCAGCACTTTGGGAGGTTGAGGTGGGAGGATTGCCTGAGCCCAAGAGTTTGAGACCAGCCTAGGCAATATTGCAAGGCCCCATCACTATAATAAAAAAAACTACTTAATGGTTAAAAAAGTGATTCAGGAAACACAGAAGAGCCATTTTAAGTTTCAAGGGAAGATATGATAAAAGTACTTTTAGAAAGATTGTTGAATTTCTTTTTATGAATACCTTATAAGGTTTTTTTAAATTATTATTACACTTTAAGTTTTAGGGTACATGTGCACAATGTGCAGGTTAGTTACATATGTATACATGTGCCATGCTGGTGTGCTGCACCCATTAACTCATCATTTAGCATTAGGTATATCTCCTAAAGCTAACCCTCCCCCCTCCACCCACCCCACAACAGGCCCCAGAGTGTGATGTTCCCCTTCCTGTGTCCATGTGTTCTCACTGTTCAATTCCCACCTATGAGTGAGAATATGTGGTGTTTGGTTTTTTGTTCTTGTGATAGTTTACTGAGAATGATGATTTCCAATTTCATCCATGTCCCTACAAAGGACATGAACTCATCATTTTTATGGCTGCATAGTATTCCATGGTGTATATGTGCCACATTTTCTTAATCCAGTCTATCATTGTTGGACATTTGGGTTGGTTCCAAGTCTTTGCTATTGTGAATAGTGCTGTAATAAACATACGTGTGCATGTGTCTTTATAGCAGCATGAAGAAGACATATATGCAGCCAAAAAACACATGAAAAAATGCTCACCATCACTGGCCATCAGAGAAATGCAAATCAAAACCACAATGAGATACCATCTCACACCAGTTAGAATGGCAATCATTAAAAAGTCAGGAAACAACAGGTGCTGGAGAGGATGTGGAGAAATAGGAACACTTTTACACTGTTGGTGGGAATGTAAACTAGTTCAACCCTTGTGGAAGTCAGTGTGGCGATTCCTCAGGGATCTAGAACTAGAAATACCATTTGACCCAGCCATCCCATTACTGGGTATAAGGTTTATTTTTTAAAGATTTTCTTTTAATATGACATCTAGTAATATTATACAAAATAGAACAAATGTGTTTTTACTTGTGTAGTTAACATTATAATGCTGGAATGAATGTCCCCAAAGGCAAATTATTAAGATAGATGATAAAAGCCAGAGTTATAGGCAAAAGTTGCTATTTCAACAGCCTTTGCGCTTTTGGTGAGTTTGGTAATTGAAGGGTAATAAAAAAACAATACCTGTATACTTGATCTTGCATGAGGCAGGAAGCTTGAACTGTGTTCCATCCTATGTAAAATTATCCAATTCTCAATCCCATAGGAAAAGATAGACTTAAAAAAATTACCTGTTCACAGACAAAAGAGCAAGGAATGTTTGTGCCATCCTTAATTCTAAATGAAAAAAAAGATTCCCTCAAAACTTCATAGCTATTAGTCTATCTTACTGCTACTCTGAATTTTAATGCCCTACTTATATGATCTTGAAATAAAAAAGAAAAGATATCAATTATTTTCTCTCCTATGGTAATAATACAGTGGCAATTAGTAGTAGTAAAACAAATCATTGTCAACCGAGTCTACAAATTACCTATGTTCACAAAACCAAGCTAAACAAAAACAGAACCATGAAACATAAAATTGCTGTATCTGCAAGCTTACTTTAAGGGACATATACATGGCACTTTAACAAATGAAGTTTCTAAAAATGCTAAACATTTCAATTAATATAGGTCTCCATTGCTCTTGCTCAATTAAATAGCAGTGAATATTATATACGGAGGCTGAGCAAGATAACAGAATACAAGCCTAAACCACTCATCTCTCCCCCACAGGCACACCAAATTTTAACTACTATATGCACGCGCACACACACACACACAAGTGTCACATGAACCAAAAATCATGAGAGCAATCACACTACCTGGTTTTAACTTTATATTGCTAAAAGAGGCATTGAAGAAGGTAGAAGAGACAAGCTTGAATCATTGATGCCGTAACTCCCCCATCCCTCAGCAGTGGCCTTCCAAAAGAGAAAGTCTGTGCACTTGGGGGAGGAAGAACGCAGCGGCTGGGGGCCTTTACATTGAATTCAGTGCTGCCTTGTCACAGTGGAGAGCAAGGCTGTACTGGGTTCAGCCAGTACCCTTGTACAGTGTGAGCATTTGGATCAGACCTAGCCAGAGGTAAATCACTCATCCCAGTGGCTGGACCTTGAGTTTTTTAGCAGGCCTCACTATTGAGGGCTGAAGTGCTCTGGGGTCCCAGATAAACTTGAAACTCAGTCTAGAATACAAGGAATGCTGGGCTGGGCTCAGAACCAGTGGAATAGGGTGGCACATGACCTAGAGAGTTACCCACAGGGGTGGCTAAGAGAGTGCTTACACCATTCCTCTCCCAACCTCAGGGAGCATAGTTCCCAGCAACAGAAGTGACTCCTTTCTTCTGTTTAAGGAGAGGAGAGCAAAGAGTAAAGAGGACTTTGTCTTGCATGTTGGATACCAGCTCAGCCACAGTAGGATAGGGCACTGGGTAGAGTTTTAAGGCCCCAGTTCCAAGTCCTAGCCCATGACGGACATTTGTAGATAAATTCTGGACCAAAAGTGAACCCACTGCCTTGAAGGGAATGACCCTGTCCTGGCAGAATTCATCACCTGCTCACTAGAGAACCCTTGGATCCTGAATAACCAGCGGTGATTCCCAAGTAGTATGCCATGGGCCTTGGGCTTTGTGTGCTGACTTCATTCAGGTGTGACCCAGCACATTTCTAGCTATGGTGACTATGGTGAAAGACCTCTTCTGTTTGAGAAAAGCAGAGGAAATCATAAAGTGAACTTTGTCTTGCCCTTTAGGTACCAGCTCAACCACAGTTAGGTAGAGCAACAAGGAAGCCCCTGGGGAACCTGAGTCCAGGCTTAAGCTCTTGGACAGCATTTCTGGACCTACCCTGGGCCAGAGGGGAGCCCACTGCCCTGAAGGGTGAATCCTAGGCCTGGCAGCATTCACCACAAACCGGTGGAAGAGCCCTTGGGCTTTAAGTGAACAGCAGTGGTGGCCTGGCAGAAACCTCTGTGGGCATGGTGTGATGGAGGCAACATGGAGAGGCACCTCTGCCTGTAGAAAAGGGAGGGAAGAGTGGGAAGAACTTCATATTTTGGTTTGAGTGCCAACTTAGCTGCAGTAGAATAGAACATCAGGTATATTTCTAAGGTTTTTTTTTTACTCCAATTCCTGGCTCCCAGACAGCATCTCTGGAATTGACCAGGACCTGTGGCAGCTCACCACTTTGAAAGGAAGTAAACATACCAGGTTGGCTTCACCATCTGCTGATTGTAGAGGCCCAGGGTCTTGAGTGAACATAGGTGGTAGTCTGCTGGTTGTTACAGAGGGCCTTGGGAGCGACCCAGTGCTATGCAGCCTTCAGGTCTGATCCAGCACGGTCCCAGTAATGGTGGAAGCAGAGGTGCTTCCATCACCACACCCCTAGTTCCAGGCAGCTGATCACAAAGAGCGACTGTGAGAAAGTAAGGAAAAAGAGCAAGAGTCTCTGCCTGATTCCCAGATAATTTCTCTGGATTTTTTCCAAGACCATCGAGGCAGTACCTCAATGAGTCTGCAAAAACCACAGTGATATTAGGTTCGGGGCCAAAGACTCCTCAAATACCTGGAAAACCTTCTCAAGAATAATGGACTAAAACAAGCCCAGAATGAAAGACTACAATCAATACTTAACTCATCAATGCCCAGACACCAATGAACATCTATAGCATCAACACCATACAGGATAACATGCCCTCACCAAATGAACTAAATAAGGCACTAGGGGCCAGTCCTGGAGAAACGGAGATATGTGATCCTACAGATAGAGAATTCAAAATAGCTGTTTTGAGGAAACTCAAATTCAAGATAACACAAAGAAGAAATTCAGAATTCTATCAGATAAATTTAACAAAGATACTAAAATAATTTAAAAGAACTAGACAGACATTCTTGAGTTGAAAAAGGCAAATAACATACTGAAGAATGCATGAGTCTCTTAATAGCAGAACTGATCCAGCAGAAGAAAGAATTAGTGAGCTTGAAGATAGACTATTTGAAAATACAGTCCAAGAAGACAAAAGCAAGAAATTAAAAAGAATAAAGCAAGCATGCCTATGAGATCTAGAAAATAGACTCAAAATGGCAAATCTAAGAGTTATTGGCCTTAAAGAGGAGGTAGAGAAAGAGATAGGGGTAGAATGTTTATTTAAAGGGATAATATCAGAGAATTTCCCTAACCTAGAGAAATATATAGATATTCAAGTACAAGAAGGTTAGAGAACACCTATCAGATTTAACCCAAAGAAGACTTCCTCAAGGCATTTAATAATCAAGCTCTCAAAGATCAAGGGTAAAGAAAGAATTATAAGAGCAGATGGGGAAAAGAAACAAATAACATATAAAGGAGCTCCAATACATCTGGTGGCTGACTTTTCAGTGGAAACCTCACAGGCCACGAAAAAGTGGCATGACGTATTTAAAGTGCTGAAGGAAAAAAAAAAAAAAACCCTTTTACCCTAGAATACTATATCCAGTGAAATATCTTTCAAGCATGAAGGAGAAATAAATACCTTCCCAGACAAAAATAAGGTAAGGGTTCATCAACACCAGACCTTCCTACAAGAAATGCTAAAGGTAGTTTTTTAACCTGAAAGACAAGGATGTTAAGGAGTAAGAAGATATCATCTAAAAGTACAAAACTCAGTGGTAGTGGTAAACACACAAAAAAGTATAGAATATTATAACACTGTAATTGTGGTATGTATGTACTTCTACCCTAAATTAAAAGACTAAATGATAAATCAAAAATAATAACTACAACAATTTTTCAAGACATAGAGCATATAATAAAACATAAAGAGAAACAGCAGTTAAAAAGTGAGGGAATGAAATTAAAGTATAAAGTTTTTATTAGTTTTCTTTTGCATGTTTATTTGTTTTTGCAATCAGTATGAAGTTGTCATCCATTAAAAATCATGGCTTATAAGATAGTATTTGCCAGCCTCATGGTAACCTCAAATAAAAAACATACAATGGATACACAAAAAATGAAAAACAAGAAATTAAATCATATCACCAGAGAAAATCACCTCCACTAAAAGGAAGACAGTGAGTAAGGAAAAAAAGAATAGCACAAAACAACCACAAAACAAATAAAATGGCAAAAGTAAGTTCCTACTATCAATAATAATACTGTAGGTGAACTAAACTCACCAATCAAAAGATATAGAGTGGTTGAATGGATGAAAAAGTAAGACCTCATGATCTTTCACCTACAAGAAACACACTTCACCTATAAAGATACACATTGGCTGAAAATAAAGAGCTGGAAAAAGATTTTCCAGGTCAGTGGAAAGCAAAAAAAAGCAGGAGTAGCTATATTTATATCACACAAAATATATTAAAAAACTGTGAGAAGAGACAAAGAAGGTCACTATATTATGATGAAGGGGTTAATCCAGCAAGAGGATATAATGATTATAAATATATATACACTAAACACGAGAGCACTCAAATATATTAGGCAAATATTATTAGAAGTAAAGAAAAAGATATACCCCAATACAATAATAGCTGGAGACCTCAACTTCCCATTTTCAGCATTGGACAGATCTCTGAGATGGAAAATCACAGAGAAATATCAAACTTATCTGTACTGTAGAATAAATGTACCTAATAGATATTTACAATATATTTTATCCAATGGATGCAGAATACACATTATTCCCCTATGTACGTGGATCATTCTTAAGGGTAGACTACATGTTAAGTCACAAAACAAGTCTTAAAACATTCAAAAAATTGAAATTATATCAAATATCTTGTCTGATCACAATTGAATATAACTAGAAATAAATAATAAGATGAATTTTGAAAACTATATAAACACATGAAAATTAAACAATATGCTCCTGAATGACCAGTGGGTCAATGAAGATATTAAGAATAAAATTGGAAATTTTTTTGAAATAGATGATAATGGAAACACAACATACCCATACCTATAGGATACAGCAAAGCAGTTCTAAGAGGAAAATTAGTAGCTATAAGTGCCTACATAAAAAAAAAAAGAAAAACCTCAAGTAAATTACCTAATAATGCATCTTTCAGATCTCGAAAATCAAGCACAAACTGAACACAAAATTAGTAGAAGAAAGGAAATAATAATTATCAGAGAAGAAATAAATGAAGAAAACAGTATAAAAGATGAATGAAACAAAGTTGTTTTTTTTTTTTTGAAAAGACAAAATTGACAAATCTTTAGCCAGACTAATGAAGAAAAAAGGGAGAAGACAAAAATAAATCAGAGGTGAAAAAAGTGAGATATTACAACTAATGCCCCAGAAAGTCAAAGGCTTATTGGTTGCTACTGTAAGCAACTATATGCCAATAAAATGGAAAATCTTGAGAAAATGCATTCTTAGATATATACAATCAACCAAGATTAAACTATGAAGAAATCCATGCCTGAACAGACCAAAAATAAGTAATAAGATCAAAGCTGTAATAAAAAGTCTCCCAGTAAAGAAACACCCAGGACCATATGGCTTCACTGCTGAATTCTACCAAGTTTTTCTTTAAAGAAGAGCTAATACCAATCCTACTTAAGCTGTTGTGAAAAATAAAGGGGAACACTTCTAAATTAATTCTGCAAGGCCAGTATTACCCTCATACCAAAGCCAGGCAAAGACATATCAATAAGAAAAGGAGAACTGCTGGCCAATATCTCTGATGAAAATTGATGCAAAAATCCTCAACAAAGTACTAACAAAGCAAATTCCACAATACATTAAAAAGATCATTCTTAATCAGTCAAGTGGGATCTATCCAAAGCAGACAAGGAGGGTTCAATAGACACAAATTTATCAATATGGTATATTGTGTAAACAGAATGAAGAACAAAAGCCATATAATCATTACAATTGATGCTGAAAAAGCATTTGATAAAATTCAACATTCCTTCTTGATAAAAACCCTAAAAAATCTGGGCATAGAAGAAAAATACCACAACATAATAAAAGTTATAGATGACACACCCACAGCTACTATCACGCTGAATGGAGAAAACCTGAAAGCCTTTCCTCTAAGATCTTCAATATGACAAGAATACCCACTGTTACCACTGTTATTCAACATAGTACTGGAAGTCCTAGCTAGAGCAGTCAGACAAGATAAAGATAAAAAGTGCACCAAATTTGAAAACAAGTCAAATTATCCTTGTTTGCAGATAATATAATCTTATATTTGTAAATATCTAAAGACTCCACCAAAACACTATTAGAACTGATAAGTAAAGTAGCAAGATAAAAAATCAGTAGTATTTTTATATGCCAACAGGAAACACTATGACAAAGAAATAAAAAGTAATCCCATTTGCAACTGCAAGAAATAAACTACCCAAGAATTAACCTAACCAAATAAACAAAAGATCTCTACAATGAAAACTACAAAACAATGATGAAGAAAATGGAAAAGGAAGCAAAAAAAGAAAAGTTATTTCATATTCATTGTTGGAATAATCAATATTGTTACAATGTCCATACTACTCAAAGCAATCCACAGATTCAACACAATCTCTATCAAAATACCAATGACATTCTTCACAGAAATAGAAAAAAAATCCTAAAATTTATATGGAACCAAAAAAGACCCAGAATAACTAGAGCTATCCTCAGTAAAAAGAACAAAACTGAGTGGATCACATGACCTGACTTCAAATTATACTACAGAGCTATATAACCAAAACAACATGGTACTGGCATAAAAACAGACACATAGACTGATGAGATACAATAGAGAACTCAGAAACACATCCACACCACCTATAGTAAACTCATTTTCAACAAAGGTGCCAAGAATATACATTGGGGAACAAACAGTCTCTTCAGTAAATCATGCTGGGAGAACTGAATATCCATATGCAAAATAATGACTCTAGACCCCTATCTTTCACCATATACAAAAATTAAATGAAAATGGATTGAAGTCTTGAATCTAAGAACTCAGACTATGAAACTACTACAAGAAAACTTTGGAGAAACTCTCCAGGACATGGATCTGGGCAAAGATTTCTTGAGTAATAGCCTATAAGCACAGGTAGCCAAAGCAAAAAAGGACAAATGGGATCATATCAAGTTAAAAAGCTTCTGCACAGCAAAGGAAATAATCAACAAAGTGAAGCGACAACCCACAGAATGGGAGAAAATATTTGCAAGCTATGCATCTGACAAGGGATTAATAACCAGAATATATAATGAGGTCAAATAACTCTATAGGAATAACATCTAATAATATTTCTCAAAAGAAGACCCACAAATGGCAAATGGGTATATGAAAAGTTTCTCAACATCATTGCTCATCAGAGAAATGCAAATCAAAACTACAATGAGATACCCCACTCCACTTTAAATAGCTTCTATCCAAAAGGCAGGGAATATAGCAAGGATGTAGAGAAAAGGGAACCCTCATACACTTTTGATGAGAATGCAAATTGGTACAGCCACTATGGAGAATAGTTTGAACGTTCTTCAAAATATGAAAAATAGAGCTACCAAACAATCCAGCAATCTCACTGCTGGGTGTATATCCAAAGAAAGGAAATCAGTATATCAAAGAAATATCTGCACTCCCATGTTTATTGTAGCCCTGTTTATAATAACATGATTTGGAAGCAGAACAGATTCATAAACAGATGAACGGATAAAGAAAATGTAGTACACAATGGAGTGTTATTTAGCCGTAGAAAAAGAGACCTTGTCATTGCAACAATATTGATGAAGCTGGAGGTCAGTATGTTACATGAAATAAGCCAAGCACAGAAAGACAAAGATTGCAGGTTCTCACTTATTTGTGGATTCTGAAATATCAAAACAGTTGAATTCATGGAAATTGACAGTATAATTGATATAAAGTTTTAGATTTAAAACACATTGTTACCTATGACCTAGAAATTGATATCAGAAAATTTTCCTTTTCAGTATCTACATACCATAAAATTCTTAGAAATACATTTCTAAGAATTATTTAAAACAAATGAAAAACTATAAAATCTTAATGAAATAAATATGTATGATCAAAATAAGTTGTATACCATATAACTGTAATTTGATTGATATATTAACTATTTAATTCTAAATTAGTATAGCTCCAATTTCAATTGAAAAATAGGAACAAGCTAAACAATCTATGAAGTCATAATTTTTCTTCATCCCCTTAGAGAGCGTAGTTGGCAAGCAAACAAAAGAAGTGAATTCCAGTGGCCCAATTCTGCAATGAGAAACACAATACACAAACCATTTTATCTTTTGCAAAGCCAGGAGAAAGAAGTGACCATCTTAAAAGAGGGTAAGGAAAAGGAACTTGAATTTTAACAAATTCTTATGGGCTAAGTGTGAGCAGTAATGGTTTAGAACAATTGGGAGACCCAGATTGTGTAGAATAATTGGGTGACCCAGATTGGGTCTGCACCCACTTTCTGTTCTTTTCTCTTTAAAGAGAAATATTTTTAATTGTGGTAAGAACACTTAACATGAGTCCTACCCTCTTAATAACATTTAAATGCATGACACAGTATGGTTAGCTATAGACACAATGTTGCAAAGCAGATCTCTAGAACTTGTTCATCTTCTATAACAGAAACTTTATTCCTGTTGAACAGCACTCACTTTCAAGCTGATTTCCATAGACTAGTACCAGGTACTGCTGAACAAGATTGGAGGCAGAGCAAGAGACCAAAGAGAAGCCCCAACGGTGGAGTCGACGTGCAAGTAGGTATTGGCTGCCAATGAGAAAAAACCTGGCCCACTTTCCTGGACTCTTGTTTCATACAAATGAAAATCTCTAAAGTGATGGAGGACTAGAAAATCTTCTACTGCTTAGGACTAGGTGAAGATTCATTCCCAAGGGAAGGCAGAATCAAAACATTCCACCACTAGGAAAAGGGTGGGAAATATTATTGCCCCAAATCCTAGGCAAAATCCACCATTCCTAAGGGAGAGAAAGAAGCAAAAATCATATACTTTTTGGATTACATGGAAGATCATCAGAATATCCCTTGGGCCCAGGGTCCTGATAATAAAAGGTATGTTCCATCTGGGTAGTAACAGAAAACAATGTTCTTCCCAAAAGCTCATAGATGTAAGAAAAGATTTGAAAGGCTCAGGCACAGAGGACCTGCTGAAGATTGAAGCTGGAATAGAACTGAGAAATCCTGTTCCCCTACCATGAGTCTACCACTGAGTAACTGGAAGCATCAGTTCACCACTAGGGACCTGCAAAAGCATGAGGAGACTATCTCTTTGTCACAGGTGACAGGGGACAGCTGGAAGCCTAGAGTGGAGCTGGAAACCCTCTAGTACCTTGGACCCCACACAACACTCAAAATAACAGCAGACCACCAACGACATAAATTGAAGCCTGCGTTGGAAAAAGGATTTGAGGTTTAGACCTACTTAAGTGTTCCCAAAAGTTATTAAATCCCGGATTCCTAGGTTATGAAGATCTGTAAATGCCTCCGGGACAAACATAGATTGAGCTTAGCTAGCACTGAAGTTTTCTGTTTCCACATTATTTTTGTTCATGGGTTGGCAGTAACAATTTGGTCTTACTTTTTTTGAAAACTAAGGTTTGGACCTACATAAATTATGAGTTAGAACTAGGACTCCTATATAAAGATATGACTCCTAAAGAGCCACAACTTCTATAAAAATAAACATAAAATCTGAATACAAAGGAAGATAGCATTTTCCCAAAAATTCTTATGAGAATTCATAAGTAAAGCCTGGCTCTCTTAAGATATTTTCACTGGGATTTACATTATCTGTAAGGGCAAGAAAATAAAGCCCCTCACAACAAAAGTTAGCAAAATAAATTGGCTTTTCCTGAATCCAGAGTTATTCATGAGTAGAAGCAATTCAGTTTTTTAAAAATACGATCTGAAATCAGGCCTTTCAAAATTCTAATAGATAAACCCTACGAACCACAAGTTAATAATTTAATGTAAAGCACACAAGAGAAAAGCAATTATGAGAGATATTTGAGAGAAATAAATAAAAATCTATCAGCATGGTTTAGATGTATACGGATCTCAGATAATAGAATTATCATATGTATAATATAAATACAATAAAATGGTTAGTTCATATAATCAAAACCTAAGTAATAAAAGCCTATACTATAAAATATTAGGCAACTTTGAAAAGAGCAAATTAGAACTTCTAAATATAAAAGTTATATTTAAAGTAAAGCTCAATACAGAAGCAATAGAATAGATGTAGCTGAAGAAGTAAACTGTTTAATAGATCTGATGAAATTTAGAAGACAAAAAGTAAACAAAAAATATTATTAGAAATAACAACTGAAGGAACATGAAAAAGGTTCTAGACTCATCTAAATAGCACTTCAGAAGGATAAAGTAGAAGAAAGAGTAAAGAAATAAGCTAACATATAAAGAGAACTTCCTGGAATTAAAAAAAATCAATAAAATTTAGATATTAAATTATGAACCAAGTTAAGAGAACCTACACACACATTCCCTAGACTTGTTGCAATTAAACTAACACCTAATACAAAGGAAAAGTTTTAATATAAATAGGACAGAAATGATAGTCTGATTAGTTAAGCACTAATAATAGCCTGACACCAGACTTATCAATGGCAAAAGAGATGCCTGAAAAAAGTATAATGTTACTTTTCAAAATATTAAGAAAAAATACCTTTCACAAGAGTACTTTAATTAGAAAGGCTGACTGTTTAGCACCAAAGAAAAATGAAAGCATTTCAGGCAAATGCATTTTCCATACATAAATCTCACCAAAGAAATTTCTAAACCTACTGGAAAAGGAAAAATATAATCCCAGAAAAAATTAGTGATTTGCAGGAAGAAATGACAACAAAGAAATTGATAAATATGCTATAATGAAATGAACATTGAATTGATAATACATTGATAGAATTGTTAAAATGTGAAAATTGAAAACAAATGGACAAAAATATTGAACTGGCATTAAATATTAATGAAAATATTAGTTGACATTAAAATGATTCAAAATTTTTGCATTGTTTTGTAGGTAGAAGTATTTTCATTAGCTTTTTACTTTGTCAGCATACATATAAACATATTAGTGGTGAGAAAGAGAAGGTACAGCAAATTATATAAATTCTGAACTACACAGAGAAAAAAGGAAGAAATAATTTAAAAGATGACAAGAAAAGAGGAAAAAGAGAAACAAGCAGCTTAAGTGGAAAGCAGCAAATAATATCTTAGAAATATATCTTTGTCAAGAACTGTGTTAAATGTAAATGGAACAAATTAGCAATTTTAAAATCAGATTTTAAAATTAGCATTTTATTCAAAATATTTTAAAATTAATGCATTAGTTGACAGCTTTATAATGTATCAGAACAACTGATGAAATAAGAAATATTTTACTTTATATGAGGATATACAATTTTTTTAATCATGACTTCAATATTTACTTCTCTTGCAATTGTTACAGGTGTACCCATTCTTGTAGGTTGTATTCGTGGGTTGGTGCAAAGGCTTATAGAAACAGCTCTTACCAAAACCTCCCTCAATTCTCCCCCACCCTATTCGGATAAACTCCTACTCTTAGATCAACAACAGCAACAACAAATCCAAATTATGTTAGAAAAATTTGAAGGGGAAAAACTATAAAAGCAAGAGGGGGAAAATTGTCAGGAACAGTAAGTTCCTCTTCAAGCTTCCTCATTCTTTCTTGTTCTGTAAACAACCCCTCCCGCCTTTCCCACATCCAGACATGCCTTCCCACCTAATTGGTAATGGGCAGTCCCTCCCTTCCTGCCTAGTTAACCATATTCAATTCAAAGTAGTAGTCAATTGGGTCAGCTTAGATTGCACTGTCCAGCTCCAGCCAACGGAGAGAGGACACAAGAACAGGAACTCCTTTAGGGCTAAGAACCCCTGCCCTCCCCTGCTCAGTGTACTCTTGCAGTGGCCTCCGACACAGGCAGCACCCTTCTGCAGAAGTAAAGTTGCCTTGCTGAGAAAAAAAAAAAAAGTATAAGTGACAGAAAAAAGAATAAAGACTTTTTTCCCAAATTTTTGAAAATTAGAGAAGAAATACAAATAATAAACTGTGTAAAATTGACAAAAGGTTTGCAAACGTTGGCCCTAGCATTTACAGAATACACATGCATCATAAACTCAGATGGAATAGCTTATAAAGCTGACTATGCACTAGGCCTTAAAAACATATCTTATTATTAAAAAATCTGTAATGTAAAGCTCATGTTCTCTAGAAATAATACAAATTAACAGTTCACAACAAAAAGAAAATCTGAGAACCTCAAAGATCTGAAAATTAAAAACCAACACATGTATAGAAACTACTTCTGGGCAAGACAGAGTAAGAGGGAGTAGATACACAACTAAAAAAGTGGACAAAATGCATATATGAAATGAAGACTTTCAAAATTGGATAACATACAGCACAGGACTAATTCCTCAGAGAATGAAAACAAATGAATTTCAGAAGAGTAGTAGTTTGCTACCTAGAGATCATTTCCAAGTCCCTAGCATAGTGAAAGTAAGCATAATTGCAGCAAGCTCTGCAGATATTAGGAAATTTTTAATTCTTTGATTCAGTACTGATAGCCACATGCTTAAGAGGACATGACACAAGCTAGAGAAATAAGTCACTGTAAGTAGTAGGGAAAACAGTTTCAGGAACTCACAGAAATCTAGGAAAAATTTGTGTTCTCATGAGCCAGAAGGAGAGATATTGCGATAATGGGGCATGGGAGAAAATCCTAAGAAGAATATCACCTTACTAGTGGTTTAAATTTTCTCTAGACAGTCATTATACTGCTCTGGACTCACCATAACAAATCTTAACAGAAAGTCTCAAAATAAATCAAATTTCTTGTAATTTAATCATATGCCAGTATATAAACCAGAACCTAAAATATAAAACTCATCATGGCCTGCATCCAATCAAGAATTATCATGCATGCAAAAATAGGAAAGCATAACCACCATGAGGAGAAAAATATTGAACTAGCAGACAAGGCTATTAAAGCAGTTATCATAAATATGTCCCATAAAGATGTACAGATGACTGAAACAAGTAGAACTAGAAGATGATAAAATACGAGGGCATGTAATTCAAGGTAGTTAGAGTATAAGAGGTGAAAGAGTCACCAAACAGAAGGTAGCAAGAGATGCAATGTCATCAAAGGATAGTCAAAATTTCAATAAAAATGAAAAAGTCAAGGGAATATTCCAAAAAGTGGTTGAGGACTTAGCTGGTATTGATGATGGTAGTGTGTGAGCTTTAGAGGCCATAGTAAAAAGGATTCATGGAATCTGCGATGGGTATAAAAATAGGCACAAAATTGGCACGCAGAGGCTAAAAAGGATAAAAGTTACATTCTATATGGAGTACAAAGGAGGCCTGGTTTTTTGTTAATGACATAAAGATATATAAGGCATGACATAATTAGTCCCAGAGGTCTATTGATAAAAGATTATTAATATTTTTTATTATAGCCTCCCTCTCACAGTTGGTCTTCTAACCAATTTGCCCTGGTGACAAGGTTATATTCTAGTCCTAGTGGTGGGGATGAGGGATGGAGATGGGGATGATGTGTGGGTTTTACCATTGGGAGCATGTGAGCTCCTTCAGCTTCCTTTTCGCTGGATATTGTTGAATCTGGGAGAAGGGCAGTGTTGGGGGAATGATGTGGAAATATGTAAACTTATTTTAATTCCTCCTACATGTATTAGTAACTCAAATTTATCTCAAGTAATAATGACTTAGAATATTTTTATTTTAATATTAGAATAAGGGCTTTAGATTTGAAGATATCTAAGTTTCTTTCCATCTTTTCAATTTTGTGAGACATGCCCACTCATTCCAGTATTTGGACAAAATATTTCTACCTAATAACATAATATCGAGGGCAATCTTCATTGGAACAAGGAAATACTAAGATAGAATGTTGATCACATCAATCTTATTTGCTCATGAACTGAGATTTAAAAGTTTCAGAAAGTCTTTTGCCTATGATAGATAGGTATAGATGCAATCCATTATCCTCCTCAAAATATATTACTTAATTTTTTCTTTATTCATTGATTTCATAATATTAGTTGAGCACTAACTATGTAGCTATCATTTGACTAGTACTCAGTTACAAATTCAATTACAATCGTGATAAAGAGGAATCATGATAATGACAAATTGCTTAAGAGTACTGAGGATGACATTGCAGAGAGAGTGATAATTGAGCTTGAAAGTTGAATTAGGTTTCTAAGACATGGACAAAAGTATTTAACACAGTAGAAAATAGCTGTTAAAAGCAATTGAGATATTAATGAGAATAGCACCTACAGGAAGGTGGAAGACCATTGGCAAAAATCTATTATAACAAAGTATTTGTTGGTGCATGAAAGGGGCAGAAAGTTATGTTAGGAATGTAGAAAAGTGTGAGACTACATAATACAAAGATTGAATATAATTTCAAAAATTTAGACTTTATTCTATACCAATGGGAACTAACAAAATAAAAAGAGAAGATGATATGATCAGAATTGTTTTAATTTAGTTCCATGTAAATTATGAGTTATAAATAATTATACTGGAGATATGTTGATGAGTAAAGCAATAGCATGTTAGGAGAAATATTGACATAAATGGACAGTGACTGTATGATAGAAAGAAAAGGAAGTTAAAATTTAGTATTTATGTCTAGTTTTGCTATTTACCAGGTGTGTGACCTTGGTCAAGTTGCTTATCCTTTCTCTGTCTCACCTTCTCTATTTTTGAAATAATATAATAATTGCGTCTCACCATCTCTATTTTTAAAATAATATAATAATTGTATTTATCTTATGTATTTTATGAATATTAAAATTAATTAACACAGGTAAAAAGCTCAGAATTATGCTAGGCATACAGTGAACAGTTGAAAAAAAACAGCCTTAGTTATTATTGAGAATATTTCAGCTGATAACCAGAGAACATAAGCCATTTTTATATCAAGACAGACAAGGCCATGCTACTATGCTGAAAGAAACAAGACAGTGACAAGGTTCTCCATAACTATAAAAATAACAAGTTCTTTTGAGACAAAAATGGCCAATTTCTGCTTTTTTTTATTATTTTTTTTACTAGCTATAACTGTAGTCTCTGTTTAGTTCTTCCACCAACTAAATGGTTGGTAAGATATCATATATCCATATTCACCCCACTTCTGAAGAGATTTAATTCCAGGCCTCTAATTTCTTTTTTTTTTTTTTTTTTTTTTTGACATGGAGTCTTGCTGTGTCGCCCAGGCTGGAGTGCAGTGGCACAATCTCGGCTCACTGCAAGCTCCGTCTCCCAGGTTCTCGCCATTCTCCTGCCTCAGCCTCCAGAATAGCTGGGACTACAGGTGCCTGCCGCCATGCCCGGCTAGTTTTTTGTATTTTTAGTAGAGACGAGGTTTCGCCGTGGTAGCCAGGATGGTCTCGATCTCCTGACCTTGTGATCTGCCCGCCTCGGCCTCCCAAAGTGCTGGGATTACAGGCGTGAGCCACCACGCCCAAACCAGGCCTCCAATTCCTTCATTTCTTCTTTAACCATCCAAGACAATCTCAAATCCTATAGCCATTGATGTAAACTTCCTTTTTCTGAAAAATCTGCATTTCCTTAGATTAAGTTCTTTCTGCAGTAAGCTAAAGAAAATGGAATTTGTTTGACTACAAGGGTTTTTCCAAAGATTTTGCCTTATGCACATTAATATTATCATAATTACTAATATTATTATTAGCATTATCCAACGAGGTGTATTCTTAACCTAATGTAATGCTTTGCATCAAAAAGCATTCAAACATATTTATATTCTGAATAAGTGAATAAAGAAATTGGCAATTAGGAAGCATTTGGCTTCAGGTAGCTCATTGGTTCTTGACAGTAAATCTCACTGGATCTTTAGGGTATCCCAATTAAGAATTCATTCTACATAACTAACAGTTAAAGAATCTGAAAAGAATGAATTCAGGGACTCATTCAAACTATAAATAAATAATTAAATCAACATTAAGTCATACAAATTAATCCTAGTGGTTTTCTGGCATTGATAAAATTACTTTCCATTTCTGCTTCTCTGTTTTATTGTCTGTAAAATATGCACATGAATATTCATTTCATAATGTTGTAGAGGAGATTAAAATCAATAATATGCATTAAATATACTGTAACTGGTAGTGTCCTTGCTGATTAGTAACCTCTCAGTACATGTTAGCAGTCTTCCATTTCTTGCCTCAAAATGACCAAACTGTGGTTACGGAGTCAAGCCTCAGCTCATTAAGCCATGTTAACATCATACATTAAGTATGTAAGTTGGTAACTGTCTTTAGTGCAAAATAATCTGTAGGATTTCCACAAGCATTTAGAGTGTTATTTAAAAGTCAGTTCAGTATTTAAATACCAATTCACTGTATTAAAAATAAGTTTGCTTGGGTTTTCCTAAGCTTCCAAATTTTGTCTCCTCCTTTAAAATTAGATGTTAATTGATAACATGCATGAACCTAATTTTAGAAAATATGCCTTTTGATATAGAAAGTAGTAAAAGAAATTTAGCATATATTGGTAACCTAAGCAAATATTTTTGTAAAACATCGGCCGTCAAAATGTCTAATTTATAGATTTTGTGAAAGTGATGGTTTGCATATTTTTTGTTTTTTTATGAGTAATATAGCATTTTCAATTTGACTAAGGTATATATTTCACATTTTTCAATTAAAAACAACATTTTAAAAAGCTTTTTATTTGAACAAAGGCAACATAGTAAAGTATTTTTATTCTTTAGCTTGAAGGCAGGTTATCCTGTTTGCTTAAATTGTTGAATCACTCTTTATAACTATCCAGCATTCAGTCCGTTTCTTCTGTCTAAAACAAGCAGTGAATTTTAATTAACTTGGTGCACAGAGTCTTTGGCATTTGTGGAAACTGGGCACACAGCCAGTCCTCAAAACACCACTGATCAATTTGCCTAGAAAGAAGTAAAAAAAATGGAAGATATTGTCTTGGAAGAGCCTCCGAATTTTATTCTAAAATCAAACAGATAGAAATTAAAAATTAAAATTTGAAAATAATTTTAACTCAGGCAAAATGTAATACCTTGTTTAAAAATTATAGGTTTAATAGTTACTTGGAAATTTGGGGATGTGAATAAATTTTATTATTACTTATTTTTGAATCTCTATAAACCGTATCCTCTGTATTTTAGTGCAATCGTTTTGGAGCAAAGTCAATGAGATTTGGCAATCTTCTTGAACTGACTCTGTGAGGAATTGTTAAGATGGTAGAGTTATAATTGTGTTTCAAAGAACAGCCTACTATTATATTGTCTAAACAAATACAAATCTCCTGATATCTAAAATATTCAGCTTCATTTTTATAAAGCAGGATATATACGTTTAAAAAGCCACTTGTTATTTTCTGATTTTTTAAATAGGTATGCTAGTGGATGTGAAGTGGTATTTCTGTGTGGATTTGATATACTTTTCCTAATTATTAGTGATGTAGAGCATCTTTTCATGTTCTTTTGGCTATTTGCTTGTTTCTTTTAAAGAAATGGGTATTTCAGTTTTCACGTCTTTTTTTTTTTTTTTTTGAGACAGGGTCTCCCTCTGTCACCGAGGCTAGAGTACAGTTGTGCTATCCTAGCTCACTGTAGCCTCAGCTTGTGGGTTTCAGCAATCCTCCCACCTCAGCCTCTCAAGTAGCTAGGAATATGGGAGCACACTACCATGCCTGGATAATTTTTTTATTTTAGTGGAGATGGGAGTCTTGCTATCTTTCCAGGCTGGTCTCAAACTCTTGGCCTCAAGTGATTCTCCCATGTCAGCCTCCTGAAGTGTTGGAATTACAAAAGTGAGTCATCATGTCTAGCCTTTGCCCATTTTTGAATCAGGTTGGTTGTTTTCATTGTTGAGTTTTGGTAGTTCTCCATATTTCTAGACATTAAGTTCTTATCAGTTATGTGATTTGGAAATATTTTTTCTCATTGTGTGGGGTGCCTTCTTACTGTGTATATGGTGCCTTTTGATACTCCTTAAAAAAGATTAAGTCAAATTTGTCAACTCTTTCTTTTGCTTTCTGTGCCTTTTGGTGTCATGTCTAAAATATCATTGCAAAATCCAATATATTGAAGATTTTGTCCAGTTTTCTTCAAAAAGGTTTATACTTTTATTTGTTATATTTAGGTATTTGATTCATCTTGAGTTTATTTTTGTATATAGTGTTAGGTAATGGCTCAACTTCATTCTTTGGTGTGTGGACATCCAATTTTCTCACCACCTTTTGTTGAATAGACAGTTTTTTCAGCATTAAATGGTGTTGGCATCTTTATCAAAATCATTTGACCATATGCAAGAGTTTTTTTTTCTTTGTTCTTTCTATTTTATTAAATTGTTTTATATGTTTGTTTTTATTCCAGTGCCACCCTGTTTGGATAGCAGAGTTTTGTAGCAAAATTTGTACTCAGGAAGTGTGACTCCTCCAACTCTGTTTTTGAAGATTGTTTTTTGCCATTCAGGGTTTCTTGAAAATCCACATAAGTTATAGGAATGGTTATTCTATATCTGAAAAGATAATATAATTAAGATATTGAAGGGAATTGCATTGAATTTGTAGACTGGGTACTATTGACATCCTAAAAATATTAAGTTTTTTTAAGAGTGTATATAACTTAATTTCTTAATATCTTTTTAAATTTCTTTCAGTAATGTTTGTTTCCACTACACAAGTATTTGTATTCAAGCCAGTTAATCTTTGCTTAAGTTAATTCATAAGTGTTTTATTCTTTTCAGTGCTATTATAAGTGAAATTGCTTTTGTAATTTTCTTTTTAGATTATGCATTGTTACTTAATAGAATGCAACTGATTCTTGTGTGTTGAGTTAGGTTCCTGCTACTTTTCTAAAATCATTTTTAGTTCTAACAGATTTTTTTCTCAAAGCTTTAGAATTTTCTAAATATGATATGATATCATGTATGAGTAGAGATACATTTACTTCTTCCTTCCCAATTTTGTTGCCTGTTATTTCTCTTTCTGCCTAATTTCTCTGGCTAGAACTTCCCATACCATGTTAAAGATAAGTGGCAAAAGGGAGCATCCTTGCCTGGTTTTTGATCTTAGCAAAAATATTTTTAGCTTTTCACGATTGATATAATTTTCACTATAGGTTTTTCATACATATAAGGTTTTATTATATTTAAGTATTTTATGTCTGTTTATAGTTAGTTGAGTGTTTATGAAAGGGAGTTGAATATTGTCAAATCCAATTTCTGCAAAAATTGAGATGATCTTTTTTTTGTATTTTCTGTTAAGGTGACTTGTTACATTGATCAATTTTCATGTGTTCAACCATCGTTTCATTCCAATAACAAATCTGTATGGTCATCTTATATAATCCTTTTAATATGCTGCTGAATTTAGTTTGCTAGGATTTTGTTGTGGATTTTTCTTCAATATTCACAAGAAACATTGATCTGTCATATTATTTTCCAGTTGTATCTTTGTGTAGCTTTGGTAAGATAATGGTGGACTCACTGAATAAATTAGTAAGCATTCCCTCACCTTTAAGTATTGGGAAAAGTTTGAGAAGAATTAGTGTTAGTTTTTCTTTTAATTTTGGCAGAATTCACCAATGAACACATCAGGTTCAGGGCTTTTCTTTCTTGGAATATTTTGATCACTGATTCAATCTCCTCACTACTTATAGTTCTATTCAGGTTTTCCAACTATTTGTAATTTAGTCTTTTAAGGTTTTGTTTTCCTATGGCTTTTTTTCATTTCATCTATGTTATCCAAACTGCAACTATCTAGGTGGGAAGACATATGTCTGATAATTTCTACTCCACCATCTTCCAAGAATCCTCTCTTGCTATAGATTTTTTGATAATCAATTTTACTTAAAAAACTAAGAAGTATATTAATTACATAGCATTGACTAGAAATTGAAAACTACACATTTGTTTTTACAAGTCATTTAATATGTCTTGCTATTTTAAGATTTCCCAAGTTAGAAAATTTCTGTTGTCATACATTTTATTTGTCCTGAATCCAGTGCCAATTTGTATCCCATGGTCAGAATTGAATGGAATAAATTGAGTTAAATTTGGTCTATTTGTTACTAAAGGCTGTGTGCAGCATGTGGAAAGATAAACTATTAATGTGCTATTGAAGAATTTTCATATGACAACGTGAGAGATATTATAGTATAAACAAACAGGCATGCAAACATACATACACAGACGTGTATTTGAGGTCCCATCATGATCACCAATTAAATATTCAAAGAAAGATTACAAAACTAATCAAAGTTTATTGTTTATTGAGAAGAATGTCAGAATGGGGAAAAATTTCAGAAACGTGACAATAGAGAGGTTATTCTGTAGAGACTAAAGTAGACTTCAAGCTTTGGATATCATCAAATATTTACTTTTAGGAAATATTAAAAAGAAATACAATATAGAAAACAAACAAGAAGGGGAGTTCTGATCCAAAAAGGAGGAGGCTACAGTTTATAAGCTTTTCCCACATATAACCTTCAGCATTTAGTTCAAACACGTTTGATAAATATCCAGATGTCTAGGGATTAGTTTGAGAAAAAATTGCCTAATCTGTCACATTTAATTTAAATTCACCCACTTTTTAAATAAATAATTTTTAAAATTTAACAGATGTTCAAACTTAATCAAATTATTTGACTTTACTGTGTGTATTTGTTTAAAAATATGAATTTTACATATAAAACAATTTTAAATATTTACAGTATAGAATGTGATGTTTTGATGTATGTACACAATGTGAGATGATGAAATCAAGCTAACATATCTATCACTTCATCTACTCATCATTTTTGTGGTAAAATTTTTGAGATTTACTCTCAAAAATTTTGAAATATACAACAAATTATCATTACATATGGTCACCTGCTGTGAAGTAGAACTCAAAAATTTATTCTTGCTATCTAACTGAAAATTGGTACCCTTTGACCAACATTTCCCCATCTCCCCAACCCATCTCAGCTTCTGGTAACCACCATTCTACTCTTCACTTCTGTCAGTTTGACATTTTTAAATTTCACATGTAAGTCAGATTGTGTGGTATTTCTGTGGTTGGCTTATTTTACTTAGTATAATGTCCTCTAAGTTTACCTGTTATTTCAAATACCAGATTTTTTAATAGGTTGAATAGTATTCTATTGTGTATACATACTACCTTTTCTTCAATCATTCGTTGATGGACACTTTGATTGATTCCATGCCTTGCTATTGTGAATAATGCTGTAATAAACATGGAAGTACAGACACTGTATGACATACATTTCATTTCATTTGGATTTCATTTTATTTGGATATATACCCAGAAGTGGGATTGCTGGATCATATAATATTTCCATTTCAAGTTTTTTGGGGGGGATTCTTCATACCTTAACCATAATGGCTATATTGATTTGTAGTCCCAGCAACAGTATACAAGGGTTTCCTTTTCTCTACGTTGTTTCAACAAGTATCTGGCATCTTTCTAATCATAGCAATTCTAACATGTGTAAGGTGATATCTCATTTTGATTTTAATTTGCACTTCCCTAATGATTAGTGATGGTAAACATTTTCTTTTAATAAACCTATTTGCCATTTGTATATCTTATTTTGAGAAATATCTGTTTAGGTCCTTTGCCTATTTTATAACTGGGTTATTCTTTTGTTTTGTTTTGTTTTTGAGTTAAGTTCCTTATATATTAATGTTAACCCTTTATCAGACCTATTTGGCTAGCAAATTCTGCATTATATTTTTTCCTTTGTTGTGCAGAAGCTTTTAGGTTTGATGCAACCTCATTTGTCTATTTTTGCCATTGCCATCTGTGCCTTCAGGGTTATATCCAAAAAATTATGCCTAGACCAATGCTTTTACCCTGTGTTTTCTTGTAGTAGTTTTAGAGTTTCAGATCTTGCATTTTAGTCTTTAATCGATTTTGAGTTGATGTTTATATTTGCTGTGAAATAAGGATCTAACTTCACTCTTTTGCTTCTGTATCCAGCTTTTTTCTCCACATCCTATCAACACTTATCTTGCATCTTTTTGATCATAGCCTTTCTAACATGTCTGAGGTGATATCTAATTGTGATTTTAATTTGGACTTCCCTATATTTATTGATGGATGTGTCCTTTTCCTATTGAGTCTACTTGGTACCTTTGCAGAAAATCAATTTCTTATAAATATATGGGTTCATTTCTGGGCTTTCTATCATTTTCCATTGGTCCATGTTTCTGTTTTTAGGCCAATACCATGTTGCTTTTATTATAATTGCTTTATAACATATTTTAAAATAAGAAAGTCTTATGCATGTATGCAAGTGGCAGCCAAAGTTGTATCTGGGGCCCTTTGAGCCACAACTAGAGCCAGAGCAACTGGAAGGTAGAGAACACTGTCCTGAGGCCATACAAGACATCGGGGCCCTGGGCTTGGCTCATGAAACCACTTTTCCCTCCTTGGCCTCTGGTGCTGTTAAGGGAGCCATAAATATGTATGTAAGAAATGTATCTCAACACAATAAAGGTCATATATGCAAGCTCACTGCTAACATACTCAGATGGAAATGAGAAACTTATTTGGAACTGCAGTAAATGTCACCCATGATATGCCTTAGCAAAGAACTTAGCTGCATTGTGCTCCTGCTCTTGGGTTCAGCAGAATGTTGAGCTTCAAAGTGATAATTTAGGGTATCTGGCAGAAGAAATTTCCAAGCGGTAAAGCATTCTAGATGCGGCCTGGCTGTTTCTAACAGCCTATACTCAGATGCAGAAGCAAAAGAATGACTTAGGCCAAGCGCGGTGGCTCATGCCTGTAATCCCAGCACTTTGGGAGGCTGAAGTAGGTGGATCGCTTGAGGTCGGGAGTTTAAGACCAGCCTGGCCAACATGGTGAAACCCCATCTCTACTAAAAAAAAAAAATACAAAAATTAGCCGGGCGTGGTGGTGCATGCCTGTAATCCCAGCTACTCAGGAGGCTGAGGCAGGAGAATCACTTGAACCTGGGAGGTGGAGGTTGTGGTGCTGAGATCATGCCATGGTACTCCAGCCTGAGTGACAGAGCGAGACTCCACCTCAAAACAATAAAAATAAAATAAAATAAAATAAAATAAAATAAAATAAAATAAAATAAAATAACTCAAAGTTAGAACATGTATTTAAAAAGAAAACAGAGCTTAAAAGTTTGGAAAATGTATAGCCAAGCCATGTGGCAGAGAAAGAAAATGCTTGTCTTGGGAGAGGAATTCAAGCAGGCTGTGGAGCAACCACTTGTTAGAGATATTTGCATAACTAAAAGGGAGCAAAGTACTAATATCCAAATCAGCGGGTAAATGATCTTGAAGCCATTCCAAAGACCTTTGTGGCAGGTGCTCCCATAACAGCCCCAGAGGCCAAGGAGGTAAAAGTGGTTTCATGAGCCAGGCCCAGAGCCCTGATGCCCTGTATGGCCTCAGGACAGTGCTCTTCACATTCCAGCTGCTCTGACTCAAAGGGCCCCAGACACATCTTGGGCTGCCACTTTGGAGAATGCAAGCCATAATCCTTGCCAGCTTCCATGTGATGGTAAGCTTGTAGGTGCACAGAATGGATGAGTGAAGAATGCCTTTTAGCCTCTACCTAGATTTCAGAGGATGTATGAAAAAGCCTAGGTGTCCAGGTAGAAGTCTGTTGCAGGGGTGGAGTTTTTACAGAAAACCCCTCCTAGGGAAGTGAAGAGGGGGAATGTGAAGCCCCACACAGAGTCCAAATTGAGGCACTTCCCATTGGAGTTATGTGAAGAGGGCCGCCATCCTTCAGCCCCCAGAATGGTAGATTCATTGACAGCTTGCCCCCTCAGAATGGAACAGCTGCAGGTACTCTACTCAATGCTAACCCATGAGACCACCCACTGGGGCAGCACCCTACAAAGCCACAAAGAGAGAGATGCCCAAGGCCTTTGAAGTACACCCTTGCACCAGTGTGCCCAGGATGCCCAGTGTGCACCTGGATGCAGGACATATGGAGTCAAAGATTATTTTGGAGGTTTACAATTTAGTGACTGCCCTGGTGGGTTTTAGACTTGCATAGGGCCCTTTGCCCCTTTCTTTTGGCTGATTTCTCTTTTTTGGAATGGGAATGTTTACTCAATGCCTGTACTCACATTATATTTTGGAAGTAAATAACTTGTTTTGAATTTCTTAAACTCATAAGAGGAAAAGATTTGCCTTGTCTCAGATGAGACTTTGGGCTTTAAACATTTGAGTTAATCCTGGAATGAGTTAAGACTTTGGGAAACTATTGGAATGGCATAATTGTATTTTGCAATGTGAGAAGGACAATATTTGACAGGGGCCAGGGGTGAAATGATACAGTCTGAATATCTGTCCCTGCCTCAATCTCATGTTGAATTATAATTCCCAATGCTGGAAGCATGGTCTGGTTTGGGTCATGGAGGCAGATCCCTCATGACTTGGCGGATCTTCGTAATAGTGAGTTCTTGCAAGACCTGGTCATTTTAAAGTATGTGGCACCTCCCCCGCTACACTGTCTCTTGTTTTTCTCCTGCTTTCACCATTTGATATACCTGCCCCTGCTTAATCTTCCATCACGAGTAAAATCTGAGTCCTCCCCAGAAGGTAGCAGATGCAAGAGCCATGCTTGTACTCCCTGCAAAACTGTGAGCCAATTAAACCCCTTTTCTTTATATGTTTCCCAGTCTCAGGTATTTCTTTATAGCAAAGCAAGATCAGCCTAACACAGATAGTTTGTTCTTAGTGTACAGAGATGCTACTGATTTTTATATGTTGATTTTTTATCCTAAAACTTTACTAAACTTGTCAGTTCTAACTCTCTCTCTCTCTCTCTCTGTATATGTGTGTGTATGTGTGTAATCTTTAGAGTTTTCTATATACAAAATCATGGAATTAGCAAACGGACACATTTTCATGTCTTCATTTCATACTAGGATTTCTTTTCTTTCACTCCCTTGTCTAATTCATCTGACTTGGCCTTCCAGTATTATTTTGGAAAGAAGTAGTGAGAGTGTGGGAATCTTTGTCTTTTTCTTGATTTTAAAGATAAAGCTTTCAACTTTTTTACTGCTGAGTATGTTAGCAGTGAGCTTGCATATATGACTTTTACTGTGTTGAGATACATTTCTTACATACATATTTTCGAGAGTTGTCGCCTTAATGAATGTTGACTTTATTTTCAAATGCTTTTTCTGCATCTATTGAGATAATTGTACAATTTTTATTTTTTAACCTGTTAATGTGGTATATCATATTTATTGACTTGCAAATGTTGAACAATTCTTGCACCATGGGGATGAGTCCCACTTGATCACGGTGAATCTTTTAATATGTTGTAGAAATCAGTTTGCTAGTATTTTTGTGGGGATTTTTAAATCTATTTTTATCTTAGATATTGGCTTGTAATTTTATTTTCTGGTAGTTTCATATATGCACAATCACAGTCTTGTCTCCTGGCCTGGAGAAGCCTTATTATGCAGGAGACAAAGGTTCAGCAGAAAACCTGACTAAGGACTAGAGCCTGGCAGACCTGTTGGCCATGCTTTCCGTAGAGTGATTCTCTTGCCTGCTTTTTTTTTCAGTCAGGCACCTCGGTTGGCTGGAATGCAGAGCCACAGCCAAAGTCCGGGCACGATTAACTCCATCTCGCTTCTTGGTTTCTAGCTGGCCCCTGGTGGCCTACACCTGCTGATACTGCCAATATTTCCTTTGAGGTGATGCTATGGTTTGAATGTGTCTCTCATTTTCACATATTGGAAACTTAATACTCTAATTAATATGTTGATGGTATTTGGAGCTTGGACTCTTGGTAGGCAATTAGGATTAGATAAAGTAATCAGGGTGGGACCTCTCAATGAGACTTGTGGCTTTGTAGGGTAAGGAAGAGAGATCTGGGCTAACACAGAAGCTCTTGCCTTCTCACCATGTGATGCCCTCTTTTATGTTATGACACAGCAAGAAGGCCCACGCTGGATGTGGACCCTTAATCTTGAACTTCTCAGCATCCAGAACTGTCAGAAATAAATATCTTTTCTTCATAAGTTATCTAGTCTGTGGTATTCTGTTATAGTAACAGAAAACAGACTAGGACAAGTTAGACAGAAATGAGCCTCCTGTGAATTGTCCCAGAATGCTAGGGATGCTAGATGTCTGCTTTCAGCTCTTTCTTCCATTGTAGAAACTATAAGCCCAGGAGAATCCTCTCTGGTGCTGTGCCAGTTTGTGGGAGGCATGGTCAAGGTCAAACTAATCCTTAGTCTTCTAATGCAACTTTTCTCAGTTCTGTGGCTTAAAAGGTTGTATCAGCCTCACTCCTGAGTTTGGAATATTCACGAAGATATTATTATCTGTGGATAGTTGCTAGTTGGATTTACTTTAGTGGGACCAGAGCCAGGGAACTCCTATTCCGCCACCCTGCTAATGTCACTTTTCTTACTATGTTTTCCTTTTCTTACTATTAAGCCAGTAATAATTCTTACTACTTCCCTGACTCCCTCTCAACATACACATACATTTGCAAGGTTTCTGTGAAAATTACAAAGATAAAATGGATTTGAATGTGCTCTGATGAGAGAGTGAGGAGGACCTAAAGGGATTGTAAGTATTTACAGATAAGGTCTCTCATGGAGAAGTGAAAATATTTAGGTATGAAACTGTGTAGGTGAACACCATTTTGTCATGGGGATAGTTACTGATCTCCAGCATTATCTCATCTGAAGAGCCTTTTCTGAGGCACTGGTGCCACTCTTTCCTCTTTACTGAGCTTGCTCATTGTCCTAGATGTGGCATTATTACCATTAGTTTGTGTCTCTTTCTTCTCTACTAGATTTTGTTACAATTCATGGCTGTAGTATTATTTACTTATCTTTATACAATCCTATAGAATATAGTATCCTCAAAGCTACCTATGACATAGATTAGCTGTCCAACCTAAGCTTGCTGAAAACTTGCTAATTATAAAAAAAGAATCTAATGTAATCATATCATTAAGGTATCTTTTGCATTGCAAATCCTGATCTGTGATTCATCAAGCAAAACAATCTAGTAGCTTAATATTCATTTTTTTTCTTCTTTGCCTTTATTTTCTCTCAATCAAAAGTTGGATAGTTTTAACATTATTTAAAGTAAGCTTTTAACTTTAACTTGAACATTTAACATTATTAAAAGTAAGCTTTTAACTTTAACATTTAACTTTAACATTATATTAAGCTTTGGAGTAATAGATAATTTTCACTTATCATTATTCATTTATTTATTAAACATTTATTTAGCAGCTGTTACGGGACAATCACTGTATTAATTTCTGGGAATACACAGATGACTAGCATAGAGACCTTATCCTTAAAAACTTATAATCAATTGGAGAAGAGAGAAAGAGAGATATAACTGTTTGTTTCCCCAGCCACCAGAATTGACTACTAAAACCAGGGCCGCACTAACAATGGTAAGATACTATCTCTATTTTTCTCTATCCAACAATTATAGAAAGGCCAGTCCCTCATGAAAGTATTTCAGAGAATCCTCAGAAAGTTGTTTTTATGTGCTCCTGAGTTCAGTTCTTTAAGCTACACTGAAGTGTGCATTTCACTTCTTATAATCTGTTTTGTATGTTCATATTTGTGGAGGAGCCAGATGCCCGCATGCAGTTCACTGTACACACTGATATTTAATATACCTGTGTTCAGTACATACTTCTGTTATAGCTGCTGTGTCTTTGCAACATTGATTAATCTGAATCAGCCAATGCTGCATTCTGCTGTTATGTTTCTTACAGTGAAATAGTGTCAAAACACATGAAAATTTAAGTACAACAAAAATGAGTCCACATTTTCATTTCTTCTGTGTAAAAATGAAAGCATTTTAAGTATGTTTCCTTAATTTTTCTGGAGTGTCATCTTATTCATCCATAAAACAGAAATGCCTGTTTTGCAGTGTTTTATACTGAGTAAATTTGTATTACTGTATTTGTATTACTGTGAATACTTAATTATAAATTTCCTAATCTCCAGGATTACGGAGATTGAATTTTCTTTTTAGGTCAGATACATAAATTGTGTAGTATCTCAATAAATAAGTCTGATAAATCTAAATAATTTTTATTGCCTCACCTCTCACTTTGCCTTATATACCTGCCCCTAACTTAATTCCATAACCTATTTATAATTCATTAACATCTTTATAATTCTTATAAGTTTAAGGGCTAAAGATGAAAGTGAATGTATATTGACTGGATTGTGGCAACTGGATGATACTAAGCAAGTCTCTTTAGAGGATTAGCATGGAAAAGGTTAATATGCAGTAATATTCATCTTGTGTTAAGTATCATTTACATACATTTCTTTTTCTGTGGAAAAAAAAAACGTAATTTAGGACATACCTTGACCATCTTAAAAAGGTCAATATTTTCAAAGTGCCCCCAAATTCGAAATGTGACACTACTATACCTCCTCTTTGTGACACTAATTCTAACCTTCTTTATTTCTGAATATTGACTATGAAGAACCATGAAGGGTCTGAGATTTTTTATCCTATTTGCAAGCTAATAAATCAGTCTACCACATTTTTGTGGATGCTGGTAGAAGACACAAGATTCCTGGATCAAAGATGAAGTCCAGTTTATTACTCATAGAAATAACAGTAGCCAGAATATCAGCATTCTTACATCTGCTCCAAAAGTTCCTGTTCTCACAGAATGTCACAGAATGGACCATATGCCACCTACACACTACAATGTGTGACATTATATGAGGGAAACACTTTGTTTAAGGAACCTAAATCTTTTATAATAGGTAATAAGCCAATTTCCCTTTTATCTAGAGGGAAAGCATTCATATACAATGCAGTAAATAACCTTCTCTTGGCTCTGGAGATGTCTCTCTCTCCAAAGGCCATTTGCTATCCAAACATCTTTAAAGAGATGATAAAAGACAAAGTAACTTGCTCACAAGACATGCAGAAACACAGTGTTTGAATGTTGTCTAACCCTTTAACTCCTTCAATAATAACAAGAATTATAATAATACATTTGTATGTTAGATACATACATAAAAAGTAATCCACCAAGCAGCATGTTTTCTGCAGTCTGTGGCAAACCATAATCACATTACGAAATGTTTTTCTATTGAAGTCAAAGTAACTTTTACCCACATTGTTAAGAGTTTGTTTTATATCCCTTCCCTCTACATCTCCCTCCTTCTGGAATTAAAAATAATGACATTTTGTCTGTCCTTTGAAAAACTATACAGTTTGTTTTATTTTGATTCATATCATAATCCAGTACAAACTGTCCTATAGTTATGAGGTAATATTACCCTTGTCTCAAGCAATCTTTTGGTAGTTGATTCCCATTTGTTTACATACTTCTGGTATCTTTTGTTAGATGCTCCTTTATAATGACATATTGATTTTATTTCCATTCCATTATGTAACTGCAAACAAGCATCTACAATTCAAATATCTGTTCATTTTCTTGTTTTAAGCAAGCAATATTTTCAGAAGATTGCATCATAAAAACTAACTAGATTGAATAGCACAACCAGTTGCTGGAAGGAATGGACTTAGTGTGCTTGTTAGGGGACAGAATGGCCATGATTATAACTAGAACAGATTGCTTAAGTAGCAGAATCTGCACAATGGCTCATTGGTAATAATGGGTTGGGGGTTGGGAGGAAGCAATGACATTGTCCAAGGTTAGTATTTTCTCTTACATGCATGGTGGTTTTGAATAACTGAAAACAGCTGTAGAATAAAACCCCTGCCCTGGCTTATTATAAACCATTCACACTTTGGCATTAGAGATATGAATAGGCCCTCAAGGAAAGAACGGATTTCAATTCAACAATAGAAAGGGACCATCAGCCAAATGAAGGGGAAAAAAGTGCATGAAGCTATGTTATTTCCAGAATTATTGAACTGCTTCACCAACTGGAAGTCAGGATAAAAAACATCTGCTCCTGATTTGTTTGGAATTTCTGTTTTCCTGGGCTAGCAGAAGGGAATAAACATAAAAAGACAGAAATTGATTCTTTGAAGTCATGCTAAAAGTAGAAATATTTTCTCAAATTTCTCCAATACACTGGAAAGAGTAAGACAGCTATTTGCTAATCAGATCCATGAGTATTGAAATCTGAACACTCAAGTTAATCCATTGACAATCACTTAATATTGTGTTTAATGACATGTTCAGGATATAGTGCAATTAGTCCTTTTAATTTTAAAATAATATAATATTTGAAAAATTATTTTAAAATAAAAGTAAAAAACATTCCAAAGCTAGCCTCTAAATCTTCATGTAATATATATGTGCGTGTGTGTGTATGTGTGCATGTGTATGTGAATTAGAAGAAAGGCAACTAAATTTATTTGAAGGTCTTGTATACACGTTCACATTCTTCATATTAGTGTAAATTAAAATCTTCCTCTTGGCGTGGTGGCTCACACCTATAATCCCAGCACTTTAGGAGGCTGAGGTGGGCAGACCACTTAAGCTCTGGAGTTCCAGATCAGCCTGGACAACATGGAGAAGCCCCACCTCTACAAAACATATACACACACACAGAAAAGTTAGCCGGACATGGCAGCATGCACCTGTAGTTCCAGCTACTAGAGAGACTGAGGTCTCTACCAAGAGACTGAGTTCTACCAAGTAAAATAGAATTGCAGCGTCTCTATTTGGGTGGGATATGACTTACATTTGGATCACTTGAGTCTGGGAGGTCAAGGATGAAGTGAGCTGTGATCATGCCACTGCACACCCACCTGGGTGACAGAGTGAGACCCTGTCTCAGGAAAAAAAAAAATCTTCCTCTTAAAATTATATGTGGCAGGATATCATATTAAGAATTTCATTATTGTTGCGCTATCTAGAAAGTTCATAGAATCTGGATATATAGCAGATGAAGAAAATGTTTGGAGGCCAGGCATGGTGGCTCAAGCCTGTGACCCCAGTACTTTGGGAGGCTAAGGCAGGAGCGTTGCTTGAGCCCAGGAGTTTGAGACCAGCCTGGGCAACAGAGTGAGACCCTGTCTCTACAATTTTTTTTTTTAATTAGTAGGGTGTGGTGGTGTGCACCTGTCATCCCAGCTACTTGGGAAATTGAGGCAGAAGGATTGTTTGAGCACAGGAAGTTGAGGCTGCAGTAAGCCATGACCACAACACTGCATGCCATCCTGGGCTACAGAGCGAGACCCTGTCCCAAAAGAAAAGAAGAGAAAAGAAAATGTTTGGGAAATATACTTTGTTTGTAATATGCTCTGGCCTTAATGTTGTTCTCATTTTTATATTTTCGATATTGTGTCAGACTCCAAAAACAAAGGCCACAAAAAGGAGATAAAAAGAAAATTTCACTAAAGTCTCCAAACCTTGAAAGTACAAAGAAGAAATATGTTTTGATCTATGTATGATGTGCGGTTTCTGATTACAGCTGAGAAGTCAGTAACCTGTTCAATTGGTTCTGTGTATCAATGTGGCAACATCAGCACACACTGTATGAAGGATATTTCCTGTTTGCTTCTAGGAACTGACCTCCACCCTTTTCTGTCTTACTCTGACAGAAGCTGAATTCTACTGACCAAATTATGTAGGTTCTTTTGTTTCATGCATACAAACTCATAGGTTTTCTTTTTGATTTATTTTAGGTAATAACCTTTTGATCTCAGGAGACTACAAAGCTAGCTAAAAATTTCAGACCCATAACATGAAAATCTGGGTAAAAATTAAAAAAATTTATATGTGTAAAAATTAAGTTTTAGGTTTATAAATTTAAAAAATTAGATATTTGAATTAGTTCTACCAAGTAAAATAGAATTGCAGCTTCTCTATTTGGGTGGGATATGACTTACACTTGGAGAAAATGTAGAAATAACAGAGTAATTCTATTTTTTTATTCTTTCAGAAAATAGCTTAACTATTTTGTATCTTTTTTAAATAATAGCAAAAATGCAAATTACAAATATATACGTATATTTTTTCCTTGCATCCAAAGTTCTATTTCAGAATAGGATTGCAAAAATAATACTGCCCCACTGTGTAAAAGAAATGAGAAATGCAGAGGCCATTAGAGAGGATTGTGAATTTATACAGTACATTAGAACCAAAGGGCAAAGCATGAATATTTCTTAAAAATTCACAGTGTTTAATGCCACTTGGGTTTGTACTGCTTTTTATCTGAAATGATAAACCCATGAGGCCATAATTTACCCCATCTTGCCAAAACATTTTAGGTGATTTTTTTTTCTGTATCAGTTTATCACTTTGTTTATGCCCTTTATTTAACAATAAAAAACTGGTTTATACTAAATGGTCTGAACACAGGAAACACAATAGCACATCATTTCTTGTCTGATTAAACCATAACAATATTAAATCAGAACCATCTATGTTGTTTGATGGTTCAAGTTTCCAATATTTTGTTTGGTACCTATTATTACTGAGGATTGAATGAAAACAGTAGAACTCTTGTCTCTCTCTTTTTTTTTTTTTTCTAAACCCATTCCAATTTCATATCTCTTAGCCACTTCTACACCCTCAAAATAGAAAAGAGTGAACTGGTACAGTAATAAAATATCTTTTTAAGTCATATTTAACTCAATTGTGAGTTTTAAGTCTTTTCAAGCTTTATAATAACAATTTTTTTCTAAGTGTTGTATTTGATACTTTTGGTATCAAGTTATTAGAATTTCAAATATTAATAAAACATAGTTTTTAATAGATTTTGAAAGTAAATGATACCCAGTGTATTTAGAACAGCTCCACATTCAAGTAAGACTTAACCTATCAGATGATATTCATAAATTTCCTTTTCTAAATAGCTTTATTAAGGTATATTTGATAGGCAAATAATTGCATGGATTTAATGTGTACAATTTTATGATTTGGGACATATGCAAACACCTGTCATACCATTACCACAATCAAGATAATAGACATATCCATCACCTCCCAAAGTTTCCTTGTGTTCCTCCTCCCTTTATCTGTGAATAAAAACATTTAACCTGAGACTTACCCTCAACAAATTTTGACATACACCATACCCTATTGTTAACTACAGCTACTATGCTATATATGGTTTATTTTGCTTAGCATAATGTCCCCCATGTTCATCCATGTTGTTGCAAATGGCAGGATTTCCTTTCTAAGGCTGAATAATATTCTGTTACAGATCTCTATCTATCTATCTATCTATCTATCTATCTATCTATCTATCTATCTATCTATGTGTACATATATATACACACAGGTTTTCTGTATCCACTCATCCAGTGATGAATACTTGAAGTGTTTCCATATCTTGGCTATTGTGAATAGTGCTGCGGTGAACATGGAGGTGTGGGTATCTCTTTAAGATCCTGATTTCAATTCTTTTGAATGTATACTTAGAAGCAGAATTGCTGAATCACATGGTAGGTTTGCTTTTAAATTTTTGATCTCAGTACTGTGTCCCATAGCTGCTGTATCATTTTACATTCCCACTTTTCTTTTTTATGTGTTTCTTAATGTGCTGTGCAATTTCACTTTCTGCAGTACATGAGGTGCCTGGTTCTCAAGATGTTTTGATTTTCACATACATTTTTTAAATAAAACATATTTGTATTATTAAATTCAATTAAGTTTTGCCTAAGGTGTCTCGATACTTTGAATCCCTACATAGCAAACTGAAACCCAACTTAGTTTGTAAACAAGCTGTAGCCTAAGAGTACAATCTTGTAACAAATAGCTGAGTCTCAGCCAATCACAACGAGTGAGTTTCAGCTGTTTACAGGCTGCCAGCTGACCAGATCATGTCCTTATGAGGCAAATGCCTTATCACAACACACTCAAATAAGGAAAATGCCCGGCTATAATCAATCAAGCTGTTTCTGTATGTCACTTCCATTTTCGGTTTACAAATACTGTCTGTCCATGTTGCTGGAGCTTTCAGCCTCTTCTGGTTCTGAGTGCTTCTCAATTCATAAATAGTTTTTTGCTCGAATAAACTCAGCTAAATTTAATTTATCTGAAGTTTTTGTTTAATAGTATCTAAGTTATAAAAAGGAAAGTTATCCATTTTCAAAAGATACTCCCTAAAGTGCTGGTTTAAAGATGGTGTTCTGTGTTCATGCATTATCACTCCTAGCATAATTAACAGTAATTCCACCAGGTATTACAACAAAAGCCAATAAGGATACCCTCATGGCTCTGGCAAGAAGAGAAGAAAAGTAAATATTATTAAATGCCCAAGGATGTCTTCTGTAACAAAGCACTACTCTCTAGGTAAAAGACTACCAGAGTCTTATCTCATCTGGGGGAAGATCATTTATTCCACTGCAGCTCCTTTTGGCTTTTTTTTTTTTTTTTTTTTTTTAGATGGAGTCTCGCTCTGTTGCCCAGGCTGGAGTGCATTGGCGCCATCTCAGCTCACTGCAAGCTCCCGGGTTCATGCCATTCTCCTGCCTCAGCCCCTGGAGTAGCTGGGACTACAGGCGCCCCCACCACACCCGGCTAATTTTTTGTATTTTTAGTAGAGATGGGGTTTCACTGTGTTAGCCAGGATGGTCTCGCTCTCCTGACCTCGTGATCCACCCACCTTGGCCTCCCAAAGTGCTGGGATTACAGGTGTGAGCCACCGCGCCCAGCCCCTTTTGGCTTTCTGATCTCAGCTAAGGTAAGAGGGGAAGAAAGCTAAGATACATGTGGAAAGGTCATAGTCCATATACTGAGGCCCACAAAAGACTGATGTTTAATTAAAAGATTAAAAGAAACACTTCTCCCTCATACCTCACCATCATATTCATAGAGTTTCAGCATAACAAAAGTGAATTATAGCTAAAGGAGTTCAAACTTATATCTGAAAAGAAGTTCTTAGGGAAGCCCAAAGTCAACAGATAAGACAACGAAAACACTAAAGAAATTCCAAGTCTCTGGTCCTAGAGAAACAACAAAAATTAAAGACAGTTCAAACCCTTGCCTGATAAACATAAAACCTAATACTAAAAGTTTGTTTACCCCAGTTTTTATTACCTGATACATGAAGACCAAGATTAAACACAAAATTAAAAACATGCTAAAAGACAGAAAAAACAAAAAGTGATCCAAAGAGACTGATTCAGAATTAGATTTCAATTTGATAAAGATTTTGAACTTATTGGATAGTTTAAAATAACAATGACTAAGATATTAGGGCCCTAATGGATAAAGTAGACAACACACAAGAATAGAGAGGTGATATAAACTAAGATGGAAACTAAATAACAAAGAATACTTAAAAGTCTTGTTCTGTTGGATTTCAAAAGAAAATGCAAAAATAGAAAAACACTGTAGCAGAAGTAAAGTATGCCTTTGATGGCAGTAGATTAAATTCAGTGAAAGAAAGAATTGATTACCTTGAAGACATGTCAATAAACACTTATTAAACTTAAAGGCAAATAGAAAAAAAAAACAAGAAAAATAAACCTGCAACAAAGCATGTAAGATCTGTGGAACAATTTTGAAATGTATAATACAAACACGATTGAAATATCAGAAAGAAAAGAAAGATAAAATTGTCAAAAAGATATTTTTGGAGAAATAATGGCCAAGAATTTTCCAAAATTAATGACAGACCCAAATCTAAAAATCTGGGAAACTCAGAAACTTTCAAGCAGAATAAATAAACATATAAATACACACACACACACACACACACACACACAAACACACACATTATATACTATATATGTACTTACAGCTAGGCATAGTATATGCAAACCACATAACAGTGTGATGAAAATAAAACGTTGAAATAAGTGAGAAGATAAATATTTATTTTACCTATGGTGAAAATGGATAAGAATCACAGATGACTTCTCATCAGAAACCATGCAAGCAAGAGGAATCATATATCTAGAGAAATTATCTTTCAAAACAGAAAGAGAGATAATTTCTCAGACAAACAAACACTGATGAAATTTACTGCTGGCAGATCTTCTATACAGGAAATGTTAAAGGAGATTCCTCAGAGAGAAAGAAAATGATATAGGAAAGAAACAAATTCACAAAAGGAAAGAAAAGATTATCAGAACAATAATAAAATAAAACATTTTATTTTATTATTCTAAGCAGATCTTAAACAAAGTTTGTTTAAAGCAATAATAGTAAAATTGTATTGGTTACTATTGCATATGGATAAGTAAAATCAATGCCAGTAAAATGTTTGGGAGAGATTGAGAATACTGTTATAAGATAATGGTGATACCCATGAAGCAGGTAGTTTTGCTTAAAGGTCAACTTACATTAGTTAAAAATGTATATTGCAAAGTCTAGGACACACACACACACACACACACACACACACACACACACACACACAGAAAGAGAGAGAGATTTATATTATTCTAAAAAGGAAAATAAAATGAAATCATATAAAATGCTCAATTAAAACCACATAAGGAAAAAAAAGAGAGAAATAAGAAATACAATTTATATAGAATAGTTGAAAGATGGTAGATATGAACCCAACTATATCAACAATCACATTAAATGTGAATGGTAAATACAACAATTAAAGGACAGATCTTCAGAGTGAATAAAAGATCAAATATATATTGTCTGTGAGAAACCTACCTTAAATATAAGCACTCACACAAGTTAAAAGTAAAGAAATATGTATACCATGTTAACACCAATTCAAAAATAGCTGGAGTACCTCTATTTTGGATAAAGCTGACATCAGAACAAAGATTATAAAAAAGTGAGGTTAATTCATAGTAAGTCAATTATCCAAGAAAACATAACAATTTCAAATGTGTATTTCTCTAACAAGAGTGTCAAAGTGCATGAAGCAACGACTGATAAAACTGCAAAGGAAATATATAAATTCAGTACTACAGTGGGAGACTAATGTTCCTTTTTTAGTAATTGATAAATAAAGCAGATAAACAATCAGTAATGATATAGAAGACTTCAACAGCATTATCGGTATGATCCAACTAGCATTTATACAATGATTTACTCAACAAGAGCATAATACACATTCCTTTAAAATTCAAATAGAACATTAACAAAGATGGAGCACATTCCAGGTCATAAAACACATCTTAACAAACTTAAAAGCGTTAACTTTTTATAATGTATATTCTCAAACCACAATGAAATTCAGATAAAAATCAGTAAAAGAAAGTCAGAAAAATCTAAAATATGCCTAAAATATGTGATGGTTAAATAATATAAGTAGCACACAGGTCAAAGAAAGCTCTCAAGAGAATTCTTTAACGAACAAAATTAAATTCAAAATATAATTTATCAAAATTTGTGTGTTGCAGTGATAGCAGTGATAAATGTAAAGGGGAAATTCGTAGGACTAAAAGAGGATGTAAATCAATAACTGGAGCTTCCACCTTAGGAAATTAGAGATGCAAAACAATTTAGCCCCAAAGCAAATATTACAAAAGATATAATATTAGAGCAGAAATCAATAAAATTGAAAGCAGAAAAACAATACCAAAATTCAATAAACCCAAAGCCTGATCTTTAAAAAATAATCAACAGAAATTATAAACCTCTGGAAACATTAGCAGAGAAACAATGAAGATGCAAGTTGTGAATATCAAAATGAAAGACAGATCATCACTACTGAGGCTATGGACATTAAAATGTCTACAAAACTACCGTGCCTACAAATTTATTAACTTAGCTGAAATGGACCAATTCCTTGAAAGACATAAACTACCAAAATGTACACAATAAGAAATAGACAGTATGAAAGGCCTGGGAAAATGGAATCATTAATTAGTTAGCTTCCAAAAATTAAAGCACCAGACCAAGATGATTTTGCTAGTGAATACTACCAAATCTTTAAGGAAAAAAAAGATTCTATGAAAACATTTTAAGGAAATAAAGGCTGAAGTAATACTTCCTAACTTATTCATGAGTTAGGAATACCTAATATTAAAAACAGATAAAATCATTATAAGAAAGGAAAGCTACAGGGCAATATTTCTTATTAACATAGATGCAAATTTCTGAACAAAACATTTACAAGGTAAATTCAACAGTGATTATAAGGATTATATACCAGGATCAAAGAGATTTTAGTCCAGGTTTGCAGAGTTGGTACGACATCAAAAATCAATACAATATACCATATCAACAAGAAAAAGAGAAAATATCACATGGTTCTATCAACTGATGAATAAAGCATTTGACAAAAATCTAACAGCCATTCATCATAAACAATACCTCCTAGCCAAAGAGTAACAGAAGATACTTTCCCAATTTGATTTTTTTTAATCTACAGACGGAATACAGCTAACATCACACTGAATGATGAGAAACCAGATGTCTTTCCATATTCTTGGAAACAAGGCAAAATTATCCTCTCCTACCATTACTATTTCACATGGTAATGGAAGTGTTACTTAGGAAAGGAATTGAAAATAATGGGAATTTTTTAAGACAATAAAAAGGAAATAAGAGACGCAGAATGGAAATGAAAAAACGAAACTATCTCTTTTTTGTAGATGACATAATTATCTGTGAAGAAAATTCCAATGAATCAACAAACTTCTGGAACTAATAAATAAAATAAAATTTTATGTTTTTATAATTATATGCATATATCTAAGTGACCTTGGATTTGAAAATTAATTTTTAGATACAATGCCAAAAGCATAATCCATGAAAGAAGACATTGAAAATTTGAACCCTATGAAAAATAAAAATTTCTGCTCTGTAAACCACAGTATTAAGAGAATAATCAGTTAAGAATAGATTGAAATAAAATATTTCTAAGATATCTTTATTGTAAAAAACTTGTATCTAAAACATACTCAAACTCTTAAAACATAACAATAAGAAAATCAGCAACCGTATTAAAAAAAAATAGGAGAAGGGTATTAACAGACACCATGCCAAAGAAGATATACTAATAACAAATATGAAAAGACCCAACATTATTTTTCACTAGGAAATTTCAAACCAAAATTAACATAGACCTATTAGAATAGTTAAAATCAAAAACTCTGACAGCTCCCTTATCTCCAAGAATGCAGAGCAATAGGAACTCTAATTCATTGTGAGAATGCAAAATGGTTCAGGAACTTTGGAAGGTTGTCAGTTTCATGCAAGGTTAAACATACACACGGTGTTCTCGTATCATCCAGCAATATGCTGTTAGGTATTTACCCAACTTATTTGAAAACCTACGGCCACAAAAAAACCTGCTCGTGAAAGTTTATAGCAGCTTTATTAATAATCACCCCAAACTGGAAATAATCAAGATGTCCTGCACAAATGAATGTGTAAACAAACTATGGTATAGCCATACAAATTTACATTGCATATGTATATTTCCGTCACTTGAATATTATTCAGTGATAAAAGAAATAAACTATAAAGCCAAAAATATACATAGACAAATCCTAAATGCACATTACTAATTAAAAGCAGTCAGTTTGAAAATGCTACATTCTGTACGATATCAACTATGTGACATTCCCAAAATTTTGAAAAGATAAAATTATAATGACAGTAAAATATCAATGGTTGCCAGAGGTTTAGGGAAGAGGAGGAAGGGCTAAATGGATAAGGCACAGGGGATTATTTGGAGCATTATATCTATTCTGTATGATGCTGTAATAGTAGCCATGTGACACTAGACATTTACTAACTCATAGAACTTTCCAGTACAGAAGAGTGAACCTGAATATACCCAAAGTAAAAAAGAAAACAAAACTATAAGTTTTCGTGGGGTGATCTCAGGGTGGATTCAATATATGTCAAAATAAACTGTGTAACAAATGTATGAAACAGCCTCACTGAAGTGGATGGGAATGGAAAAATACCGAACTATATAACCTTTGGAATTGGTGGAGTCTTTACAGTTTAAGGCAAAACAAGCAACAACAACAACCACAAAAAACCTATGCAGAAGCCCACTTTTCTAGTCAATAAAGTTGTTCCTAGGCAAGTATGGATTAAATATTTTTATAGTGCTACACATGTATATGAATTTAAACTTTATATAAACGTAGGGTAGATGGTGGGAGATTTCTGAATGCTGAAATGGAAGGTCACAGATAAGTAAGGGGAAGAAGATAGAATTATTGATGTGGTCATCGATTACATTTGGAGATATCAGTATGAACTCATGATTAACTTTATATAGATACAGCTATTTAAATAGAGAGCTGTTTATAAATATGTATATATACTTGAATTAGTATATAAACATTTATCTCCTTGATTTGTCAGCTGGAAATGCCTACAAGGAAGAACTCACTGGCAGCAGTGACTATACCTCGTACCCAGATATTAATGATATTTATACTTTTCTCCATGAAGACAAATCAGGTATTCTTGGATACATAGGTTTCCTAGGACTAGGGAAGAAACTATAAAAGATGAGCCTGGAGCTTTCTGTAATGCTGCAGAGATCAAGGAAGTGCTAAAGACCAATCAACCAACAAGCAAACATATTAATAAGCTGTCAAAGAAACAACACTCAACTGAAAGTTTTCCCAGTGGTCCAAGATGGGACAATTTGAACACCACCAAAGCAGTTTTGATAATATTGGTTTAAAAGCCTAAATATAAATATTTACTTACTAAGATCCACACTACTGTAGATCAATGATTCAATAAATAAATAAATGAGGGAGAAGAAATGAATGTCCCATGCAGAAGAATTCCAGATATTGTTGGTAGAAACTCTGCCCTCTAGGAAGTATAACTATTTACTCCTTAGGTGTAGTTTGCACAAAGTGACTTCCTTCCAAAGACTGCCATGTGAATAGGGAGGAAAAGGCGTAGCTTTGCAGTGGAGAAACCTAACATACTCTATTTCAGCCAGATGATCAAAGTCAACATCCACAATTATAAGTCATGTCATCCTATAATGAAATAAAAACAGTTCAATGTTCTCCCTCTCCAAACCTATAAGCATAGTCTAGTTATGAGAATAAACCAGACAAATCACAATAGAGTGATACTCTACAGCAGGGGTCCCCAGCCCCTGTCCACAGACCACTGGTAGCCTGGCCGCACAACAGGCAGTGAGCAGTGGGCCAGCAAACAAATTTTCATCTGTATTTACAGCCGCTCCCCATCACTTGCATTACTGCCTAAGCTCCAGTGTTAGATTCTCATGGGAGCAGTAACCATATTGTGAAATGTGCATGTGAGGGATCTAGGTTGTGCGCTCCTTATGAGAATCTAATGCCTGATGATCTATCACAGTCTCCCATTACCGTCATCTCAGAGCGCCATTGATTCTACATTATGGTGAGTTGTATAGTTATTTCATTATATATTACAATGTAATAATAATACAAATAATGTGCACAATAAATATAATGCACTTGAATCATCCCGAAACTATTCCCCACAGTCTGTGGAAAAATAGTCTTCCATGAAACTGGTCTCTGGTGCCAAAAAGTTGGGGGCTACTGCTTTACAGACTACATGAGCAGTGCTCCCCAGAAGTCTCAAGGTCACCCCCAAAGATGAAAAGAGTGAGAAATTGTCATAGCTAGGAGAAATGTTAGAAGACGTGATGTCTGAATGTAATGTATCCTGAATGAAATCCTGGAACAGAAAAATTATATTAGATAAAATGAAATCTGAATAAAGGAGGGATTTTATTTAACAATAATGTATCAATATTGGTTCATTAATTGTAAGCAGTATACCATCCTAATATAAAATTTAATAACAGGAGAAACTGTGTATGTGGTTAATGGGCACTCTATAAAAGCTTTGTAATTTATATAAATATAAAAGTGTTCTGAAAAATGAAGTTTATTTTTAAAGTTTTAAAAATCAATCAATGAATATTTTTAAATGCCTACCATGTGCAAAGGAATGTGATAAGAACTGCTTCAGGGTCTGAAGTGTTTTATCGACTCTTATTATATTTCTCCATTATTTAAAGTTCTGAAAAATGACATATAACATTTATTTGGCACAGTAAAAAATTGGGGGCCGGGTGTGGTGGCTCACTGTAATCCCAGAACTTTGGGAGGCTGAGGTGGGCAGATCACAAGGTCAAGAGATGGAGACCATCCTGGCCAACATAGTGAAACCCCGTGTCTACTAAAAATACATAAATTAGCTGGGCATGGTGGCGTGCTCTTGTAGTCCCAGCTACTCAGGTGGCTGAGGCAGGAGAATCACTTGAACCTGGGAGGCAGAGCTTGCAGTGAGCCGAGATTGTGCCACTGCACTCAGGCCTGGTGACAGAGTGAGACTCCATTTCAAAAAAAAAAAGGGGGGGTTGTTTTTGCTTTAAATATTGTATGCCTTTTTGAGATTGATGAAAATAAATTGATTTATTTGAAGTTTCAATTGTGTTTTCACATATTAGACTAACTCACAAGAGTTTTAATATATTTCTTAATTACTGTAATCTTGCAATAAATCTTGCAGAAGTAAATGAGAGATCAAAATACTTTTCTGTTTCATTTTCATGAAATTCAATTCATAAAACATTTCAAAACAATTTATAAAAAATTAAGTGCTTACAAAAATATATGCTCTCAATCTTCTGCATGCCTCTACATGTACTATTTTAAATCATATTTTAACAACAAATATTTTTATGTTAATTTCTTATTCTTAATATTAAATGAGAAGTCAAACTTTAAAAAAGTTGAATGACATGCCTGCATTGTTTTTAATGCTCTTGATGCTGAATGTTTCTTTCTAATCTTTTTCTAGTTTGATTACAAGACTCCATGACAGAGAGTAAAATGCTTAAAACATTTCTTCTCATTTTTCATTTACTCAAATTTCAGTCTACTTTAATATTACATTGTCCAGCATTTCATTTAATAATATTAAATTTTTAATCAAAAAGAAGTCTTAGAAGTACTTTAATGGAGGGTTTATTATAACAGCTTAGTTTTTTTCTCTTGCCTTGAATGTCTTTCTCCATCATTACCACCTCCTGTCAGCTTGGATCACATTTGCCTTTCTTTGAAGATGTAACTCATGTATTACTTCTTTTATAAGACTTGTATGAGTATTGTAGTGGAAGGAGACCCTCTTTGTTTTGAGAATCCGATGAATCTCAAATATATTTTTATCAGAGCCAATCACTGATACATATTAATTGTTCAATAAACCTCTGTTGATTTTTTAAATTCATGTCATGTGATGTCAGTCATTTGATAATATTTATATGGCTCACCACTAAATTATAAGTTTTTTAATGTTCCAAAACATTTTAGATTTATTTCTGGATCCCCAATTGCTTTGTATGGAATATGAACACAAAATAGGCACTGAATAAATTTTTGCTGAAGAAGTGTCTGAGTCTAAGGGTTTTGGTGACTTCCCCACTGTCTACATAGCCACCACATCTGGTAGAGCAGTGCCAATATTGAGTACATTTTACACTATTTGTATAATACTTTCAAAGATTATTACATCTCTATACACAAGTATGCAATCAACCGTTTGTAGCTCATTGCTGCAAGCAAACATGAACTTCTTTTGAGCATTAGCAAGAATAGCTGGTAATAATATAGTTAGATTTAGGAATGAATTTGCATTTTAAAAATCATGTTGTGTAAAAAAGCCAAGTGAAACGTATGATGATTTTACAATTTGGGAAAAACATTAACAAAAGGTGGAATGGCTTCATTTTTGCTAACATTACCTGAACCCTTAAAATTCCCAAGCCTGGTTCATAAATAGCTCCTGTGATTAACATTATTCTAGGGACCTCTAGCTCACCATAGAAAGCTTTAATTGTGGCCAGGCGTGGTGGCTCATGCCTGCAATCCCAGAACTTTGGGAGGCTGAGGCAGGTGGATCACCTGACATTAGGAGTTCGATACCAGCCTGGCCAATACGGTGAAACCCCGTCTCTACCAAAAATATAAAAATTAGGTGGGCTGGTGGCGGGCGCCTATAATCCCAGCTACACGGGAGGCTGAGGCAGAAGAATCGCTTGAACCGGGGAGGGAGAGGTTGCAGTGAGCCGATATCATACTGTTGCACTTCCAGACTGGACATCTAGAGCGAAACTCTGACTCAAAAAAAAAAAAAAAAAAAAAAAAAAAAAAAAAAAAAAAATCACACACATTCCTATAGAGATACCTCTTTCAAACCATCAGTTTTTTGTTTTTCGCTTTGGTCGGTTGGGTTTTTTTTTTTTGTTTTTTTTTTTAATGGAGTCTTGCTATTGTCTCCAGACCCACGCGCAGTGGCGCGATCTCAGCTCACTGCAACTTCTGCCTCCCGGGTTCAAGCAATTCCCCTGCTTCAGCCTCCCAAGTAGCTGGGATTACAGGAATGCGCCACCACGCCTGGCTAATTTTTTGTATTTCAGTAGAGACGGGGTTTCACCATGTTGGCCAAGATGGTCTCCATCTCTTGACCTCGTGATCTGCCTGCCTCGGCCTCCCAAAGTGCTGTGATTACAGGCACGCCCGGCCTCAAATCATTAGTTTTTACCGATAATTTTTCTCCAGAATTATTGTTAGGTTCGTATTCTTCTGTAACTGGTAGTAGACATTGCTGTGGGATTATAGGTAAGAGAGTGACCTAAGACGTTTTATTAACCTGAATTATCAAATTAAGGGCAAAAGCCAGTGATGCATCATGAAACTCTATACATGATGAGGCCTAGAGAAATATAGAGCGCCAAATCAGATCTTTGAAAGAGTCATAACTAGAAAAAGAAGAAAGTACGTCGTTGAGGGAAAAAAAGCAGTTCTGAGGAAAATGATAAAGAAAAAAACTTTAAAATCATTTAATTTTATAATTTTCAATTAAATTCCAGGGTGCTTAAATAATTTGTGTGTAAATGATGCCAGAAGATTAAGATGTAGGTTTCAGATATTGTTGATTTAAAAAATCTAGATTTTCAGAAAACATAAATTATGCATTTTATAATGACCAATAAGCTTGCTAATGGTCCATAAAAAATTATTTATTCTATTATTAGATATATAATGTAACAAATTTTTTCCAAAAATGACTTAGTCTGATTTTCCAAGAATAAGTGATGCCAATAAAATCTCATAAACAAGTATTTTTATTACCTTTATATACATTTATTTTAATATATCAGCATCAATACCTGTGAGGGCAACATGATTAACACTAAAATAGTGTATTTTCTTTCAGTGGTTACCTGTCCAGTGTGGATGTTACATATTGACTACTCTCACAACATTAACTTTGGAGGTAGTGAAAGATTGTAAATAAGCTTAAAAATTAATTTTCAATGGCACCCTTGAGGGGATTATATATCTTGGGGTCCATAAAATGCAAGACTAATATTAATGGGTGTGGTAACAATTGACTAGATGCTCTCTAAAAGTGAATTGCCTTTACTTCATGACTGTATAGCTAGACTAAATTTATCATTCTCTCTTTCAATAAGATATGGTCAAATAACTGATTTGTCACCAATATGGATAGAAGTATGTATGTCACTTGAAAATAGGGCCCATAAAAACTTTTTTCAGAAGTACTGATTTCATTATTTACTATTAAGCCGCAGTAATCAAACCAGTATGGTGTAAGGATGAACATATATATCAATGGAATAGAATTGAGAGTCCAAAAATAAACTCTCTCATCTACAGCAAATTCATTTTTAACTAGAATGCAAAGATCACTCAATGGGAAGAGAATAGTCTCTTCAACAAATGGTGCTGAGACAGCTAGTTATCCATAGGCATAAAAATAAAGTTGTATACTGATCCCACACTGTATAAAATACAATTCAAAATAGATCAAATAACTATAAGAGCTAAAACTATAAAACACGTAGAAGAAAATACAGGGTTAAATCTTTAATACCTTGGATTTAGCACTCATTTTTTTAGATATGCTACCAAAAGCACAAACAATAAAAAAGGTAAATTGGTGTTGATCAAAATTTAAAACTTCTGTGCATCAAAGGGCACTATCGATGGAGTAAAAATACAACCCACAAAATGAGAGAAAATATTCGTAAATCATATATCTGATAAGGGTCTATTTTCCAGAAAATATTTTTAAAAACTATTTCAAGTTAACAACAAAAAGACAACCCAATTAAAATTTTGTCAAAGTCTTGAGCAGACATTTCTCTGAAGAAGAAATATATTTGAACAATGGGCACAGGGTAAGATGTTCAACATCATTAATAACTAGAGAAATACATATCAAAACCTCTGTGAGATACTCCTCACCACCCAAAAGAATATAATTATTTTAAAATTTGAAAATTAAAAGTTTTGAAGATTTAGAGAAATTAGACCTCATGCAATGCCAATAGGAACGTAAAATGACACAGCCACGTTTGAAAACAGTTTGGCACTTCCCCTGTAAGTGAAACATAGTCTTTCAATATGGTCGATCAATTCTCCTCCAGGTTATGTACCCAAAATATCTAAAAAGAGGTGGCCAAAAAGAACTTCTACAAAAATGTTTATAGCAGCCCTATTTACAACAGCTAAAGATGGAAACCAATCCAAATGTCAAGTGGTGGACATTGAGTAAACAATATATTGTATACCATTCAATGGAACATTATTCAATCATAAAAAGGAAAGAAATCCTAATAAATGCTGTAACATTAATTAACATTAGAAAAATTATGGCAAGAGGCCAGATACAAAAGGTCACTTATTCTATAACTCCAGTTATATGATATTATCCAGACTAGACAAATCCACAGGGACAAAACAGCAAATTAGCAGTTGCCACATGCTGAAGGAGGATGAGAATAGGGAGTGACTGCTTTAATGGATATAGATTTCCCTTTGGAATAAAGAAAAATTTCTGGAATAAGATAATGGTGAAGGTTGCAAAAATATGGTGACTGTTATAAAAGTCACTGAATTACTCTTTAAAATGTTGAATTGTACACATGTGAATTTTACTGCAATAAAAAAGCTATTGAATATAAAGAAATAATTCTATTCAGAATAAAATATTTTATAGGTTTTCCTGCAACATATGTTCCCACAGCATGTTTTCATGCCCTGTTAGAATTCAACACTGAACAAGCAATTGCCAGAGATAGTCTAATTCACCTAAATTATTACATTTTTTGTCATCCTGTTATATATGAACATATAGTACTCACATGCAATATTACTTTCAAAGTAGAATTTATTTACCTTTTTGTAACCTATGGCAGCTTATGAAATTTTTTGTTAATATTGAAAAAATAAATAACATGAATATGTTGAGGAATTCTTTTCTGTCTCCTACAATGAGATTTGATGTCTGTTACATATCAAAGGAAGCATCTGCTCACTCTTAATGAATATTTTATCCTTCAGGATATATGGGATTATGTTATATGCTCATAAATATAGTAAACTCAGTTATATTCTGACCATTTTATAGATCTGTACATTCTTCTTCATAGTTATTAGAAATCCATAAAACAAAGAAGTTTAAATGGCTGTAATTTTGTGGCATAGTGTTTAAAAAATAACCGTCATTTGGCTGTTTTTGTGTTTATCAGGATCAGTTCTTTAACTTACTTAAATCCAGCTTTCCATAATCATCACAATGAGAAGGCCACTCACTACTCTCACGTGCTCTCTTGAAATAAGGTGAATGAAATAAATGAACAGCCTATAATTAAATAAAAATATCTGAAGCCGTATTTATTCTGAGTCCAAAGATAATTTATTTTAATTATATTCTACCCACTGTGTAATCATTCAGTCTGTAATACTGGTTCTAACCCCTTTGTTCAGTATTTATCAAAAGCAGAAATTACAAAGGTAAATGAAATACATTTTGATAAGAAGGTATTTGCATTCCACTAGAAATACGCTTTCCTTATACATATTCATATGTGTTAAACATTTTATATATTTTTATGGAATGTTGATCACTTAAGTTCATATATCCCTCATATACTTCTCTCCCTTACTCTTCCTCTCTCATTTTTGTAATATGGCTTCCACTTCTGGCGCAATTTCTGATGTTATATATTTTCTCTATGTCTGACATTGAAGTCAGGAACATTTTCCATAACATTCACATGCCCCAAGTCCCTTCAAAGTGTTTGGGTATGCCCTAGGCCAGGAAAGCACCTCTCCTTGGCTGACCATACAAGGGAAAGGAATTGGAATACCAAGTCAAGATGGATTCTAAGTATCTTCTGATATATTACCAATTTCTCCTTTTTCCCAGCACCAAAGGATTTCTTTCTTTCAGAATGTTGCAATGACCTCTTCACTGATATATTTTCCTTGTGGAACCACCATTCTGCAATTCATTTTCCTCACCATCATCTTAATGCTCTTTATGATGACAAACTCGATAATACCATTTTCCTGCCAAATTTCTTTAATGGCTTTCCAAGCTTATATACTTTCCAAGTTATTTATTATGGCACTGACCTTTCAAAATCTGCATCTACTTATTGTATCTATAGATTATCTCAGCTCCTCTTTTTCATTGTCTGAGCACCAGATACATGATGCAGATATCAGACTGCTCCAAGTAACACATATTCTTTCCTTTCTTCATTTGGAAATTAGGAAATTATGTTATTTTAGTATGGATTATTCTTATCTGCGTAGTGAACATTTATTCAAACTTCAATACGTATGCTGCAGTTTCAATATCTTTGAGAAGTTTTATCTTCTTTTTGAAGGCGAATATAAGACCTTTCTTTTTTTGCTTCTTTCCTGCAGCACTTTGTAAATGTCTCTGTTGTTTGTCAGTGTGCTATTGTAGTTGATTGATTACCATCTGTCTTATCAAGTAGATTTTTCTCTCATGGTCATCCTCCTATGTCTTTGATCTTATTTTCTCTATCTCTTTTACAGTTTTCAGGGGCTGATATTCATTACTTTGCATTTCCATGTATATTTTTCTTTAACATGTGATGACATTGATGCTGACAATACCTATGGAGAAAATGATAATTATATTTAGTATCTACAATTTGACAGGTCCTGGGAGAGATGCTTTATGTGCATTAATTAATTTAACTTCTTAGAAATTTCTTATTTTCTTTCAACTCTGCAAAGTTTATTAATTATTGTAATTCCACATACAGACCATAATGACAGTATTCAGAGAGCATACCTAACTTCTTTAAGACCACACAACTTAACTACCTATTGGGTACTATGCTTATAATGTGGGTAACAAAATAATCTGTACACCAGACTCTTGTGACATGTAGTTTACCTATATAACAAACCTGTACATATACTTCTGAACCTAAAATAAAACTTTTTAAAATAAAATAAGGTTTGTTAATGGAATCATAATAAATTAATTAATTTTTTTCATTAAAAAAAGACCACGCAACTAGCAAATGTAAGATTGGGTTTTCTCCTTAATCATGCAGAATGACAAAATTGTCAAGGACAGACTTTCCTGGCTTTGACTGTGGGTTTTGTCATCTATTGGACATAGGACATGGTCATAGTATGTGTTTTCTCTGCCTCAGTTTCTACATTATAAAATGGACCAATATTAGTAAATAACACATAAATTGTTGTAAGTCTTCAATGGATTTACAGTTGTAAAAAGTATTTAGAAGAGCATTTGGAGTCAAATAAGGACCATGAAATTGTGTTATTTTTATCACATCCCATTCTCTTATCTGTTTTGTGTATCTTTATTTCCACTCTTTGTGATTTCAAAATTCACATCACTCTATACCGTGCTGCTTTCTTAACATTTCTTCCTATGTAAACAATAACTCAGTAACAATGAAGATAAGTATTTTATCATACCCTGACTTGAGTATGCAGGTAGAGTGAAGCTCTGGAGCAGTCAAGCACATTATCATGATACATGATCATATTTAGTAAAGTTAAAGAGAGTGGATGGGAAAAGTTTACATTAGAAGTTAAAGAACTTTTTTTCTTTTTTCTGGTAAGGACCAGGTAGTGAATATTTCATGTTTTGCAGGCCATATATTCTTTTCTGCAGCTTCTAACCTCTGCCCCGATTTGGAAAAACAACCATGAACAATATATAAATTAAGGAGCATGGCTATGTTCCAATAAAACTTTGTTTATAGACAATAAAATTTGAATTTCACATAATTTTTATGTTAGAAATAATGACTCAACTTTTTTTTTTTTTTGAGATGGAGTCTTGTTCTGTCACCCATGCTGGAGCGCAGTGGCACGGTCTCCGCTCACTGCAAGCTCCGCCTCCCGGGTTCATGCCATTGTCCTGCCTCAGCCTCCCGAGTAGCTGGGACTACAGGCACCCGCCACCACGTCCGGCTAATTTTTTTTTTTTTTTTTTTTTTGTATTTTTAGTAGAGACGGGGTGTCACCGTGTTAGCCAGGATGGTCTCAATCTCCTGACCTCATGAAGCACCTGCCTCAGCCTCCCAAAGTGCTAAGATTACAGACGCGAGCCACTGTGCCCGGCCTACTCAACTTTTTTCAACCATCTAAAAATGTAAAAAAATATCAATAGGAACTATACAAAAGTAGCTATTAAATCAAATTTGGTTTGTGGACTATAGTTTGCTGATCCCTGATTTAGACAAAAAACCTCATTCTAGAGATTTCTATATTTAGTTCTCCTCCCAAAAGTTGCTGTGTTAGTGGCTATTCAAACTTTCTTCTACATGTTTTTGTTTAATGACCAGTAAGATTTTTTCCATATTTTAGGAAGGGTCTTTTCCCCGGAGGCAGGAATAAATAAGGTCTGTTTTTCAAATATCTGTGGAAGAAAGAAGGGTGGTGAAATAACAGAATTGCAGGCACTACACATGTACTTCTATAAAAACTGAAAAATGTTTTCTTATCACATGCATATCATTGGAGAAACCTGATGAGCAGAAACTCTGAATTGGAATAAATACTTTCTGAATGAAGTGAATAGGGTAGACACGTTGCCACTGCTTTCGTTATTTCTTCAAGCTGATCTGTTCATTTACTACTGTGTAGATGATTGTAAATATGAAATTTATTTGATACTTAGACCTCAAGAAGCTTAGCGAGTCTTTAGTTACTCCTCGCAAAAACTACTCCCTTTGCAAATCAGGGAGCTGAAAGTTGAAGCAAGAAAGTGACTTTCTGATGTAAAGTGTTGCTTTGGAGTTGTCCTGACAAAGAGTAAAACAAACATAGAAAGTAAATATCTGACAAAAGCAGAAACATCAGACAGGTTTAGTTTTTCACTTCACTCCCTATCTTGCAGATCAGTTCCATTGAAATCTATGAGAATCTTTAATGCTAGGGAAATCTTCACGTGGCCAAGAAAAATAAAAATCTTTTCCACAAAGTCCAGTATTTAATAAAAGATTAAATAAAGTTCTGCTGTTTTATTTTATTATTTATTTTTTAAATTTCTCCTTCACTACCAAAACAAATGATTTGGGGGGTAGTCATTTAATAATAGAATTAATCTGCGTAATTGTTATACAGTACCACTTAATCTTTGGCTCAATTTAGCTTTAGTGTGAGTTAGAATATTCTGGAGATTCCAACAGGAACAAATAATTTGGTAATTGTAAATATTAAGCTTATAACAATTACATAAAAATAGCTTTGTGATTGAACCAGTAAGGAACATACAATTATGTGAGGTGTTTTGGTTTTTGTTGTTGTTGTTTTTAATGGTTCTATCCACAGAATCGTTTAGCAGTCATAATAAAATGATCTCCCAAACAGCATATTTAAGTCTGTACATCCTGATATGCTCGCTTTGCTTTCCATCGACTCAATTTCAGGTCTTTCATGGACTCATAATTTAGGGCCAGTGCAGCCCCTGTCATTCTGAAAATTATAATAACACACACACACACACACACACACACACACACACACACATAAATCTTTAGATTATTACACTTTGACAAGTATGAGTCTTTATGATTATATATGAAAAAGTCAAGTGAAGTGAAACAATGAGAAAAGTAATGATGTTAAAATAACCACAAGACCCTGAGTCTATTAATTTTAAAGCAAATACATATTAGGAAAGCCTTCTACATGTCAGACTTTCTTGCCTATCAAATCTCTGTAGCCCATCCCCTATTGTAGAAAAGGAAATATATGTATATACCCCCATAGAAAAGTATATTTTTGTATTTCTCTCACATTCCCCACTGCCCATGTTACTTGGTCTTCTTATGGACTAATCTTACTCTACAGCAAAACATTGTACCCTCGGTCCTTGAACATCTTTTAAACTGGCCATATCAAAAAATAATGAACGAGCCAGCCACTGTCATTGCTGTTCACTCTTCTGAAGGCATTACCTGCAAGGAGTGCATTAAAAAATTCAGAACAAAGTTAATTATTGAAGCCCATAGGTTTTTAGTGATTTAGATATTATATAAGAAAAACTATATAGTACTCTTTTCCTTTTAAAACTAGGGAAAAGTTTTCTTCTCCATAAATAGTAACTTTTGTATTCCTCATTCTACTAATATTAATGGAAATTTTTTTTTTTTTTCTTTGAGACGGAGTCTTGCTCTGTCTCCCAGGCTGGAGTGCAGTGGCGCAATCTCTGCTCACTCCAAGCTCCGCCTCCCGGGTTCGTGCCATTCTCCTGCCTCAGCCTCCCGAATAGCTGGTACTACAGGCGCCTGCCCCCACGCCTCACTAATTTATTGTATTTTTAGTAGAGACGGGATTTCACTGTGTTAGCCAGGATGGTCCCAATCTCCTGACCTCATGATCCGCCCACCTTGGCCTCCCAAAGTGCTGGGATTACAGGCGTGAGCCACCATGCCCGGCCGGAAAAACATAATTTTATATAGACTATGATAGTCCTAGGACTACAAGGTCTTTCTTTTTTCTCTTTTTAATTTTATTTTAGGTTCAGGGGTATATGTGCAGATTTTTTTATATAGGTAAATTTCACATCATGGGAGTTTGGTGTAGAGATTATTTTGTCACCCAGGTAATAAGCTTATTACACAATAGGTGGTTTTGCAATCTTTACCTTTCTTCCACACTCCACTCTCAAGTAGGCCCTGGTGTCTGTTGTTCCCTTCTCTTTGTCCATATGTAGTCAAAGTTTAACTCCTACTTACAAGGAAGAACATGCCATATTTGGTTTTCTGTTACTGTGTTAGTTTTTTTAGGATAATGGCCTCCAGCTACATTCATGTTGCTGCAAAGGACATGATCTCATTCTTTTTTATGACTGTGTAGTATTCTTTGGTGTATATGTACCACATTTACTTTATCAAGCCTACTATGTATGGGCATTTAGTTTGATTCTATGTCTTTGCTGTTGTGAATAGTGCTGTGATGAACATACACATGCATGTGTCTTTATGATAGAATAATTTATATTTCTTTGAGTATATACCCAATAATGGGGTTGCTGGGCCAAATGGTAGTTGTAAGTTTTCTGAGAAATCTCCAAACTGCTTTACACATTGCTGAACTAATTTATATTCCCACCTGCAGTGTGTAAGTCTTCCCTCTTCTCCACAACCTCATCAGCATCTGTTGTTTTTTGACTTTTTAATAATAGTCTGATGACTATTATGACTGATGTGAGATGGGATCTCAGGGTGGTTTTGATTCAGATTACTATAATGAATAGTAATGTTGAGCATTTTTTCATATGCTGTTTGGCCACATGTATGTCTTCTTTTGGAAAATGTTCATGTTCTTTGCTCACATTTTAATGAGGTTGTTTTGTGCTTGTTAATTTAAGTTCTTTATAGATTCTGGATATTACACCTTTGTCAGATGCATAGTTTGCAAATAGTTTCTTCCATTCTGTAGGCTGTCAGCTTATTCTGTTGATAGTTTCTTTTGCTATCCAGAAGCACTTTAGTTTAGATCCCATTTGTCAGTTTGTTGTTGTTGTTGTTTTCGTTGCAATTGCTTTTGGCATCTTCATCATTAAGTCTTTGACCAGTCTTATGTCCAGAATGGTATTTCCTAGATTATTTGCCAAGTTTGTTATGGTTTTAGTTTTACATTTAAGTCTTTCATTTAACTTGAGTTTTTTCATATCTCATATAAGGAAGAGGTCCAGTTTAAATCTTCTGCGTATGCCTAGCCAGTTATCCTTGCACCATTTATTGAATAGGGAGTCCTTTCCCCATTGCTTGTTATTGTTGACTTTGTTGAACATCAAGTAGTTGTAGGTGTCCAAAATCACTCCTGGGCTCTCTATTCTATTCTGTTGGTCTATGTGTCTGTATTTGAACCAGTTTCTTGAAATTTTGGATACTGTATGTAGCCTTTCAGTATAGTGTCAAGTCACGTAATGTGGTGCCTCCACTTTTGATTTTTCCTTAGGCTTGCCCTGGGTATTTGGGCTCCTTTTTGGTTCCACATGAATTTTAAAATAGTTTTTTTTTTTTCCTTTTTTTAAGAGGGAGTCTCACTCTGTTGCTCAAGCTGGAGTGCAGTGGCATTATCTCGGCTCACTGCAAACTTTGCCTCCTGGGTTCAAGCGATTCTCCTGCCTCAGCCTCCCTACTAGCTTAAACTACAGGCGCCCACTACCACGCCTGGCTAAATTTTGTACATTCAGTAGAGATAGGGTTTCACCATATTGGCCAGGCTGATCTCAAACTCCTGACCTTCTGATCTGCCCACCTCGGCCACCCAAAGTGCTGGGATTACAATCATGAGCCACCACGCCCAGCCCAAATAGTTTGCTTTCTAATTCTGTGAAGTATGCCATGTCATTGGTAGTTTGATAGGAATAACATTAAATGTATAAATTGTTTGTGGCAGTACATCCATTTTAACAATATTGATTGTTTCTATTCATGAGCCTGGGCTGTTTTCCCATTTGTTTGTGTCATCTCTGATTATTTTGAACAGTGTTTTGTCATTCTCATTGTGGAGATTTTCAACTCTGTAGTTAGCTGTATTCCTAGGTATTTCTTCTTTTTTGTGGTTATTGTGAATAACATTGTACTTTTGAATTGGCTCTCAACTTTTATGTTGGTATATAGAAATGCTACTGATTTTTGTGTATTTTTTAAATCTTGAAACGTTGCTGATATTATTTATCAGATCAAGAAGTTTTTGAGCAGAAACTATGTAGTTTTCTAGATACAGGATCATATTATCTGCAAATAAGAATACTTAACTTCCTTTCTTTCTATTTATATGCCTTTCATTTCTTTCTGTTGCCTGATTGCTTTGGCTAGGACTTCCAATATTATGTTGAGTAGAAGTGGTGAGAGAGAGCATCCTTGTCTTGTTAAAGAGAAATGCTTCCAACTTTTGCCCAATCAGTATGATGTTGGCTGTGGGTTTGTTGTAGATGTCTCTTATTAATTTGAGGTATATTTCTTCAATGCATAGTTTGTTGAGGGTTTTTAACCATGAAAGGATATTGAATTTATTTGAAAGCCTTTACTGCATATATTGGGATGACCATGTGGTTTTTGTTTTTAGCTCTGTTTATGTGATGAATCATATTTACTAATTTGTATGCTGAATCAACCTTGCATCCCATGGATAAAACCTGCTTGGTTGTGATTGTTTAGCTTTTTCATTTGCTGCTGAATTATTTTTGCTAATATTTTGTTGAAGATTTTTGCACCTATGTACATCAAGGATATTGATCTGAAGTTGTTTTTTTTTTTGCCTTTTTTTTTTGTCTCTGCCAGGTTTTGGTATCTGGATAATGCTGGCCTCATAAAATGAGTTATGGAGGAGGAGTCCCTCCTCTTCAATTTTTTGGAATAGTTTTGGTAGGAATGGTAACAGCTCTTTTTTACCCATCTTGTAGAAGTTAGCTGTGAATCTTTCTGGTCCTGGGCTTTTTATAGTTGTTAGGCTTTTTATTATTGATTCAATTTCAGGAATCAATATTAACCTGTTCAGGGATTTAATATCTTCCTAGTTTAATCTTGGGACGCTGTATATTTCCAGGAATTTATCCATTTCTTCTAGGTTTTCTAGTTTGTGTGCATAGAGTTGTTTATAGTAGTCTCAGAGTGTGTGGGTTTTTTTCTTTTTTTAATTTCTGTGGGACCTGTGGTAATGTCTCTTTTGACATTTCTGATTATGTTTTTTGGATTTTCATTTTTTTTATTAGTCCAGCTAGTGGTATATCTACCTTATTTATTCTTTCAAAAAACAAACTCCTGGATTCATTGATTCTTTTTTTTTTCCGACAGAGTCTCGCTGTCTCCCAGGCTGGAGTGCAGTGGCGTGATCTCTGCTCACTGCAAGCTCTGACCCCCAGGTTCATGCCATTCACCTGCCTCAGCCTCCCGAGTAGCTGGGACTACAGGTGCCTGCCACCATGCCCGGCTAATTTTTTTTTTGTATATTTAGTAGAGATGGGGTTTCACCGTGTTCACCAGGATGGTCTCAGTCTCCTGAGCTCGTGATCCACCCGCCTCAGCCTCCCAAAGTGCTGAGACTACAGGCGTGAGCCACTGTGCCTGGCTGATTCATTGATCTTTTGTATGGTTTTCTGCATCTCAGTTTCCTTCAGATCAGTTTTGACTTTGGTTATTTCTTGTCTTCTGATAGCTTTGGAGTTGGCTTGCTCTTGTTTCTCTAGTTCCCTTAGGTGTAGTGGTGGGTTGTTAATTTGAGATTTTTCTAACTTTTTGATGTGTGCGTTTAGCACTATAAACTTCCCTCTTAACACTCCTCTAGCTATGTGCCAGAGATTCTGGTATGTTGTATCTTTGTTCTCATTAATTTTCAAAAAAAATCTTGATTTCTGCCTTAATTTCATTGTTTACTCAAAAGTCATTCAGAAGCACATTGTTTATTTTCCATGTAATTCTGTGGTTTTGAGCAATCTTCTTAACATTGTTTTTTGTTTTTGTTGTGCTTTGGTCCAAGGGTATGGTTGGTATAATTTTGGTTTTATTGAATTTTACAAGAATTACCTTATGTCCAATCATGTGGTCAATTTTAGAGTGTGTGCCACGTACAAATGAGAAGAATTTATATTCTGTTATTTTTGAATGGAGTGTTCTGTATCTATTAGGTCCATTTGGTCAAGTGTTGAGTTCAAGGCCACAGTATCTTTGTTAATCTTCTGGCTTGACGATCTGTCTAATATTGTCAGTGGTGTGTTGAAATCTGCCAAGATTATTGTGTGGTAATTTAAGTCTCTTTATAGGTGTCTAAGAACTTGCTTTATGAATATGGGTGTTACTGTGTTGGGCACATATATATTTACAATATTTCTATTTTCTTGTTGAAATGAACCCTTGAACATTATGTAATACCCTTCCTTGTGTTTTTTTTTTAATCTTTATTGGTTTAAAGTCTGATTTTTGTTGTTAAATTAGAATAGTAACCTCCGCTCTTGACTGTTTATAATTTTCTTGGTAGATTTTTCTCCATTTCTTTACTTTGAGTCTATGGGTGTTAGTGCATGAGAAATGAGTCTCTTTAAGACAGCATACCATTGAGTCTTGCTGCTTTATCTAATTTGCCACTCTGTGACTTTTAATTGGGACATTTAGCCCATTTACATTCAGGGTTAATATTTAGATATATGAATTTGACCCTGTCATCATGTTGTTAACTGATTATTATACAGACTTGATTGTGTAGTTGCTTTATAGTGTCAATAGTGTATGCATTTAAGTGTGCTTTTGTAGTGGCTGGTAACTCTCTTTCCTTTCTATATTTAGCACTCCCTTCAGGATCTCTTTTAAGGCAGGTCTGGTGGTAAAGAATTTCCTTAGAATTTGCTGGTCTGAAAAGGTTCTTATTTCTCCTTTACTCATAAAGCTCAGTTTGACTAGATATGAAAATCTTGATTGAAGTTTCCTTTCTTTCAGAATGCTGAATATAGGCCCCTGACCTCTTCTGGCTTCTAAGATTTCTGCTGAAAGTCCTACTGTTAGCCTAATGGGATTTTATTTGTACTTGACTGTCTCCTCCTCTCTTTCTTTAAATTTTCATCATTTATTTTGATCTTGGAGAATCTGATGACTATGTGTCTTGATGATGGTTTCTTGTGTAGTATCTCACAGGAGTTCTCTGAATTTGAATGCTGAACCCTCTAGTGAGGTTGAGGACATTCTCATGGACGATATCCTAAAATATGTTTGCCAAGTTGCTTGCTTTCTCTCCATTTCCTCCAAGGGTTTGGTCTCTTTTATAATTCCATATTTCTCAGAGGTTTTGTTGATTCTTCTTTAATCATTTTTCTTTATGTTTGGCTGAGTTATTAAAAAAAAAACAGGCTTCAAACTCTGAGATTCTTTCCTCAGCCTGGTTTATTATGCTATTATGCTATTAATTGTTGTGATTGTATTCTGAAATTCTTGAAGTGAGGTTTTCTGCTCTATCAGAAAAATTTGGTTCTTTCTTAAGATGGCCATTTTGTCTTTCATCTCCTGTATAATTTTATTGTATTCCTTAGAAAGTTTGGATTGAGTTTTGACTTTCTTCGGAAACTCAATGATTTTCCTTCTTATATATATTCTGAATTCTATTACTGTCATTTCAGCCATTATGGCCTGTTTAAGAGCCAATGCTAGGGAACTAGTGTGGTCATTTGAAGGTAAGAAGACACTCTGGCTTTTTGAGTTTCCAGAATTCTTTTGCTGGTTCTTTCTCATCTGTGTGTGCTGATGTTCCTTCAGTTTTTGAAGTTGCTGTCCTTTGGTTGGGCTCTTTTGCTTTTACCTTCTCTGTTGCCTTTACATGTTTGATTGTGGTATAAGGTGGGTTTAGTCAACTGGCTTTATTTTTGGAAGATTATAGGGAGACAAGGCTCAGCTCAGCACTCCTGGTCTGCATGATCAAACTCCGGAGCACGGGTATTAGGCCCACAGCTTTGTTCTCTAGCCTCTCAAGGTTAGTAACCTGTGTGCCGGAGGTGCTGTGGTATTCCCAGACTGCTGACCACAATATTCCTATGGGTCGTGCCTCTCAAAGTGCTTCATCAGGGAGGTGACAGCATGATTTGTGCTCAACTGCACATGCCAGCAGCAGTGGGAGCACAGTGGGGTGCATGCTTGTTGGCTGCTGCAGGGTGCTGGTAGGTATGCCAACCTCTGTGTGCACATTTGTATCAGTGGCAGTGTTGGAACCTGGGTTGGCACTGGCTCTTGCTAGTTGGGGGAGCCCAGGGATATGTACTCACTCTGGCAGCAGTGGCCTAGTGGGTACACATGCACACCAGTGGGGAACTGGAGACAAGGTCTGTCTGTGTGCACACAAGCCACCAAAGCAGTGGGAGGGTGGCTGTGGGCTACTGTGTCCTGACAAAGTTGTTTGGGGAGGCTGCAGTGGGCGGAAGCTGCAGCTGTACTCGTGTACATTGGTGGTGGCTTCTCTGGTAGAGCTCTCCAATGGTCAGGCACAATCCGCTGGCAAAGGAGCAATGATGTGGGCTCCAGGGAGGAACTCCAGTTGGGGATCTGAGGCTGCACTGCAAGTGTGCATGGCCAGCAGACAGTGGGGTGCTCATATCTCACTGGCCCCATCTCATAGGCAAGAACATTCTACTCTGTTTGGGTCTGGCAGATTCTCTAAGGCTAAAGTATCCTAGGGGAGCATGGCAAGTCTTGAGGGTTGGGTATCCTTGGCCGTGCTTCACTAGAGAAATTCTTACACCAAATCCTCTGGGCTCTGCATAAGCTGGTGTCCTGCCTCCACCACCTCTTTAAGCAGTATTTATGGGGTCATGGGTTCCCCTACTGCTAGGGTTCCAGAGGTCCATGTAGAGAGTGGGTCTCTCCTTGCCTGTTCACCTCATTCCTTCCCCGGGAACAAGTCTTGGTGTGCAATAGCTTTATATGGGGTTCCCAACTTCCTCCCCCTTTATACTAGCATCTGTGTCTTCCCTCCATGCACTCTCAATGCCTTCCCTCCGAAGATTGCCGGGAGTGCACCAGTCTTTCTGACTTCCCAATTCCTCAGTGGCAGATGATCCTCCTGGCTGCGCTTAGTCAACCATCTTGCCACAGAGTTCGCAAAGTCTTAAGATAATGACTTCAGAAAGATTATGATTTAGTAGAGAAGATATAATTTGTACTTAATAAATGTCTTTAATATAGAAGAATTCAAATGAATTATGTAGACACATCCTCCCTTAAGTAATTGGAACATAATTCCCTATTTCTTAAGTGTATGCTATTCCCAGTCATTTGCTTTCAAAGTCTATAGCATAGAAAGGAGGAGAAAATATACTTTACAGTGGAGAAACCTGAAAAATAATACTTTTGTCATGTGATAAAAGTTAACATTACTGTAATGTTATGTTGATAGCATGTACCCTTGATATGATGTGTTGAGAATGTAGCTTTATATCTCAACTTCTTCCCCAAAACACATAACACCAAATAAATTATGAGAAAACATCAGATAAATCCTAATGAAGTAACATTCTACAAATTATCAGACCAATATGTCTCAAAAATGTCAAAGTTATCAACAATAAGTAAATTCTGAGAACTTGTCACAGCCAAGATAAACCTAAGACATGATGACTAAATGTAATATGATATCCTAGATGAGATCCTGAAACAGGAAAAAAGGACATTACAAAAAATCTAATAAAATAGGAAGAAATTATAGACTTTGGTTAATGATAGTATATCTCTATTGCTTTATTAATTTAACTAATGTACCACACTAATATTAGGGAAACCTGGGTATGACATATATGTGAACTCTGCCCTATCTTTAAATTTTATGTAAATATAAAACATTTCTAAAATGAAAATTTTATTAAAGTATTTTTTAAACCATCAATTTTAAGAATCAAATAATGTAGAACAATAAAGGAGGTCACATATTCAATAACTATTTGAAAAGAAAATTATAAATTATAGGGAGCCTAAGAATCCTAGAATCAGTGGATATATTTTTGACTATTTAGAAAATTTATCTCAAAATATTTGCATCTGAAGTTTTGATGTTATTATATCTATTATAAAAATAATAAACAAAAAATAAAGTTAAATATGTATATCCCATAACACACAATTTATTTGCATATTTATATTTGGCATAAAAAATAAGAATATAAGAAGAAAGAATATACCCTTCCTCTATTATTATGCTTATGGCATTTTGTTTTAGGTCTCTTCCAATGAGAAGTATAGACAAAAATTCTGTTTAAAACCATGTGGTTCTACTATTGCATGTTTTGTTACATTTAGGTTATAATTCACATTGGACAAAAGGTTATAAAGATATTGATAAGGTTTAGATCTGTATCCCCACCCAAATCTTATGTTGAATTATAATCTGCAATGTTGGATGTTGGACCTGGTGAAAGGCGGTTGAATCATGGGAGTGGTTTCTCATGGTTTAGCACAATTGCCTTGATGCTGTTCTCATAATAATGAGCAAGTGGGTTGTCATGAGATTTTGTTGTTTAAAAGTGGTTTGGAACTTCCTAGAGAATTGTTAAATTGTTGTGAGCAAAATACTGATACTAATATGGACAGTGAAGGCCAGACTGCAGAGGTCTCAGATGGAAATAAGAAACTTATTAGTCACTAAAGCAAAGGTCACTTTTTTATGCATTAGCAAAGAGGCTGAAGACATTGTGCTCCTACCCTAAGGATCTGTGGGACTTTGAACTTGGCAGTAATGATTTAGGGTATTTGGCAGAAGAAATTCCTAAGCAGCAAAGCATTCAAGAGGTGACCTAGCTGCTTCTAACAACCTATACTGACATGTGTGAGCAAAAAAAAAATGACCTGAAACTGGAACTTATATTTAAAAGAAAAACAGAACATAAAGGTTTGGAAAATTTGCAGCCCAGCCATATGGTATTAAACAACAACAACAACAACAACAAAAACGCTTTCTGGGGAGGAATTCAAGCTGGTTGCAGAAATTTGCATAAGTAAAAAGGAGTCAAATGTTTATAGCCAAAACAATGGGGAAGAGGCCTCCAAGGCATTTCAGAGACCTTTGTGACAGCCTCTCCCATCACAGGCCCCAAGGCCGAGGAGAATTAAATGTTTTTCTATGCCAGAACCAGGGCCCTGTTATGCTGCATAGTCTCAAGGCATGGCTGCCTGCATCCCAGCCACTCCAGCTCCAGTTGTGGCTAAAAGGGGTTCAGGTACAGAGGGTACAAATAATATGAATAATAAGCCTTGAGAGCTTCCAATGTGTTGTTAGGCCTGCAGGCATGCAGAGTGCAAGAGTTGAGGCTTGGGAGCCTCCACCTAGATTTCAGAAGACGTATAGCAAAGCCTGGATATCCAGGCAGGAGCCTGCTCCAGGGGAGGAGCCCTCACAGAGAACCTCTACTAGGGTCTTGCAGAGCGAAAATCTGGGGTTGGAGCCCCCACATAGAGTCTCCACTGGAGCACTGCCTAGTGGAGCTGTGAGAAGGTGGTCATTGTCCTCCAGACCCCAGAATAGTAGATCCGCCGGCAGCTTGAACTCAGGTTCTGCAAGACCAGTAAGCACTCAACACCAATGCCAGCCAATGAGAGCAGCCATGGGGGCTAAACTCTATAGTCTCAGGGGCAGAGCTACCCAAGTCTTTGGGAGACCACTCCTTACACTCGCATACTTTGGAGGTGGGATATGGAGTAAAAGAAGATTATTTTGGAACTTTAAGATTTAATGACTTCCCTTTTAGGTTTTGGATTTGCATGGGGCCTGTAGCCCCTTTCTTTTGGCCAAGTTCTCCCTTTGGGAAAAGGAGTAGTTACCCAATGCCTATACCCCACATTGTATTTTGAAAGTAACCAATTTGTTTTTGATTTTACCAGCTCATTGGCAAAAGGGACTTACTTGCCTTGTCTCAGATGAGACTTTGGATTTTGGACTTTTGAGTTGATGCTGAAATGAGTTAAGACTTTGGGGGACAGTTGGGAAGGCATTAATTGTATGTTGCAATGTGAGGAGAACATGAAATTTGGGAGGGGCCAGGGGAAGAATGACGTGGTTTTTGTCTGTCTGTCTCCCAAAATCTGATGTTGAATTGTAATTCATAATGTTTGAGATAAGGCCTGGTGGGCTGTGGCTGAATTATGGGTATAGTTGCCCATGGTCTGGCACCATCTGCTTTGTGCTGCTCTTCTCATAGTGAGTGTGCACTTTATTGTGAGATCAAGTTGTTTAAAAGCATGTAGCATCTCCCTCCACCTTCTCTATCTGTCTCTTACTCCAGCTATGTGATGTGCCTTGCTCCCCTTTGCCTTCCACCAAGATTGTAAGTTTCCTGAGTCCTCTCCAGAAGCTGAGCAGAAGCTGTCATGCTTCCTGTAAAGCCTGTGGAACCAATTAAATCTGTTTACTTTGTAAATTACCTAGTCTCAGATATTTTTATTTATAGCAGTGTGAGAACAGACTAGTACACATATTTAAAGTTTTATTGCCAGCATTCATCATATTAAATCGCAGTGCTTCAAGTGGGGCTACAGCAGTTACAATACCTATAAGTTACTTAAAGTATTTCTACAGAAACATAATTGTACAAATATATGTGTTTGTTTAAACCATATTCTAGAAAAAGCGAGGTGCTAATCACAAATTCTAATCCAGAGGTAACCAGCTAGCATTTAATCCAAAGACCACAAAGATAAATGTTTCTGATAGCTACTATCTATACCTTGACCATATTTATCTCAATCAACACTGGTGTCTTTCATAATAACAGAATGAACATTGGAAATTAGTTTTTATTGGCCAAATATGTAGTTCATCAACTAAAACATTGGAAATGTGATATGGGTTACCATTAGTGATATGATTTATTTTTAAATAAAGTTGTGATGTGCAGTAAAAATATAATAAACACCATATTATTTAACAGTTTTGGTGGCATCATTAATAAAAGTTTAAAAAGTAAAATTAATGTTATTAATATATGTTATTTAAACCAATAAACTCAAAATATTAGCATTTAAATTTTGAATCACTTTTAAAAATATTAATGAATTTTTTATAGTTATTTTCATATTTAGACATTCAATGTGTATTGGAATACACATTGAAATATAGCACATCTCAATTTGGAAGCTATCCTTAAATTAGAAAAATAGTCTGTATTTAGATTTCATGTAAGTTATAGCTGCAAAAGTAAATTCACATGCTCAAATATTACTAAGCATAACTGTTAGCCAAAAATTAAGTAGGGTATAAAAACATTTTTCTTTACTATTTTTATATAATCTGGTTAATTTTTTACAATAATTGATTTGATTTTGAAGCTCAGTGTAATTTATTAAAGAATCCAAAATGCCCCCATCACTTGAGATAATATTTATTAAATTTTCATAACCATATGATTCTATTTTTTGATTTCTTATTCAAACATAAACTTTGGTCTATTTCTCTACCAGATGTCAATATCATAAAGCTTTGACTATAGAGATTTTATAATGTTTTAAATATTTGATGCGATTAGCCTCCCACATTGCTCTTTTCCCCAAAATTTTGACAATCTTTTCTTATTAATTTATTTTCATGCCAACTTCATATAATATAGTTCCAAGAGATAAATACATAGCATTTTTATTGGAATTGCACCACATTTATAAATTTAGTAAGGGCAAAATGACATCTAAAGAATTGAGTTCTCTGCCAGGTGCCGTGTTGTACTCCTGTATTTGTACCTATTAGGGAAGCTGAGGGGAAGGATTGCTTAAGCCCAACATTTGAGGCTTTGAGCTATAGTTGTGCCTCTGTACTCCAGCATGGGAAACAGAGCAAGACCGCTTCTCAACATCAAATGAAAAAAAAAAGAATTGTTCTCTTGTCAAAAACATATTATGTCTTCCCAATTATTTAAGTCAACTTTGTGTCTTTTATTAGAATAATTGCAATCATCATCTATGTAAAACATCAAAATGACAAAAATACTCCTGGAGCTGGTAAGTGATTATAGCAACATTACAACAAAATTACAGAATACAAAGTAAATGTATAAAGTAAGTCACTTTCCCTTATACTAGCAATGAACAAGTAGAATCTGAAATTGAAAACACAATATCATTTAAATAGCGCACACAAAAATGAAATAGTTATAAATCTAACCAATTTTTCATAAGACCTATATGAGGAACCCTACAAAATACTGATAAAAGAAATCAAGGAATAATTAAATAAACAAAGAGATATTCCATGTCATGTCCATGGAATAGAAGACTCAATATTATTAAATGTCTGTTATTCCCAACTTTATCTACAGATTTAATGAAGTTCCAATCAAAATCCCAGGAAGTTATTTTGTGGATATCACCAAATAAATTCTAAAGTTTATACAAAAAGGCAAAAGTCCTAAAGTAGGTGTGATGATTAATACTGAGTGTCAACTTGATTGGATTGAAAGATACAAAGTATTGATCCTGGGTGCATCTGTGAGGGTGTTGCCAAAGGAGATTAACATTTGAGTCGGTGAGCTGGGGAAGGTAGACCCACCCTTAGTCTGGGTGGGAACCATCTAATTAGCTGACAGTGAATATAAAGCGGGCAGAAAAACATGAAAAGGCTAGATGGCTTAGCTTCCCAACCTACGTCATTCTCCCATCCTGGATGCTTCCTGCTCTAAAACATCGTACTCCAAGTTCTTCAGCTTTGGGACTCGAACTGGCTTCTTTGCTCCTCAGCTTGCAGATTGCCAATTGTGGGGCCTTGTGATTCTCTGAGTTTAATACTCCTTAATAAATTCATATATATATGTTTATTAATAAACTCATATAGAGTTTAAGTTTATATATATTTATTATTTATAGTAGGTAATACAAATTTGAAGGAGAGAACAAAATTGGAAGACTGACACTACTTGACTTCAAGACTTACAATAAAAGTACAGTAATTAAGGCCCAGCGCGGTGGCTCACGCCTGTAATCCCAGCACTTTAGGAGGCCGTGGCGGGTGGATCACGAGGTCGGGAGATCGAGACCATCCTGGCTAAAGCAGTGAAGCCCCGTCTCTACTAAAAGTACAAAAAATTAGCTGGGCATGGTGGCAGGCGCCTGTAGTCCCAGCTACTTGGGAGGCTGAGGCAGGAGAATGGTGTGAACCTGGGAGGCAGAGCTTGCAGTGAGCCGAGATCGTGCCACTGCACTCCAGCCTGGGCAACAGAGCCAGACTCCATCTCAAAACAAAACAAAACAAAAAAAGTACAGTAATTAAGACAGTGTGATATTGACCAAAGAATGGACAAACAGAAAAAGGGAATAGAATAGAGAGCCCAGAAATTGACCCACATAAATAGAGTCAGCTGAATTTTTACAAAGAGGCAAAGACAATACAATGGAGCAAAGAGAGTCTTTTCAACATGAAGTGCTAGAACAACTCGCCATCTACATTTAAACATGCAAATATGGACAAATCTTTCACCTTTCACAAAAATTAACTCAAAACAAATCACAGATCTAAACATAAAATGCAAAACTATAAAACTCCTAGAAGATAGGATAAAATGTACTTAAACTTGGATCTAGTGATGAATTTTTAGATACACCACCAAAGACATCCATGAATGGAATAATTGATAAGCTGGACATTATTAAAATAGAAAATGTCTGCTTTGCAAAACACAGTGAAGAAAATTAAAAAAAAGCCATATACTCAAAGAAAATATTCACAAAATACCTATTAGGAAGGACTGTTATGAAGGACTGCTACCTGAAATATGCAAAGAACTATTAAAACTTAGCAATAAGGAAACAAATAACCCAATTAAAAAATGGGCCGACTCAAGTGTATGGTGTGCACATATTTTCTCCAATACTGTAGGATTTAGTTTCACTCTATTGATTGCTTCCTTTGCTCTGCAAAAGCTTTTTTAAATTTGATACAATCACATTTGTCTATCTTTGCTTTTATTGCCTGTGCTTTTGCGGTCATATCCAAAAAATAATTGTCCAGACCAATGTCAAGAAGCTTTATCTCTGTGTTCTAATAGTTTTGCAGTTTCAGGCCTTACATTTAAAGCTTTAAGTACTTTGACTTGATTTTTTGCATATGATATGACATAAGGGTCCAATTTCTTCTGTATGTGGATATCCAGTTTTCCCAATACCACTTATTGAAGAAGCCATTATTTCCCCACTGTGGGGAAATTTTATATATGTATTGTGTGTGTGTGTGCGCGCGCGCGTGTGTGTGTGTGTGTGAAATCATTACCTTGAAGAGATGTCTGTAATCTCATGCATATTACAGCATTATTCCCAATAGCCCAAAAATGGAAACAACCTAATTGTCCACCAATGGATGAATGAATAAAGAAAGTGTAACACTCACACCTACCTACCCCCCACAAACACCCACCACCATACACAAGAATATTATTCAGCCTTAAAAAAGAAGGAAATCTTGCCATTTGAGACAACCTGAATGAACCTGAAGGGCAATATACTAAATGAAATAAGCCATACACAGAAAGGCAAATGTTACATGAACTCACCCACCTACGTATGAATCAAACTCATAGAAGCAAGCAGAGAGTAGAATGCTGGTGAGTCTAACTCATAGAAGCAAGCAGAAAGTAGAATGCTGGTGAATAGGAGTTGAGGGGTGAGGAAAATGGGAAGATGTCCTGGAGATCTAATGTACAGTATGGTGACTACATTTAGTCATTCTGTATTGTATAGTAGTAATTTGCAAAGAGAGTAGATCTTAAGTGTTCTTGTCACACACAAACAACAACAAAAAAGAGATAACTAAGTGAGCTGATGGATATAATAACTAGCTTGATTGGAGTAATCATTTCCCAATATACACATACATTAAAACATTATGTTTTACACATTAAGTTTATAAAATTTTGTCAATTACATGTGAATAAAACTAAAAAAAAACAAACCAAAGACCTCAACAGACATATCACCAAAAAAGATATACAGATGGCAAATAAGCATATGCAAAGATGCTCCGCATCATATATTGTTAGGATAATGGAAAGTAAAACAATAAGATACCACTGCATACTTAGAATGGCCCAAATCTAGAACACTGAGCACCAAGTACTGGCGAAGATGTGGAGCAACAGGAACTCTCATGGCTGGTGAGAATGCCAATGATACTGTTACCTTGTGACATTTTGTAACCATTATAGAAGAGAATGAATGGATTCTTAGAAACCTAAACATACTCTTACCATATAATCCAGCAATCACATACTTTGGTATTTACCCAAAGAAGTTGAAAACAGGTCCGCACAAAAACCTACAGATGTATGTTTATAGCAGTTTTATTCATAATTGCAAAAACTTTGAAGCAACCTAGATGAACTTCAGTAGGTTAATAGACTGGGACATTCAAATGATGGAATATTATATTAAGTGCTAAATGAAATGAGCTATAAAGCCATTAAAAGATATTAGGGAAACTCTAACGTATGTTACTAAATGAAATAAGTAAGTCTGAAAACGTTACATACTATGTGATTCCACTATATGACATTTTGGAAAAGGCAAAACTTAGAAGACAGTAAAATGATTAGTTTTTGCCAGAAGTTAGTGGGGAGGGAGAGATGAATAGATAAAGTGCATAGGACTTTTAGGGCATTGAAAATACTCTAAATGATATTATAATGTTAGATATGTGTCATTATACATTTATGCAAACCTACAGAATGAAGAGCACCAAATGTAGCTTCATCAGTTATAACAAAGGTATCACTCTGGTGAGAACTGCTGATAAAGTTGGAGGGTATGCATGTGTGGGTGCAGGAGGTAATATAGGATATCTGTGCACTTCTCAATTTTATTGTCAACCTAAACCTAACAAAAACAAAGTCTTAAACACATATGCACATTCACACACACACACACACACACACACACACACACACACACACAGCCTGGTATCTTACGAAACTTAAAACACAGGTTGTGTGAACTCTGTGGGTGCTTCCTAGTGCTTATTTAATATCTAAGGGGCAGATTTTTGTCTTGGATTTGTTTCCTAATATCCTTGTATGCAAGCTGTGTAGAAATACCGTTTGCCCACATCTATTCATTGGCAACTAATAAAATGAACTTATTCTTTTAAAACCAAATTGGATTAGGTCGTTTCAGCAAAATATGTAACATAAATTGCTCTTACCCTTCTGTCACTCGGGAATAAATGTTTTCTTTCTACATGAGAATAAAGTAGCAACTTTTGCAGAGCTTTAAGGTGTTAACAACAGATACAGGCAATCACTTTAATGTACTAATAGATTCCATCAAGGAAGAGTGTGTCTCAAGCTGGGAAGCTACTGCCCAAAGTTGCTGTATCCTTTAAAAATATAATAATTTTAGAAATAGAATGATTATTATATTATAATGAAACTTACTTGGTTTAGTTATGGACAATGTAAATTTTAAATCAGTGTACTTTAAAATACATTTTTTAGTATTAATGAATTCTGTTTAAATGGACTCTAGAAAAACTGAAAATGAGAGCAATCATTACAAAGGTTTTATTTTGTTTTTGATTGTTGCTGCAGGAAATATGGCATTTTATAAAATAAGATTTCCCAGTATTGTTCAGGACAATGTTTTTTAAAAAATACACTTTACTGTTGATGTCAGCACCAACACTTTGGATTATAATTTACTATTATTAATACATCTTCATGAGTTTTTTTAAGTGTACATTTATGTTCAGCTTCTAATACATAGCGTATAAAGATTTGAAAATTTAACAGTAGGTGGTTCTTAAACTAATAATCCATCATTCTAGACTGAAATGTCTTTTTCTTTTTTTTTAATCTTCTTACTTTTTCTTACTATAAGCAATACATTTCCTATAGCAGAGATTTTGTTGTCTTTTACCCATTCACTGAGTTTGAAGGGATTCTTCTAGTTTATCCCTGCAAATGATGCAGTTTATCCTTTTCAATTCAATTCAAGAAAGTGTGTGTCTCTTTGGAAGCTCTGGATATTGAATACTTTCAATCTAAAAATAATTTCGCCTTACCTTTACAGAACTTTAAAGCTTATTTAGATAGGTTGTTATAAAACAGACATGAAGAGCCCCGAAAATGATTTCACATCGTCTTCACTTTTAGGTAGGGTTTGAATCAGGACACTATATTTGACCTAAAACAGGGGTGTCCAATCTTTCGACTTCCCAGGGTCACATTGGAAGAATTGTCTTGGGCCACACATAAAATACACTAACACTAATGATAACTAACTAATGAGCTGGGAAAAGTCACAAAAAAATTGCATAATGTTTTAAGAAAGTTTAAGAATTTCTGCTGGGCTGTATTCAAAGCTGCCCTGGGCTGCGTGAGCCCCATGGACCATAAGTTGGACAAGCTTGATGTAGAGGGTCTTTTAGGTACTGCAGAGCAGTCTCAGTCCCAACTACTCAACTCTGTCATTGCACTATGAAAGTTGTCATAGAAAAAACATGTAAAGGATGAATGTGACTATACAAACAAACCTTGATTTATGGACACTGAAACTTGAAATGCATATTTTCATGTGCCACAAAATATTATTCTTTAAAGTTTTTTTCAACCATTCAAATATTAAAGCATTCTTAGTTTGTAGGATGTACAAAAACAGGCTGTAGGCAGGATTTGGTCCAAAGGCCACAGTTTGCTAATTAAGGAATTACTTTATTAAGTTGACATTACTATTTCACTGTTTATTAGCATAACATTTCTGTTCCAGGGGACACTCACTCAGGAATAGAAAAGTGGAAAATAATTTTATTTTCATTCCTGAAGCTTCTGGAATGAACTAGAGCTTATCAACTCTTTAATAAACATGTCAGCTCTTCTGATGGTTGCTACCTTCAAATTCTAATAGTCTTTTCACTCCTAGCCACAAATTCCTCTTTGGTGCTATGAGGGTTTTTTAAAAAGTCCATGTTTTCAAAAGGAAAAGTGACCTTTTGTCCTCTCCCTTTTTTTTTTAAAGAGTTCCTTAAGAAAATGTATAATTCTAAATCATTTATTTATCTCTTTTATATATGTACATGTTTTTAAAGGCTAAATAAGGTCTTGCCAACATTACAACTCAGTAATGTTTTCCTTAAGGGTCTGGGAGCCATGTTCTTTGAAATGTAAACATCAAGGAAGATAGGACCCATTTCTGTCACCATGACGAGTTTAGCTTACAGTTCTTGCTTCAAGCTTTTCATAAAAATAAAAATTTTGTTTTCCTTTAAATGAAGGAAATTATCTAACACAAATGGCGATCCTGTTTATCAGGTAAAGTTAGGGTGAACTATGAAAGAATATGTGGCAAATGGTGCTATATCTTGAAAACATGTATGCAGTGAATTATATCTGTGTGGTTACATAAATGGTTGAGATTTCATTTTCCTTTGCAACCTCATTAGCATGTTGCCTGTGATGTACATCACAGCATGGCTTAATGTTGATTCTCTAATTAATATTGCTTTCTTTCTTTTCTTCATTTGTGGAGAGAATTATCTGAGTTAGCCAAAAATGTTTTATTTTTATATTTTCCCCAAGATTGTATCCACCAATCCTAGATGATCATATTATGATTCTTACCTGATCATAATCCAACAACTCCTCAGTTCCCATTAAAAGACCATTATTAAATCATATCTCAAGTTCTCAGTAACTGTCACTGGTCTTGTCATTCCTCCTCAGAGATACTGTCATATCAGACTGTCTTGATAGCATTCTCCATTATCAGGGCAAGCAAAAAATTCAGATTCATGTAATCAATAGGTAGCTATAGGGATATTTATGGAGCTTCATTTTGACCTTAATTCTCTTTTTTTAACAGTTTTATTGAGATATAACATAGTACAAAATTTACTATTTAAATTTTACAATTTAATTTATTTTTGGTATATTCATAGACTTTTATATGCCCCCACCATATGTTGTGATTCACTCAGGATGGTGGCAGAAATATTTAAGGGAAATATTAGGGAAAGTTATAGGGAATAGTCACAAACCTTTTGGAAGACCGAAAGGTTACATAGCTTGTAATAACTGAACAGGCTGAAGGCAGCCAACTCTTATCTTAATGCATTAGGTCATAGGGTAAATACTAGGGACAAGATAGGCTTCCATAGTAAGTCTGTTTATCCTGCCTCCATTAATTAACCTTTGAGCTGGGTGGCCCTCTCCCGGGGAGGTCAACCAGGGAAATTACCCTCTAATGGTATTCACTTTAGACCTCGTACCTGAGCTTTAATCATTGGTAGAACTACTCTCTTAACCACGTTAATTATCCCCACACACACTGTCACTAGACAGTGTGTTTACTCAAAGCTCCTGTTGTTAATTGTTTACTAAATAAATGCCTGGAGTGCGAGCTATTCAGGGCTGGCCGCAGTGACAAACCTCTCTTGGTGTGCAGGCGGTCGGACACTCAGCTGGACTGGCAAAAGAGAATATCTGTATGTCAATGTACGTTTTATTCATCCGTCGTTTGGGTCAGGGTCTGCGTGCAGACCCCTGCAGCTAATGCCCACTTGTGAGGAGGGCTACCTCAACCATATAAGTTTAAGTTTTCATCACATTAACAAGAAATTCTACTTCCATTAGCAGTGACTGTCTATTAATTTCTCCAAACCTAGCAACGCGTAGGCAACCATGAATCTACTTTTAGAATCCATAGATTTTTATTCTGAACATTTCACATTAATGTATTAATGCAATATGTAGCTTTTGGTGACTGTCTTCCTTCAATTAGCATACATTTTTATAATTCATCTCTCATAATGTGAATCAGTATTTTATTCTTTTTATTGCAGAATAATATTCCATTGAATAGATATGCTATATTTTGTTCATTTATTCATCAGTAGATGGACATTTGCATTATTCTACTTTTGGACTATGATCAATAATCCTTATATAAATATTCAAATATGAGTTATGGTGTTAATATGTTTAAAAATAACATGAGTAAAACCTAGGAGTGTAATTACTAGGTCATACACTAACCATACATGTAACTTTTTGGTGAACTGTGAAACAGCTTTCCATAGCAACTACACTCCAACTATGTATTAAAAAACAGAGATATTATTTAAATTTATTGATAATTTGTGCAATCAAGGAAATACTTATATTTTAAGGAAATAAAATAAGAACAACAGAAATTACCAGTCAAAATACTTAAAAGGAGGCCTAGCAATCAAATCAGATTTGTTGGTTTAATCTTAATCTTTAAAACTGTCTAGATTATTTGTTGGTTTAACATAAAATAATTTGTATTGATTTCTATCGCCCTTAATATTTTTAAATGGAAAACTCTAAATAGTAGCCTATGAGCTATTTTGTGGTATCAAAATTTTACTTTTAATAAAATATCTCTTCGTGTTATTTTCAAGTCAAAAGTCCATTAGAATCATCCAAAATCGACGGGTTCAATACTTTTAGTTGTATCCATTTTCTCAGTTTTTTCTCCTGTACGTCATATTATCAGATTTACCCTCAATAGGCTATTATCTTTGGGACTTATTAAAATATAATTAATTTTATGGTCAGCTTGTTTTGTAGTTCCTTAGTGAAAAAGACTATCATATCAGACTCATATTTAGTTTGATATTTCAGTATCTAAATTATTTCCTCACATCTCTTTAGAACAGTAACTTTAATAATTAGCAAAAGTGACGTACCACAGGGAGCAAGTCTATGCAACCTACCTCCCGAAGGCTGAGGGGCCAAAGAAGGAGGTTAATATACTCAGTGTCTCAGAAAACATACAAACAGACAAACAAACAGAAAAAAAACATGTAATAGGGACTCACAAACAGGAGCCATAGTCTATAGACTTCAATGGTCACTAGAGAGATGGTGGGTCCCTGTGCCACTTCCCACCAGACGCAGGGCTTATACGCCATAGGAAAGGGATGTGTGGGACAACTTAAGTCGACCCTTCAAGGAAAGGTAAGAATGCTATGTGCATCTGCCTAGGGGAAGGGGATTTGGTCAAGGTTGTTTTATCTTGAGGACGAGATTTATGATAACAGTATATAAATAGAACGTGTATAAGCATTCTGGAACAGGGGTTAGTGAGAAGTTAACATGGTGGATTCACATCCAAGATGGAGTTGCTTTATCCTCTGCAAATGACTTTCAGAGAAATGCACATAATTCTCATAAAAATTGGAGGATGGAGGAGACAAAATAACTCTGTTAGGTCAGCCTTAGCATTGCAATATTGACTGAACATCTCTAATTAGAAAATATTCTGTTCAGCAATAGAAAATTATGCCATTTTTTACATTTCAGAAAAAATCATAATTTTGAAATGCATTTTATTATGGGTCACATTTGTAATGTTATGTTTAAAAATATCAAAGATTACAATTCTTTCTAAAAATGTACTAGAAAGAGACTAATGAATTCCAGTACTACTTATTTAAATCAAACTACCTTCTTCGACACAGAGCCTAAAGTCAAAATTCTGTCAATGTGCATTTATCTATAATGAAAATTACCTTGTTTCTCTGGGTTTTACTCTACATTGGTAACTATTGGAGCATGTGGGCTTAGGTACTATTTAAGAAACAAGTAGCTTTTAATTCACAAACCATTTTTCATAAATAGATGATCAAAGTTTTGCCTAAAGGCAATGCACTCCAGACTCCTAATTTGAGTATTTAAGAGGCTGAGGGATAGAGAGTGGATGTGACATGACATGGTTCTACTGTGTTTTATAATAGAATGGCTTCTAGAAAGCAGGCTTCCTCATTTTCAGTCTACTGTTTCTTTTCTTTGCACTATTTTGCTCACATTGCAAACTGCTTTGTAGATATACTTAGAAATATAGCTAGAAATATTTTCTTGATATTTCATGCCCAGCTCAGTGTTTCAAAATTCTAACACCCTGCATTTTGAACCACATGAGCATATATTTTGCATTCATATTATTATAAGGCTCTTCTGTGCTTGCAAGTCTATGGCTATTGTTTAGCTCCATTATATTATGTTCAAACCATATATTAGGATTTGTTTTGCCTGGACAAGTTTAATTGTCTATTAAGAAAACCTGAATTCAATGAATAATTGTATAACTTTCTGTTGCCTTTCTTTGTCTTGAAATGATTTTTAACATGTTCTCATTTCTATTTAGACAAATACAAGATATTGGTATCTGCTTTTCTCAGATTACTTTATTTGTCATTGTTAATGTAGGATCTTTATTTCTACACAGGATTTCAAATGCAATTTTTGTAGCATTTGTACTGAAGAACTAAAAGGATGATTTAGATCATATCCTGAATAATATTTTAATGGACTATAATACAAAACAAAGTGTTAGCTACACTTAAAACTGGTAGAGATAAATTGTAACACCATTTAAAAATTATATTGGTGGCTAAGATGTATGGCAATGCTTTTTATTTCATATTTCAAACATTTAGGTCATTGCTTAAAAGGTTTAAGTTGATTTTTAATTCATTTTCTTGTGCGTATCTTTTATTAAGTTGTATATTTTTACAAATCCCATTTCTTCAGATATGAGCTGATAATAGAGAAGCTATAGGTAAATTTATGTATTTAGTTTTATTATCTGAAACAAAATATGTAACAAAAATAATTTTTTAAAGAGCTAGAGTCCTATAAAAGTTACATATCAGAAGAACCCAAAGAAGGATTTCCACTGATGTTATTTTTAGGCAGTGAGGCCAATGCATATATTTATTAATCTTCTCAAATTTCATTGCATATCTATAATGTAAAGTACTCTATGAGCTGGTAGAGAGTATACAAAGTTGAATGATCCCTGCCTTAAGGAAACTATATAGTATAAAGAAAAAATATGTGTATAAACAATTTATTTTATTTTGTTTAGGTTTGTTTTGGAGAATGAATGAGTAGAAAATAAGGAGGAATCTGAAAACCCTCATAACACAATTTAATAGCTAATACTAACTGAGCACTTATTAAGTGTCAGGCTCTTTGCCTACAGTAATTAGCATATTTCATTTTTATAAAACCATGTGAAGTAGTAGTATTTTAACCCTTGATTTATACTTGGGGAAGTAAAGGCACAAAGGAAAGGAATCAAATATCTTTGGCCTAATCGCAGAGAGGTGGTTCTGTGTTTGAGATCTGAGTTTTCCAAACTGTCTTTCAGGGCCCTTTACAACCATTACTGTAATTGAATCTCACAAACCTGGAAAACAGGGATTTTTAAAAATCTTCATTTTTAACAAATAAATAGGATGTCAGAGTATCAGTGATTGAGTAACATCTGTTAGTTACTATATGCTTACCTAGGTCTTGACTCCAAGTCTTCTGACTACAGAGGCTGTGATATTATCTGGGTGTGAACAATCATACTGATTTTCATATACCATGCCAAATCTGTTGTTGAATTAATGACATTTCCTTGAAATATACAGCTTTTCTCTCTATAAACACTACCCCCAACATCTTACATACTTGTAAAGTTCAAAATGCCCTCTCTTTAATCTGCATAGAAGGAACTGTCTGGCAGGTAAAGAGTCTAAGGAATTCCTGGGAAACTCTGGTAATGAATTTTACCATAAACATGCTAATTACTAAAAGCATGAGTTATCTTGTGTCTGTGAGAAACTTTCAAAAAATAGTGTCTAAAAGAGAACATAGGGCTGGTATGCAGTGGCTAGAAGATGTGTAGGCTTCATTGGGTGATACTGGATAACTTTACCTAAATGTTTAAAAACATTCCAACTGTGAAACTGTCTCATTTGTGAAATGTGAGAACAGGGTTGCTTTGGTAAAGAGGTTTACGGAGATGCTATTTCTATCACTTTCGAATATTTTCTATTCGAATGCACATAATAATTTCTAGATAATATCCTAATTATTTTATTATTAAAGTTATAATTAATTTTGACTCATAGAGGACTAATTATAAATGCATTTTTGTGTTTGATCAATACCTAAATGTTTACATTTCTAATTGATTCTAAAGTTTAGCAAAATATTAATTCAGATATCTAATACAATTAAAGATTTCTTTACTAAGTATTTATAGATATCTTCTAAAATATACTTATAAAATAATTCAGTAATTATTCACTTTCATATTATAAATATTAAATATATATCTCCATAGATTACTTAAGTATAGGTAATAAAGGGAGAGATCTCTGAATTCAAATTTTTTTTATGTTACAACATATAAGTTCTGTGGCATTGCAAAGAGAGACAAATGCATGTATTGATCATTTACTATGAGCTACACATTGTATTAAGCATTTTATACTTGTTATTTTCTTCTCTAATATAATTTTAATGCAAACATTATTTATCTCATTGTATATCTGATGAGGTCAAAACTCAGAGAATCAAATAGTTTGCCAAACCATAAAATCAATAGTAGGACAATTGGGATTTAGTCTATATCTGAGTTACTCTTGAAATTGCTTACTGTTTACCACATGCAGCCGTTATTTAACTTAACGTAAACTTCTTCTGTAGAAACTGAGTTAGTTATTTTGCAGATTCACTAAACTAATATATATTAGTGTGCTGTATAGGTAATATCTCTTTTGTCTTCATCTTCTTTCTTCTTTTATGTCTCCCATTTCTTATAACCACTCTTTTAATTTTTTTTTAAGAGATGGAGTCTCGCTCTGTCACCCAGGCTGGAGTGCAGTGGTGAGATCTTGGCTCACTGCAACCTCCACCTCCCGGGTTCTAGCAGTTCTCCTGCCTCAGCCTCCCAAGTAGCTGGGACTACAGGTGCACACCACCATGCCCAGCTAATTTTTTGTATTTTAATAGAGACGGGTTTTCATCGTGTGCCCAGTCTGGCCTCAAACTCCTGATCTCAGGCAATCCACTCACCTCGGCCTCCCAAAGTGCTAGGATTACAGGTGTGAGCCACCATACCTGGCCTAACCACTCTTTAAAATATTAATAGCCAATTATAATTTTTAATGTGTGTCTAACACCAAGAAATGGTAAAAACTAAGTTTATTGTCATTAGAAATGCTTATTTGTCAGCACACAAAATGTATATTGTATACAATATACAAAATCTGATATCTAGTATTTCCAGTATTAAAAAAATAATAATAATAACCATATATATGTATATCAATTTTAAAAGTTTTTTTCTTATTTTACTTCCTGACAAAGAAGATGTGAAAATAACCTCTTTCCCATTGCCAAGTAAGATTTGATGTTACAGAGTGTGAATGTTATAAAACACACTTTTGGATGTATAAACTAAGCTGCAGAAAATCTATAAAAAAATTAGAAGATAGAAAAAATATTACATTTAATAAAACATGATTACTGGTGGCTTCTTCCTTAGTTTCTTGCTTTTAATGTCAGATTCTCAAGTTAAAATCACTAAATCACAATTGTAACCAAGCTTACTGAAATGTTATTCTCTTTTTATAAAACAGTGCTTTAGAGTTAATTTTGGAAGGGCTTTCTCTTCTATTAAGTAGTGCTATAGATACTTTTATATTATGCTACAGAAAAAAGATTTGCACAGTAACAAGATTTAAGACAAATACCAGTGATCTTTTGGGTTTGTCAGAATTTATTTTGCTCAAACCATTTCTCAAATTACTTTTGTGGACTTATATTTCATTTTAATTGAGACAAAATGAGAGGTGTCAGGTGAGATATTGATTGCTTTTTAAATATGTTGACATGGAAATATATCTTATTAGATAGTAGATTTACTTTTTAAGTGGATCTGTGTTTTGAATAAAACATTTAAAACATAGTCACTAAATATTAAATATCTACCCATAACTTATTAAATGGGTATTTATATCACCTTATTGTAATTAAAATGTTTCTAATTTTACTTTAGAGAACCCCAAATTTAATTGATTTCTCTCAATATTTTTGTTTGTGTTTCATTTGTCTTTAATTGCAATAAGATACAACTGTTCTCATTAAATTAATCTACGCCTAGGAAAACATATATGACTTATTTAGAAAGCTAAGCAAAAATAAACTTCTGAAATTTTTATTTCTGATACTCTATTAAAAGTGATTTATTCTATATTTTAACAAATAACCCATCTACCCCAAACTGATATCTACATGTTTTCAAGGAAAAAATATATTTTTATAAAGCTACCATTCCTTTGAATTAGTTAAAACCTAGGACTAATGTGGTAGCAGGATTCAATCTTCTTAAATTTTACTTCTTAGAAACATAATCATATTTACTCTGTAATTTTCTTACCTGTTGCTGCAAGGGCTGCCTTTGAACAGAGAGGTGCTGAAGTAGGAGCTTTATCTTATCGTGTCTTACACATCATTGGTAATGATGAAAGATTTTCTTCCCCCTTAGTTTAGCTAAAGTTCGTGTTCTTGTCTCACAGCCAGAAGAAATTAGGCACATGAACACATTAAATGGTAAGGAGGGCAGAATTTATTAAAAGAAAGCTGTCAGTGAAAAAAAAAAAAAAGTGGGAAGGTCCTGTCAACAGGTTACCACCACTCAGGCTGAGTACCAGGCCACCACACATGAGCTGAAGTGGCCGGGCTCCTCCCCTTGAATAAGGCGTGAATTCCCAGTAGCTCCACCCATTCTCCCAGTGTGCAGGGGCACCCTTAGTCTGAGCCACTCCACGTTGATTTATTTCTCTTTCTGCACATGTGTTAAGGGACAGAATTTTTCATCATGGACACGTTTAGTCAAGCCCCCTGTGCACAATGACCTCCCTGGCATTTGGCTCTTTCCTGTCTCTGTCAGTAAGATAAAAAACACCAATACAAAAGTTAATGCCAACAGACACTCAGATATTAGGTTTCACATCTAATTTTACATAATTTTATTTTAAATAGTTTTAAAAGATCAATAATGAGGTACTACAATCTACAAAACACTGATGAAGTAATTAAAGACGATGGATCCATTGAGCCCAGGAGGTCAAGGCTCCAGAGAGCTGTGTTCATGCCACTGCACACACTACACCCTGTCTCAAAAAAATAAAATAGTTTCTACTCCAAACAACAAAAAAAGAGGGAATCCTCCCTAACTCATTTTATGAGAGCAACGTCATCTTGATACTAAAGCCTGGCAGAGACGCAACAAAAAAAGAAAATTTCAGGCCAATATCCCTGATGAACATCGATGTGAAAATCCTCAGTAAAATACTGGCAAACCAAATCCAGCAGCACATCAAAAAGCTTATCTACCACGATCAAGTCAGCTTCATCTCTGGGATGTAAGCCTTGTTTAACATATGCAAATCAATGAATGTAATCCATCACATGAACAGAAACAATGACAAAAACCACATGATTATCTCAATAGATGCAGAAAAGGCCTTCACGAAAATTCAACACCCCTTCATGCTAAAAAGTCTCAATAAACTAGGTATTGATGGAATGTATCTCAAAATAATAAGAGCTATTTATGACAAACCCATAGCCAATATCATACTGAATGGGCAAAAATTGGAAGCATTCCTTTTGAAAACCGGCACAAGACAGGGATGCCCTCTTTCATCACTCCTATTCAACATAGTATTAGAACTTCTGGCCAGGGAAATCAGGCAAGAGAAAGAAATAAAAGGTATTCAAATAGGAAAAAAAGGAAGTCAAATTGTCTCTGTTTGCAGATGACATGATTGTATATTTAGAAAACCCCATCGTCTCAGCCCAAAATCTCCTTAAGCTGATAAGCAACTTCAGTAAAGTCTCAGGATACAAAATCGATGTGCAAAAAATCAAAAGCATTCCTATACACCAACAACAGACAAACAGAGAGCCAAATCAAGAGTAGTCTTCCATTCACAATTGTTACAAAGAGAATACAATACCTAGGAATCCAACTTACAAGGGATGTGAAGAACCTCTTCAAGGAGAACTACAAACCACTGCTCAGTGAAATAAGAGAGGACACAAAAAAATGGAAAAACATTCCATGCTCACAGATAGGAAGAATCAATATTGTGAAAATGGCCATGCTGCCCAAAGTAATTTATAGATTAAATGCTATTCTCATCAAGCTACCACTGACTTTCTTCACAGAATTGGAAAAAACTACTTTAAACTTCATATGGAACCAAAAAAGAGCCTGCATAGCCAAGACAATCCTGGGCAAGAAGAACAAAGCTGGAGGCATCACGCTACCTGACTTGAAACTATACTACAAGCCTACAGTAACCAAAACAGCATGGTACTGGTACCAAAACAGATATATAGACCAATGGAACAGAACAGAGCCCTCAGACATAACACCACACATCTACAACTATCTGGTCTTTGAAAACTCTGACACAAACTAGCAATAGGGAAAAGATTCCCTATTTAATAAATGGTGTTGAGAAAGCTGGCTAGCCATATGCAGATAACTGAAACTGGACTCGTTCCTTACACCTTATACAAAAATCAACACAAGATGGATCAAAGACTTAAACGTAAGACCTAGGACCATAAAAACCCTAGGAGAAAACCTCAGCAATACCATTCAGGACATAGGCATGGGCAAAAACTTCATGACTAAAACACTAAAAGTAATGGCAACAAAAGCCAAAATTGACAAATGGGATCTAATTAAACTAAACAGCTTCTGCACGGCAAAAGAAACTGTCAGCAGAGTGAACAGGCAACCTACAGAATGGGAGAAAATTTTTGCAATCTATCCGTCTGACAAAGGGCTAATATCCAGAATCTACAAAGAACTTAAACAAATTTATAAGAAAAAACACCATCAAAAAGTGGGCAAAGGATATGAACAGAAAATTCTCAAAAGAAGACATTTATGCAGCCAACAGACATATGAAAAAAAATGCTTATCATCACCGGTCATTAGAAAAATGCAAATAAAAACCATAATGAGATACTACCTCATGCCAGTTAGAAAGGCGATCATTAAAAAGTCAGGAAACAAGAGATGCTGGAGAGGAGGTGGAGAAATAGGAATGCTTTTACACTGTTGGTGGGAGTGTAAATTAGTTCAACCATTGTGGAAGACAGTGTAGCAATTCCTCAAGGATCTAGAACCAGAAATACCATTTGACCCAGCAATCCCATTACTGGGTATATACCAAAAGGATTATAAATCATTCTACTATAAAGATACATGCACATGTATGTTTATTGCAGCTATTCACAATAGCAAAGACTTGGAAACAACACAAATGTCCATCGATAATAGACTGGATAAAGAAAATATGACACATATACACCATGGAATACTATGCAGCCATAAAAAAGGATGAGTTTATGTCCTTTGATGAAGCTGGAAACCATCATTCTCAGCAAACTATCACAAGAACAGGAAAACCAACACTGCATGTTCTCACTACTAACTGGGAGTTGAACATTGAGAACACATGGACATAGGGAGGGGAACATCATACACCTGGGCTTATTGGGGCATGGGGGGCTAGGGGAGGGATAACATTTGGAGAAATACCTAATGTAGGTGACGGGTTGATGGGTGTAGCAAACCACTATACCACGTGTATACCTATGTAACAAAACTGCATGTTCTGCAAGTGTACCCCAGAACTTAAAGTGTAATAATATACATATAGAAAAAAATATAAAAATAAAATAATAAAAGAATAATTTTTAAAAACTTAAAAGTCTCAGTTATGCCAGATGAACAAATTCTAGATATCTGCTATATAACAGTACCTACAGTTAATTACATAATATTGTGTACTTTCAAATATGTTAAACTTTATATACACACACAGAAGATCACAAAGAAATTTTTGTAGGTGATGGATATGTTTAGCAGCATTTTGATGATGTTATCGTGGATATATACATATGTCCAAATTCATCAAAGTGTATACATTATATATACATTGATTATGTACATTTTTGTACATCAGTTATACCTCAGTAAAACTTAAAAAGAAAACATGGAATAACAACAATTAACAATGAGGAATATTAGGAATCCTGGGACATTTGCAGTGGTCCCCAGGAGCAGGGGAATGGGTTATGTTGAAAGGGTAAACAAAGGAGTCAATAATACATTGGTTCATTCCTATCTCTTTGTCCATTTTTTTCCAGATAACTTTGTGTATTTAAGGTGACTCTCAGCTGTTCTGAACTTGTAGATCTTCATAGACAGACTTGTAGAAAACAAGACTATTTTTACTGCATTTTTGCTAGGAGAATTAAAATTTCACCACTATGGTGCTAACCATTTAAATGGTTAACAATATTTTGGTCAAATAATCTTTTTTTTTCTTCCACAAAATGCTACACATATGAAATGCTGTGAAGGTCCCCACTTAATTACTGATTTCTATTACTCATTTTTCTTCTCCCCATGTGTAAAACCTGAGCTTCTAGCATGTGTATTCTACCCAGAAGGTAATAGTGTAACTGTGTTTCTCTGGAAAGAAAAGTGCCTATTCAAAGATAGATGGCCATCCATAGACAATACAATACAAACTGATGGCCATAGTATGAGAGCAAATTGTCTCTCACTGTACTCAGAGCCACTTCATACACCTATAGTTATATTAACACCTCATGAGTAATACTATTACGCTCAAACTCTCGTGGAGATGAAGTTATGAATTAAATGGTGTAGTTCTTTTTCATATATTCATTATGTACAATATTTATCTTTTATAATTCATCAATTACCAAATATAATTTCCTTGTACATGCTCTTGATTCCTCTCCACAAGTAGCTATCTCTTCTTTATAGACAGTTATTTTTAAATATGGCTCATAGGCTGCTTTTAATGTCAGCAGGTACTATGTCTTGGCCTGGTTGCATGCTCCCTCAAAGCTAATATGTTGCCAAACTCCTTTTGAAGTCAGTAAAAGTGTCAGACTTGAAGTAGCTTAGGAAAGGTGCTGGACAGATAATAAATTGATGCAGGGAGAATGACTTCTTTTTGCACATAATTCAGTTGGCTGGATAATTTCTCTTTTTCAGGCACATGTTGACCTCAGGAATCTCCTCTGTCTAAATGAAATATGTCAGCCTTAGTGCTGACCTTATTAAAAAATCATGGATTGATAATTTGAGATGCATATGCCATTAAGTAGCTGAAACAAGACTTGTCCTCTGCAGGTTAAGCATATGAAAAATTTATTGTCACTAAAACAAACCTAACCTAGGAAATATTACATATTGTCTAACTGTGTTCACATAACTATTATTGTTACAGCCAAATGTGTTTTTTAAGGGTTATCTTATTCTAAAACCTCTGGCCTGACTATGCCTCACTTTGAGTAAAGACATCTCAAAATTATGATACATGGTGGGTTGTGGCAGATTTGAGGACTTGCAGGTATCCTAAAAAATGTACCAGGCAATGGCAAAGATAGGAAATCAACCTTAGTGTCCCCTGATAAATGAATAAAGAAAATGTGATACATACACTACACACACACACACACACACACACACACGAATATTATTCAACCTTATAAGAGAACAAAATCTGCCATTTAAAACAACATGGATGAACTTGAAGGTCATTATACTAAGTGAAAAAGCCGACCCCCCCAAGAAAGACAAATACTGCATAATCTCAGTTTTAGATGTGTCCAACTAATAAAAACAGAGTAGATGGGTGGTTATCATGAGTTGAGAAATGGAGAAAATAAAGCATTGGTCAAAAGATGCAAACTTGCAGTTACAAGATGAATAAGTTCTGGAGACCTAATGTACTATATAGTGACTATAGCTCATAATAATGTATTGTATACTTGAAATTTGCTAAGAAAGTAGACCTTAAGTACCCTTATCATCAAAAACATTCTAAATATGTGAGGTGATGGATATGTTAATTAGCTTGGTTGTGATCATCATTTCACAATTTATAGGCAATTTATAATACCACATTGTTTACCTTGAATATCATAACTTTTATTTATCATTTCTACCTCAATGAAGCTATAAACAACCCCAAATTTTCTTGAAAATACCTCTCTCTTTTATTTATTTTTCCTCCAAGTTTGTTTTCCACTTCTTTGGTTAAAAGTCATCAGAAGAAACGTTTTTTATACCACCACTTCTGAGATTAACTATTATTAAAGATGGCTTAAATGTGAAAAAATAAAGAATACTGACCAAAAAAGGAAAAAAGGAAATTAATATAAATTTAATTCACAATATATGTAAATGACTTGCCATCTTATGTATGTGTGTGTGTGTGTGTGTGTATATATATATATATATGTATAAAATAATACTGTGGAAAGAGAGAAATAAAGTTTTTCACTCCAGTCTTTATTAAAAGTTTGCAATATGAAATCAATTATGAGATGAGTACTCTGCAAGGAGCAAGGGGTTTAAAGATTTTTATGGGGAGGGGGTAAATAAGCGTTTACCCAGTTTTGTAGCCATTGATTGATGACTTTGGGCTTAGCAAAAGGGATAAAGAGAACATTTGGGAGTAAAAGTTTTGCTAGGATCAGTGGAAAATGTTCAGTTTTTCAGCGTTTTTCACAATAGATAATTCTTGAATGTTTACTTTTTCTAGGCAGAATTTCAAAAGCTTTACATCCATTATCCCTTTCAATACTCCCAACAAAACTATGAGATGTATATTGTGTAGCAAAGAATTTAACTTTGCCCTAAGAAAAGTCACTTTTGCTGTTGGCTACCTGGAGGGATCTCTGAACTCTTGGAATATCTTGCCTGATAAGAGCATTTTTGTTTACCTGAGGGTTTTGATTCACACCAGAAGGTCTAACATGATTTATGGGAGCATTTTGAGTCACATGGTATTAGATTAACCTCTGGAGAGGCTGGAGATAGAGGTCAGCCACAAGAGCGGTTGAACATGGAGTCCCCATAAAGGGGACATCTTACTCTGGACACCAGCCTTGGGTAAGCTTCCCTGGTTGGCAATACTCCATGCACATTGTCATATATCACTGATGAGAGGAGTTAACACTGTCCATGAATCTGTGGAGTAAAGGCTGGAATTTGAAAGTCTGTCTTTGGAAACCTAGACACTTTCCAATGTGCTTGTTTCCTTAGGTGATTCTAATTTGTATCATTTCACTGTAATAAACCATATCTGTGAGTATAACAACTTTTGATAAGTTCCATGAGTCTTTCTAGTAAATTATTGAAGCTGGGGTAGTTTCAGGAGCCCCCATAAATACTGCAGTTGGTGTCAAAGTGAGGTTGGTCTGGTGAACTGTTCATTAACTGCATATATCACCCCTTGTATACAAATAAGAAATGCAAAATCATAAAGAACTTTCTTCAAGATTTACATGCACTACAACAATGAACAAATATTTTTAACAACCACTTTGCAGATATGGAAACTAAAACTCAGAAAGATTAGGGAATTTGCTAAAATTTACACTAGTTGCAAATGGGAGAATAGGGATACCAGTCTAATGCTATTGTCTTTTCACTATTTTATATTGCCTCCTTGGAAACAGATGGGGGGACTAGATTATGCCTGTGAATATTTTAGCAATTGGGATAATTTATATCTCGATTTTTAAGTAATGTGTATTTATAGTGCATATGCTACAGTCCCTCAACTTGTCAAAGTCTCTGCTAGTTATTTTTCCATGCTAGGGAACCAAATCATTTAAAAAAGAAAGTAAAAGAAAAACAAACCTTGGAATGGTGATTTAGATTTACTAATTATACTCAGATAAAATTAGCTTCAAAGCATAATTTTAATTTCCATAGACTTCATAAATTTGGTGATTAGTTTCAAGAAAACTGTATGCAGAAATAACCTAAAATGTAATATTTCTATTGATTTTCAAAGCTACGTTTTGTATTGCTGCTCTATTTTTCAGAAACATAGAAGATGCATAGAAAACAGCATATAGGGTCTTTAATTTAGAGAAATATTTCTGGTATTTTGTCAGGCTATTAAATAAAAATGAGGGACAAGCTATAAATAATAAATGACGTAGCTATGGATCTACTTCCTTTAGCTGGATCCTCTCAAATTGAGACATTTAATTAACTGATAAAACAGAAAACAATACTTGCTTTTAACACTATGGAAAACATAGGAAATGTTGTTGAGTACAATATCACATGACCCAATATAAAACCTGCTTGAGTTAATCTGTTTCTTAGTAATGTAGGATATTTAGATTGAAGAGCAACTTCATGAAATTTGAAAGTGATGGAAGAGGGGTACCATAGAGAGTAGAATTATAATTTTTTTTAACAAATCTAAATGAAATGTGGGAGCAAGGGATGTGAATATCTGGAGGAAGAATATGCCAGCTAGAGAGAGCCAATGAAGAAAAGGCCTGTGAACCCGAGAATAGCAAGGAAGTCAGTATGGCTTGACCAAGTGACAGAAAATTAATGTGGTTAAAAAAAGATGAGGTGGTAGAAGGATCTTGAGGACAAGCTACGCGAAACATTTTAGGTCATAATGAGTATTTTAATTCTCCCAAACAAAATAGTGTGATGTGATTTAAAAGGGATGTGGTACATTCTTTATTTTGGCTATTTTGCAAAGAATAAAGTGAGGAAGAGAGGGAAGAGGGAAACTACTTGAATATTTAATCAAATTATCTGAGTTAGAGGGGACCATGGGTCAGTCTACAGGAATAGCGGTGAGAATAGAAAGAAGTGCCTAGAATCAAGATATATATACTCTGAAAGCAGATCTAATGATGGATTGAGGATTTGAGTATAGGAAGCAAGAGAAATAGAACCCATGATGGGCTTAAGGCTTTAGTTTGAGGACATGGGTGAATAATGTGCTGATTTGTTGGGCTGGTGCCATAGTAGTCAGTAGGGTTTGGAAAGTGCATGAATTATTATTATTAATTTTGGTGACATTTGGTTGCAGAAAGTTTGAAGGGCTTGTTATATATCCAGGTAGATCTGGCAGTTGGTTATACAAGGTTAAAGAAATAATTTGGAAATGAAGATTTAATTTGGGAGCCATTGACTTATTGATTGCACTCACCTGAAAAGTGAGTACCAAAATGCAGGAGCTGAGGTTTGGAATGTTCCCACATTTGGAGGTTAAGAAAAAAGTTAAGGGAAAATTGCAAAGATACTGAAAATGTACAGAGAATGAGATAGAAAGAAAATCAAGAAAGCAGGTACCAAACCCCAGTGTCCCAGAATTTAACCTTATTTAGAGATAGGATCTTTACCGATTTTAATTACTAAATATAAGGTCACACTGAAGAATGATAAGCCCCTAATAAGATACAGTTATTATTTTTATACAAAGATAGCCATACAAAGACAGAGACACACAGGAGGAATGCCAAGTGAGGATGATGATATAGAGTGGAATTATGCTGCTGCAAGACAAAAAAAAAAAGGCCAAAGATGGCCACTGAACTATCAGAAGGTAGGAAGAGGCAAGGAAAGATTTTCTACAAGTTTCAGAGGAAGCATGTCCCTGTTGACACCTTGATTTTGGACCCTGAGCTTGCACACTGAGACATTAAACTGTTGTCCACTCAGTTTGTAGTGACACACATCCTTTTGGTGCCACTTCTCCAGCCAAAAATTGCCACCTCCAGTGGTGCCCCTGCCCGGGCCTCACTAAGCTTCAGGCTCACAACTGGGGTTGCTCCACCCACTTGGCCCAGCAGGCTGCACTCAGCTCATACTATGGGCACAGGTTCCATGCCTGCCCATGGTTCTGTGCTCAACTTGCAGTCCGGGTGTGCCACAACCATCTTCTGTCTTGGGCGCCAGCCTCTGGAAAAGGGGGAAGCAGCTGCTCCCGAAAACTCGGAGATGCCAACAAACATGGAAGCCCAAGGGGTTTTATGGCTCTTGCCTGGCGAGTCCCAAGGTCTGAGCCCTGAAGAACCATTACAGCTCTTTCTCCTTCCAACCGCCCACAGCGCAGCAAACGGGGGGTGGGGGTTGGTGTTTCAGCTTGTCCGTGTTACAGCTTGTTTAGTTCCACCTCCCCACTCTAGTTCCCATGGCTACTGGGCTGGCCCAGTCCCACTGCCACTTCCTGTCATGTGGGGCAGCTGCCCAGCACTAGCAGAAGGCAGGAGGGCTACAGTGTTATAGCTCATTTCACACCTGCTGTTCTGCGGGTCCTGGGTTCTGGTCCCTCATCCAAGAAGAATGAGGTTACGCGAACACCAGAGAGTGAGCAAGGTGGATAAGGGTTTTATTGAGCGAGAGAACAGCTCTCAAAATGAGAGGGGACTTAAAGTTGGTAGCCCTCTATGTGAGAGGGGGCCCCAAAACAGGTAATCCCCACGTGTAGCTGAGTCTGGGGTTTTTATGGGCTCAGAATTGGGGAGTGCATGCTGATTGGTCCATGGGTAGGCCTGGAAAAAGCACCATTTGATTGGCTAAAAGGCATCGAGGAAGTTCTCACTCCAGTCATAAACTCGGCCTCAAACTGACAGTCCAACATTCAGGCTTCAGTCTGCCTTTGGCTTGAAGGTCAGGTTTCACTGGGTACCCTCCTGTATCTGCCTAGTAATTTGTCTGTCTCATGCCACTATCAGTAGTACATAGCTACTGCAGCCCTGGGAAACTAATACAGGCATTGGTTGAATCTCTGGATACGTCTTCAAAGAAAGAGGCTAGTCAGAATTAGACAAAAATTCTTACAGCCATTGGGAATTATTGTTAATTGAAATTGATGGAAAAGTGTCATATTAGGTATTGAATATTAATCACCTTCCAGTCATTAATATTACTTACCAAAGTAGCTGTATGCTACAAGACATTTTTCAGAGAATGTCTTATTCACGTTTTCATGCCACCTTTAAGAACAGACTTGAAAGCAGATTTATTGATCATAAGAGATGTGACTTCTTAGGCATTGAAGGGACGAATTGACCTTAAAATGTGTTATTCAACTTCTATTAATATTGTGGATAAAAATATGTCAACATTCCTAAAGTGTGTTTATGATTAGCAGCTGCAAGAATAACTTCAATCCAAATGTAAGTTTTGATATTTGGCCTGAATAACAGATAAAAGTGACTACATTAAAGACCTAATTTTCAGATATTTCATGTTGTTGGAATTAGATCTTTGTGATATTACTGTTTCTGTTTAATTTTTTAGCAGCATGTGATTTAGAATTCAAAGAATCACTTTTAGAATGTTTATCAGGGTCTGCTCACTTATGTGTCAATGGTAAAGATTTTAGGCTAAATGTAAATGACCATAGTTTATCTGGAGCCAAAGGAGCTTTCTATTTTAATAGATTGTAGAGTGTCTATGTACTCTGAAAACATCATCATCTATGCATCCAGCAGCACTGGATACATTTGAGCACCCAGAGAATCTTTGCCTTAGTGCTAAGATCAAGGCAGGCAGGCTGGATGTGTTGTCAGAGGTAGACAGAAATGTGTTTTGAAGGCATTGTAAATAAATACTAACTATAATGGAAGAAACAGCAAATCTTATGCCAAATGAGATAAGCCAATAGCTATATTCTAACATATAAAATCCTACCATGTCATTCTTGTTTTTAGGCCATTAAAAATGTCTGAGTCCAATTGTGTCCCTAGACCCCGTTTTTGTCAGTATACTTTGATATAGAAATGTCTTTGTTTGTTGGATGCTAACTAGACATTCTGAAAATAAAAGTAGATTCAATTACAGCCTAGGCTGGAAGAGTACAACATCTGATGCTGATTTTTTTGTTCAATGTGAGTATTCTTCATTCTACATATTTACACAAACACCAGTGTTTTTACATAAAACTACCTATAATGAATCATATTCAATGAAAATAGAGACTATAAATCCTACAAAACTGTAACTTTCATAGCAACTAATGATGGGTTAATTGGAATGAGATTATCTTCACATTCTTCTCTAGTTCTTCCTATTTTCGGTGATAAGAGACTTGCCTGAGTCAAACCAAGTAACTCTCAGGAGATCTAATACTAAGTATCATTTATTAATCTTGTTGACCTGTAAGAATTCTTGACATTTGGAGAGTGGTATTATATTAATAACAATGACATATAAATATAAGCTAAGCATTTTTTTCTTAATCAAATAGAGACAGTGGTGCTGATTTTTCAGTCACAGATCTTTGAGACCTAGATGATTAGGGAATGAAGGGGATGTATTAGTCCATTTTCATGCTGCTGATAAATACATACCCGAGACTGGGCAATTTACAAAAGAAAGAGGTTTAATTGAACTTACAGTTCCACGTGGCTGGGGAAGACTCACAATCATGGTGGAAGGCAGGGAGGAGCAAGTCACCTCTTATATGGATAGTGGCAAAGAGACAATGAGAACCAAGCAAAAGGGGTTTCCCCTTATAAAACCGTCAGATATCATGAGGCTTATTCACTACTATGAGAACAGTATGGGGGAAGCCACTACCATTATTCAATTATCTACCACCAGGTCCCTCCCAAAACAAAGAGAATTATGGGAGATATAATTCAAGATGAGATTTGGGTGGGGCCACAGCCAAATTATATCGGGGAGCTGTTGTTCTTTGATTTCAAGAAAGAATGAAACTTAACTTTGCTTTAAATGTGTACTTTTAAATAACTACAGCTTAAATGTTTCCTTAAAAAGTCTTAAAATCTAATTCTGTGAAGAAAGTCAATGGTAGCTTGATGGGAATTGCATTAAATCTGTAAATTACTTTGGGCAACATGGGCATTTTTACGATATTGATTTTTCCTATCCATGAGCATGGAATGTTTTTCTATTTGTGTCCTCTCTTATTTCCTTGAGCAGTGGTTTGTAGTTCTCCTTGAAGAGGTCCTTCACGTCCCTTGGAAGATGTGTTCCTATGTATTTTATTCTCTTTGTAGCAATTATGAAGGCACATTATATGGAAGGAGCAGGAAAGAGAGAGACAGAGACAGGGGCAGGTGCCACACTTACGAAAAAGCTAAGTCTCATTAGCTCTCACTCACCAGCCGTGAGGGACCTCCAGTTACCTCCTAACAGGTCCTGCCTCAACATTGGGGATTGCAATTCAACATGAAATTTGGGCCAGCTGTATATCCAAACTATAACAGTATTGCTTGTTCTAAAATGGAGGAAATCAACATTGAGAGAAATAAACTTTCCCCAAATTACTGAGGGCATAAATGGTAAGACCACGTAATCTAAAAGCTTCCCTAAAAGTTTTCAGTTTTGTCTGTTTAGCCTGTATATCTTTGTCATTTGGTAGCCGACCTTCAACTTTGCTATGGGAAAATATATTGTCCTTGTTTTCTCCACTCTTCAGATGACATTCTTTGCCCATTAGGTATTAGTAACTAGATACTCATTTTTTCTCTGGTCTCCATATTTTCTGAAACTTGGTTCTTGAGATTTTCCTTTGATTCTGTGGTGTAAGAAAATTCTTACTTAAGGAAACTGAAGCCACTATTTGTGTTTGGAAACCAAGAGCCTTAACTTACGTGAATTCAATTTAGTTATTATACACTACACCTGTGCTCTTCAGAATTGTGCCAGATTCCCACTACTCTCCCTCTCATTTTACTCCTAATCTTTCTTTTCAAACACCTGCCCTTCTACCATTTTTTTACAATATTCATTTTGAAAACGTGTAGTTTTTTTCTGGAGCAAACTCAGGCACAGTCTTTTAAAAGTTGGTTAAATTGATTAGTAAAATTGATAAGATTAATGATAATTAATAATAATAGTTATTCACCAAGATCAGTGGTTATAGTCAATAAACAATTTCTTTTCTTTTCCAAAATGGGCTCTGGTTACTACATTTTGTTCCTTAGGTTGGCACACTAAAAGGGAGGTTAATTTCACCGGCTGTCTAAGCTCAATTTTTATCATTTCTCTTCCTTTAGATGAATGAAAAACCTACATAAGGGAAATTTAAATTGATAGTGAAGATTATAATCTCTGGTATACTTATAAAATAAGTTTTTAAATACAATAATATTACTAATAAATTTTTAAATATATTTCAAACTTGAATACAAACTTGGAAGTTAGTAACTTTTTAAAATTTTCTAGGTTTATGCCAGAATTCTTAAGATGAATTTGAATATTAAAAACGTTTTAATTAATAGCAGTTGAATCACAACGGGTTTACTTATTTGAATAAACAACCTAAACTTCAAACATTCTGTTAAAACCCCTCATTCTCTTTCGTAAATATCTCAGTGTTTCACAAAGGATTGAGTATGTTTTACATAGGATGAATAGAGTGTTTTGAATCTCTCCTTGTTTTAAACAAGCTTAAAATGTTTTTGCTTTTATGCAATATCAGTAAAGCTATAGTTAACAGAAGTACATTTATTTTAAGCACATTTATTATAAGTACATACATTTCAAAAGATATATTCAACTCCAGTGTAGGCAACAGAGCAAGACACTGTCTCCAAAAAACAAAATCATATTAAAATTTGAAATCCAAAAAATGAAATATATATAAGAGTTTAAATGTTTGCATTGTATGTGAAAGGTTAAAAGCACTGAACAAGCACTGCTATGGTTTCAATATGCCCTCCAAAGTTTATGTGTTGAAATCTTAATATCCAATGCAAATATTGAGAGGTGGAACCTTTAAGAGGTGATTAGGTCATGAGGGCTCTGCTTTCATGAATAGATTAATGTTGTTATCACAGGAGTGGGCCAGTTATAAAAGTGAGTTTGGCCGCCTCTCTTGAGCACACATGCTCTCTTATTTTTCCTTACTCTCTCTTTGCCCTTCTGCCATGGGATGATGCAGCAAGAAGGCCCTTGCTAGATTCAGGACTTCCCAATCTCCAGAAACATAAGCAAAATTAATTCCTATGTTTATAAATTAGCCAGTCTGTGATCGTCTGTCATGCCGACACAAAACAAAGAGAAGCATCTATAGAGAAAATATGTCTAGAAGAAGATATTTTGCCAACAGTCTTGGAATAAAGCTTGCTTTCTGAAGGATTTCAACATAAATTTAAAGAAATTCTTTAACTTAAAAATTAAGTTGGAATAAAAGATTGCAACTGCATTCAATAAAATAGTATTTATTTACTGTATCTTATAAATACAATATTGTTCAAAGAATTATAAAAATGTTTTGAAATGAAATAAATAATAAATGAATAATAAAAAAATTAAAAATAAATAAAACTGTATTTGTCCTCAAGGAATTTATAACACAGTAGTTAAAATACTAAGGATAATGTAACACTGTGATAAAAAATGATGATGGATTTCATGTTGGGAAGCAGTAAGTTGTACATATTAGAAAATTAAAAGTATCAGCTAGGAATAAAAGGATACATCTCCAACATGATAAAGGATATCAGTGAAAAGTCTAGGCTAACATCATAGGTAATTCATAAAGACTGGATGCTTTCACTCTAATACAGAAAAAGGTAAGAAACTCTTCTCTCATAGTTTACATTCAACATTGCATTGGTAGTTTTAGCCACGCAATAAAGCATAAAAAATAAAGACATGCAGACTGGAACACAAAAAGTAAGACTGTTATTATTTATAATTCAGTTGGTGTATATAGAAAATCACAAATGTCTACAAAAACCAACAAACTAATACAGAAGTTTAGGAAATTCACAAGATACATGATTAATATATTTTAAAAACTATATTTCTATGTGCTTGATGATGTAACTCAGAAATGAGATTAAGAAGACAATTCCATTCACAATAGCATTAAAAAACAGATTAGAAGTAAATTTTGACAGAAGTAGAATGCCTATACACAAAAACTTGTAAAACATTACTGAAACTAACTAAAGAAGATAAAATTTGATAATGATATCGAACAGAGTCATGGATTGGAAGTGTTTCTATTGTTATTTGGGCTAAATTCTCTCCATATATATCCATGTATTCAACACAATGCTATTAACTTCCTGCCAGTCTTTTTGTAGAAATTGAAATTGATTCTAAATTTTTAATGGAAATTTAAAAATCTAGGATGTTTACATTTTTTAAAGGAGAACAAAGTTAGAAGACTTACACTGATTGATTTAAAAACTACTATAAAACCATAGTAATCAAGACATTATATACAAAGATAGATCAATGGATCAGAACAAATATTCAAAAATAAACCCTTGCCTGTGTGGTCAATTGATTTTTTTAAAAGGTGGCTAGCAAATTCAATGGGATAGACAATAGCCTTATTTGCATATAGTGCTTAGGTAATTGGATGTCCATATGCAAAAAAAATACTAAAATCTGCCACTTTCTTCCCAGCATATCCTAAAATTAACTCAAAATAGATCATAGATCTAAATGTAAAATGTAAAACTATAAAACTTTTAGAAAAAACATAGAAAAAAAATCTTGGCAATACTGAGTTAAGCCATGATTTTTAAAAAAAAAAATGATGCCAAGAATTCTATTCATTAAAAAAAACTGATAAATTGACTTCATCAAGTTATAAAAGTATGCACTTAAAAATTACTCCTAAGGGAGAGGATTCTTGGAATGTGGAAGTGTAGGAAGCCTCAGGAATGTGTCTCCTCACCTAGACAACTATTGCACTGGCACAAGCTGTCCAATATAATTATTTTTGAACTCTGTAGTCTATTAAAGGCTTGCAATTTTGAAAGGAAGGCTTGGACCAAAAATTGCAGTTAATTTTTCAGTTTCAGCTCTTTGTAGAGTGGTGACTATCCATCCTTCTCCAGGCACATGGGAGGCAGAAGTACATCTGCTCCTGGAGAAACCTGCACATGCCATGGACAGAAAGGACCCTATCTTCCACATACTAGGGATCTGGTCTCTGGTTGCTTTTTTTTTTTTTTTTTTTTTTTTGACAGAGTCTTGTTCTGTCGCCCAGGCTAGAGTGTAGTGGTGTGATCTCCACTGACTGCGGCCTCTGCCTTTTGGGTTGAAGTGATTCTCCTGCCTCAGCCTACTGAGTAGCTGAGACTACAGGCATGCCCTACCACACTTGGCTAATTTTTATTTTTTTAGTAAAGATGGGGTTTCACCATGTTGGCCAGGATGGTTTCAAACTCCTGACCTCAAGTGATCCACCTACCTCAGCCTCCAAAAGTGCTGGGATGACAGGCCTGAGCCACTGCCCCCTACCTGATTGCTCCTTCTGATCACAGTGGTACACACAAAGAAACAGGTTTTCACTGATGTTGCACCTCTCCCTATAGTTGTAACCCTTCCCCTTTCAGCTAAAATTTCTGGGTATTAAAAGGCTGGTACCCTTTGCCACCTTTATTTTTTATTGTTTAGCTTCTTGGGGAGCTAGGCATTAAAGACAAAAATACTTAAAAAAAAAAGAAACAATTGCATATATGAAGAAATTAGAAAGTGTATGGACATGCCCAGGGAAAGGCTCAAAAAAAAATTACAAAAGCAATAACAATAAGAAAAACAGAAAACACAGAGAAAGAGTAAGAATTAGGTTTCCAGATTTATCACCTATTAGATTCAAATGTCCAGTTTAAAAAAAAAATCAAGCAGAAAATGAAACAGAAAAGTATGGACAGATTTCTAATGTGAAATGTTGGAGGTCAAAAGACAATAAATATGTTCAAAGTGCTAAAAGGAAAAAACTATCAGCTAAGAATCCTATATCTGGCAAAATGTTTCTTCAAAAGTGAGGAAATTAAGACATTCCCAGATAAATGAAATATCAGGAAGTTTGTTATCATTAGACCTTCTGTGTGACATATGAAGGGAGTCCTGCAGAGTGAAATGGAAAAAAGAAACCAACAAGCAAACAAAAATTTCCCCAAAATTAGACACTGACTTGAAGCCATATAAAGAATGAAAGATCTCAAAAGAGGCAAATATACAAACAATTATAAAAGTTAAATTAAACTGTAAAACAGTTTATAACTCTACTTTTGTTTTTACATAATGTGTGAAACTATCACACTTATAACAATTATTATTTTATGATGTGCAACAAACAATATATAAAAGTAAAATTTTCTAATATTAGAAACTAAAAGAAATGGGGATGGAGTTGTTAAATAAACAGTTTTTGAAAGTTACTGAAGTCACATATGTATAAATTTAAATTTGAGTTTTATAACTTTAGTGTTCAATGTAATTCTCATGGTAACTACAAAGAAAATAGCTATAGAAGATACACAAAAAAGAGAAAGAAATTTAAATGCTTTATTACAAAAAGCAATAAAACATAAAGAGTAATTCAGAAAATGAGGAACAAAAAGTAATGAATTAAACAGAAAACAAATAGCAAAATGACAGAAGTAAGTCTCTCATTATCAGTAATTATTTTAAATGTACGTGGATTAAACTCACCAATCAAAAGATTAGCTGAATAAGCAAAAAACAACAACAAAAAATACCCACAAAGAATCCAACTATATGCTGTGTACAATAGAATGACTTTAGACTGAAAACCATGTATAAATTGAAAGTAAAAGAATGGAAAAATATATTCTATGCAAATAGTAACAAAAGATTGCAGGGGTGGCTATCTAATATGATTAAATAAACTTAAAATTAAAGAAAGCATTACAAGAGACAAAGAAGGACATCATATTTTCATAAAATGTTTAATATATAATAAGATGTAAAAAATACTGTAAGTATTTATGCACCTGATAAAAGACCATCAAAATATGTGAAGCAAAATCAAACAAAATTGAAGGTTGAAAAAGACAATTCTACCATAATGGTTAGAGACTTCAAAATTTCACTCTCAATAATTATCAGGGGAACTAGCCCCCAATATTTCAACATAGGTTCTTTTCTATTTTCCCTAAGTGTCGTCTGGTCTGAGAAATAAAGAGAAAGAGTACAAAAGAAAGAAATTTTACAGCTGGGTCTCAAGGGGTGACATCACATGTCAGCAGGTTCCATGATGCCCACCTGAGCTGCAAAACCAGCAAGTTTTTATTAGGGATTTCAAAAGGGGAGGGGGGTACGAATAGGGAGTGGGTCACAGAGATCACATGCTTCAAATGGCAATAAAAGATCACAAGGCAAATGGGGGCAGAGCAGGATCTCAAGGCCAGGGTGAAATTAGAATTACTAATGAGGTTCCATGTCCCGCTGTGCATGCATTGTCATTGATAAACATCTTAACAGGAAACAGAGTTTGAGAACAGACAACTGGTCTGACTAGAATTCGCCAGGCTGGAATTTCCTAATCCTAGCAAGCCTGGGGGCTCTGCAGGAGACCAGGGTGTATTTTATCCCTTATCTACAACTGCATAAGACAGACACTACCAGAGTGGCCATTTTGGAGACCTCCCCCTGGGAATGCATTCGTTTTCCCAGGGTTATTCCTTGCTGAGAAAAGAATTCAGCGATATTTCTCCTATTCACTTTCTGAAAGTAGAGAAATAGGACTCTGTTCTGCCCGGCCCTACAGGCAGTCAGACTTTATGATTATCTCCCTTGTTCCCTGAAAATTGCTGTTATCCTGTTCTTTTCAAGGTGCCCAGATTTCATATTGTTCAAACACACATGCTTTACAAACAATTTGTACAGTTAATGCAATCATCACAGTGTCCTGAGGCCACATACATCCTCAGCCTATGAAGATGACAGGATTAAGTGATTAAAGTAAAGACAGGCATAGGAAATTATAAGAGTATTGACTGGGGAAGTGATAAATGTCCATGAAATCTTCACAATTTATGTTCAGAGATTGCAATAAAGATAGGCATAGGAAATTATAAGAGTATTGATTGGGGAAGTAATAAATGTCCATGAAATCTTCACAATTTATGTTCAGAGACTGCAGTAAAGACAGGCTTAAGAAATTATAAAAGTATTAATTTGGGGAACTAACAAATTTCCATGAAATCTTCATCATTTATTGTTCTTCTGCCATGGCTTCAGCCAGTCCCTCCATTCAGGGTCCCTGACTTCCCGCAACAAATAATGGATGGAACACCTGACAGAAAGTAAGGAAATCAAGCAACTCAATAAATCAACTACATCTACTATACATATAAAGCCCATTCTGACAAACAGCAGCAGTGTATGCATTCTTCTAAAGTGCACATGAGACATTTTTCAGGCTGGACCATATCTTAGGCCATAGAGTAAGTCTCAATAGATTTAAAAAGATATAAAAAATATTCTCTCTGACCACAATAGGATAAAGGTAGACATTAATAACAGATGTAAAACTGGAATTTTTTTTTAAATTGTGGAAATTAAATAACACACTCTAAGGCAACAAATGAATTAAAGACAAAATTGTAAAGAAAATTAGAAAATACCTAGAGATAAATGAAAATGAAAACAAAATACATTAAACTTTATGAGTTGCAACAAAAGTAGTGCTAAGGGAAAATTTATATCTATCAATAGTTAGATTAAAAAACAAGTAAGATTTCAAATCAAAAACCTAACTTTACAACTTAAGGAACTAGAAAAGAAAAGCAAACTAAATCCAAATCTAGCAGAAGAACAAAATAATAAAAATTAGAGCAGACACAAATGAAATAGAAAAAAGAAAAACAACAGATTAAATTAATGAAACCATAAGTTATTCTTTGAAAGGAAGAAGAAAATCAACAAGCCTTTAACTAGATGAAATAAAAATAAAAAGAGAAGACTCATACTAATACAATTAGAAATAAAATGGGGACATTAATATTTATCAATCATATAGAAATAAACAGGATTATAAGAGAGTACTATGAAAAATTATGTCACAACAAATTGGATAACCTAAATCCAGTAAAAAATGCCTAGGAGGACAACATTTTTCAAGATAAATAATGATGAAATAGAAAATCTGAATATACCTTCAACTAGTAAGAAGATTTAAACCATAATAATAATAATAATAATAATAATAATAATAAACTCTAAACAAAGAAAATGCCTGAATTTGATGGCTTTATGGATGAATTATACCAAATATTTTAAGAATTAACACCAATATTTCTCGGACATTTCAAAAAATGGAATAATATAAAACACTTCCTATCTCATTCTATGAGGCCATTATCACCTGGATACCAAAGCCAGAAAAAGACAAAACAGAAAATGAACAATACAGATCAATAACGTTTATGAACAGGATGGGTATGGTGGCTCACACCTGCAATTCCACCACTTTGGGAGGCCAAGGCAAGTGGATCACCTGAGGTCAGAAGTTCAAAACCAGCCTGGCAAACATGGTGTAACCCCATCTCTACTAAAAATACAAAAATTAGCCAGGCATGGTAGCTCACACCTGTAATCCCAGCTACTCAAGAGGCTGAGGCAGGAGAATTATTTGAACCATGGAAGTGGAGGTTGCATTGAGCCAAGATTGCACCATTGCACTCTGGCCTAGGTGACAGAGTGACTTTCTGTCTCAAGAAAAAACTAATAATAATAATACTCTTTATAAACATTGATGCAAAAATCATCAAGAAAATACTAGCAAACTGAATCCAGCAGCATATTGAAAGGATTATATACTGACCAAAATCATTTATTTCTGGAATGCAAAGATAGTTCAATACAGGAAAACTAATCAATACCACAATAACAGAATAAAGAAAATAATACAAAATCATCTCAATTTTTGGAGAAAATGTATTTGAAAAAATTCAACATCACTTTATGATAAAAAGACTCAATAAACTAAATAGAAAAAAGCTACCTCAACACAATAAAGACCATAGATTAAAAACTCACAGCAAATATTACACTCAATGGTAAAAGAATGAAATTATTTTTAATAAAATCAGAAACAAAGTAGAGATGCTCAATTTCACCACCTTTATTCAACATATTATGGAAAGTTCTAGTCAGCACAATTAGGAAATAAACACAACCAAATAGGAAAGAAAGGAAAAATTGTCTATCTTGACAGATGTTACTATGTTGTGTGTAGAAAATTTTAAAAGTACATAAAAATATGTGAGAACTAATAAATGAATTTTAAAAAGCAGGATACAAAGTAAGCACTCAAAAATCAATTTAATTTCTATGTACTAACAATGAACAATCTGAAAAAAAAATTTTAAATTCCATTTGTAATTGCAGCAAGAAAAATAAAATACATAGGAATTAACTAAGGAGGTGAAAGACTTGTACAGTTAAAACTACAAAACATTGCTAAAAAATTTAAAATATATAAGGAAATAAAACATGTTCTATGTTCATGGATTGAAAGGCTATATATATTATATATATTAGATTCAGGGAGTATATATGCAGGTTTATTACATGGAGGTATTGCATGATGCTTAGGTTTGGGCTTCAGTTTAACCCATAACCCAGATTGCAAACACAGTACCCAATAGGCAGTTTTTCAATCCTTGCCCCTCTCCCTTCCTCTTCCCTTTTTGAGTCCCCAGGGTCTATTGTCTATATCAATATGTCCATGTGTATGACACGATTAGTTCCTACTTATAAGTGAGAACATGCAGTATTTGGTTTTCTGTTTCTGTATTAATTTGCTTAGGATAATGGCCTCTACATTTCAACAGGTGAATGGATAAACGAATATTGCTGAAATGGACTATTTTTCAGCACAAAAGAAATAAACTACTGGTACATGCTGCAACATAGATTAACACCACAATTATTATGCTAAGTGAAATAAATCAGTTGCAAACAGTGCACATTGTCTAATTTATTAATGTGGCATTCCTTAAAATGTCAAATGAGAAAGCTTATGGGTGGTTGCCTGGGTTGGAAGTAGAAGTCATAAGTGACAGTAAATTCATATGAGAAAACTTTTGTGAATGATGAAAATATTCTGAAAGTCATTTGTGATGATGTTTGCACATACATACATTTATTAAAAATCAAAAATGATCTTTTAAACAACCAGCCCTCACATGAACTGACAGAATGAGAACTCATTCATTACCACAAGGAGATTACCAAGTCATTCAAGAGGGATCTGCTTCCATGACTCAAACATCTCCCTTTAAGCCCCATGTCCAACATTGGAGATCACATTTCAACGTGAGATATGGACAAACATCTAAATTATATCAGTTGTTCAGGAGCATGTTATTTAATTTCTGTGTATTTGTGTAGTTTTTAAAGTTTCTTTTATTATTGTTTTATAGTTTTATTCCATTGCTGTCTGAGAAGACACTTGATATAATTTTTATTTTTGTAAATTTGTTGAGACTTGCTTTGTGGCCTAACATATGTTTCTTTGTTGATTTCCTCTCTAGATGATCTGTCCAATGTTCAGAGCGGGGCCTTGAAGTCCCTGACTATTATTGCATTAAAGTAAATGTATCTTTCACTTTAATATTTGCTTTGAATAAATGTATGGGCTCTTGGGCAGCATGTTTCAGTGGAGATGGTAGTATCAGTGGAAGACAGGGAGATCCTGTTATCAGGACACATGCAAGTACCTGACAGCACTGCCTCTGTGGGGCTGGGTTTGCTCTCAGTAGTAACCATCCCAGGCTGGTGGCTCTCAGGCTTTGGGGAACACACATTTTGGCTTACTTTGTCCTATGACAGCCTTCCCAGTGCGCTACATCACCTATTTCCCAGTACATAGAACACTGTGTGTGAGGGTGCTGGGAAACTCACTGCATTGCTGCGTTCAACCAGTGTAGTGTCAATGCAGCCCTCTGGGTGGACACATATGTGTCAAAGGGCCTCCAAGGATATGGAGATGAAGAGGCTGTTGGGTCCCAAGTTAGAATGCAATCTGGTGAAGGTTCAGCTCTGAAAATGTCTCCATGCTTCAGCTTCTTTGGTCTTGGGGCACATGTGGGACACATTTTGAACTCTTTCTGTGGAGCAATGCCATAGGCTCCAGGCAGCTCCCTATACCAGTCTCCAGGTCTGCAATGGCAAAGAGGCTCTCTTATGGCTAGAATTGCAGGAGTCTATAGTATTAATAGCAATGTGGACTGCTGAGAATCTCTTAGTTACCCTTTCTCTGAAGTGAGGAGCCTCTCCATGATCCCAGTTGATTCCACCTGGGCTGTCTGCCTCATTTCACTTCCTTCCATGCCTTAGGTGTTTCCTGTCATTTATCTGCTGAATTCCAGTGTTCTCTCTTAGATGCTGTATTCATAGTGTGATTATCTACTCACTATTTTGGTTCTTCTTTGTGGGGGGCATAGTGCCCATTCCTCTAATCAGCTCTCTTAAAGCTCCCTCTCTTTCTGAAAATGTTTAAATGCCCTGAATTATTAACTGATGTTCATTACTACAAGGATTTTTACATTCTTGCTGTATCAAAACATCAAAGAAAAAGTAATGAACTTGTAATCCCAGCTACTCAGGAGGCGAAGGCAAGAGAACCACTTGAACCCAGGAGGTGGAGGTTGCAGTGAGCTGAGATCGCGCCACTGCACTCCAGCTTGGGTGACAGAGCAACATCGTGTCTCAAAAACAAAACAAAAAAAACCAGTAATGACTCATTAATAACATATGCTATTATACAATGCAGTTTATTTGAAATAAGTTACACAACTGTACAGGGGTCTGCTGTAGCTAAAATATTGGAAAATCGACAAATATTATATTTTACTATATGAGAATAAAAAATATCTGAGTACTATAAGAGTGAGAGATATATTTAAATGACTTTTCTTTCTCCTTTGCATGTCCTCTCCTCTTTACCTCTACTGTGCCTCTCCTGTATTTTTCCTCTGCTCTGTTTACATGTCATTATTTGTTCCTGTGATGGATTAAAGACTCTGTTGGCCATTATAAAATATTTATATTAGAATCTCAAAGAAGGCATTTAGTAACTTAAAAGCTGATAACAACTCAAAGTGCCTGTTTAAGATGTTGTTTTTAGAAAACCACTGACGAATTTGATTAGCTATAAGTAAAAGAAAAATACAGATATAGGTTTACGTTTTGGCTGATTAGCATATATGCTGCTCCAGAGAACATGCGTACTATGCTCTTTCAAGGATATAGCAAAGTCTAAAGAGTTTATTTGTAAACTTCCCAATGAAGTACAATTTTTACTGATGTAAAGGTCATTTAGTGCCATCTCCTTTCTATTTACCCTGTAATCATATTTGCCACTTTTGCCATGTTCTTCTTTTGTTTGACAGAAGAACAGGATTTGGAAACCTGGCATAGCACTGGTAATAATTTGCCAAATCTCTGATTTAGAAATTATAAAATAAATTGTGAATTTATTCTTGCAATATTAGGTTATAGAGTACATAGTTTCACTGCATTATCAAACCTATCTTGCACTCTCTTTTTAAATTATTTAATTTTATTTTGAATTGACAGATATATATATATATTTATGGGGTACAATTTAATGTTTTGATATATGTTTACAATGTGGAATGATTAAACTGGGATTAAATGATTTCATGACTAAAGCATGATTAAAACAAATCCATCACCTTACGTACTTTTTGTGTTTGTGTGTGATGAAAACGTTTAAAATCTACTGTTTGTCTTTCTTTTTTATAATCTTTAAAAAGTCTACCCCAGGATAGAAAATAACCCATGGGTTATTTTCTGAATTGATCTCTTAAATTCTACTAATGCAGTTTCTATTTATTTGGTGACCACTAGGACAAAGAACACTGCTGAGTACTGTATAGATATTATCAGATGTAATATTTATAATAGAATTGCAAAGTAGATATCTATATTCCATCTTACAGATTTGAAAACTGAGGCTTAAAGAGTTTAAGTGGTATTTTATGGCTTGCAAACTTGTAGGTGCCATAGCCATGATTCAAACGCAGATATAATTCTGAAATTTATAAGCTTAATCACCATGCTATACTGTTTTTCCCTTTCATCTCTGTGATTCAGTTGTACAGTTAAACACTTTGAATGTTGATTCTATACTATGTCACCTATGATCATGCATTTGGGTGGCTAAAACCTTCTGTAGAAACTTATCTTCCATGAAAATGTTCATCATTATGAATGTTGGACTTTATATTTTAGTTTGGTCTTCAGCCTTCTCCATCAATCTTTTTATTGGCATTGCCTTTAACAGTGATTTTAGACATTATAGTCTTTAAATTTCCTCTTAAATCCTTTTATAATTCTCAGTAGATCACGTTTATGCATAATATCTTTTGTTTTTTTCTCCTTTGATACCCCCATCACTTCATTCAAATCAATCTTTACTGCTCTTCTTCAAGTATTATAGCATGCATATATATATGCATCTAATGTCCATCTTCTTGTCTCTTCTGGGACTTTGCTCATTTGTCATCTACTCTCTCCCATTCTTTCTATTACTGCTCATTCCTTTCCTTCAGTTTTTAAACATGGTTAGGTCTTTCCTATATTTAAATTTTCTGCTTTGTCCCCTTGCCCATCTCTACTGCTCACTCTCTTCTATACAAAGCAAAATGGGTCCTCCAGGTTTCCAATAATTTATTCAAGCTTATCAGAGTCATGCAAAATACAAAAAGATTTGAAAACATGTTGTATCACTCCTCTCACTTCCATTTCACAAGACAACTACTTCTTCAGTCTTCCCCATCGCAGCACAAGATAGCATCATCCATCCCATTGCTTACACCAAAACTTCAGGTGGCACCCTTGTTCAATTTGTGTCCCTCCAGTTAGATAGTTAGTTCATTAGTTGTCCTGTTGGCATTACTACTAAAATAGATTATTAATCTAGTCACTTCTCATTATTTTCCTTGTTTTACTCCAAGACCAATTTATCATCTCTGACATGTCCTAGTTCAATAGTCTCCTCTCTGGCTTTCTTTGTTTTCCTTTTTGTCCCCAAAATAGTTTATAATCCACACAAGGATGACATTTCCTTTTCTAAAGTATATATATCAGATTATCAGTCATTCTCTTGCTTAAATAGTTTTAATGGCTTTTCATAGCAATGGAATAAAACACAAACACCTATTAAATCCTACAAAAATAGAATAGAATGTTGTATAGACCCAATAATGATAATATAATTATCATTATTGGCAAGTTGGATTACTCACAAAAGCCAAGCATTTTTTAATATAACAGCAGGAGGTATTGGATAAATGATAAACTATATCTCTGAAATTTTCAAGTTGGTAGACAAGAGAACTCTGATAGGTTTTTAAATTTGAGTATCCATTCTCGATTACAATTCTAGTAACTAGAACAAATTCTTTGCAATTTTGAATCAATTATTCTCTGCTTATAGATTTGACAAAGCAAAAGATTTACTAATTAGTTTAAGATTTGTTAAGATAATAATTTGCAATTATTAGTGTTGTTTTTACTTGAAAGGGAGACTCTACAAATTAATAAATTTTATGTTTTAAACTATGACTTCTTGAAAATGTTCACACCATTAATTGGTTATTAGATTTTTAAAATTTTGTTGATGATGTTTTTAAATATTTTAAAAATATTTTTAGTATTTAGGTGTGGGAAAAATTCTGTAGCATGTGTTGTCAAAGGCTTTTCAGTGACCATTTCTTACCTTTAAAATCAAAATACAAAGTGCAAACATTTAAATTTAGAAACGCCAAAGACAATGTGATTCTCCAAATGGAAAATTCACATTTTTTTCAGAATTTCTTGGAAAATAAAAACAAACCAAATCAATATTACTTGCATTAAGTAGCAGTAGCCAATTACAAAATGTAATGGAAGTAAGTAAAAATGCCTATGTGGTAAACTTAAGTAATAAACTTGTAAATGTGATTCATTAACTCTTCCAAAATGTATACCTCTGGAAGAGAAAGATAATAGACAATCAAAACCAAGGGTATTTTGCCATTTTTTATGGATACAATAAGAAAATTTGTATCCAGCATAATACTGTCATCTGAGAAGTAACTCCAGTGTTTATCATTAACTTATCCTAGAGACTTTCAAACCAGCTTCAAGGATAAAGCAACTAATCAATTAAGATTCATGAATTTTAATACTTAAGTGTTCATACTGGTTAACAATATGTATCGTAGAGACAGTTTCATAGGCTGAAAAGACTTTGGATCGTAATGGCATATTTATGTACTGGCATAATAATTCCTTGAGTAGACTAACTCTGGGAGGTATGTCAAGAGAATTTATAATATTTCCTATGGAACTAATTCCTTTTATTATTATGGAGTGTTCCTATTTATCTGGATTAAAGATTCTTACCTTACAATTGTCGTTCCATAATATGGTAAGTCTACCAGCTTTTTTGGGTTAATGCTTGCACGTACATTGCTTCATTCTGTGTAGATTTACAGAGCGTTGTTTTTGTAAGCCACAATAAATGGAGATAAATTTTTATCTGATCTGACAATTTTAAATTTTTCTTAATACATTTTTTATTTACTGTAATTAATATATCTGTTTAGATCTACTATCTTACTATTCATTTTCTATATGTCTCATACTTTTTATATTCTAGTATCTTTTCTGTCTTGATGACTTAGATTATTCAAAATTATCATTGCTTTTTTTCCTCCTATAACTTGTCGGTTACGCTTTTTTTTTTACCTGATTTTAGTGATTACACTAGAGGCTACCATATGCGTCCCTGACTCATTATGGGGTTAGGACCAATCATTACTTTTTTAACTTCCTCAACTCAATAAAAATTTTGAACCTTTAAAGTAAATATATATTTCCTGTGTTTTACATTATTTCATATATGTAAGCCTTCTCTCTCTCTTTAATGTGTGTGTGTGCATGTGTGTGTATTTCACACAATGAATTATTTTGCACTGTCAATATATATTAATATTTGCCACATCTTTACTTTAGATACTGTTCTTTTTTCACTAACTACTTTAATCCTGGCTTACTGTTCTCAGGCCTAAAGAACTACTAGTAACTCTTTTGGTATAGGCCTGTTGGTGATAAATTTTTGGTGATACAGTTGGTGATACAGTTTTGGTTAGTCTTAAATGTCTATATTTTGCCTTAATATTTAAACAGAATTTTACGTTGGTATGGAAAAATAAAGTTAGCGCCCCCTTTTCTTCTCCTGCACTTTGTTGATGTTGTCCCATTATCATATTTTGGCTTTCCTGCTGAGACACCAGTTCCACTGAAGTTAATTTGTTTTTCCATCTGACTCTTTTAAGATTGTCTCTTTGTCTTTGATTTTCAGCCATTCTTTTAATTAATTCATTTTTTAATTTTTAAAATTTCAGTTGCTTTTGGGATATGAGTGGTTTTTGATTACATGGATATATTATATAGTGATAAATTCAGAGATTTTAGTGTACCATCACTCAAATAGTGTATGTTGTACCTAATATATACTTTTGTAGCCCACACCCCCCTCTCAGCCACCTGCTTCTGAGTCTCCAAAGTCCATTAAATCACTCTATGTGCCTTTGCATATTCATAGCTTAGCTCTCACTTATAAGTGAGAACATATGGTATTTGGTTTTCCATTCCTGAGTTACTTCACTTAGAATAATGACCTTGATCTCTATCCAAGTTACTGCAAAAGAAATTATTTCATTTTTTTTATGGCTGAGTAGTATTCCATGGTGTATATATACCACATTTTCTCTATCCATTCATTGGTTGATGGGCACTTAGTTTGGTTTTATATATTTGCAATTGTGAATTGGTTTGCAATAAAAATACATGTTCATGTGACTTTTAAATATAATGATTTCTTTTCCTTTGGGACAAGAAAGTAGTGAGATTGCTGGATCAAATTGTAGATCTACTTTTAGTTCTTTAAATAATCTCTGTGCTATTTTTCATAGAGGCTGTACAAATTTACATTCCCAATTTTAAGCCATTTAACTACGCTGTGTTCATTTTTTGTTTGTTCATTTTGTTTTAGAATTTATTCTACTTGGAGTTATCTTAGATTACTGAGTCTATGATTAAAAACCTTTAATTTTTGGAAAATTTTCATTCATTATATTCTCAGAAAGTCCTTTTGCTCCTATTTTTATTTCTCATTATGTAACTCATATAACAAGTGTATTAGACATTTTGTTGATTCTTATACTTCCTTTATACAGCATTTTTAAAAAGTATTCTTTTTTTTACATTTCAATTTCTATATGTTCTATTTATCTGCCTTTGAGTTCACTAATCAAGTATGCTGCTGTTCAATGAGTTTAGCAAGTGATTAATTTTAGATATTATTTTAAATGATTTTTAAGGAATCTAGTTCTTTGTGGAAATTGTCAGTTCCTTCACCTGTTTTGAAAATATTTTCTCATTTAATATATTCATCATTGATTCTGACCTACTACATTATATTCACAACCTCTATATTGTAAATTTGTACTTATTTATGAAAAATTTGGTATTTTACAAGATATGTGAAATAAAGAAAAATAAAATATTCTATTAAATTTCAATTTGCTTATGAAATAGATATTTTGGGAACTCTCAAAGCCATCAACTATGTCACCAAGTGGCAGAGAAAATCTTGGTCATATCTCAAGAATTTACTAACGTAACTTTTGATATAAAAAATTTATGGTAACCTTTACTTCATAGCCTGAAAATTATGAAGAGTGATGAATCAAGGAGTTTGAGGAACTCTCAAAATTGGAATCTACATGTGTGAGACAAAAAAATGAAATAACCTATTTAAACTAATGAATGTGATTATACATGCAGCAATCTGACATTAATGAGATGAGATTTGAAAATTATACTTAAAGAATGGATCTATTGAAAAACCCAAGGAGCAATTGAAAAAAACAAAATAAATGATACATTAGCATATGTTTCTTGATTAAAATGACATCAAGGCAACGTTGCATGATACACTTCATGACAAACTTCATATTAAAATTACAATGGGAAGTGACATCAGCAAGATGGATGAATAGGTCTTTCCAGGACTCTTGCCCTTATAGAAATATCAGTGCACAACTATTCAACCACAAAAGTTACCTTTGCAAGAGCTGTGGAAACCAGGTGAGAAATTACAGCTCCTGACTGTAGTACAAAAATAATTTTTAAAAGATGCCTGAAAGAGGGTAGGATGGACAGTTTTACATTGCTTGCATTTTACCTGTCCCAACCCCATGCAACACAGTATGGAGAGAAATATCCTCCACATAGAGAAAAGACTGTAACCTGAGCACTAGAGTTTGTCTTGGACCCCGACACTGAGCCTACTGTAGTAAAATCTAACACCAAGCAGGTCCTCACAGCTCCAGGCCAGTATCTGAGGACAAAACCTTCAGGTCTGCTCCACTGCCAGGCTGGCCCCCACAGTCTCAAGGCATTAGGTTCATCCCAGCACCTGTCTGACCCTTACAGCTCTAGACTTTATGCTAACAAACTGCAGACTTAGTTTCTAGACCTACCCCTTCACTAAGCTGGCCCCACAGGCTTAGGCTCCAGGTCCATCACAGGGCTAGGGTAGCTCCAGAAGCCTAGCCCTAGCAAGCACCTGCAAACTTAGGGTCAAGGCCCACTCTACTACCAGACCAACACCAGTGGTACTAGGCTCCCGACTGTCCTCAGCACTGAGTCAGATGCCTTCCTCAGCAATGAGTCTGAGGCCTTCCTCAGGGCCAAGCCAGTCTCCACAGTGTTAGTTACCAGGCTGGCATCCATGGACCCAGACTATTTGCTAGCTCCTTGGCCCCAGGTAGCAAGCCAGTATTTGAAATTCCAAAGCCTAGAACTTCACCTGGACCCAGCCTCTATACCTACCCTAGCACAGGGCCAGCCTCTCAGCCCCAGACTCCAGATTAGGACCCATAGCTTCCAGGTCCTCCCCAATATCAGGTCAGCACCCACAGACTTCAGTTTCAAGCTAGGACCTGCTGAACCAGGACCCAGTCCACTTCAGTGCCAGGCTAACTTCTGTGTTTTCAGGCACCACACCAGCACCCTCAACCTCAAAATACAGGTTAAGCCCCAACCCATACACTAGAGCAACCCAACACCAGGCTGATTCACATATACCCAGCCTCCAGGCCAACCCTAGTGCTGGGTTGACACCTATGGAGAGCAAACTCTATGCTGGCCACTCTGGTTTATGGCATCAAGGTGGTACTGACAAATCTAACCTCTAGGGCAACCCCCGTGGACACAGGCTTCAGGCTCACTCAGTATTAGGTTCACTCTTGCAGCCTCATGGTGGTTGACCCATGAAGGGTCAACCTGTAACTTCTGTGCTAGGTTGATCCATGAAGACCCAAGGGCTAGGATTGCTTCAGAAGACTCAGGGTCCAAGCTCATCCCTGTAAGCCCCAGTGCTGGGCTGGTCCCCACAGAGCCAAGTTCAAAGAACACCCTAGTAGACACAGCTTTTGGGCTTGTACTGTGTGACCCAAGAACCCAGGCCAACCTCCACAGACACAGACTCTAGGCCCACCAAAGCCAAGCCAGCCACCAGGATCCCAGGCTACTGGCCATCCCTCACAAACCTAGCCTCCAAACCAGGACCTGTGCCCTCAGTATTTAGGGCAGTGCCATAAATCCAAGCTCCAGGGAAGCCCCTGTTGGTCAAGGCACTAGGTCAGCACTTGTGTCTCCACGCTCTGGGCTCATCCCCATGGCATCAGGTTTAGATTCAAGGTCCAGGAGAAGATGGCACCAGGCCAGTCCCCATGGACATAAGCTCCAGGGCTTCCCCAACAGAAGACTTACCCCTGTGGACTCAGGCTCAAGGGCTGTTTTTACACACCAAGCCTGAAGGCCCATCTTATAACCAGTCCAGTGATTACAGACTCAGGTTCAAGGTTCACCCCAGATCCATATTGTCCCTCATGCACCCAGGCTTCTGGTTGACCTCTGTGGACCCAAAACCCAGGCCTGCCCTAGCAGAGTCAATTTCATGCCTACTGCAGTAAACCCAGATTCTAGGCCCAGCCCTACAGAAACAAATGCCAACTCTATCCTCCTGCTTACTCCAGGAGAGTGGCCTTAGGACTGTAATGGTAATCCCACATACAGACCACACTTCACAAACTTCTGAGAATCTCAGGACAGACTGATTGTCAAAGGGCTATCTGAAATTACCCTGTCAGAGGAACCAAAAGGAAAAAAGAGTGAAGAAAGCCTATAGTAACTATGGTACACCATCAAGTAAATCAATATACATAATAAATATCTCAGAAGAAGAAGAGAAAAAGAAAGAAAAAGAAAGCTTGCTTTAGGGAGGGGTCAAGATGGCCACGTATAAACAGCTCTGGTCTGCAGTTTCCACTGAGACAAATGCAAATGGTGAGTGATTTCTGCATCTCCAACTGAGGTACGCAGATTTTCTCATTGGGACTTACTGGGCAATTGGCGTGACCTACGGATATCACGGTCAATCAGGTTGGGGAGATGGTCCACCCAGGAGCTGTGTGGGGCAAAGGGACCTCCCTCCCCCAGTCAAGGGAAATGGTGAAGTACTGTGCTACCCACCCAGAGTTCTACACTTTTCCCACAAATTTTTGCAATCTGTGGATCAGAAGATTCCCTCATGTGCCTACACCACCAGGGCCTTGGGTCTCAAGCACAAAACTGGGCAGACCCAAGGCAGCTGCACCAACTGGCAGCTATTAGGGTAGGTACTGAGCTGCAGGAGATTTACATACTCCTGCAGCTCCCAGAACTACAGGGTGGCAGGAGAGCCATCCACTCCGAAGCCAGGGAGCCAACTAGCTCAGTGGGTCTCACCCCCATTGAAATATGCAAGCTAAGACCCACTGGCCTGGAATCCCCACTGGCCACCACAACAGCCTGGAGTCTGCCTAAGATGACTGAGTAGCCAAGGAGAAGGACAACCATCACGATTGCAGCTCTAGTTGGCAGTTTCCATTGCCAGTGCTAGGGAGACTGGGCAGTTTGGGCTGGGTGGTATTCCCCACAGTGCAGCACAGTGGCTGTGGCAGATTATGGCCAGACTTCTTCTTTGGCAGAACCTGGATTTATCCCTCATCACCAAATAGGGCCTCCATGCAGGAATTCCAGCAACTCTAGCCAGGGGCTTTCAGACAGAACTTTCACCGCCCTGGGACAGAGTACCTGGGGGGAGGGGTGACTACAGTCTCAGGTTCAGCAGACTTAATCTTTCCTCATGCTGGCTCAGAAAAGTCCAGACAGTCTGGACCAGGAGAATTTCCCCCAGCACAGTGCACCAGCTCTTCCCCCTGATCTCGTGTCTCCTGATCTCCCATCAGGGGTAGCCAGACAATGCATACAGGGGAGTTCCAGCTGGCATCAGGTTGGTGCCCCTCTGGGATGAAGCTTCTGGAGGAAAAAGCAGGCAGCAATCTTTGCTGTTCTGCAGCCTCTACTGGTGATACCTGGGTGAACAAGGACTGGAGTGGACCCCCAGAAAACTGCAGCAGACCTGCAAGAAAAGGGCCTGACCATTAGAGGAGAAAGAAACAAAGAGAAAGCAATGACAACAACAGCAACAACAACAACAAACCCCAAAAATTCCCATCTAAAGGTCAATAGCCTCAAAGAGCAAAGGTAGATAAATCCATGAAGATGAGGAAAAATCAATGCAAAAATGCTGAAAATTCCAAAAACCAGAATACTGCTTCTCCTCCAAATGATTGCAACACCTCTCCATCAAGGGCACAGAACTGGGCTGAAACTGAGATGGATGAACTGACAGACGTAGGCTTCAGAAAGTGGGTGATAACGAACTTCACTGAGTTAAAGGATTATGTTCTAACTGAATGCAAAGAAGCTAAGAACCATGACTAAACATTACAGGAGACGTTAACTAGAATAACAAGTTTGCAGAGAAACATAAATGACCTGAAAGTGCTAAATGCCATAGCACAAAGACTTCATGATGCAAACACAAGTAAAAATAGCCAAATCCATCAAGCAGAATAAAGAATATCAGAGCTTGAAGACTACCTTGGTGAAATAAGGCATGCAGACAAGGTTAGAGAAAAAATAATGAAAAGGAATGAAAAAAGAAAATTCAAAGAACTATGTAAAAGCACCAAACCTATGACTGATTAGAATAGCTGAAAGACATGGAGAGAATGGAACCAAGGTGGAAAACACACTTCAGGATATCAATAAGGAAAGGTTCCCAAACTTAGCAAGACAGACCAACATTCAATTTCAGGAAATCCAGAGAACCCCAATAATATACTCTGCAAGAAGATCAACCCCAGACACAAAATCATCAGATTCTCAGAGGTCAGAATGAAGGAAAAAATGTAAAGGGCAGCCAGAGAGCAAGGCAAGGTTGCCTGCAACAGGAAACTCATCAGACTAAGAGTGTACCTCTCAGCAGAAACCCTAATAGCCAGGTAAAATTGAAGGCCAATATTCAACATTCTTAAAGAGAAGAATTTCCAACTCAGAATTTCATATCCAGTCAAACTAAGCTTTATAAGCAGAGGAGAAAAAAATCTTTTTCAGACAACCAAATGCTGAGGGATTTTGTCATCACCGGGCCTGCCTTGCAAGAGCTCCTGAAGGAAGCACTAAACATGGAAAGGAAAAAACCTTTACCAGCCACTACAAAAAGACACTGAAGTACATAGACCAATCACTATGAAGCAACTACATTGACAAGTCTGCAAAATTAGCCAACCAGAATTGTGATGACAATATCAAATTCACACATAACAATATTAACCTTAAATGTAAATGGGCTAAATGCCCAATGAAAAGACACAGAATGGCAAGCTGGATAAAAGGACAAGACCCATTGGTGTGCTGTACTCAAGAGACACATCTCACATGCAAACACATATAGGCTCAAAATAAGTGGAATGGAGGAAAATTTACCAAGCATGGAAAACATGGAGGGGGAAGGGCATCTGCCATTACTGAGGCTTGAGTAGGCAGTTTTCCCTTCACAGTGTAAACAAAGCCTCCAGGAAGTTAGAACTGGGCAGAGCCTACCTCAGCCCTGCAAAGCCATACTGCTTGTCTAGATTCCTCCTCTCTGGGCAGGGCATCTCTGAAAGAAAGGCAGCAGCCCTAGTCAGAGGCTTACAGATAAAACTCCCATCTCCCTGGGACAGTGCACCTGGAGGAAGGGGCAGCTGTGGTCTCAGCTTCAGCAGACAAACGTTCCTGCATGCTGGCTCTGAAGAGAGCAGTGGATCTCTCACCACAGCACTCAAGTTCTGCTAAGGGGCAGATTGCCTTCTCAAGTCAGTCCCTGAACCCTATGCCTCCTGACTGAGAGAAACCTCCCATCAGGGGTCAACAGACACCTCATACCGGAGAGCTCTGGCTGGCATCTGGCAGCTGCCCCTCTGGAACGGAGCTTCCATAGGAAGAAACAGGCAGCAATCTTTGCTGTCCTGCAGCCTCTGCAGGTGACACTCAGGCAAACAGGGTCTGAAGTGGACCTCCAGCAAACTCCAGCAGACCTGCAGCAGAGGGGCCTGACAGAAGGAAACTAACAAACAGAAAGGAATAGCATCAACATCAACAAAAAGGAAGTCCACAAAGAAATCTCATCCAAACATCACCAACATCAACGATAAATCCACGAAGATGAGGAAAACCAATGCAAAGAAGCTACAAATTCCAAAAACCAGAATGCCTCTTCTCCATCAAAGAATCACAGCTCCTCACCAGCAAGGGAACAAAACTGGATGGAGAATAATTTCGACAAATTGACAGAAGTAGGCTTCAGAAGGTGGGTAATACCAAACTCCTCCGAGCTAAAAGAGCATGTTCTAACCCAATGCAAGGAAGCTAAGAAATTTGAAAAAAGATTAGAGGAATTGCTAACTAGAATAAACAGTTTAGAGAAGAATATAAATCACCTGTTGGAGCTGAAAAACACAGCACGAGAACTTTGTGAAGCATACACAAGTATCAATAGCCAAATGGATCAAGTAGAAGAAAGGATATCAGAGATTGAAGATCAACTTAATGAAATAAAGCATGAAGACAAGATTAGAGAAAAAAGAATGAAAAGAAACAAAGCCTCCAAGAAATATGGGACTATGTGAAAAGACCAAACCTACATTCGATTGGTGTAACAGAGAATGATGGGGAGAATGGAAACGAGTTGGAAAACACTCTTCAGGATATTATCCAGGAGAACTTCCCCAACCTAGCAAGACAGGCCAACATTCAAATTCAGGAAATACAGAGAACACCACAAAGATACTCCTTGAGAAGGACAACCCCAAGACACATAATCGTCAGATTCACCAAGGTTGAAATAAAGGAAAAAATGTTAAGTGCAGCCAGAGAGAAAGGTTGGGTTACCCACAAAGGGAAGCCGATCAAACTAACAGTGGATCTCTCTGCAAAACCCTACAAGCAAGAAGCCAGTGGAGGCCAATATTCAACATTCTTAAGGAACAGAATTTTCATCCCAGAATTTTATATTCAGCCAAACTAAGCTACATAAGTGAAGGAGAAATAAAATCCTCTACAGACAAGCAAATGCTGAGAGATTTTTGTCACCACCAGGCCTGCCTTACAAGAGCTCCTGCAGGAAGCACTAAAGATGGAAAGAAAAAACCAGTAACAGCCACACTAAAAAAATACCAAATTGTGAAGACCATCAACACTATGAAGAAATTGCATCAACTAACTGGCAAAACAACCAGCTGGCATCATAATGACAGGATCAAATTCACACATAACAATATTAACCTTAAATGTAAACTGGCTAAATGCACCAATTAAAAAACACAGACTGCCAAATTGGATAGAGTCAAGACCCATCAGTGTGCTGTATTCAGGAGACACATCTTATGTGGAAAGATATACATAGGCTCAAAATAAAGGCATGGAGAAATATTTACCAAGCAAATAGAAAGCCAAAGAAAGCGGGAGTTGCAACCCTAGTCTTTGACACAACAGACTTTAAACCAACAAAGATCAAAAAAGACAAAGAACGGCATTACATAATGGTAAAGGGATAAATGCAACAAGAAGAGCTAACTATCCTAAATATATACACACCCAATGCAGGAGCACCCAGATTTATAAAGCAAGTTCTTAGAGACCCACAAAGAGACTTACACTTCCACAAAATAATATGGGAGACTTTAACACCACACTGTGAAAATTAGATCAATGAGACAGAAAATTAACAAGTACATACAGGATGTGAACTCAGGTCTGGACCAAGCAGACCTAATAGACATCTACAGAACACTCCACCCCAAATCAACAGAATTTACATTCTTCTCAGCACCACTTCACACTCATTCTAAAATTGACCACATAATTGGAAGTAAAACACTCCTCAGGAAATGGAAAAGAATGGAAATCAAAACAGTCTTTCACACCACAGTGCAATCAAATTAGAACTCAGGATTAAGAAACTCACTCAAAACTGCACAACTACATGGAAACTGAACAACCTGCTCCTGAATGACTACTGGGTAAATAATGAAATCAAGGCAGAAACAAATAAATTCCTTGAAACCGAGGAGAACAAAGACACAATGTAACAGAATCCCTGGGACTCAGTTAAAGCAGTGTTTAGAGGAAAATGTATAGCACTAAATGCCCACAGGAGAAAGCAGGAAAGTTCTAAAATTGACCCCCTAACATCACAATTAAAAGAACTAGAGAAGGAAGAGTGAACAAATTCAAAAGCTAGCAGAAGACAAGACATAACTAAGACCAGAGCATAACTGAAGGAGTAGAGACATGAAAAACCCTTCAAAAAATTAATCCAGGAGCTGATTTTTGAAAAAGATCAACAAAATAGACCACTACCCAAAATAATAAAGAAGAAAAGAGAGAAGAATCAAATAGACACAATAAAAATAATAAAGGGGATATCACCACTGATCCCATAGAAATACAAACTGCCATCAGAGAATACTATAAACAACTCTACACAAATATGCTACAAAATCTAGAAGAAATGAATAGATTCCTGGACATATACACCCTCCCAAGACTAAAGCAGAAAAAAGTCAAATTCCTGAATAGACCAATAACAAGTTCTGAAATTGAGGCAGTAATCAATCAATAGCCTACCAACCAAAAAAAGTCCAGGATCAGACAGATTCACAGCTGAATTCTACCAGAGGTTCAAAGGGGAGCTGGTACAATTCCTTCTGAAACTATTCCAAACAGTAGAAAAAGATGGACTCCTTCCTAACTCATTTTATGAGGGCAGCATCATCCTGATACCAAAACCTGGCAGAGACAACAACAAAAAAGATTTCAGGCCAATATCCCTGATGAGTATCAATGTGAAAATTCTCAATAAAATACTGGCAAACAAACCACCAACACATCAAAAAGCTTATCCACCAATGTAAAATTAAACAAATTTACAAGAAAAAAACAAACAACTTTATCAAAAAGTGGGTGAAGGATATGAACAGACACTTGTCAAAAGAAGACATTTATGCAGCCAACAATCAGATGAAAAAGCTCATCATCACTGGTCATTAGAGAAATACAAATCAAAGTCACAATGAGATACCATCTCACGCCAGTTAGAATGGTGATCATTAAAAAGTCAGGAAACAATAGGTGCTGAAGAGGATGTGGAGAAATAGGAACACTTCTACACAATTGGTGGGGGTGTAAATTAGTTCAATCATTGTGGAAGACAGTGTGGCGATTCCTCAAGGATCTAGAACCAGAAATACCATTTGACCCAGCAATCCCATTACTGGATGTATACCCAAAGAATTATAAATCATTCTACTATAAAGACACATGCACATGTATGTTTATCACAGCACTATTCAAATAGCATAGACTTCGAACCAACCCAAATCCCATTAATGATAGACTGGATGAAGAAAATCTGGCACATATACTCCATGAAATACTATGCTGCCACAAAAAAGGATGAGTTCATGTCCTTTGCTGGGACAGGGATGAAGCTGAAAACCATCATTCTCAGCAAACTAACACAAGAACAGAAAAGCAAACACTGCATGTTCTCACTCATAAGTGGGAGTTGAACAGTGAGAACACATGGACACATGGAGGGGAACATCACACACCGGGGCCTGTAGGGGTGTTGGGGAGATAGGGTAGGGATAGCATTGGGAGAAATACCTAATGTAGATGATGGGTTGATGGGTGCAGCAAGCCACTATAGCATGTGTATGCCTATGTAACAAACCTTCATGTTCTGCACATGCATCCCAGGACTTAAAGTAAAATACAAAAAAAGAAAAAGAAAAAGAAAAAGGAAGAAAGTGAAAAAGACAGCCAATGGACTGGGAAATTAAATAACCTACTTCTTAACAGTACATATATATAAATCATACATGTAAACCAAAATGTATCTGAGACAAGTCTCAATCAATGTAGAAGTTTATTTTGCCAAGGTTAAGGACATGCCCATGACAGCCTTAGGAGGTTCTACCAACCTGTGCCAAAGGTGATAGGGCACATGGTTTGGTTTTATACATTTTAGGGAGACATAAGACATAAATTAATGCATGTAAGATGTACATTGGTTCAGTCTAGACCATCAGGACAACACGAAGTGGGGGCTTCCAAGACATAGGTGGATTCAAAAATTTTCCAGTTGGCAATTGGTTGAAAAAGTTAATTTAAAGACCTGGAATCCATAGAAGAGAGGGTCTTGGTTAAGATAATGGTTGTGGAGACCAATGTTCTTATGCAGATGAAGGCTCCAGGTAGCAGACTTCAGAGATAATAGATTGTAAATATTTCTTATCAGACTTAAAAAAGGTGCCAGACTCTTTGTTTTATTCCAGGAGAGTTAATTGTCTCCTGGATCAGGGGACAGACCTTAAAAGGAAAAGCAATTCTCTACAGAATGTAGATTTTTCCCCAAAAGAGACAGCTTTGCAGGGCCTTTTTAAAATAAATAAATATATTTCAGGGTAAAATATTTTTATTTCCCTCAGAATCTGCTATTGATCATGTGATGCCATACTAAGGTCAGGCTGAAACTTGCTTTCTTAAGGCATTTTTCCTACAAAAATGTCTTTAAAATATCTGTTTTAATGTTAATGCTGGTCAGCTGTGCCTGAGTTCCAAAGGAAGGAGGGCATAAAGGTGCATGTTTGACTTCCTCTTCCTATCATGACCTGAACTAGTTTTTCAGGTTAACTTTGGAATGCACTTTGCAGAAAGAATGTGTCCATTCAGATGGTTGGGGGAGCTTGTGATTTTATTTTTTAGTTTACAATTCATTTGATAAAGGTCTAATATCCAGAACATATGAAGAATAATTATAAGTCAACAACATAGGATCAACATCCCAATTAGAAAATAGCCATAATACTTAATGGACATTTCCCCAAAGAAGGTATACAGATGGGCTAAAGACAATAAAGAGATTCTCAACATTATTACTCATTAGGGAAATGCAAATCAAAACTAATGAGACAATATTTTATATCCACTAGCATTGCAATAACAATAATACTACTGAAAATAACTCATGTTGGTAAGGATGTGGAGAATTTGGAAGCCTCGTGATTTCCTGGTCAGAATATAGAATGGTTTAGCCTCTATGAAAAAAAGCCTGGTAGTTGCTCTAATAGTTAAACATAAAATAAACCTATGACCCAAAACTGCCACTCCTAGGCCTATACCCCACATAATTAAAAAGAGGTACTCAAATACATACATCTTCACACATGTCACATAAGTACTTTTACAATAGCTGAAAGGTGGAAACAACTTAAGTGTCTTTCAACAATGAATGACTAACCAGGTGTGGCATATACATAGAATAGAGTATTATTCAGCTTTAACAATAATGAAGTATTGACACCTATTTTAATGTGACTGAAACTAAAACCTTATGCTAGGTGAAAGAAGCCTGATACGAAGTTCATATAGAGACAGAAAGCTGACTGATGGTTGTCAGGCCCTGGAGAAAGAGAGGAATATGGAATAAGTGCTTAATATGTATGGGATTTTCTGGGGGGTATGAAGAAAATGTTTTGGAACTAGATAGAGATAATCGTTGTACAACATCATGATTTTACTAAATGCCACTTATTCATTTACTTGGAAATTGTTAATTTTATGTAAATTTCACCTCAATTATGAAAAATGAAATGGAATTTTAGAAATGATCCGTATGTAACTCAGGAAATATGGCAAATCAGTTTTGCTGAGTCAAAAGGTTAAAGCACTAATAATGAGAAGAGGCTAGATCAGCCAAATAAAGAAAATAAATCCTTAAGGACAAGGGCACAGCTGTTTGAAACCACCTAGCATTAGATGTTAAGGGGGTCTAGATGTCCTCTCACAAAGATGGAAAAATCCCAAACTTTTGTTACTGCATTGTTTAACATTTAAAGGGAAGATGTTAAGCATTGTAGTAGTGATGGTTCTATGAATGTATTTTGGATTGAATTTTGTCTCCCCAAAATTTATACGTTGAAGTCCTATCTTCCGGTATCTCAAAATTTGACTGTATTTGGCAATTGGGTCTTCACAAAGAAAACTAACATTAAATGAGGTAATATGGATGGGCCCTACTCCAACATGACTGGTGTCATTCATGTTTAGGATAGTCTATGGCTGCATTATTTGCAATGCATTGATTTGTATATGGCTTATAGGAATATTCTGGGAGCATAAGACAATATAGTATTTCTAATTATATCTATGTTATAAGCAATGTAACTTCATACTACATAGTTTAATGTATTCTATATAATCAACCTAATATACGGCATTGGAACATCTGCATGCACAGATAATTGTTTATGGGATATTTATGGCTTCTGTACGTGTACTCACCTCACTCAGATAAAACAGGCAAGAAGTAAAAATCATCCAATTTATCTCTTTCATATTAGAAAGCATAGTGTAGAAAATTTCTTTAGTGAGGTTAGAGGCACATAATTTTTAGAGAAGGGCTTATTTACTAGTATTATTTTACTTCAAGAGGAACAAGTAGAGGGAATTTACATGTGACAATTGAGATTACATGCAATTACCAAAACTTTTTAAAAACTATTTGATATTCAACTGATTTCATGATTTACTTCTTTCTATTTTTAATAAATACTACATCAATAATTGTTTCTGATAGATATCTACAATGCAAAGTTATAAAAAAGCTAATTCCACTTTTAATGTAGAAATTTATTTAAATTAATTTAAAGAAATAGTGTTTCATTGGAGGCTAATTTCACTAATGGATAAACGTATTAAATTCAAGAAGGTAACTGAAATTTTAAGGAAGAAAGATTATTTTATGGTCAAAGTCATTTGCAGTTGTCTCTGTGAAGAATGAGTGTGATTAAACCCCATAACACATAGTGATTTCTAAATCTCAAAGAAGCTAGAACAAAAAGTGTTCTCCCATGTTTTACAGAATTTCTCAAACAAGTTATTCACTCTAATGGGTGGTCATTCTGTTAATATGGAAGGCAAACACAGCATTCTAATCTACTTTATTTCTGTGTATACATGGTAGGCCTTGCTAAGAACTTAGCCTGACATTAAAACAATGAAAGCCTTTGGAAATTGTGAGCCATATTTGCTGCTGAGCAAAATTTAAACTTCCAAGGTTTTTAAATAAAATTCCTTTCAATTAACAATGCTTAATAATGTATTGCAGTTGGATAAAAATTGTAACAAGGCAAGCCATAAAGATAGTTATGCTAATCTTTAACAATATTTCTTAGCATCAGTATAAGTAAATTTGTAGCTATGGGAGATATAAATACAATGTTTGAACCATTAGAAGAACTTTCTGAATGTCATCTCAATGAGAGATAACTACTGATGTACACATAAATATACTGAAGTTGTTGGTTTCAAGGAGAGAAAAGGAAATGGTTTTATTATTTATTATTGTATTATTGTTTAGAGACAAGGTCTCCCTCTTTTACCCAACTTGGAGTGCAGTGGTGCAATCAGAGCTCACTTCAGCCTTGACCTCCTGAGCTCCAGTGATCTCCCTGCCTTAGCCTTGTGGGTGGCTGGGACTACAAGTATGACACTATATCCAGCTAACTTTTGTTCACTGTTTTGTAGAGATGGGGGTCTTACTGTGTTGCTCAGGCTTTTCTTGAACTCCTGGCTTCAAGTCATCTTCCTGCTTATCCCTCCCAAACTATTGGGATTACAGGGATGAGCCACCATGCCCAGCCCCAAACAGCTTTTATTTGATGTATGAGGGTTTAAAATGATTAGAAATAGAAAATACTTGGTAAAGTGCCAAATTTTGTAATAAAAGTAAACTAAATTAAAGCTCAATCAAAGAAAGTCATGCATAGAGAAAAATACATGATAGCAAAATTTGGACAACTATGATTATGCAGCCAAATCTTGATTGGGTCTCCAAGAATATAATGTTAAAACAACAAAAACGGCAATAACATCAACAAATTAGCAAGCAAAAATACTGATCTGCTGTAGATGTAATTTAAGCATAAGAAAATAAAATTCTAATACATTATTCTGTAAATCACTGTGGAACTTAATTTTTAGTTTCAAGAAAAAGGCTTAAAATCTAATTTGACACACCATCATACTATATTGCAGTAGTCCTCCTTATCTGTGATTTCAGCTTTCATGGTTTTAATTACCCATGGTTACTGTGTTCTGAAAATATTACATACAATAAGACATCTTGAGAGAGAGAGAGAGTACATTCACATTACTTTTATTACAATATATTGTTATAATAGTTCTAGTTTATTATTAACTATTGTTGTTAAGTTCTTACTGTGCCTAATTTATCAATTATCTTTATCAGAGGTGTGAGGTATATGAAAGTCAATATATGTATATAGGTTTGATACTATCTGCAGCTTCAGGCATCCACTGGGGGTCCTGGAATGTATCCCTGTTAGATAAGCAGAGCTACTCTATTTTATCACCTCAGGTTTCTCAAAGGGAATGTATTACCCTTAATCTCAAGTATTTTGCATGAATTTATATAACTGCACCAAGATTTTGTGTTCTCAACAAAGTTGTTAGCTTAATCAGAAAAAAATGATAGATAAGTGAGAGTAGTAGTTTACTTGTGAAAATAAAATTGATGAATTACATGAAATCAGATTACATAATTTTTGAATTCAAAGAGCCTGTAGAGGTCATTTAAAAATTCAGCCCCCTAGTTTTACAGATGGAGAAGCTAGGAATAAAATCAGTCATAGAATACAGTTGCTCATGTAACTTGTTCTTTTTATATACACTTCCTTTTATTGTTCCTGAGACCTAAATCAAGGCTTATTTCCCCCCAAGTACCATACTTCATTTTTTGATGTAGCCTAGCTTTATATACTAAAATTTACATAAAACTATATGGTTCCTAACCCATAACTCTAAATGAAGTTGACAGTATGAACCAAACTCTAATTTCATATCACAGAACATGATGAATAAATGACAAAATATCAATTAATAACTGTAGCTAATTGTTTTAAATCCAAAATTTTTTACACTTTATTCAAGCAGTCTAATCCTGAGAAAATAAAGACTTCTTTACAAATTTTCTGCAAAGTCACTATGACAGAATTAACTTGAGTAAGGGTGTTGTCCAAGGCTAAGAATATTATTCAAAGATATAAACAAAGAAGACAATAAATTACTAAGCAGAGCGAGTATATGAGACATGGATTTGGAAATAAATGTCAGGTTGTTGAGCCAAACTTGATAAGGTAAGATGATTTCAGGAGATCCACGAGACAAACCAAAACACAAGCTTAAAAGTGGCTACAGGATTAAGATCAAAATGCAATTTACTTGTTCTATAGGATTACATAACCTATAATCTTTCCAACTGATTTACCTCTGGGATAACCACTGCATACTCATCGTATCTACCAATATCCAGCGTTCTGGTTCTTATGACAAAAAGCATTAGGCAGCATATGCTATTTTCTTATGTATCCATTTTATTTGACCTTTTATTGAGAAGAATTTTTCTATGTTGGAAGCAAAGATTCACGTTTTTACCTTCTCCTTTTTATCCCAAGTTTATTCAAATTCATGATCTTCTACTTACTACTTGTTGAATTTGTCACAAGTTTGCGATAAAAACTATTTCTTAATCAACTAAAGCAGTCCTTGTACTGTTACAGGAGTCAAGAAAAAAGAAAGCATAAACATGTCTTTAAATTATAAAGCATTAAAATATTATGTAGGATTTGTATATAATTACCCAACAATTACTGCCTCTTGGAATAGTATAATGAGTATGTGTGACACTGATGGAGAAGGAATATTTGCAGAATGAAAAAGTATAAAGAGCTTTTATGAAAGTTGAACGTTAACTTTTTCTTGTTAAAAATAAATTATGGAAGAGAAAGGAAGATAGGAAGAGATTATCAGAATGATGACACACAAGAGAAAGTAATAATGGCCCAATTATTACTGGGGAAAATGGCACAAACTCATGTATTTAAGTGTAAATCTATTACTTACTTGCTCCCTTATTATTATAACTTCAGCAAGAAAGGGATTGAAAGGAGGAAAGGACCAGAAAGAAAGCAGTATCCCACCCATCTCACAAAACGAGAAGTTGGAAGGCAGATCTCTCTCCAGTATTCTCCTTAGTAAATATCTCTCAATCTGGAGGAGAAGTGAAAATTACTCTTTCTTTTCTGAAAGTCCCAGTCAGCAACATGAATTAATATTATTTCCAGTAATATAATTTTTCATGTGCAAAAAATTAAGTAAAATTCGCAAGTAATGGAATACATAAATCTTAAATGTACAGTTCAAAGAGTTTGGACAAATGCATATGCCAGTGTAAGTCATATCCTGATCAGCAAATGCCTCTGTCAACAAAGAAAGGTTACTGGTGATACTCCCCAAGCAGCCCTCTCCTCTCACCAAAGGAAACTATTTTTCTGACTCATATCAAAGTAGATGTGTGTGCCTGTGTGTGTGTATACATGTGTCCAGATTCTTTCTCTATACATAATGTCTTGGAGATTCATTTATGATGTTTATGTGTCCATGGCTCATTGCTTTTCATTGCCAGATAATATTTCATTTATTATTTTAAAAATGCTTCAATTTATTTATGCATGCTCCATTGATAGATATTTGTGTTGTTGCTAGCTTGCATCTGTTATGAGAAGAGACAGTATTAATCTTCTTGAATATGCTTGGAACATGTGTTTTAATTTTTCTTGGATGAATTTCTAGGACTGAATGGCTGTCTTATAAAGGATGTTTACATCTAATTTGCAAAACTCTGCCTAAACTTTCTCCAGAGTCATTGCACATGTTACCTTACCTCCAGCTGTATATGAGAGTTCTGGATGCTCCATAATCTCACCAAACAAATCTAGTGTTACTAGACATTTAAAAATAATTTTAGCCTTTCTACAGATTTTATAATATATCACATTGTGTTTTAATTTGCACTTCCCTGATGTCAAATGATAAACTCACATAGCATATATAACTTTGCATAATATCTATTTGCACCTTTCGCTCTATATAGTCTGAAAAGCTACAATAAATATTTCCCTAAGATATGGTATTTTAATGGTGTTTTCTAATGACAAGAAATTTTATAATGAGATATAGCCTAATTTTAAATTGTTTGTTGTTTTGTTTAATGGTTAGTGCTTTTGAACTGACTATATGGTGCTGATCTATCTCTGTATTATCTACTTAGTTTTTTTAGTTCTGTTGATCTATTTTTTAATTTTTGCACCAATACCACACAATCTGATTACTCTGTCACACAATAATTCTTGAAATAAGGCAGTGTAAGGCCTCAGATATTGTGTTAGGTCATTTTCATTTACATATAGACTTTTAATATTCAGACTATACAAAATAACTCAACAGTAAAAAAAAACACAAATAATTCCATTAAAAAGTGGACAAAGGATATGAGTAAACATTTATCCAAAAAAGGCATTCAAATGTTCAAGAATGACATGAGAAAAAATGCTCAACATCACTTATCATTAGAGAAATGCAAATCAAAACTGCAGTGAGATATCATCTTACCCCAGTTAGAATGGCTATTCTTTAAAAGACAAAATAGACACTGGTGAGAATGTGGGGAAAAGGGAACTCTTAGATACATTAATTTCACACACATTATACACCTAGAAGTACATTCTTATGTTTTCTTCAATGTTGATTTACATTTAAAGAAATTAAGATGAGAAAAAAACTGCATTATATTTACCTATGTATCATTTCTAGTAAATATTATTCTTTCAGTAAATCTTATTTTCTCTCTAGTATCACACCCTTTAATATGAACAGTTTTTCAACTTTTTTCTCTCATTTTAAATTCATTCATATTTTGTTTATCATAATGCATCTTTATTTTTCACTTTTTGAAAACTGATATTTTGGTTTCATGTAAACTTCTAGGTTGATGTCCTCCCGACCAGAAGCTAAGAGGTGGCATTGGTTGTTTTCTTACTTCCATTGTTTCTGATGAAAATTCAACAGTCATATTTATCATTCCCCTCTTTACAGGGTTTCTTTTTTCTCTTATTGGTGTTTTTTTTTTCTTTTTTTCTCTCTCTTTTGCTTATTATAATTTGGGTCTGATATGCCTTGGTGTGGATTATATATATTTATGTTTGTACAGCCTTGGGTTCAGTTACCTTATTAGATCTGTATGTTAACATTTCTAAACAAGTTTGAAAACTTTGGAGCCATTATTTCATTCAATATTTTTCTGTACCAATATTTTACTTCTCTAATTTTCTTTCAGGACTCCAATTACAAAGTGTTAGACGTCTTAATATAATCCCATGAGCCATTGAGACGCTGTTCATTTACTTTATTTTTCTTATTTATTTCTCTTTTTAAAAGATTTATTACATCTTTATGCTTTTGTTTGCAAATTTTCTATTTCCTATGCAATTGATCATTTCTCATGCAGCTTTTAATCTTTTCTAAGTGCATCTAATGGTATTTTTGTTTCAGATATTTTATTTTTTCCCACTTACATTGTCCACTTGATACATTTTTAAACTTTTTATTTCTGTGTTAATATTATCCTTTTCTTTACTCATAATATTCTTTTTTTCTGTTATATCAATAAACCTATTTATAATGCCTAGTTTAAGTTACTTATTAATTCTAACATCTGTATCACTTCTCATTTTGTCTCTGCGATTGTTTCCTTTTTCTTGTATATATTTTTTGCCTTTCTTTGTATACATTACACACTGGTTTTATGCTTGGTGTACTAGACACTTTTGTCAGTCAGTGTTCTCCAGAAAAACAGAACCACTAGGAGATTCTGTTTACAAACCGAAGGCTTGTGGGAACCATGCATTGAACAAGACTATAGGAGCTATTTTTCCAACACATTGTGCTAACTTCATGTATCTATGTTATATTTTGGTAATTCTCATAATACTTCAAACTTTTTTATTTCTGTTATGTCAATTATGGTTATCTGAGATCAGTGATTTTTGATGTTACTATTACCATTGTTTGGGAGTGATTGTACCACTGTCATATGAGATGGTGAACTTAATGGATAAGTGTTGTTTGTGTGCTGACTTCTCCATTGATCAACTGTTCCCCTATCTCTCTGCCTTTCATTGGGCCAACCTATTCCCTGAAACATGACAATCTTAAAATTAGGTCAATTAATAACCCTACAATGGCCTCTAACTGTCCAAATGAAAGAAAAAGTTTCACATCTCTTACATTAAATCAAAAGATAGAAATTATTAAGTGTAGTGAGGAAAGCATATTTAAAGCTGAGATTGGTCAAGAGCTAGCCCTTTTGTGTCAAAGAGCTGGCCGTGCTGTGGATACAAAAGGAAATTAAAAGTGCTACTCCAGAGAATACACACATGATAAGAAAGCAAAACAGGCTTATAGTTGGTATGGAGAAAGTTTTAGTGGTCTGGATAGATCAAACCAGCCACAGCATTCGATTAAGCCAGAGCCTAATCCAGAGCAAAGCCCTCACTTCTTAAATTCTGTGACATCTCAGGGAGTTGAGGAGGCTGCAGAAGAAAAGTCTGAAGGTAGTATAGGTGGTTCATAGGTTTAAGAAGCCATCTCCATAACATGAAAGTGCAAGGTGAAGCAGGAAGTGTGAATTTAGAAGCTGCAGCAAGTTATCCAGAAGATATAGCTAAGATCATTGATGGAGATGGCTTCACTTAATAACAGATTTTCCTTTTAGACAAAAGAACTTCCTACTGGAAGAAGATGCCATTTAGAACGTTCCTAGCTAGAGAGGAGAAGTCAATGCCTGGCTTTAAAACTTCAAAAGAAAGGTTGAATTTCTGATTAGGGCCTCATGCCGTTGGTGACTTTAAGTTGAAACCAATACTCATTTACCATCCTGACAATCCTAGGGCTCTCAATAATTATCCTAAATCTACTCTGCCTGTGCTTTATGAATGGAACAACAAAGTCTGGATTACAGCACCTACGTTTATAGCGTGATTTACTGAGTATTTGAAGCCCTGTTTGAGAACTACTGCTCAGAAAAAAAAGATTCCTATCACAATATTACTGTTCATTGACAATGTACTTGGCCATTCAAAAGCTCTGACGGAGATGTGAAAGGTGATTAACGTTAACCTCATGCCCACAAATACAACATCCATTCTCCATCCCATATGTCAAATAGTAATTTTGACCCTCAAGTCTTATTATTTAAGAAATATATTTTATAAAGTTAGTGATCTCACTGATAAATCTGGTCAAAGGGAATGGAAAACCTTCTGGGGAGAATTTGCTATTCGAGATACCATTCTAGAACATTTATGATTCATGAGTGGAGGTCAAAATATCAGCATTAACAGGAGTTTGGAATAAGTTGATTCCAACCCTCATGAATGACTTTGAGGGGTTCACAACTTCAGTGGAGGAACTCACTGCAGATGTGGTAGAAATGGCAAGAGAAATAGAATTAGAAGTTGAGCCTGAAGATGTGACTGAATTGCTGCCATCTCATGATAAAACTTCAATGAATGAGGAGTTGCTTTTTATGAATGAGCGAATAAAGTGATTTTTTGAGAAGAATTTACTCCTGATGAAGACACCGTAGACATTGTTGAAATGATAACGAAGGATTTGAAATATTCCACAAACTTAGTAAATAAAGTAGTGGCAGTATATGAAAGATTAACTTCTATTTTGAGAGAAGTTCTACTGCTTGTAAAATGCTATGCAACAGCACAGAATGCTGCAGAAGAACCATTTATGAAAGGAAGAGTTAACTGATGCAGCAAACTTCACTGTTGTCTTACATTTTAAAAAAAATTCACAGCCACCCCAATCTTTTGCAACCACTATCCTGATCATTCAGCAACTATCAACATCAAGGCAGGTTACGCCACCAGCAAACAGTTTACACTTGCTGAAGGCTCAAATGATCGCTAGCATTTTTTAGCAATAAAGTTTTTAAATAATTGAAGTATATATATTTTTCTTTTAAACATAATGCTATTGCACACTTCAGAATCTATAATATAGTATAAATATAACTTTTATATACTCTAGGAGACTAAACAATTTGTGTGTTTGGCTTTACTGCAATATTTGCTTTATTATGGTGATATGAAATAGAAGCCACAATGTCTCCGAGATATGTTTGTGTTGTGTGTGTGTATGTGAATACATGTGGGTGATTAATATATGCATATATATATATATCATGTATCATGAGAGCTAATTCTATATATATATATACACACACACACATATATATATGTTATACACATATATAATTATATAAATATGGAATTAGCTCGCATGATTATGGAGAATAAGTGCCACAATCTGCAATCTGACAGCTGGACATCCAGGAAAGCCAGTGGTATAGTTCAGTCTCAGTCCAAAGGCCTAAAAACTAGAGGAGTCAATAATGTAAATTCCAGTTTGAGAGCATAGAGCTGAGATGAGATGTCCCAGCTCAACAGTGAAGGTAAAGAAAAGGAGTCCTTCTTACTCTGCCTTTTGTTCTATTCAAGCCCTCAGTGGATGTGATGAGGCCCAACTTCGATGGTGAAGGCAATATACTAAGTTTACCAATTCAAATGCTAATCTCGCCCAGAAACACCCTCACAGACGCATGTAGAAACAATATTTAATGTGGCCACCCCTGTGACCCACTCAAATGACACATAAAATTAACTGTCACAATGCTACATTGTTGAGATTCTGAATTCTCTTATCTTCCTTTAGAAAAGAAGGACTTTTGTTTTTGTGGCACATCTCCATGTTTTTGCCTCCTATAGTTGATCTGCCTTCTAGGCCCAATCACTAGTCTCTGTTTTCTCCGCTTTTCTGGACTCCTACTCTCTGTTTGGGGTTTACTTCTCTATGCCACTCTGGAATGCCCCCACCTCCCCAGTAGAAAGCTAGTGTTTATTTGATGCAATGGTTAATACTAAGTGTCAACTTGATTGGATTGAAGGATGCAAAGTATTGTTCCTGGGTTTGTCTGTGAGGGTGTTGGCAAAGAAGATTAACATTTGAGTCAGTAGACTAGGGGAGGCAGACCAATCCTCAGTCCCTGCAGGCAGAATAGAAAGCAGGCAGAGGAATGTGGAGAGATTAGACTGGCTTAGCCTCCCAGCCTATATCGTTCTCTGGTGCTGGATACTTCCTGCCCTTGAACATGGGACTCCAAGTTCCTCAGCTTTGGAAGTTGGACTGGCTTCCTTGCTCCTTAGCTTGAAGACAGCCTATTGTGGAAACTTGTGATCATGTGAGTTAACACTTCTTAATAAACTCTCATATCTGTCTGTCTATCTATCTATCTATCATCATCTATCTCTATATATATGGATATAGTCCATTAGTTCTGTCCCTCTAGACAGTCCTGACTAATACAGATTTTGGTACCAGGAGTAGTACTAGAGGAACAGAATATTAAGGATGAAGTTCTTTTGTTGCTTTTAGGGTTTCTGGAGTTGGCTACTTAATATGATTAGACCCCAAAATACTAAGGACTCTACTTCTAATAGTATGGAGAACACTGAGAGTCCTTAGTGGGAACTGTTTAGAGAGTTATGCAAAATAAATGAATTTGACACCCCTGATTCACTGCTTATGAGAGGCAAGGAGTTTAGTGACTCTATATGTAATACCTTTGACCATATGTGGAGAAACAAGGAACATAATGAAGTTGGTTTGTTGCTCCTAAGTTCACTGGACAAAGCGATGGAAAAAAATGATGAACTCAGGGATTCTAACTCTCAACTTCAGAACCAGATGCTGAGCCTCAAATCTGCTAAGATTGCCCTGAGTGAAAGTCTTATCTCCTGTAGAGAAAAAAACTGAAATCATGGAAAATCAGTGTATGATATATGGTACTCTGTTTCTCCCAAAGCCAGGATCCATGGGTTCAGAAATCAAGGGGTGGAAGTGGATGTGGCACCACTCCTTGTCAAGCCTAGTGATCTACTAACAAAATTTTTGCTTCCCTTTCCCACAACATTGTGTTCTGCTGGACTAGAGTTCTTAGTTCCAGAGGGAGGAACACTGCCACCAGGAGACATATCAATGATTCCATTAAACTGGCAGTCAAGACTGCCACCCGGACACTTTGGACTCCTCCTACCTTCAAGTAAACAGGCTAAGAAGAGAGTTAAAGTGTTGGCTGGGGTGATTGACCCAGACTATCAAGATGAAATTGATTACTCCACAATGTAGGTAAGGAAGAGTATGTGTGGCATACAGGAGATCTCTTGGGGCATATCTTAGTATTACCAACCCCTCTGATTAAGATCAAAAAGAAACTACAACAACCCAATCCAGGCAGGACTGTAAATGACCCAGACACTTCAGGAATGAAAGTCTGGGTCATTCTACCAGGAAAAAACCACGACCTCCTGAGGTGCTTGCTGATGGCAAAGGGAATACAGAGAAGAAGGTAGTCATTAATACTAGCTATGACCACATGACCAGTTTCAGAAACAAAGACTGTAATTGTCATGAGTATTTCCTTCTTCTTTTGTTAAAAAACATGTTTGTGCCATGTATACACTTGTATTAAGGAAATATCTTCATTTTATTTCCTTTTTCCTTTATCATGTGACATAAGATTTATTGACTGCGTATCAGCATTTAAGTGTTGTTAACTTTATGTAATAGCATTTGAATTGGGGATAGGTACATTTCTGGTTGTATGAAGAAGAGCTGTATCATGTTACGCATAATTATGGTCTTACTGTTTTTATTTGAAGATTATGTATGATCTCAGGAGACTTGTATGGGTCCAACTTGACAAAGAGTGGTCTTTTGATGGTTAAGACTGAGTGTCAACTTGATTGGATTGAGGATGCAAAGTATTGATCCTGGGTGTGTCTGTGAGGATGTTGCCAAAGGAGATTAACATTTGAGTCAGTGGACTGAGAGAGGCAGATCCACACTTAATCTGGGTGAGCACCATCTAATCAGCTGCCAGTGCAGCCAGAATAAAAAGCAAGCAGAGAAATGTGGAGATATTAGACTGGATTAGCCTCCTAGCTTACATCTTTCTTCCATTCTGGATACTTTCTGCCCTCAAACATGAGACTCCAAGTTCTTCAGCTTTGGAACTAGGACTGGCTTCCTTGTTCCTCAGCTTGCAGATGGCCTATCGTGGGACCTTGTGATCATTTGAGTTAATACCTCTTAATAAACTCCCTTTTATATATATATATATATAAAATATATGTAAATATATATATAAATGTATATTTAAATTATTTATATTATATAAATATATAAATATATATTTAAATTATTAATAAAATATATAAATAAATATTTAAATTATTAATAAAATATATAAATATATATTTAAATTATTTCTAAAATATATAAATATATATTTAAATTATTTCTAAAATATATAAATATATAAATATATATTTAAATTATTTCTAAGATATATAAATATATAAATATATATTTAAATTATTTCTAAAATATATAAATATATAAATATATATTTAAATTATTTCTAAAATATATAAATATATATTTAAATTATTTCTAAAATATATAAATATATAAATATATATTTAAATTATTTCTAAGATATATAAATATATAAATATATATTTAAATTATTTCTAAAATATATAAATATATAAATATATATTTAAATTATTTCTAAAATATATAAATATATATTTAAATTATTTCTAAAATATATAAATATATAAATATATATTTAAATTATTTCTAAAATATATAAATATATAAATATATATTTAAATTATTTCTAAAATATATAAATATATAAATATATATTTAAATTATTCATTATATATAAAATATATAAATATATATATTTAAATGTTTAAATTATTTAATTAAATATATATTTAAATGTTTAAATTATTTAATTAAATATATATTTAAATGTTTAAATTATTAAATTAAATATATATTTAAATATATATATTTATATATATATATCCTATTCGTTCTGTCCTTATGGAGAACTGACTAATACATTTGAGCTTATCTAATTGTTACACTCAAAGACAACAGTTCTGTGTTGTTTGCTATCTAATTCCTGAAAACAGTTGCTTTAAGTATTTTCCAGTTGTATAGTTTTCTGTTGTTTGTTTTTATGGTTGGAGAATGTGTTCAGTATTCATTAATTTTTCATGAATAAAATTATAAGTACCCTTTGTTACTTTGGCTAGATAAAAAAATCCAGCACTGTAACTAGGAGGTAAAATTTGGATTCAAACATTCAACCATGGCACTATTTGTGCAAATTTGTCATTTTATTAAAGTTGATATAACATAGATCCACATAATAAAATTTTTGAATTTTATGTATCTTGTAATGTGGATAGAATATAATCACAAAGAGAATATAATCAAGTTTCTCTTTCTCTTTAGCATTCTTGGTCTATACTCTATGTATCATCTGGTAGTTTTAATGTAAGTAAATAAGACCAGGTGACTATTTATCTGTTTTTAAAAGTGAAAAATCAGAGAATAAAATGCCAGAAATATGTGTTATGGATATAATGAAACCAAAACTAAGATTTCCTTGTCATTATGAGTGCAAAAAAATACTTTGAATAATAAAAAAATCTAATGTTTTGGAACAGGGGCTTACCATTTTAAATATTAGCTATAGACTCTATTGTGTTTATTTTTATGTCATTTTAAATAACAGCATTAAATTTACAGCCATGTGGCTTAAGATAGATTGTTGTAAAATATTATTTGTGACACCAAACTGCTTACCATCACTGCCTTAAGAAAATTACATTCTTCTTTTCACTAAATTGAAATTTGACTTTCTTTTTCCATCACACTGTATTTGTTTGTACACATATGTTCAATTTACAGTTTCAAACATGTGCTGTAAAATAAAGTGTATTTTTTTTGAAAATATAAATTAGGAGTATGCTCTCCCTTTAGAATAGGAAAACTTCTAATAAAATTATATTGTTCTGGAGAAAATAATATTCATAGAATGCATTTTATCTCATGGGTATATCACCATTTTAATCATGAAATTCAGTATTATATCATATTGAAATATATCTAAACATATTATATTTGTCTTCATTGCTCACATTTCAGATTTTGAGTAAGTTATAGAAACTTAATCATGCCATAATTTTATTGCTACATAATTACATCATTAATATGATAAGAATTTGATCAGAGCATTAAGGTAATAATAGTTATGTAGTAGCTCATTTTTAAGCTAGCTTAGAACATATTTTGTTTTTGTGAGTGACTTAAAAATGCATTATTTTATTTCAACATATTATTAATATTGGATTTTTAAATAGATATTTATAATGCAAATGAGAACAATAACATGAAATTGTACACAATAAATTTCTTTTTTTCTTTGAACCCAATTTGTTGTCCATCCCCCTTTTTATCTCCTTAAAAATTCTATCCTAGAACTTAACAAATATGTCACTTCAACTATCCAATACCAACTAGAACGTTTTCAGTTGCTAAGAAACTAAAATAAAAGATCCTCCTGGATTTTTCCTAGATAAACTTCACTAGTTGACCTGTGTCTTCTTTTCCTTAATTATGTTTGGTAGAGAGTTTGAGTATTTATTTTTATTATCTGAGGACATAGATTATACCACTGAAATGCTTAAACTTTCAATAACAAGCTATTATTACAAAAATTGAAATAATTAGAATACAACCACATGCTTAAAAGTCAAGATTACAAACCATTCCCAGAGTGGGTCATAAAAGCCTCATAAAGAAGACTGAATTTGAGTTCAACTTTCTTATTATAAACTAGTTTGTAGTGAGTATCTACTGAGTGGTAGGTGCTAGGCTAATACTTTTGTATGGGTATATTAAGTTCTATGAACAATCTATGAGTAAACAGTCTACAGTATTCTTCCCTTAATTTTCAAATAATGAAATTAAAAAATAACAATTTAACAAGGGTCATAGAGCACACTTGCTGCTTAGTCAGAATTTATTATGTGATATAAGGTAAAAGCCTGCTTTGTTAACCACTGTACTTTAAAGCAGAGTTAAAAATTGACTCTGTTGTGTGAGATAATCAATATTAATGTTGTAATATATGGCAGTGATTGGTAAAATTTTTCTTTAAAGAGCCAGACAGTAAATAATATTTTACAATTTTCAAGCCATATAGTTTCTGAGGCAATGACTCATTTCTGTAGTTGTAGCACAAAAACAGATTTAGACAATGCATAAAAAAATGGACATGGTTGTACTCTAATAAATCTTATTTACAAAACAAGCAATGGCCCAAATGTGGAATGTGGCAGTACATAGGCTGCCAACCCCTGAAAATGGTCCCAGCTGATTATTATTTTATTCTTATAATGTTAGCAGAAAACAAACATTCTAATTTAAAACATACAATGGAGTTTCTTACACTCTGTATCACAGAAGTAATTTCTTTTTTTTTTGGAGTCTGGCTCTGTTGCTAAGCTGGAGTACAGTGTCACAAACTCGGCTTACTGCAACCTCCACCTCCTGGGTGCAAGCAATTCTCCTACCCCAGCCTCCCAAGTAGCTGGGACTACAGGCATGAGCCACCACACCCAGGTAATTTTTGTATTTTTAGTAGATACAGGGTTTCACCATGTTGGCTAGTATGGTCTCTATCTCCTGGGTGAGCCACCATGCCCAGCCCACAGAAATAATTTCTACAACACAACTAAAGATATAGATGCTGAAGGCATTGACACAACACCTAATAATATACAATGAACGTGAACAACACATACATAAATTGTTTGATAAATAATTTAAGTAAAGCATTGAGAATCTATGTGTTTTCCTTGCCTCTTATCACCATTCCTTCATTCACCAAACATTTTTAGCATCATACAGTGTATGAATCTTATAATATATCAGTGGTCATAGAGATCTGTCACTATTAGTTACCACTAATTAAGTTGTTTGAAACATCTTAGTCTCTTCAAATTTTTAGGTCAGCCTATTGGCTTAATTTGTATAGTTAATTTAACTAAGCTGGGAAAATGAAGAATCTAGGGCTGCATTATAATGTTAATAGAATTAGCATCTATATCTAAGGTGGTCAAGTTGAATTAGGCACTGAGAACAAACAGCAATGGAGTCACATGATTTGGATTTCAAGTTGATATAGCTTTTTATACTAAGATGTTTGCTAAAAACTAAGCATTTGAGATAACTATTTCTTCTTACTTATTTATTCATTTATTTTGAGACAGATTCTCACTCTGTTGCTCAGGCTGGAGTGCAGCGGCGTGATCTCAGCTCACTGCAACGTCTGCCTCCTGGGTTCAAGCGATTCTCCTAGTCTCAGCCTCCTGAGTAGCTGGGATTACAGGTGCCCACCAACATACCCAGCTAATTTTTGTATTTTTAGTAGAGATGGGATTTCACCATGTTGTCCAGGCTGGTTTCGAACTCCTGACCTCAAGGGATCCACCCCCCTCGGCCTCCCAAAGTGCTGGGATTACAGGTGTGAGCCATGGTGCCCAGCCGTTCTTCTCTTTTAATAATGAAGCAGTGCTGTTTGTCTAGGGAAATACCTGAGGTTCATTGTCTCATGCCAAGGAAATTGAAGATATGAACACACAAGAAATGAGTTTAAGAGCGGTTGTTTAATAGATGAAAGAAAGAGAAAAGAGAATAGCTTTCACTCCTGCAGAGAGAGAGGAGCTCCTTAGTAGGACTTCCAGTCCACAGTGAGGTGCATGGAGTTTTACAGACTGGCTTGAGAAGGCAGTGTCTAACTTACATAGGGATTAGTGGATTTGTTGGACCAGGTGTGCTATTTAGATAGTGCATGAAGAGGCTGGCCATACCACCCTAATCTTTTATTATGCAAATGCGGTCTTTACCTGGCTGGTATCATGTTCCCTGCACATGTGGCAACAAATAAAAGGGAAGAGGGGACCTCCATGTTGAATATACCTGGCTTCCAGGTATTCCTTTTCTATTGGCACCATTGCCAACATTCATCTGTGAAAGCTTCCAGCTTGCTTATCTATGTTTGCAGCTTGATTTTTTAGGTTGCTTTTTGTTAGAAAATAAATGACTTTGGGGCTGCTTTCATTAAAAGTGAAACCTTACAGAAGACTTTCTTACCCTCACTATCTGCCTAATCAATTTCTTTTTAACTCCTATATCATTCCCCCCATCAGGAGTGGTAACTCTAACTGCTATTAGAGGTGTTGGATGCTACTGGCTCTTTCTGGCTACATCCCACTGAAAAGGGGTGTTGTGTGGGAAACAGTGGCTAGGGCTCCTTCTGGGATCTATCTAAGAGTCCTTGGAAGAAATGCATGTCTATCCATGGTTCTTTCTGCAGCACCATTTGGAGTTTGATTGTTTCTATGCAACAAGAGAGAAATTTTAGTTTAAATATAAGTATTAAGATTACCACTATTAGTGTGGGTACTATAGGCCACAACCATGGCAGTAGAGTTTGATACCTGTCAGCCATTCCGATGGGCTGTAATACTGGTTTGCCTCCACCAGATGTTGCTGTACTTTACCAGAAGTGTTGATATAAAAGTAATATTTTTCTTTGAGAAAAACATATAATCCCCCCTTGACTTGCCATTAGGGAATAATTTCAGGTATAGGCCATCTTTTATAACTTGCAATATATTGGGAGAAATACGTTATTTGGTTGCTAGAGTAACTGTAGTGTTAACCTTGGCTAAATCTCTCCTGCAATTATTAATAATTCCACAACTTCCACATACCATCTATGACATGCTTAAACTTTCTGACTTGTCCTAAATATCCCTCTTTTTAAACAACTAATTATCTTTTTAGGACAGGTGTTTACCATACAGGATCCTTTTTTATATAAAATCTCTTCTCTTTATAACCTTCTTTGCATAGCTAGGGTGTGACATATTACCAAACCCAATAAAAAGCTCTAGCAGACTCAGTGATAGTAAAACTTTCATGCTCTTTTTTGTTGGTGACCATTACCCCTGCTAAAAGGATAATAATTAAGCAAAATACTACAGTAATGGAAACTCTCTGTCTGGTATTCCAGTTAGAAGGTGTTATTATGTATAACCCTAATGCAAATAGTAGAGTGTGTATAGCAATTCCTGCAAGTGTGGTGTAGTAGAAAATTTCCACCTAAAATTTTACTTGCCAAGATATAACATTTCCCCTTGGGGGTCTAAAAGTTACAAATGCAATCCCATGAATAATTAAAATCTCCCTGCATATATGCGTCAAAAAGAAGCTCTAATATCTGGTGACAAATCTCGAGAGAAAAGGTAGAAATAACTGAAAGTATCTGGTAAGGCAGAAGTGGGACTGAGTAGGATAAGTACCCCTTATTAACTTACTTATCTTTTATGATTTTCAGCTTAAGATCTCCTACTTCTTCACTTCCTCTGGGCTGTCAGGGGTTGCTCTCTCAGCTTTCCAGGCTTTGAGTAAGATGTGATGTATTCAGGAGTTGATACCTAAACTTTTACTGCTGAGGGGATTAAAAGGTAAATGGCATAAGGCCCATCCTAGCTTGGGTTTAGGGAGAGAGAGATAGAAGGGAGAGCCTTTTCCAATATCAAACATCCTGGGTTAAATAAATGCCATCCTATTTCTTGGGGTTTGGCTTTTGCTAGTTGAGTAAATTCCTTTCAAAGTGACCAAAGAGGTCATATGCTTAACCAATTCAGAAGTATCTTGGTCTAAAAAAAAATCATTGGTAAAGAAAGGCCATCCATACAGCATCTCAAAAGGGCTCAGACCTAATTTTAAAGGGGTATTTCTAACATGAAGTAAGGGCATGGAAAGAAGAGTGAATGAAGGAAGGTGAGTTTCTTGGGACAATTTTCTGAGGTGTCTTTTGATAATATCATTGGTCTTCTCTACCTTTCCTGAGGACTGGGGTCTCCAATCACAATGGAGATGATATTGTATGCCTAGTGCATTTGAGACCCTTTTTGTGACTGCTGGCTTAAACAAGGGGCAATTGTCACTTCGGAGGTACATAGGTAGATCAAAACGGGAAGTAATTTACTAATTAACACTTTTATTACCTAAGAGGCCTTTTCTGTATGGCATGGAAATGCTTCTACCCAGTTATTGAAAGTATGTACCCATTCCGGAAGGCATAGGATGCCCTTTGTGTTTGGCATTTGAGTGAAGTCTATCTCCCAGTCCTCCCCTAAATAGCTTTCTATCCTTTGGGTTTGAGGAAGAAGGAGCCATCTCTTGAGGGGATTATTATTAAGACAGACTTCACAAGCATTAACAACCTGTTTGACTGTTCTTAATAAGTTCTCTCCTGAAAACAATCTCTGGGCACACTGATAAGCTTCATCCTTTCCCAAGTAAAAAGCTTGGTGAAGGATTTTAAGGACTTTCTGTTGGCTGGAAACTGGCAAGTGGAATTTGCCATTCTCTGACTGTAGCCATCCTGAGGGCTTTAAATTGTACCCTGGAAGAAGTAGCCTGTTCTATTTCTGTAAGGGAGTGCTGAGGCTTAATTTCTCTTATGAAGCCTTCCCAGATTAGAGGGGCTTCAAGTGTTTTGATGCCCTGAGGCTTCTTTGCTACTGACTTGGCTGCCTGATAAGCTAACTTGTTTCCTTTGGCTATTTCATCTGTTTCCTTCTGATGTTCCTTACAGTGCATCAGTACTACCTTTCATGGAGGGAAATCTGATGACAATAACCTGTTAATTTCCTGATGGTATTTTATAGGGGATCCATTAATGGTAAGAAGATGTCTTTTCTTCCAAATGGCAGCATGAGCATGGAGAACTAAGAAAGCATACTTGGAGTCAGTGTAAATGTTAGCTACCATTTCCTTACTTAATTCAAGTGCTCTTGTAAGAGCTATCAGTTCAGCTAATTGAGCACTTGTGCCTGGAGAGAGACACACACTTTCAATGATGTTATTTAGAGTGACTACTGCATATTTTGCCTTATGAACTGCCTGATTTACGAGAGAGCTCTCATCTGTGAAGAGAGTCCAGTCTGGATTTTCTAGGGGAGTTTCCTTGATATCAGCTCTGGCTGCATAGGTTTGCATTACAGCTTGTTCACAACCATGGTCAGGTTCCCTCGTTTCCTCAGGGAGAAAAGTGGATGGGTTTAGGTGAGAACAAGTTTTGAACTGGATGATGGAACCCTCTAACAGCAGAGCCTAATATTTAAGGAGCTGGCTGTCTGTTAGAGAAAGGCTCCCCTTGGAGGACAGTAATCCTGCCACATTATATGGGGTTTAAACAAGTTATTTCCCAAGGTTAATTTGGCAGTTTCTGGGACCAGTAGGGCCACTGTGGTGATGGCTTGGAAGCATGTGTAAATAGTAGGTTCCCCCAACTGCAGCTAAGGAGTTGAGAAAAATATTAGAGTTTTTCCTGAGACACCCTTCACAGTCGTGCTACAGGAAGAGCGGAAGCCTGGATTAGAGAAAAGAATGGAGAGACTGGCTCTAGTGTCTAGAAGGGGATTTACTTTACTTCCTTCAATTTATAGAATCACCCAAGGGTCCTGTGCTGTGATGGCAGTTTGAGCCACTGGAGTCAGGGGTTTGAGCCCTGGGACCTGTTAGTCTGTTGGTCCAGTTGGACCATCTGGAGACTTGTTCTGAACCTGGTAACCTTCATCTCTGGGAGAAGTTGGATCTCCAGTGTTCCCCACCACGGGCTAGACAGGGTTGATGTGGCTTTTTTCTTATTTGCTGCTTGGGCACTCCTTTTTAAAGTGCCCTGACTTGCCACATCAATAGCAACTAGTGGATGCACCTTGGGGATCCTGGACTTTTCAAGCCTGCAAAGCAGCTACTAGAACCTCTGTCCTTCTCTTGTGTTTTCTCTCTTTATCCTGGGCCTCTTCCTGATCCCTGTTATGAAAGACCAAAGTGGCCACCCTCAGGAGGTTCTCCAAGGTGCTATCTGTTCCTATAGCCTGCTTTGGCAGTTTTCTTCTAATATCAGCAACTGCCTGTGTAAAAAACTTGTCCTTTAAGATGAGCTGTCTCTAAACTGAATCAGGGGATAAGGAGGTGTGTTTTATTAGTGTCTCACTCAGCCTTTCCATAAAAGCTGTGGGATTCTCATCCGGCTTTTGGTCTATTATGGACGGTTTAGAGGTTTGGTCCTAATTTTTTGTGGGCCCTCCAATATGCACATTAAACAAGTGTTTCCTTTTCCATTCATTTGCGGAGCTATTGAAGTTCCATCAAGGTTGTCAAAAGGAACTGCTTTCTTTCCTATCAGGAATAGTATTTCCATTCCTTCTTCACCTGCCCTATCTCCTTTTTTCCTTTTCAGTCTACTATAGAAGACATGTTGCTTGTCTCTGCATTTCTCTCCTGCCTACAGAGCTGCTTGTTTTTCAGCTTAGGTGAGGGTTTGGTTTAGGAGCAGAATAACATCCCTCCATGTGAGGTTAAACACCTGCATTAAATTTTAGAAAGCTTCTATATACCTAGCGGGGTCTCCCTTTCTTTACATAAATTCTATAATGAGAAGGGAACTTGAGGGGGCCCCAACTAAGGGGGATCCTCAGATGGTTCCCCTGGAAGTTACTTCACTACTTTTGGGGAATCATTCTCTATAGGCCTGCCTTATATGACTGCTAAAAAAGCTGGGTTGATTTTGTAATGCTTGCAAAGATCTAGTAAGAATGCCATCCCCTTGTGCAAAAGAAAATGAGCCACCTTTTTCTTCAAAGTCTTGGGGTAAAAGGAAGCCCCATGCTTCAGAATGCACTCCAGAGGAATGCAGGCCAAAGATGGTCTATTACCCATCTATAAACAGAAGTGAAAAAAAAAAGCATCTTTTTAGTCTCCTTCCTTTGGTTGTAACCCAGGGTGGAGGGGAAGACAGTGGAGATGTCCCTCAAACTATTTTCCCTCTTTAGTTCCCTGAGGTCCTGATACCTGTTAAATATGCCACACATGGTTTTGGGTGTGAACCCCCCACCAGCTATGGAACTGGAAGAACTAAGTAATGTGTTTAGTCACACATACCCATGCAGCCCTAGTTCTCCACTTGTGATTCCCCTTTGACTTCCTTGACTTTGCTTGGTTCTGTCCAGAAGCCTTCAGATAGCACCAGGGGATAGCACTGACCAGAAATCCTAAGTTACTTCAGAATCTCTTCTAGCCCCATGCAACAGCTGCGTCCTCTGTGAAAGGAAACCAGTTTGAAGCATGGCCAACATGCCCAGTAACCATGTGTACTGGGGGATTCTCTGTATTCTCCCTAGCCAGACGTTCCCTTGAGTTTTGTAAGGCTGGCAGCCAGGCTAATCATTTTTTAAATGGTTGACAGAAGCACAGCATTTGGTTTGATTTGATTTTAAAATGGAGGCCGAGAGCCTCAAAATGAAAGGACAGAGTTGAGGTCTGCTCCTATACTGACCGTTCTGATGAATTTACCTTCCAATCCTGAGCAAGACCCCACAATGAAGCAGTGTTGTTTGTCTGGGGAAACACCCAAGGTTCATTGTCTCACACCAAGAAAACTGAAGACATGGACACACAAGAAATGAGTTTAAGAGTGGAGGTTTAATAGGTGAAAGAAAGAGAAAAGAAAATATCTTTCTCTCTTGCAGAGAGAGAGGGGTGTTCAAGTGGGACTTTTCATCCATGGCAGAGTGCAAGGGGATTTATAGACTGGCTTGAGGAGGCAGTGTCTGATTTACTCAGGGTGCAGTGGATTGGTTGGACCAGGTGTGCCATTTACTTAGTGAATGAAGAGGCCGTCCATCCCACCGTCATCTTTATGCAATTGCAGTCTTTATCTGGCTCGATGTTGTCTGCATACGTGGAGACAAAGAAAAGGAAAGAGGAAACCTCCATGTTGAATATACCTGGCTTTAAGGTATCCCTTTCCTATTGGCATTACTGCTGGTATTCGCCTATGCAAGCTTCCAGCTTGCTTATCTATGCCTGCAGCTAGATGTTTTAGGTTGCTTTTTGATAGAAAAGAAATGACTTTGGAGCTGCTTTCATTAAAAGGAAAACCTTACTGAGGACTTCCTTACCCTCACTATCTGCCTAAATAATTTCTTTTTATCTCCTATATCAACGAAATAGGGATATTCTCAACAGTGTATTTTTGTATTTTGTTAAGATTATCAAGTTCCATTGGGAATGCCTTTTCCTTGGGGATTTAGAATAACAAATAAGAATCTTGTGGAAAAAATTCTATCATATAGAATATTGTTGTGGCAGTAAATGAAACCTTATAATTTAGTATTAATATTAATGCTCAAGGTTTTAATATACTTGGACTATAAAGTAACACTCTAGAAACAAACATTCAGGTGGTGTTGTCTCCTAATGTACTTTGTGCCTTGGTCAGTCTTGACTCAAAAATATGGGCTGAAAATGTTTGTATTTGTTTTCATGGGTTGCTGTTAAAAAAAAAAAAGCATCACAGAATAGGTGGAATATACAATAGAAATTGATTCGCTCAGAGTTCTAGAATCTAGAAGTTCCAGATGTGAAAGTATTAGCATGGTTGCTTCTTTCTTAATGCTGTGAGAAAACAAACAAACAAACAAAATTTTTTCCATGCCTCTTTTCTACCTTCTGGTGGTTTGCTGGCAATCACAGAGCCCCTTGGCTTGCAGAAGTATCATCTAGTCTGTGCCTTCTTTTTCACATAGTGTTCTTCATGTATGTGTGTTTTCAATTGTTTTCTTTTTATAAGGGCACCTGTCATATTGGATTAGAGGCTCACCCTGCTCCAATATGACCATATATTTTCTAAGTACAACTGCATTGACCCTATTTTCAAATAAGCTCATATTGTGTAATATTGAGGATTAGAACTTCAGCATATGAAATCTGGGGGAATACAATTTATCCCATGATAGGATGCACAATAATTATGATGGAGTTTCAAGTCAATAATACTGATTTAGTTCTCCTGATAGGAAAGATTCAGTTCTATGGGAGAGATTCTGGTCTATCTTTTGCTATCAAGTAAATATTGAGTGTGTCCTTTTTGTTCTCCAATGTGTATTTATACTAATGTTAAATATAACACTATAGAAATATTTTTAAATTTCTATTTATTATCAATTATTAAAAACTCCTTAAATAACAGTCAATCCAGGATATCTGAAACTATTCCAAAAGTTAATATGTCATTCTTTCACATATAACTTACTACTGCAGGTAGAATAAAAATCTGAGTTTTATGATATAATCACAGGTAATGACTTATAAGCTAGAGAAAATTAGTTAGATTATACATATATTTTTTACCAGCAAAAATTTAATAAAAGCCATTTTCCTAGTGTTATTTATATACTATGATGATTGAAAGCATTATTGTATGTGTAAGCTTTAACCTGTATTTCCAGTACTTTAAAAGTCCCTTCATATAAAATGTTTTAAACTGTTTTATTGTTTCAACACTAGTAGTAGCACCTCAGTTTAAAAAAAAATCTTGTATTTTATGAATTTAAAACTACAGAATTTTAGTCTTTAAATTAACTTTCAAGTAAGTGCCATATAAACTCAAAGTGGTCATCACAGATTGTAATTATTATACTCTACACGTGTTATATTGTAATTTGTGTAACATTTAGCTGTGAAAATAGACCAACACTTTTTTTGTGTGTCAATGATCTAATAGTATGTTTTCTCAATATTTAAAGAGGTGATGATCACATGAATATAAATTAATTAACCTTGTCAAATCTTTTACACCATATAATTTGATGGCATTAAAGAAAAACACATTTTTTTAAAAAAAACAATATTGGTTTCTTTCCTATACTAAATTAAAATCTGGCACATACCTTACATAACAATGGTACTTCCTTCAAAACTAAGAAATTAATATTAGCATGATAGTATTAATACAGACTTTATTCAGGTTTCAACATTTTCCACCAATGTTCTTTATCTGTTGTTCCAGGAGGCATTTTGAAAACTATGTCTTCACTTGTTTTTGCATCTTCTCCAAATTGTAATAGTTTTTCAGTCTTTGCTTGTATTCCATAACACTTTTAAAGATTAATGTTAAAAAATGTTGTAGAATTCCCCTCAATTTAGGTTTGTCTAATATTTCCACATGATTGGAATAAGTTTACTGATTTTAGGGGGAAATAGCACAGAAGAAAAGTTCTTTTGTTATCACATCATATCGGGGGTACATGATATCAGCATGAGTTATTCATAACCTTAAAGTTGATCACTTGATTAAGGTAGAGTGCCAGTTTACTTCAATGAAAAGTTAGTGTTTTATTTTTCATGCTTGTTAGAAACAAATACTTGTTCCTCGATGCTGAAAAGAACTAGCGCTCAGACAAAGAATTTAATTCTCTCAGCAAGGTAATTTTTACTTCTATAGAAGGGTGCAACCCCCGGATGGAGCAATGGCAAGAGACCTGAACACAGGAGAGGAAGGGGTTCTTATTCCTGATGCAGGTAGCCCCTACTGCTGTGTCATTCCCCTATTGGCTAGGGTTGGACTGCACAGTCTAAGCTAATTCCGATGGGCTTTTTTAAAGAGAGCAGGGGTAGGAGCTGGAGTGGCGGGGTGAGTAGTTTGGCAGGAAGGACGGTTACAGAACAGGTGACTCAGGATGTATCAGGACAGAGGAGGTGACCAGGTGTGACTCAGGTCAAAGCAGGTGACCAGGGGAACAGATGTGAACTACTGATTACAACTGGCGGGAAAGTTGTTTACTGAAACTAAAGGGAAAGGGGGGAAGAGAACCAGGAAGTTAAACTTTAAAATGGAGAACAGAGGGCCGGGTGCGATGGCTCATGCCTGTAGTCCCAGCACTTTGGGAGGGTGAGGCGGGCGCATCACCTGAGGTCAGGAGTTCGAGACCAGCCTGATCAACATGGTGAACCCCATCTCTACTAAAAATACAAAAATTAGCTGGGCGTGGTAGTGAGCACCTGTAATCCCAGCTACTCAGGAGGCTGAGGCAGGAGAATTGCTTGAATCCGGGAAGTGGAGGTTGCAGTGAGCTGAGATCATGCCACTGCACTCCAGCCTGAGTGATAGAGTGAGACTCCGTCTTAAAAAAAAAAAAAAAAAGAAAAAAAAAAGAATAAGAAAGCTGAACATACTGACATACTGATTCTTTGAAGAGAAACTTGGGGTTTACTGTATTTAATATACTTTATTCTTTGCAAATGAGTTATTAAATCCAGCCTATATTCAAAAGGACAGAAATTAAGCTTTAACTCTTAGAGAAAAGAGTATCAAAGGTTTTATGGACATGTATTAAAACAGCCACAGTAAACATGCTAACCTGTTTATAAATACATGGCTATGCACTTTCTTTATCTATCTATAGCCAAACATGGGTTTATACTGATATCTCTAAATTAACATTATACCATACACTCTGGCATTTATTCTTGCTTATTTATAACTTCTTGATCTGACAATTAGATATCTGGTTCTAATCATATGCAATCTTTTTATCATTTATTTAACCCTAACATATAGGTAAGCTATTTTTAAAATTGCTAAATGACACCCCTGTGAGAAAGAAATTTACCACTAGAGTATACCAATTGTCTTTAACCTTATATTATCTATGAAAATACTGTTGCACAGTGATTCTTTGATCACTTTCATCAGTTTTTGTACTTTTAAGCGTATATATTCTGCATATTTTATAAGATTATACAAAGTATTTCATTTTAAATGTTTCTATTGTTGATTGATTTTTAAGCTTAAATTCCATTTGTTCATCGCTATATAAAATTAAGACTGACATTGTATATTACCTTGTATACTATAAACTTTGCTAAGCTCAACTTTTAGTTAAAGGACTTTTTACATATTATATTGGATATTGATTTATAAATTGTCTATGGTTGTTTTTATGCTACAAAGTCAGAAATTAATAATTTTACAGAGTTTGTGTGGACCTCATAGCCCAATATGCTATATAGCCTTTTATGTAGTTTTAAAATACTTACTCTACAGGTTTTTAAATTTTTTCCTGTGATATTTTTGTTAGTTTTAGCATTCAGGTAATGTTGAACTCATAAAATCAGCTGGTAAATGTTTTCTTCTTTTCTTTTATTTGGAAGTGATTATATCAAATTCGTATCATTTCTTCTCTAAATGCTTCACAGAATTCACTGGTTAAACCATATGTACCTGGAGTATTCTTTTTTGTAGGAGTTTCAGTTACAAAATTCAATTTATTTTACATGCACTAGGCTATTTTGGTTATTTGTTTCTTCCTGAGTTAGGCTTTTTTTTTTTTTTTTTTAATTAGGGTTTTGTTTTTTTGTTTTGTTTTATTTTGTTTTGAGATTCTGTACTCCAGGCTGGTGTGGTGCAGTGGTGTGATCTCAGCTCACTGCAACCTCTGCCTCCAGAGTTCAAGTGATTCTCCTGCCTCAGCCTCCCGAGTAGCTAGGATTACACATGCGCACCACCACGCACAGCTAATTTTTGTATTTTTAGTAGAGACAGGTTTTGCTATGTTTGCCAAGCTGGTCTCAAACTCCTGACCTCAAGTGATCTGCTTGCCTTGGCATCCCAAAGTGCCAGAATTATAGGCATGAGCCACCACGCCCAGGCTTGAGATAGTTTTTAAGTAATGTCTTCCAAGGAATTGGAGCATTTTATCTAAACTTGTAGAGTTGGTTATCATATATTTTTTATTTTCCTTTTAATGTATTTAGGGTATATAACAATATTCCATGTTCATTCCAACATTGGCCATATCTGTCATTTTCTTTACTTTTTGTTTTGTTTTGTTTTCTTGGTTAGATTAGCTATGGTTATATCAGAAACTAAGGTAACTAATTTTATTTCCTGTTTTTCTAATATAAGCGCTTGATGGTATGAATTTTCCTTTAAGTTTGTTAGCTACATTTGACAATTTTGCAATGTTTTATTTTCATTTTTGCTTAGTAAAAATATTTCTAAAATATCTCTTCAGTCTTCCTTATTTATTTGAGTTTATTTCTGTTCTTTTAAATTTGTTAAGATTTTTTTAATGGCACATTTTAGTGACTGTCCATGTGTCCTGGTGGAAATATGTATTCTCATGTTTTTGAGTTGAGTTTTCTGTAACTTTCAATTAGATCAAGTTGGTCAATAGTGTTTATCAGGTCACCTATAGTCTTACTAATTTTTTCCCGCTTGTTCTTTCAATTATTGAGAGATGATTGTTGAATATAACAACTATAACTGTAAATGTGTTTATTTCTCCTTTTAGAGCTATCAGTTTTTGCCTCATTTATTTTGTAACTCTATTGTTAGGTGCATATACATCTATGATTGTTATGTCTGCATAAAGAGTTTATCCCTTTACCATGATATAATGTTTTTCTGATTTTCCCCCTTATTTTAAAGTCTACTCTGTCTGAAATTTATATACTTTTTCTGTTTTTGTTCTGTTTAGGGTCCGTATGACATGTGTTTCTCATCCTTTTAATTTATGTATGACTTTATAGTTAAAACATGTTATTTGGAAAAAGTAAATAGTTGCAAGAGGTTTCCTCCAGTGTTCTAAGGTGGCAGACTTTGTTGTCCTTGCCTCTGCAGATTAAGACTTTAATTCCAGGCCAGGTGCGATGGCTCACGCCTGTAATCCCAGCACTTTGGGAGGCCGAGGCGGGCGGATCACGAGGTCAGGAGATCGAGACCATCCTGGCTAACACGGCGAAACCCCGTCTCTACTAAAAATACAAAAAATTAGCCAGGCGCGGTGACCGGCGCCTGTAGTCCCACCTACTCGGGAGGCTGAGGCCAGAGAATGGCGTGAACCCGGGAGGCGGAGCTTGCAGTGAACCGAGATCGTAACACTGCACTCCAGCCTGGGTGACAGAGCGAGACTCTGGCTCAAAAAAAAAAAAAAAAAAAGACTTTAATTCCACAAATAAGAGAAATGGCAAGGGGGAGAGTCTTGGCAGAATATCAGCAGTAGCTTTTTTCCCCCTCCCTGAGCCAGTACTACAAGAGCAGGTTTCCCAGTATTCTTCCTGATCTTTCCTATTGCTGCCTGTAAAGTTTGTGGAGGAAAAAAAACTCTGCAAGAGGTTACAAATTTCCCTATGCCTCTGGCCTTTAGGGGCTTGAAATTCGCACACTATACACATTCAGCTTACCAAAATATAGCTGAATGTTTATTATCAGCATGTACGATTTCCAATAGCATCTACCCTGGTGAACTAATACATGGATACTGTTGCTGTCTGCAGGCATCTAGCACTCCGAAGATTCCATGTTGGTTATTTGTCCTGTTTATTAGTTTTTCATGGGTTCTATAACAAATTACCAAAAACTTAGAGACTTAAGCAACACAAATCTATTATCTTACATTTCTATATGTCAGAAGCCTGGCATGAATCTTTCTGGGTCAACATAAAGGTACTATTAGGGCTCTTCCATTCTGTAGGTTCTAGGTAGGATATTTTTTTTCTTTATCAGGTTCTAGAGAAGACTCGCATTCTTTCACTCATGGCTCCTGTTCTTCACCTTCAAAGTTAGCAAAAGTGAACTGAGTCCTCATATCACATCACTCTTCTGCCTGAATCCCACTTTTTCATGTAATGTATAACGTATTCACAGGTTCTGGGATTAGGGCATATGCATCTTTGGAGAGACCATTATTCTACCTACCACAGTTTGTCTTCCAGTTCGCAAAAAGTTATGTCTGTCCTACATGAATGCTCCTTTTTCATGGTCTCAAATTTTCTCAACCCATTACCCTCTGTGAACTCAGGTCTCCAATGGGTTCAAGAAAAAATATCATTGTGTATTTCCAGCTTTTTTGTTTAAGCAAGAATTAGAGTGATGCTCTTTCCAGGTTTCTACACATCTCTAATAAAACTTGAACCTTCAAACCACATTTTGTGTAGTAATAAGACATGAAATAAGATATAATAAGAACTAACAAGGAATAATGTATGAACAATCAATTGGCTTAAAATACTGGTGAATAATGGTAAATAATGAAATGACTATTGTTATGATTTTGCTCTGTATTTCCACTCAAATCTCATGTTGAATTATAATCCCCAGTGTTGAAGCTAGGGCCTAGTGGGAGGTGATTGGATTATGGGGGTGGTTTCTAATGGTTTAGCACTATTCCCCTAGTGCTGCCTCATGACAGAATTCTCACGAGATCTGGTCGTTTAAAAGTGTGTAGCACCTCCCCCCTTCACTGTCTTCCTCCTGCTCTGTTCATGTGAAGATGTGCCTCCTTCCTTTTTGCCTTCTGCCATTATTGTAAGTTTCCTGAGGTCTCCCCAGGCTTCCTGTACAGACTGTGGAACTGTGAGCCAATTAAACTTTTCTCTATAAATTACCCAGTATTGGGTAGTTCTTTATAGCATTGTGAGAATAGACAAATACAACTACCTTTGACTTTCTGTAATATTTTCATGTTATAATATTGAGTATATTTTGATATAAAGTACAACTGTTCCCTACACAATCAGGAAGATTACTAACATCATAAAGTACCGTTTTTACAAATAAATTACTTTCACCAGATGTGGGAACAAGATACTCAAAACTACATATGATATAAAACAGCTGGATATCAGTAATATATGTCTCTCCAGCAGTATGTACCTAAATATCTCTATATTATAATGTTATGTTTTATTTAGATACTTAGAGTTATGGTCATGTTATCAGGAAATACATTTCATGCAGCATTTAGATAATTATTTAGGTAATTAGATAATAGCCTATTGCACAATTGGTTACCTTTATATTTGTCAGCCAACATACAAAATGTCCACAGAACATCACAAAGCACTTCAAACTACGTATCAGAAAAAGATATGTTGTCTGTCCTACCAAAGGAATTTCAAGTATTAAGAGAGGCAGAAAGAAAATTATGCTTAAAGATAATTAAGCATTGTAATTATGATTCATATGAATTAAGGGGAAATAGAAAAGGTAGTGATTTTTTTGGGAAAGTGGACAAAAAGTAAGATTCCCCAGAAAACGTTTTGGAGAAAATGACATTGGGTGTTTATAAGCGATTTTATGGTTCTTAGTTCATATTTCTGTACTTATACATGTTATAACTGGAGCTGATAAATCCTAAAAAATGTACCCACAAACTGCTACCCAGGAACATAAATTTATTAATATGTATCTAAGAAGCAAACTATATCATAGCCATCTATCAGTGTAGAAGATGATATATAAGAAATCCAGGAAGAATATAGCCAGGTAAGTGCTCAGGTTTTTTCTTTTTTTCTTGGATATAGCAAGAACACAATCAATCTATCTCATTTTGACCAACATGCTGCAAACTCTAAGGGCTACAAGAATCAAATTTCACATGGACAGAAGAAAACAATATCATGCAATTTATACTATTTTCTTTATAATTTTCACTGCATAAAATACCTTGTCACTGTTAGCTACAAGATGTCATATTATCATATTTTTCTCTTTGACATTCCATCAAGCACTACGTTCCAGGAAAAAGAAAATTTTCTCACAATGTAGTCAAAATAATAATTTTGTAATCTGTGAACTTTCTGTGGAATCTTTAGAAAACAGAAGCTTACTTTGTTTTACCTCAAATGCTTAATTTCTTCCTGGATAATCCTCAGAAGGCAAACAATTATGATACATTTACAGAAACTCAAAAGAGGTCAAGAATACCTGCCTGCTTCTTTTCTGACTGATAGTGCTTGATATGGCTAAGAACTACAGACCCTACATTATAGCAAAACTAATTAAGAAACCCTGCAGTTCTTACATGGTCAACACAAACTGGTTTTGGTTTAACTCCCTCTTGAATTTCCCCAGAAAAAAAGATTCTCTGTATCAGTTCCATTCAAGAACAGCATGTGGACTTCATTCACTTTGTAGTATGTGACATGGCATGATTTTGTGAACACCCTCACCTTAGAGGTGAAAAAATTGGCACAGGTTTTATCTGACTGATTTGTTTCACTTATCTGCCAGTAGTTTTATGCTAGTTGGTCTCTTCTGGTCAGAACAGGTCTTTAGCAGGGGCAAACTTAATGAAGATAAGAATGCATTAGAGTCCAGATGAAATTCTATATATTATGCAGTGTTATTCTAGTTTGTTTTTTACTTTGATGTATTCTTATATTTGCTCCATTGGTGTTTCTTGCTCTCAAATACTACGTTTAGCATAGCATTTAATGACATATAGTACAATTCTTAAGTAAAAAGTATTGCAGGCACCATCTATTGTAATGTATTTCTGTGAATGCAATAATAATTTTTTCTGGATTTATTTTATTGTTACACCTGTGTGCTTGACAGTAAGTGTTTTGCCAACTATTTGGAAGTTCCCAGTTGTACTCAACATTAGAACAACATAGAAATGGAAAAATCTATCACTTGATAACCATAGATCTTTTACGTACATTTCAATTATGTACGGTATATGTTGAGATTCATGGAAAAAGTTTTATGAGTAAGGAATGCTAATTCTCTGTAGGTACATAAGCAGTCTTATTAATTCTCTTCAAGTTTTGGGTTCCTGGGTTATTTTTAAATATTAAATTTAAAATCTTATTAAATATAATTTACAGATTCAAACATTATTTATGAATCTTTAAAAATTCCAATTCCACAAAGTTAAAGTTTTGCATTTTTTAAAATATTTTACTGAGTCAAATTATTCCTTCTTGCAACAGTCTTTGAAAACTTTGGGTGAAATTTTTGAGCTACATCAAAGTCCTTTTTTATGTGACAATCTTTTCAAAGTTCCTAAAATATTATGACATCTATACCAAGCACAATATTGTAGGTATGGAACTTTGAAAAATAGCCTGGAAGAAGATAACATTTGTGTTAGAATTTGCCTAATAAACATATCATGAGTTATTTCTAAGGATGCTAATAGCAAGAGGAGACAAAAACTAATTTCAACTCAGCAATCAAAAGATTGTCACAGTAATCAAAAGATTGGAAGGAGAAGTTGAAACATGACACAAGATAAATAGATGTTGAGTTATTCCAGCATATGATGGTTACTATGACATGATCAATACATAGTAAATGTACAGGTTATATGCATGTTGATGGAAAGATACATCTTAGGACATCTTCGTAATTTTTTTCCTAAAATGATTAAAAAGTAATTACAGAAATATGTCATTACAGAGGTTCTAGAATGTTGTTGAATTATCAAAATATTTAAAGATCATTATTTTATAATCTTATCCAAATCACTTAATCAGAGGATTATGGCTACAAAATACGAGTGAAAGTAAGTAACTAATTTAATGGTTCAGAATGAAAGTGCCAATTCAGTTTACTCACTATAGTATTTGCTAATACAAATATTCTCATTACCTAAATTACTGGCTGGGATTATAGTAAATGAGGCACTTTGAAGGTGCTAGTAGCTTAAAAGTGACATTCAATATTTTCATATAAATTTAAAAATTTTCTAACCTATATGTTTGCAAAATCCTGGAAAGATCTTAGTCATTGACCTTTAAAAATTACAGATAATTTATAGACAAAAAAATCTAGTGAATAAGAATATTTAAGAATGTGACTACCTTCATATCATGAAAGAACCACCTGTATGGTAAATTCTAGTAGCTTCAGGAATTCAAATAATTGGCAACTTAGGTAATTCACCATACATCACATAAACATAGTGATATAATGATAGTAAAACATTAGGATGACATTGATGAAGTATTTTTTTATAAAAAAGGGGAGACATGATTACTTTTGGGATATCCTAGGGTTTTAGTTGATTCAGTAATTCATTAAAGTGGTGACTAGCTTATTTCTGTCTCTTCACTGACTTGTGATGTAACGATGTGCTTTGCAGAGGTAAGGTGGTTTAACAAGCTGACCTGTTTACATAGGATCTGTAAATATTGCATGAGGTGAAGCATTAATTAGGTCTCTTGATTGCACAGACTGAAATGAAGGGTTTCTCAGAGGAGTTTTGTGCCTTCAGTAGCTTTTTTTTGAGTTTAACCTCATTCAATAAAAGGCCATTGGCTTGAAATGCCTTCTGAACTTCTGAGTTTACTTTGTAAGCATCATTCTAGGTTCCTGTGTATAATACTGGTTGTTACCCAGTAATAAAACTGTTGCCTTCATTAATCACTAAGGTCTCATAATTTTTAGCGCTGATGGAAGAAAACAAAAGAAGTAGTATTAAACTATTTATTTTGAAAATATTTCTCTTTAATTAACTTGGAATATAGATAGTAAAAAAAGGAATATAGATAATAAAGGGCATTATTTGCTCAGGTCTTTGTCATATGAAAGTAAATTAAAACTTTTTACCTCATATATAACCTGTATTTGTTTAATATATAGCATAGAAGAATTCTTGTAAGAATTCTTTATCTTACAAGTAATCTTGTAGAAATGATGTTACAACTGTCACATTTAAAACTTTAAATGTGTGATGCAAAATAAATCTGAATTTGATACACTAGTACTTTTTTGCATCTCAGTGAATAGATTTCAAATTACAGATGCCAGTATTATATTTTAATCATGTGTTTCTCTGTGTATAGAATATGGTCTTGTAAAAATGGTGGCATGTCTTATTTTCTAATAGCAAATAAAAACAACAGTTCGCTTGAAGTTTATGAGCATACATCACAACTCTACAATTATATATATATATATAATTTTTTAATGTTAATTTACATTCAGGGGTACAAGTGCAGGTTTGTTATATAGGTAAACTTGTGTCATGGGGATTTGTTGTATAGATTATTTCATTACCCAGGTATTGAGTCTAGAATTTATTAGTTACTTTTTCCTGATCTTCTCCCTCCTCCTTCCCTCCCCTCTCTGAAAGGCCCTAGTGTGTGTTGTTTCCCTCTATGAGTCCATGTGCTCTCATCATTTAGCTCCCTAAAAAGGTGTATTTTCAGGGTACAAATAGAATATAAAGAACATTTTTTGTCCCTATTCTCAAAATGGATTTTGAAACCACTTCTGAGGCATCTCAGATGTCTAAATGCTCTTTGGTAAACATTAAAATGCCATCTCTGTCCTTGTTTAGCCATTATTGATTTTCTATTAAAAGTAGATGAAAGGTCTGCTTGGGGAATACTGCCATATAATTGCTGCAATGACCTAACCATCTAATACTACTCAGGGCAAAAGCCATTTGATCAAAATCAATGTAAAATACACATTTATCCTCCTGAAACTTCTAGGGTGTGGTGGAAAGGAAGGGGAATACACCAAATATTAAGAGTTATATTTAGTAATGTGACATCAGAAGTAAGAGCAATCACATTTTTACTAACACTCAAATTCAAACAGCTCTGTGTGACTGAATTCTGGAGTTATATGGCTTATCAACATCAGAATAGACAAATCAATGACTTCTTAAAAAACTAGAGTTTTTTAAAACAAAGAATTTCTCATTAGTGCCAGGAATTTAGCTTTAGAAAACTGCCCAAATACCATGCTTTTTTGTTTGTTTGTTTAAGCACATGGTTATATAACACATGCAATGAATATAACATATCTAATAAATATGTCATGTATTCACGGCAAAGCTAATATTTTCACCTTTTGTTATATCTTCCCTAACTCTTTTTTTTTTTAGTGTGGGGGTCCATATAGATAGCATTCCATATCCACATGAAAATTATGCCCTAGCTTAGGAATATTAGTCAGATTTGTAGTATTCAATTTCTGCTCTATCAAGTCCTAATTCTCATTTGATCTCAAGAACCGGAGAGTGTTATTAGACACTTTAGTGGACATCCTTTACGGATAAAGGAGGATTTGCCATGAGCAAATGTATTAAACTTCAGGCCTTCCAGACAGAGCTTTTTCTGTGACCCTGGAAAGGGTTCTCACAATGTGTACATGGATTGACATATGTTTGTAAAATTTATGTTAGTAAAAATGTGTTTACAATTTGCTGCAATTACTTTTCTAATTCTACATAATGTAAATATCTTTATTTTGTTTTATAATTCTTACAGAGTCCAGCATTTTATTAGCCTAAGGCCCACGAATACTGGATTTGCTTGAAAACATACAAATTGAGTGTGTGAGTAGGGGAGCACCTGATATATGACTGTAATACCAACAATGTGTATTTGGTCTAGAGGATATCATTTAAAGTGTACATGTTTTGTTACCCTAATTGACCAAGTCCCAACTGAAAAAGGTCAGCCTGTATGAAAACAATATTTCAGCATTGCTTTTTAACAAGACTTAACTTTTTAACTCACTCTAAAATAATGTTATTTTAATAACTTGCAATACTCTTGTAAGCAGGAATCCATCATTTCTAGCAGCTATAGTTTCCATCCCTACTACTTCTCCCACCTACCCATTCACACAGTTATATGAAAATTTCCCTATTGGGCATTATCTGTGAGAGAGAAAGTCTGAGCAGAATGATCTCTAATGCAATCTATGACATCCCAAGAATGTACACAAGGTAAGAACTTATCTGTAGTATGTCAAATAATTCATGTAATTAGAAATTTTGCACCTGGGTTGGATGTAGGAAAACATCTTCCTACATTCTAGGAAAGAATCTTTGACATTCTTTCTTTAATTAATTTAAGAAATATTAATTGAGCACATTTCTGGGAAAGGCACTCTTCTAAAAATGGAGCAAGACAGATGCATCTGCTGCTTTTTAAAAAGATAAATCTGGCAAAAACTCTGGTGCCACATATCCACTATCATGTCAATTGAAAAGATCAGTCGTAAAGAAGCAAGAGTAGAAAATCATCTCTTCCCTTGGAAATGTACCTGGATTTTCTACCTGACACACCCAGAGCAACTCAAGCTTCATCATTTAAGGAGAGGCAATTTTGATGGAGGATGGAGAAGTATCTTTCATGATAGAGTATTACTAGTAGAATCATTATCATCAGAAAGACTATACAAACATTTATAGTGTAGTCTCCTTGCTTGATGACATACTAAGTAATCATAACAAATCCCACTCTATTATATCCCATATAGATGTTTATATAATGTATTGATTCTTCAGTGTTCTTAGAATGATAAAGAGATAGGGATAAATAAATTTTTGTGTGGGTACACATTTGTATGTGTCTCTATTCTGTCATCTTTTGTGACTATCTTCTGGTGGTAAAATAACATTTCCAAGCATAGAGTTGAAAGAACCATGGACTTGAATTCAGGTCATATCAGAGTTAAATTCAAGGTCGACACTTTAAAACTGTGTGATACATTCCTATGTTTTATAATCCTCAAGTTTCATTTGTAACATAAAGTTAATAATGCCTGTTTGATGAAGAAGAGTTTTTAGATTTTAAATAGATTTACTCTCATTTGTTTTTTGATAGACACATAATTGTTTGCATTTATAGAGTACATATTGATATTTCAATACATACAATGTAAAGTGATCAAGTCAAGGTAATTAGCATATCAATCATCTCAAACATTTATCAATTTTTGTGTTGGGAAGATTTAATATCCTGCTTCTAGCCCTTTGAAAATATAAAATATATCATTGTTAACTACAGTAACCCTACAGTGCTATAGAACACTAGAACTTATTCCTCATATCTAGCTATAATTTTACACCATGTAACAAATCTTTCTATTCCCCTTTCCCCATATACTTCCCAGACTCTAGCACTTTCTGTTCTACTTTTTATCTCTATGAAACAACACTTTTAGCTTCAAAATATGAGTGAGAACATGCAGGGTTTAAGTTTCTGTGACTGGCTTATTTCACATGCCATAATGTCCCCCAGGTCTAACCATGTTACAAAAATGACAAGATTTTATTCTTTTTTAATGGATGAATAGTAGTATTTCATTTTGTATGTATAAAAAATGTATCTGTTGGACACTTGGGTTGATGCCATAGGTTGGCTATTGTAAATAGTGTCACTATAAACATGGGGGTGCAGATGACTCTTTGAAATACAGATATCCTTTCTTTTAGATAAATGCCCAGTAGCAGGGTTGTGGATCATACAGTAGTTCTATTTGCAGTTTTCTGAGACTCCTCCATGTTGTTCTTCAAAGTAGTTGTACTAGTTTACATTCTCACCAAGACTGTATAAGAGTTTCCTTTTCTCCACATCCTTGCTAGCATTTGTGATTTGTCTTTTTCATAATAGCTATCTTACCTGGTGTGAGATGATATCTCATTATGGTTTTGATTCACATTTTCCTAATGGTTAGTGATGTTGATAATTTTTTCATGTATTTGTTGGCTATTTGAATGTCTTCTCTTGAGAAATATCTGCTCAGACCATTTGCCATCTTTAAATCAATTTTTTTCCTGTTGAGATAGTTGAGTTCTTTGTATATTCTGGACATTAATATTATGTGGGAAGAGGAGTTGCAAATAATTTTGCTTATTCTGGAGGTTGTCTTTTTACACTGTTGATTATTTCTATTGCTATGCAGAAGTTTTTTAGTTTGATATAATCCTGTTTGCTTATTTTTCCTTTTGTTGCCTGTGATTTTAAGGCCTTATTCATAAAATATTTTCTCAGACCAATGTCTTGAAGTGTTCTCTCTGGGTTTTCCTTTGGTAGTTTTAAAGCTTTAAGTCTTACATGTAGGTCTTTAACCCATTTTGAGTAGATTTTTGTTTCAATTAGGGTGAAAGAAGAGAGTATAGCTTTATTCTTTTGCACATAGGTATCTAGTTTTCCCAGCAACATTTATTGAAGTGACTGCCTAATGAGTGTTCTTGGTATCTCTGTCAAAAATAAGTTGGTTGTAAATAAACGGATTAATTTCTGGGTTCTCTATTCTGTTCCATTGATTTGCATATATGCTTTTCATTGGTACCATGCTGTTTTGGCTAATACAACTTTATAGTATATTTTGAAGACTCATAGTGAAATGTGTCTGGTTTTGTTCTTTTTGTTTAGGAGTAGTTATCTATTGGGGATTTTTGTGGCTCCATATAAATTTTAGAATTTTTTAAATATATGTAAAATATGCCATTGGCATTTTGATAATGATTGCATTGAATCTATAGGTTGCTGTGGTTAGTATGCTCATTTTAATAATATTAATTACTCAAGTCCGTGACCATGGGATGTCTTCTCATTTTTTGTGTGTCTTCTTCAGTTTCTTTCATCGGTGTTTTACATTTTATATTTATGTCATAGAGATATTTCTTCACCTTAGTTAAATTTACTCCTAGGAATTGTTTATAGCTGTTATATGTGGAATTGTTTCCTATTTTTTTTTAGCTAGTTCATTGTTTATGTATAGAAAGGCTGCTGATTTTTGTATGTTGATTTGTATCCTGAGACTTTACTGAATTTGTTTATTAGTTCTACGTGGTTTTGTGTGTGTGTGTGTGTGTGTGTGTGTGTGTTACAGCTTTTAGGTTTTTCTATATATAAGGTAATGTCATCTGCAAACACAGATAATTGTACTTTCTCTTGTCTAATTTGAATGCCCTTTATTTCTTTCTCTTGCCTAATTGCTCTGGCTAGAATCTTCAGTGTTGTGTTGAACAAGAGAGGTGACAGTGGGCATCTTTGTTTTGTTCCAGTTCTTAGAAGAAAAGCTTTCAGATTTTTTTTTTTCCATTTAGTATGATGTTAGCTGTGGGTTCATTATATATGGCCTACCCTCATTGTGTTGAGTCACTTTCTTTCTAAACTCAGATTATTGAGAGTATTTATCATGGAGAAAGGTTGAATTTTTTCAAATGCCTTTCTGTGTCTATTGAAATGATCACACGATTTTTATTCTTCATTTTGTGGATGTGATGTATCACATTTTTTGTGCCTTTATATAACTGGTATCAGGATTATGTTGGCCTTTCAGAATGAGTTTGGAAGAATTCCCTCCCATTCAAATGTCTGTAATAATTTTAGAAGAATTTGTAGTAATTATTTTTTAAAAGTTTGGTAGAATTTAGTGGTGAAGCCATCTACTACTGAACTTTTCTTTTTTGGAAAGTTTGTTTTTTCTTTTATTACTGTTCAACCTTGTCATTAATTATTCGTCTGTTCAGAATTTCTATTTCTTCTTGGTTCAATATTGGTAGTTTGTATGTGTCCAGGAAGTTATCTATTGTTCTCTTGGTTTTCAAATTTATTGGCATGTAGTTATTTGTAACAGTCTTTAATGATCCATTGTAGTTCTGTGGTATCAGTTGTAATGTCTTCTTTTTTATATCTGGTTTTATTTGTTTGAGTCTTATCTATTGTTTTCTTAATTAGTTTAGCTAATAGTTTTTGGATTTTGTTTATCTTTACAAAGCTAACTTTTTGTTTTCATAATCTTTTCTCATATTTTTAGTCTCAATTTTGTTAACGTCTGCTCCAATCCTCATTATTTCTTTAGTTCTAATTTGGAGGTTTTTTTTTTTTTTTTTTTCAATTTGTATTTTAAGTTCAGGGGCACATGTGCAGTATGTACAGGTTTGTTACATAGGTAAACGTGTGTCGTGTTTGTTCGCTGAACAGATCATTCCATTACATAGGTATTAAGCCCAGCATGCATTAGCTGTTCTTCCTGATGCATATCCTCCTCATAACTGCAACCCCACGTGGCAACAGACCACAGTGTTGGTTGTTCCCCACAATGTTTCCATGTGTTTTCATCATTCAGCTCCCACTTATAATTAAGAACACGTGGTGTATGGTTTTCTGTTCCTGTGTTAGATTGCTGAGGATAATGGCTTCCAATTCCATCCATGTCCCTGCAAAGAACATGATCTCATTCTTTATTATGGCTGCATAGTCATGGTGTATATGTACCACCTTTTTTATATCCAGTCTATCTTTGATGGGCCTTTAGGTTGATTCCTTGTCTTTGATATTGTGAATAGTTGTGTGCATGTATCTTTATATTAGAATAGCTTATATTACTTTGGGTATATACCCAGTAATGGGGTTGCTGGATCAAATGGTGTTTCTGACTTTGGGTCTTTAAGAAATTGCCACACTGTCTCCCACAATGGTTGAACTAATTGACATTCCCACCAGCAGTGTAAAAGCATTCCATTTTCTATGCAAGCTCACCAGCATCTGTGGTTTCTTGACTTTTTAATAATAGCATTCTGACTGGCATGATATGGTATCTCATTGTGGTTTTGATTTGCGTTTCTCTAATGGTCAGTGATGTTGAGTTTTTTAAAATATTTTTGTTGGCTGCATGTATGTTTTCTTTTGAAAAGTGTCTGTTCATGTTCATTTCTCACTTTTTAATTCAGTTGTTTTTTTTTCTGGAAAAATTTGTTTAAGTTTCTTGTAGACTCTGGATATTAGACCTTTTTCAGATGGATAGATTGCAAAAGTTTTCTCCCATTCTCTAGGTTGCCTGTATTCTCTGATGATAGTTTATTTTGCAGAAGCTCTTTAGTTTAATTAGATCACATTTGTCAATTTTTGCTTCTGTTGCAATTGTTTATGGTGTTGTTGTTAGGAAAAATTTGTTTGTGCCTATGTCCTGAATGGTATTGCCTGGATTTTCTTCTAGGGTTTTTACAGTTTGGGATTTTACATTTAAGTCTTTAATCCATGTTGAGTTAATTTTTATATATGGTGTAAGAAAGCAGTCCAGTTTTAATCTTCTGCATATGGCTAGCAGTTACTTCAGAACCATTTACTAAAAAGGGAGTCCTTTCCGCATTGCTTGTTTTTGTCAGATGTGTCAAAGATCAGATGGTTGTAGGTGCATGATCTTATTTCTGAGTTCTCAGTTCTGTTCTCTTGGTATATATGCCTGTTCTTGTACCAGTAACAGGCTGTTTTGGTTACTGTAACCTTGTAGTATAACTTGATGTCAGGTAGTGTGATGCCTCCAGCATTGTTCTTTTTGCTTAGAATTTTCTTGGCTATTCTGGCTATTTTTTGACTTTATGTAAGTTTTAAAATAGTTATTTCTAATTCTTTGAAGAATGCAAAAATATAAATGACAGTTTAATGGGAATAGCATTGAATCTGTAAATTACTTTGGGCAGTATGGTCATTTTCACAATATTGATTCTTCCTATTCATGAGCATGGAATGTTTCTCATTTGTCATGTCCCCTCTGATTTCTTTGAGCAGTGATTTGTAGCTCTCATTGAAACGGTCCTTCACTTCCGTTATTAGCTGTATTCCTAGGTATTTTATTCTTTTGTAGAAATTGTGAATGTGAGTTCAATCATAATTTGGCTCTTGGCTTGTCTGTTTTTGGTATATAGGAATGCAAGTGATTTTGCATATTGATTTTGTATCCTGGACTTTGCTGAACATGCTTAACAGCTTAAGAAGTTTTGGGCTGAGACAATGGGATTTTCTGGATGTAGAATCAAGTCATCTGCAAATAAAGATAATTTGATTCCCTCTCTTCGTATCCAAATAGGTTTTATTTATTTCTCTTGCCTGATTTCCCTAGCCAGAACTTCTGATACTATGTTGAATAGGAGTGATGAGAAAGGATATCCTTGTTTTGTGCTGGTTCTCAAGGAGAATGCTTCCAGCTTTTGCCCATTCAGTATGCTATTGACTGAGTTTGTCATATATGACACTTATTATTTTGGAGTATGTTTTTTCAATAACTAGTTTATTGAGAGTTTTTAACATGAAGGGATGTTGAATTTTATCAAAGGCCTTTTCTGCCTCTATTGTGATAATCATGTGGTTTTTGCCTTTAGTTCTGTTTATGTAATGAATCACATTTATGGATTTGTGTATGTTGAACCAACCTTTCATTCCAGGGATAAAGCCAACTTAATTGTGTTGGATACATTTTTTATTGTGCTGCTGGATTCAGTTTGCCACTATTTTATTGAGGACTTTTCCATCGATGTTTATCAAGGATGCTAACTCAATATTTCATTTTTTTCTTGTATCTCTGCCATGTTTTTGGTATCAAGATGAAGCTGGCCTGATAGAATGAGTTAGGAAGTAGTTCTTTCTTTTCAAATATTTGGAACAGTTTCAGTAGAAATGATGCCAGCTCTTTTTTGTACCTCGTGTAGAATTCAGTTGTGAATCAATCTGGTCCTGGGCTTTTTGGGGTTGGTAGGCTATTATTACTGTTTCAATGTCAGAACTTGTTATGGTCTATACAGGTATTCAATTTCTTCCTGTTTCAGTCTTGAGAGGGTCTATGTGTCCAAAATGTATCCATTTCTTTTAGATTTTCTAGTTTATGTGCATAGAGGTGTTCATAGTGTTCTCTGATGGTTGTCTGTATTTCTGTGAGGTCAGTGGTGATATCCCCTTATCATTTCTGATTGTGTTTATTTGACTTTTTTCTCTTTTCTTATTTGTGAGTCTAGCTAGCAGTCTATCTTACTTTTTTTTTTTTTTTCAAAAATATTGTTCCTGGATTTGTTGATTTTTTGAAGGCTCTTTTGTATCCCTAACTTCTTCAGTTCAGCTCTGATCAGCTTTGGGGTTCATTTGCTCTTGGTTCTCTAGTTCTTTTAATTGAAATGTTAGGTTGTTAATGAGATCTTTCCAGCTTTTTGATGGGGGCATTTAGTGCTATACATTCAGCTGCAGCCCAGAGATTCTGGTATGTTGTCTCTTTGTTCTCATGACTTTCAAAGAACTTCTTGATTTCTGCCTTAATTTCATTAGTTACCCAGGAGTCATGCAGGAGCAGATTGTTCGATTTCCATGTAGTTGTGTGGTTTTGAGTGAGTTTCTTAATCTTGGGTTCTAATTTGATTGTGCTGTGGTCTGAGAGACTGTTATAATTTCAGTTCTTTTGCATTTGCTGAGGAGTGTTTTACTTCTGATTATGCGGCCAATTTTAGAGTAAGTGCCATGTGGCAATGAGAAAAATGTATATTCTATTGTTTTGGGGCGGAGAGTTCTGTAGATATCTATTAGGCACTCTTGATCCAGGGCTGAGTTCAAATCCTGCATATCCTTGTTAATTTTCTGTGTCATTTATTTGTCTAATATTGTCAGTAGGGTGTTAAAATCTCCCAATATTATTGTGTGGGAGTCTAAGTCTCTTTGTAGGTCTCTAAGAATTTGCTTTACTCATCTGGGTTCTCCTGTATTAGGTGCATATATATTTAGGATAGTTAGCTTTTCTTGTTGAATTGAACACTTTACCATTATGTAATGTCCTTCTTTGTATTTTTTTTATGTTTGTTGATTTAGTTTGTTTTGTCAAACTAGTATTTCAACCCCTGTTTTTTTCTCTTTTTCTGCTTTCCATTTACTTGGTAAATTTTCCTCTGTCCCTTTATTTTGAACTTGTGCACATCTTTGCAAATGAGCTGTGTCTTTTGAAGACAGCATACCAGTCAGTCTTGGATCTTTATCCAGCTTGTTATTCTGTGTCTTTTAATTGGGACATTTAGCCTATTTACATTTAAATTTAGTATTGTTATGTGTTAATTTGATCCTGTCATCATGATGCTGGCTGATTATTTTGCAGAATTGTTCATGTAATTGCTTCATAGTGTCATTTGTCTGTGTACTCCAGGGTGTTTTTGTAGTGGCTGGTAAAGGTTTTTCCTTTCCATACTTAGTGCTTCTTTCAGGCACTCTTGCAATACAGGCCTGGTGGTGATGGATTCCCTCAGCATTTGCTTGTCTGAAAAGAATCTTCATTTTTGAAGCTTAGCTTGACAGGATATAAAATTCTGGGTTGTAAATTCTTTTCTTTAAGAATGTTGAATATTGGCCCCAATCTCTTCTGGCTCATAGGGTTTCCACTGAGAGGTCCATTGTTAGTCTGATGGGCTTCCCTTTGTAGGTGACTTAACCTTTCTTTCAGGCTGTGCTTAACATTTTTTCTTTCATTTTGACCTGGGAAAATCTGATGATTTTGTGTCTTGGGTTTGATCTGCTCATGGAGTATCTCACTGGAGTTCTCTACTTTTACTGGATTTGTATGTTAGCCTGTCTTGCTAGATTAATGAAGTTCTTCTGGATGATATCCTGAAGTATGCTTTCTAACTTAGTTTTGTTCTCCCCATCTTTTTCAGGTACTCTAATTAATTCTAGGTTTGGTCTCTTTACATAATCCCATATTTCTCAGAGGTTTTGTTCATTCTTTTTTATTCTTTTCTCTATTCTTGTCTGCCTTATTTCAGAAAGATAGTTTTTAAGCTTTGAGATTCTTTCTTCCACTTGGTCTGTCCTGCTATTGACACTTGTGATTGCATTATGAAGTTCTCAATTTGTGTTTTTAGCTCCATCAGGTTGGTTATGTTTCTGTCTAAACTGGCTCTTCTGGCTTTCAGCTTCTGTATTCTATTATGGTTATTGGCTTCTTTGCATTGGGTTACAGTATGATCCTTTAGCTCAGTGAAGTTTGTTATTTACACACCTTCTGAAGCCTACTTCTGTTACTTTAGATATCTTATCCTCAGCCTTGTTCTTTGCCCTTGCTGGAGAGGTGTTGCAGTCATTTGAAGGAGAGGAGGTACTCTGGAATTTTGAGTTTTCAGTATTTTTGCATTCATTCTTTCTCATCTTTGTGGGCTTATCTACCTTCAATCTTTGAGGCTGCTGACCTTTGAATGGGGTTTTGTGGGGTATTTTTTTTTTTGATGTTGATGTTTTGTTTGTTTTTCTTTTAACAGGCCACTCTTCCATAAGGCTGATGAAGTTTGCTTGGGGTCTCGTCCAGACCCTAGTTGCTTCAGTATTTCTCACACCTGGAGGTATCACCAGTAAAGGCTATAAAACAGCAAAGATGGCATCCAGCTTTTTCCTCTGGAGGCTGTGTCCCAGGGAGATACTGACCTGTTGCTGGCCCAAATGTCCCTGTATGAGTTGACTAGAAGCCCCTATTGAGAGGCCTCACACAGTCAGGAGGAATGGACTCGGGGACCTGCTTAAAGAAGTAGTCTGGCTGCTTTTTGGTAGAGCAGGTGTGCTGCATTGAGGGGAACCCTTCCTGGTCTGGACCATTTATATTCTCCAAAGCTGGCAGGCTGGAACAACTGAGTCAACTGAACAGCAGATATGGTGGCTGTCCCTCCCCCTGGGAGCTTCATCCCAGGAAGAGATTAGAGCTCTATCCTAGAACACCTGCTGGAGTAGCTGAAGCCCCATAGGGAAGTCCCACACAATGAGGAGGAATGGATCAGGGTCTCACTGAAAAAGCAGTCTGGCAACAATCTGGCAAGGCAGCTGGCTGTGTTGTGGGAGACCCTTTCTCATCCAGACCATTTGTATTCTCCAAAGCCAGCCGTCTGGGATGACTGAGTCTACTGAACTACAGAGACGGTGGCCACTCCTTCCTTAGGGCTTTGTTCCAGGGAGAGATCAGAGTTCTGTCCATAAAACCCTAGCTGGAGTGGCTGAAGCCTCCACAGGGAGGTACCACCCAGTATAGAGAAATGGATTGGGGTCCCGCTTAAAGAAGCCATCTGGCTATGATCTGGTAAGGCAGCTGTACTGCATTGTCGGGGACCCTTCCTTGTCTGGATCATTTGTAGTCTCCAAAGCCAGCAGGCTGGAATGGCTGAGTCTATCAAATTGCAGAGATAGATGGTGGCTGCCCTTCTCCAGAGAAACTCAGACCCCTCTCAGGCAAATTCCAGGCTGTTGTCATTGGCTGGCTGAAATTCCAAGCCAGTGGGTCTTAACTTGTGAGTTGCCATGGAAGTGGGGCCCACAGAAAAATCCTGCTTGGATCCCTAGAGTCAGCCTCCTTTCTAGGGATATGAGTGGATGGATTTCCTGCCTTGCTGGGGATTTCTGGGCTGGAGTATATAAAAGTCCTGGGTCTCTGTGTGTGCCTGAGCAGCTGCTCTGTAAAGACTCCACGCAGCTGTGTGTATCAAACCCAAGGCCCTCCCTGGTGGTGTGGGTTCACGAGGGTATTTCCTGATCTGCTGGTTTCAAAGATCCATGGGACAAGCACGGTTTCCCAGTGAGGGTCTCACAATCATACACTACTTCCCTTGGCTGGCAGGGGGTGTTCCTTTGGCTCTGTGCCACTCCCTGGTAGGCCATCGCTGCCCCTTCCCCCCACTTTTCTTCATTCTCCATTGGTAAAGTTGTTTGTCTAGTCAATTCCAATGTGAGAACCTGGATAATTTAGTTGTAAGTGCTGAACTGTTGTGCCACTTTTCATTCTTCCCCATTAGTGCAGCTGCTTCTAATTGGCCGTCTTGAATCAATCCAGTTTGTTCATACTTTCCTAGCTCCTGAAGGGAAATTGTTAGGTTCCTTATTTGAAATCTTTCAACTTTTCTGATGTAGGCATTTATTGCTGTAAATTTGTCTCCTAATACTGTATTTGCTGTAGTTTATGGATTTTGGTATGCTGTATTTCTATTTTCATTTGTTTCAAGGAATTTTAACATTTTCTTCTGAGTTTTTTTCTTCACTTATTGGTCATTCGTGAGCATGTTGTTTAATTTCTATGTATTTTCATACTTTCAAATGTTTCTTTTTAAATTAGCTTTTTAGTTTTATTCTATTGTGTTCAGATAAAATATTACATATAATTTATTTCTTATTCAAATTTTAGTTTAGATTCAGTTAGTATGTGTATAGGTGTATTACCTGGGTATATTACATAATGCTGAGGTTTGAGGTATGAATGACTACATCACCTACATACTGAGCATAGTAACCAGTAGTTTTTCAATGCTTGACCCCTTCCCTTCATCCTCCCTATAATAGTTCCCAGTTACTATTGTTGCCATCTTTATATTTATGAATACCCAAAATTTAGCTCCCACTTGTAAGTGAGAACATGTGGTATTTGGTTTTATTTTCTTTTTTAATAATTGAAGTATGTTGTATTTAATTTTAGTAACAATAGCAGCAACTTTCAAATGTTGACAGATATCTCTAGAAATCATACTTCTTGCAAAAAATGAAACTATACAGATGCAAAACTTCCCAGGTGTGTTGTTTATATTTTACAGTCTGAAGAATGACAAATACTTGAAGATATTTTTGAATCTAATAATAAATTCTGAGAAATAAAAGCGAACACTTATTTTTCTTAAATTAAAAGGGTTGAAATACTTCTTAAATAATTAGGTATTTGGTTTTCTTTTCCTGTGTTATTTCGTTTGGATGATGGTGTCCAACCACATTTAAGTTGCTGCAAAAGACATGATTTCATTATTTTTATGGCTGCTTAGTATTCAGTGTTGTCAGTGCCACATTTTCTTTATCCAATCCATCATTGATGGGCACCAAGCTTGATTCCATTTTCTTGCTATTATGAATAGTGCTGCAATGAAAATGTGAGTGCACGTGTCTGTTTGGTAGAATGATTTGTTTTCCTTTTTCTATATACCTAGTAAAGGGAGTGCTGTGTTAAATGGTAGTTCTGTTTGAAGTTATTTGAGAAATCTCCAAACTTATTTCCACAGTGGCTGAACTAATTTACATTTCAACCAACAGCATATAAGTGTCCATTTTTCTCTGCAGCCTTGCCAGCATCTGTTGTGTTTTGACTTTTTAGTAATACCCATTCTGACTGGTGTGAGATGGTATCTAATTCTAGTTTTGATTTGCATTTCTCTGGTGATTAGTAATAGGCAGCATGTTTTCACATTTAATGACCACTTGTATGTCTTCTTTTGAGAAGTATCCGTTCATTTATTTTGCCCATTTGTAATGGAATTATTTGGTGTTTGCTTATCCAATTGTTTAAGTTCCTTATAGATTCCTTAGACCTTTGTCAGCTGCATAGTTTGCACCTATTTTCACCTATTCTGTATGTTGTATGTTTCCTCTGTTGATTGTTTCTTTTCCTGTGCAGAAGCTCTTTAGTTTAATTAGGTCTTACCTGTCAATTTTTTGTTTTTGTTGCAATTGATTTTGAAGACTAATGCATAAATTATTTCCCAAGGCCCATGCCCCAAATGATGCTTTCCAAGTTTTATTATAGGATAATTATAGTTTGAGATTTTACATTTAAATATTTAATTCATCTTGAGTTAATTTTTGGATATGGCAAAAAGTGTGATTCCAATTCCATTCTTCTACATATGGCTGGCCAGCTATCTCAGTATCCTGTAATTAATAGGATGCCTTCCCTCATTGCTTATTTTTGTCAACTTTGTCAAAGATTAGATAAGTTTAGGTGTGAGGCTTTATTTCTGGGTTCTGTATTCTTTTACATTAATCTTTGTGTCTGCTGTTTGTAACAGTACCCTGTTGTTTTAATTACTGCAGCCTCGTTATAATTTGAAGTCAGATACTGGGATGCTTCTGGCTTTATTATTTTTACTTAGGCTAGCTTTGGCTATTTAGGTCTTTTTGGTTCCATATGAATTTTAGAATAGATTTTTCTAGTTTTGTGAATAATGACATTGGTAGTTTGATAGAAATAGCATTAAGTCTGTAGATTGCTTTGGGCAGTATGGTCATTTAAAGAATATTAATTCTTTCAATTCATAAACATTTAAAGTTTTTCCATTGATTTTGTCATATATAATTCCTTTTAACACTGTTTTGTAGTTTTCCTTGAGATCCTTCTCATTAGGTTAGCTGTATTCTTAGCTATTTTATTTTGGGGAGTGGCTATTGTAAATGTGATTGTGTTCTTTATTTGGTTCTCAGCTTGAATGGCTGACTTTGTAAGTGCCTTGATTAAAAATGATGTCCTGCCCTCAGCCCTGTGTCTGGGAAAACGTTTACAGCTTTTCCCATTGTGTTTCCCTCACAGTGTCTCCAAACCTCACTCCATGTTAAATACAGAGTTTAGAAGAAACAAAGTGCTCTCTCTCAGCTTGGGTTGGTCAGATTCCTAGTGGAAAGTTAAGTTACAGAGGGTGGCTCTCTACCTCTCTAATGTGCTGGGACTTCACTCACTTTTATCAGCCAGATACCATCATGGGGGTTTGTGCTGACATTCTCCTCCCTGGGATCTGGGGTACCCTTCATCATTCCAGCTGATTCCTATTTACCTTCCTGAATTAAAGCTCACAGAGTTTATCTTTATGTATTATCTAGCTACTTCCAAGTGGCTGAGGCACACTAAACGTTTCTAGTCTGCCATCTTGGGAAAACAAAACAAAACAAATCAATTTAATTTTTTTTTTTCAAAACCATGTATTGTGTCCCAACATATAATTTGTCCTGAAGAATGTAATATGTTCTGTTGGAAAAAATATGTATTCTACAGTATTGGATTAAATATTCTGTCCATGGCTGATAGGTCCATTTGATCTATTGTTCAGTTTAAATAATGTTTCTTTGTTGATTTTTTTATCTAAATGATTTGTCCACTGCTGAGAATAGGGTGTCGAAGTCCCCAACAATTATTGCATTGTGTTTATATCTCCTTTTAGATTCAATATTAGTTATATATCTGAGTGTTCCAGTGTTGAGTGTACATATGTTTATAATTGTTATATCATTTTGCTGAAATAATCCTTTTGTCAATATATAATGATCTTCTTTGTTTTATTTATTTGTTTGTTTATTTATTTATTTTTTGAGATGGAGTCTCGCTCTGTCGCCCAGGCTCGAGTGCAGCGGCGAGATCTCGGCTCACTGCAAGCTCCGCCTCCCGGCTTCACGCCATTCTCCTGCCTCAGCCTCCCAAGTAGCTGGGACTACAGGCGCCCGCCACCATGCCTGGCTTTTTTTTTTTTTTTTTATACCACCTTAAAGTCTATATTATTTGCTATAAGTATAGGTATTTTTATTCACTTTTGCTTTTTGTTTGCATGGAATGTCTGTTTTTATGGGCATCATGTAGTTGATTTTTCTTTTTTACCATTAGACCGGTCTATAATTTTTAATTGAGGAATTAAATCAGTTTACATTTAATGCTTTGTTGGTGTGTGAGGACATACTCTTGTCATGTTGATTATTTTCTGTTTGGTTTGTATTGCTATTTTTTTTTTACTTTCTCTTTTAATGTTTATTTTTAAAGTTTTGTGGTTTTCTGTAGTAATTTTAGATTCTTTTATCTTTCTCCTTTCTGTGTCAGATCAGGATTTATCATTTTGCAGGTTTTCATTATCATAGTTATCATCTTTTCACTTCCAAATCTAGTGCTCCATTGAGCATCTTGTAAGGCGAGAACAGTAGTCATAAATCTTCATTTTTATCTGTTTGGGAAAAAAATATTTATCCTTCAGTTCTAAAGGATAGCGTTGTTGGTTATGGAAGTTATTGTCTTTTGCTTTTTGTTTTTTCATTCTGCAACTGGAATGTATTATTCCATTCTGTCCTAGTATGGAAGATTTCTGCTGAGAAATGTGCTCTTAGTCTATGGACATTTTCTTATATTTGACCTGACATTTTTCTTTTGCTGTTTTTAGAATTCTTTCTTTGTCTCTATTTTTGAACATGTGACTGTAATGTGCTTTAGAGAGAATGTGTTTGTGTTGAATCTATTCAAAGGCTTCAAACTTTTTTGGATCTGCATGTCCATCTTTCTCCCAAAACTTGGTACTTTATTTAGCTATTATTATTATTATTATTTTTAATTTGTATACTTCTCCCCTTCTTGAATACCCATAATGTGAATATTTGTTCAATTGATGGTGTTCCATAAATCCTATAGCCTTCCTTTCTTCTTTCTTTCCTTTCTTCTTCCCTCCCTCCCTCCCTTCCTTCCTTCCTTCCTACCTTCCCTCCTTCCCTTTCTTTCTCTCTCTCTTTTTCATTCTTTCTTTCCTTCTTTCTTTTCTTTCTTTTTTTTCCTCTGTTTTCTTCATCTTCCTGAATTACTTCAAAGGACCTTTCTTCAGTTCAGAGATATTTTCTTTTTCTTGGATTAGCCTGTTAGAAGCTCTCAATTGTATTTTTTATTTAATTGATTATTTTTTCCGTTCTAAGATTTCTATTTGGTTATTTTCCTTCTAGCTCTCTTTTGAATTTCTCATTCTAATTGTAAAATGTTTTTCTGATTTTATTGAATTATCTGTCTATATTCTCTTGCATCACACTGAGTATTTGAGATTATTATTTTGTCTTCTTTTTTGGTATTGTGTGTATTTCCTTATACTTCAGATATGTTACTGGAGATCTATTTTGTTTATTTAGATGTGTCATGTTTCCTTTCTTTTTTATGTTGATTTTATCCCTATGTTGATTTCTATGCCTCTGGTAGAAAAGTTGACACATCTAATTTTATAGAGTAGGTTTCACAGGGAAAGACTTGTTCCTATGGATTAGTCTTGGGGTGTCTGTTGGGTAGGGAGCCTTGGCTATGGTTCTAGGTGGACACAGAAATGGAATCTTTATGCATTTTCTTTAGCTCTAATTTATGCTAATAATATTTTGAGTGTCTCAGTAACCTAGGCTGCAAGAGATTGTAGTGGCAATAGCATGACATTACTGAGTGTGAACTTCCTGGGCTGTTTCTCAGGTTGAGCACACATGTATGCACAAGTTGTGTTGGTCTATTTGGGCTCTGGCTTGCTAGGTTTAGGGCCAGAGCTGTTACTCTGGCTGGGGACATGGATGCAGTTGTTTTGCTGGGGACACTGATAAAGGTGCTTGGCCCACCAGGGTTGGTACCACCAGGCTGTTTCTCAGGTGCTGGGTGTAACTACTTGACTGCTGGTCTGGTCTGGGAAATAGCTACCAAGAGTGGACCCCCGGCTGTTTCCCAGGCCCCAGGTATGGGCATGGGGCTGCTAGATAGGCCACAGGCATAGACATGTAGCTTCTTTGCTAGCCTGGAGGTGTGTCAGCTGCTTGCAGTTTGGGAGCCTCTCTTGTTCTGTGGAAAGTGTACAGTGGTTTGGCTGGCTCAAGGGCAGCTCTGACCTTGTCAGGTCTCTCAGACAGTTTCTCCGGCTAGAAATGTGAGTGTCAGGGGTTGGTTTCCTTGCTGTGCAGGACCAGAATCTCAGCCAGTCCTGAGCCCAGGAACAGAGCAACCAGGGTTGTGGTTTTGTAAACACTCATATGGGATTGATGGAATACATACAGATTCCCAGGGCTAGAAAGGTGCAATGACTACCAGCTCCCAGAGAAGGGACACTCCAGGAGTGGCTCAGTTCTCAGGATGCCACCATGCTGCAGCAGCTTGAGTAATAGGGGTTGTGTTGTTGTTGGGGAGTGAATATCTTATGCTCATAGTCCAGAGCAAAGCATCTGTGTGAATTCCTGGCAGCTCCCCAAACTAAGCTTGGGGCTAGTGGTAACTGTGGGATTCTTCTGCAGTAAAGACTATAGGTGTTTGCAGGGCAATGGGGACTGCCGGAGTTCTTTTGCTTACTTTTATCCTGCTAGAAGAAGTTCTTCTTGACTTCAGGCAAATTCAGGCAGGAAAAAGAGGGTGGCAGAGTTAGGGTAACTTCACGATGCCTTCCTGGGATTCCTTAGCAACACAGGCATCTCTCTATTTCCCTGTTACACTCCATCACTCTCCCTTTGATATTCCACTTGAATCTTGGCTGTTATTTTTTGGCCTTGTTGCATTCTTGTAGAAGAAATGAACATAAGGCACCTTTGGTCACCCATCCTTTTGATGTCACTCTTGAATCTTATTTAATTTATGTTTTAAATATATTCTGTATAATACCATTGTTTTAGTCCATTTTCACACAGCTATAAAGACATTGAGACTGGGTAATTGGGGAAGAAAAAAGGTTTAAATGATTCATAGATCTGCATGGCTGGGGAGGCCTCAGGAATCTTACAATCATGTTGGAAGGTGAAGAGGTAGCAAGGTGCATCTTCCCATAGTGGCAGGAGAGGGACAGAGAGAGAAGGGGAAAATGCCAGACACTTAAACAACCAGATATTGTGAGAACTCTAGCACTAAAACAGCAAGGGGGAAATCTGCCCCAACAATTCAGTCGCCTTCCACCAGCTGACTTCTCCAACATGTGAGAATTACAATTTGACATGAGATTCGGATAAAGACACAAAGCAAAACCATGTTATTCTGCCCCTGGCCCCTTACAAATCTCATGACCTTCTCACATTTCAAAAACAATCATCCCTTCCCGACTGTCCTCCAAACTCTTAACTCATTCCAACATTAACTGAAAAGTCCAAGTCCAAAGTTTCATCTGAGACAAGGCAAATCCCTTCTACATAGCAGCTTGTAAAATTAAAAAAAAAAAAGTTAGTTACTTCCAAGATACAGTGGGGGTACGGGCATTGGGTAAATGTTCCCATTCCAGATGGGATAAACTGATCAAAACAAAGGGGCTACAGGCCTAATGCAAGTCTGAAACCCAGCATGGCAGCCATTAAATCTTAAGCTCCAAAATCTGCCTTGACTGCATATCTCACATCCAGACCACACTGACACCAGGAGTGGGCTCCCAAGTCCTTGGGCAGCTGTGTCCCTATGGCTTTTCAGGGTACAGCCCCCACGGCTGCTTTCATCAGCTGACATTGAGTGCCTACTGCTTTTCCAGGTGCATGGTGCAAGCTGTTAGTGGATCTGACATTCTGGGGTCTAGAGGATGGTGGCCTTCTTCTCACAGCTGCACTAGGTGGTGCCTCAGTGGGGACTCTGTGTGTGGGTTCCAACCCCACATTTCCCCTCTGCATCGCCCTAGTAGAGGTTCTTCATGAGGGCTCTGCTTCTGCAGCTGACTTTTGCCTGGACATCCAGGCATTTCCATACATCCTCTGAAATCTAGGCAAAGGTTCCCAAACCTCAACTCTTGTCTTCTATATACCCACAAGCCCAAGGCCACATGGAAGCCACCAATGCTTGGGGCTGGCATCCTCTGAAGCAATGGCCCAAGCTATCAAGCTGTACCTTGCCCCTTTCAGCTATGCCTGAAGCTAGAGTGGCTGGGACACAGGTTTCCATATCCCAAGGCTGCACAGAGCAGCAAGGTCCTGAGCTCAGCCAATGAAATCATTTTTTTTTTTCTCCTAGGTGTTCATGTATGAGATGAGAGGGGCTGCCACAAAGATCTCTGAAATTGTCCTGGATACATTTTCCTTATTTTCTTGGCTATTACCATCAGGCTCCTTGTTACTTATGCAAATTTCTGGAGCTGGCTTAAATTTCTCTCCAGAAAATGGGTTTTTCTTTTCCACCACATGATCAGGCTGCAAATTTTCCAAACTTTGGTGTTCTTTTTCACTTTTAAACATAAGTTCCAATTTTAAGTCATCTATTTGTGAATGTATGTGACTGTATGCTTTTAGAAAAAGCCAGGCCACCTCTTGAGTGCTTTGCTGCTTAGAAATTTCTTCTGGCAGATACCCTAACTCATCTCTCTCAAGTTCAAAGTTCCACATATCTCTAGGGTGGGAGCAAAATACTGCCGGTATCTTTGCTAAAGCATAGCAAGTTTCACCTTTATTCTGGTTTCCAAAAATTCCACATCCCCATCTGAGACCAGGCAGCCTGGATTTCATTTTCCATATCACTATCAGCATTTTGACCAAAGACATTCAACAAGTCTCTAGGAAGTTCCAAACTTTCTCCCATCTTGCTGTCTTCTTCTTATCCCTCCAAACTTTTCCAACACCTGCTGGTTACCCAGTTCCAAAGTCTGCTTCACATTCTCACATGTCTTTATAGCAATGCCCCACTACCTCGGTACCAATTTTCTGTGTTAGTCCATTTTCAAACAGCTAAAACTACACACCTGAGACTGAGTAATTTATGAAGAAAAGAGGTTTAATTAAGTCATGAATCCAAATGGTTGGGGAGGCCTCAGGAGTTTTATAATCATAGCGGAAGACAAAGGGGAGATAAGTCTTCCCATGGTGGTATAAGAGAGAGGGAGAGAAGGGGGAAGCACCAGGCACTTATCAAACAACCAGATCTTGTGAGAGCTCTATCAAAGAACAGCAATGGGGAAGTCTACCCCTATGACTCAATCACCTCCCACGAGGTCACTCACCCAACATGTGGGGATTACATGAGATTTGGGTGGGGACACAGAGCCAAACCATATCAGCCACCTTGCCTGATTTAAATCTGAAAACTCAGATCAGGGATTATGCTTTTTAAATAATCATTTTTTCCCTAAATACTTGCTATGATAATATTTATTTAATACTTACTATGGTAGACAATCTATTAATCATTTAATGTACTTCACTTATTTAATTCTTACAATGTCCCTAGCCAGTTTTTGAGACTTCACGTTCCACAGAGACTACTTGATTTTAAAATTGAGCACTTTGGCTTATGAACTATAAAATTGGAAAAGACACGGCCTCTCTCAATGTCAGTTTTGAAATCTAATCACAGATTGTTGTGAGATTAAGGTGAATTAATAAAAGTAATTTATATAAATAGTGCATGGGGTATAATCATTATTAAATATAAGGTAACATTATTTCAAAATAAAACCAGTATTATTATCTCTAAGTTGAATTATTATGATCGATTCAATGCATTCATTGTTTGTTTTATTTTGGAGTTTAGATTATTGTTCAGCAAATAATCACAAGGAACAAACCTCAGCCTCATGCAGATAATTCCATATGAACTTTCTCCTGCTCTATCCCTTCTCCATGGACAAAGTATGCTTCCACACACCATTGATATTGGCTTTTTCCCATGTGATGTGATTTGGCTAATACAATATAGTCTAAAATGATCTGGTGCTAGTTGCAAGCTTATGCTTCTAGTAACATCACTTGTCTACTCCTCCCTCTGGGAGTTTCTGGTCTCCACCATGGTACATGCCCCAGACAGCTAGTACCCCTACATACAGGCCCTGGGAATGTCAGATGTGGAGTCAATCTGATCTCAGTATGAAGGAAAAAGCAGAGCCATTCCAGCTGACACACAAATCTATTAGTGAATAATAAAAACTGTTTGTCACTGAGGTTATGTGTGTGTATGCCTTTTTATGTTGGTAAGACTGGCCAATACACTCTTCTTCTCCAGTAAACTCTTCCATATATTAAACAAAGTGGTTTTTTAAAGACAGAATTCTAAAATATTATGTTCCCTGTTTAATACCTTTTAATGGCATTCATCTAAACTTAGACTCAAATAAAATTATTTGTTATAGTTTAAGAGGATTTTATCTACTTCTTAGATATCATAGTTTTCTACACACAAGCCAGCTAGGTATCTTATTTTTTTTTTTGCTAGAATAAGCCAAGTTTTTTTTTCCTTCTTAGGACCTTCTCAAATGTCCTCTTCTCAAATTTTCTCTTACTGAAAAGATATTCTTCACATTACTTTCCATGATCTTCACACTTCAGGTCTTGACTCAAAAGTCATCTCCTCAGAAATGCCTTCCTGATACCTTATCTAAGTAAGTAGAATCACTCTGTCAGTGTCTGTCTTAACACTTATTGCAATTTTAATTATATATTTATTAATTTATCTGCTGGTCATCTGTCTCTTCTACTAGAATCTAAGTTTCATGAGGTGAGCAATAGAGTTAAACTTATTAATTATTGATTAATCAGAACCTAGCACCATGCCAGATGCTCCTAAGTATTTACAAATTCTGTTAGATAAATTAATTTTATTACAGAAGTTTAGATATAGATGATGATTAAATGCATTTCTTAAGATTATGTAACTGATAACCAAGTACAGAGCTAAGACTCTTAGTCAAATATATCTGTTGTCTTTTAAGATTCAAGTATGTGGGGAAAAATTTAAAAAATATATTGTCCATAATAGATCAAGCCTTGGCTCAATTACAGTTTTGGTAACTCATACCAAATATTGAATAACTGATCATTAAATTATCCTATGCTAAATATTTTGATAATTAAGTAGTGCCTAATTATATGGGTTACACTTACACTGTTTAGAATAATAGGGTTTGATTCTACATATATGCTTAAGAAATAAATCATTCTCAGCAAACTATCGCAAGGACAAAAAACCAAACACCACATGTTCTCACTCATAGGTGGGAATTGAACAATGAGAACACATGGACACAGGAAGGGGAACATCACACACCAGGGACTATTGTGGGGTGGGGGGAGGGGGGAGGGATAGCATTAGGATATATACCTAATGCTAAATGATGAGTTAATGGGTGCAGCTCACCAACATGGCACATGTATACGTATGTAACAAACCTGCACATTGTGCACATGTACCCTAAAACTTAAAGTATAATAATAATAATAAAAAATAAATAAAGTAAAAAAGAGAAATATCTATTATTAAAAATTCACAACCTAAATATATACGTTCAATTATTTTTTGAACATACGCTCAAGTTTTTCTGTTGTATATTTTATATACTTTAGTAAGCATCTCTGACAAATATTTTACAATATCTAAATTTTAATTATTTACAACTATTTTATATTTATACTAATTTTACATCTTATACTAGGTTTTATTAAATTCATATATCATTTTAAATAGGGTAGATTGTTTTACATTAGGCAGCAACCTTAAAATATTAAAGGACTAATACAGCAAATGTTTATTTTCTGCCGTATATATGTAATTGGTTGCCTTAGGCTCTGTTCCACATCATTTTTACTGCAGGATCCAAGCTAAATCAGTAGCCTTTTTCTGGAACTTTGTTGGTTGTCATTGCAGAGGAAACGTAGAATGTGGTGAAACATGAGCTGTCTTTTAGATCAAATCCTTAGGATACATGTTACTTTCACTACTGTTTCATTGGGAAAAGCAAGTCATTTTATGAAGTTGGAAGTCATTGAGATAAATACAAATAATTTTCCCTGAGGGAGTAGTCCTGAGTGTACAATAAAAATATATCTATTTTAGTGAGCCGAAAGCCTGAGGGTTGTGACCAGCTCAGCATTCCACTGAGGCTATATGATCAAACAGCAAACTCTTTATCATGAATGCAGAATGTAGGCAAACTTGCTTCTGCGCCGGCCACCAGAAGGTTTGCTGAGGGCAATCACTCCCTGGCGCTGTGCTCCTTGAGGTTATCTGCTGGAACATCTGGAGACTACTGCTCAGAGAATGCAGTCATGCAGGGCTGCACCGAGTCAGGCAGCTGAACACGACCACCCCCTTCTCCCTATCTCCTTGACTCGATAAATATGAAGGGCTATAGAAGCTCAGGGCCCTTGTTCACTAGAAGCAAGGAGCCCCCTGACCCCTTATTCCAAATATACTCTTTTGTCTTTGTCTTTATTCCCGCGTTCATCCTCCTTTGTTCAGTCCACCAAGGCCCGCGCAATCTATGATGCTTTACTGACTCATTTTCCTGGCATGAATTTTTATATAATTGTTAGGCTTTTAAAAAATGACTTCTCTGACATTAGCAGTTATATTTTCCCTTTTCAGAAAGTCTATTTCCCTTCCTCTATGATAATTATGAAATCTCAACTGACCATGTGTAGTTTTGAGTAGAACCCGATGACTGTAGGTAGAGTATTTCCTAGATAATTTTTGAAATAAAATGGTGTCTGAAATCTGAGAATATGCCTAAAGCTTTGATGGAGTAAAAGAAAGTAAATATTTTTCTTACTAAAATCATTTGGGGGCAGATAAATATAGAATATGATTGAATATTTTGTTATAATTATCTGAAACTTTAAAGTTACCTTGAAATGTCTTAAATGTAGCTGAGAGCCATTAAGGTACAAAACTTCATGATCATTTTTTGGACTCAGTATCCACGGGAAAATAGTAATTTAAAAAATGTCCCTCTTTCCCAGAAGTTGAATTAACATTCTTTTTGTTTTTTTAGACAGGGTCTCACTCCACTGCCCAGGTTGGAGGGCTGTGGTGTAATCACCTCTCACTGTCTCACTGCAGCCTTGACTGCTTGGATTCAAGTGATCATACTGCCTCAGCCCCCTGAGTACCTGGGACCACGAGCATGTACCACTATGCCCAACTAATTTTTAAATTTTGTTTAGAATGGGATCTCACTTTGTTGCCCAGACTGGACTCAACCTCCTGAGCTTAAGTGATCCTTTCACCTTGCTTCCTAAAGTGCTGGGATTACAGGTAGAAGCCACACCACCTGGCTGAATTAACATTCTTAATGCTTTGGAAAAGTAAGAGGCAGTTACTCTCAAACAAAAATAAAATTTATGGTAATCCATCATACTTGGTAATATGATTTGGATTTGCATCCCCACACAAATCTCATGTCAAATTATAATCTCCAGTGTTGGAGCAGGGACCTCATAGAGGTGACTGAAGCATGAAGCAGACATCCTCCTTGCTGTTCACCTGATAATGAGAAAATTCTCATGAGATCTGGTTGTTTAAAAGCATGGAGCACTTCCACCTTTGCTCTCTTCTTTCTCTAGCCATGTAAGACATAACTGCTTTCCCTTCACTTTCTGCCATAATTGTAAGTTTCCTGAGGCCTCACTAGCCATGCTTCTGTATAGCCTGGGGAACTATGAGTCAATTAAACCTCCTTTTTTATAAATTGCCCAGTTTCAGGTAGTTATAACAATGTGAGAACGGATTAATGTACTTGTCCATCTTTTTTTTGTATGAGGATAAAATTTTATTTAAAAAATTACACTTCGGTTCATCAGATTTTAAAAAGATTTAGACAAATTATAATACTTATGGATTCCTTACTATATACAGAGCTCTGTGCTATTATATATGTAATCCTTAATGTAATCTTTAATATAGATTTTAATCATCATTTTACTAAACAAATGAAGACTAAAACATTGGAGGGAATTTTCCTAAAACACATGGCTGGTAAAGGATAATATGAATATAAACTCATACAGTTTTAACTGGGAAGCTACAATTTTCATTTGCATCATGCAATTAACCTTCTATTTCCACTATCAAAGATGGTATCAATATGTATTGGAAACATGAAACTGGGATGGTACTTCGGGAATGGTATCATCTCTATTTCTAATTGTTTATGAGTCTAGAATAGTTAGCGTCAGTTCTTCAATCCAAATAATTTTTTTGCACCTTTGCAAAATAGCTTGATGAATCCGTTAGGTGAAAGTTTGATAGAAATGTGCACAGTGTTGAAACCACAGAATGTGTAATTGATCTCCAAAAAAATGATGTTAAATAATAATTCCTGGACTTGTGTTTAGGTCTTTGATGCAAATCTAAGTATAGAAAAAATGAATTGAGGTTAGGGTATACATCAGAATTCACAAAAAAATTATCTAATCATTAAGAGCATTTTCAGACATCACACTGATCTGATTATAACTCCCAGTTCTGCCATCTAGCAGTTATGCAACCATGGAAAGTTATATGACCTCTTTGAAACTTTTTCTCTTTGTAAAATGAGAAGAGTGGAAACACTTTTTTCAAATACCTGTTCTGAAAATTAAATAAGATAATGCTCTTAAGGTGCTCATAAATAGTATGTAGCAAAGTTTACTGTTTCAATAAATAATAAAAGAAAATCTACTTGTTCATCTCATATAATGCCTATATGTGGCCAGGCGCAGTGGCTCACGCCTGTAATCCCAACACTTTGGAAGGATGAGGAGGGAGGATCATGAGGTCAGGAGTTTGATACCAGCCTGACCAATATGGTGAAACCTGGTATCTACTAAAAATACAAAAATTAGCCAGGCATGGTAACACACCTGTAATCCCAGATACTTGGGAGATTGAGGCAGAAGAACAACTTGAACCCAGGAGGCAGAGGTTGCAGTGAGCCAAGATTGTGCCACTGCACTCCAGCCTGGGTGACACAGCAAGACTCCATATCAAAAAAAAAAAAAATGACTATATTTACCATCCCTAAATCTGAGTCTTTATTAGAAATGTAATTAAGAAATAAGGTGTTCACTGCTGGAACTCTAGCTCTAATAAATTAAAAATAATCTCTAAGTACCAGCATTTTATACTGATTCTTATGTGACCAGTAGGACATTAGAAACCATGGCCAAAAGATAGAAGATGACTGACTAGAAGAAGCTAGTGTGGGCTGCTCTCATGGAAAGAAGAAGAAGTATTATATAAATACTACACTGGGATTCATCCAGGAAACAAATTTGGCCCACAGGGAATGGAGAGGAACAAGACAGGATGATGCAGGAGTGGCACAGAGCCAGAGGAGGCTCCCTGTCTGTGGGGAATGGTGAATGAGTAAGATACACAAAGGATGCACAATTATTCCATAGGTTTTACAACCCTGGATCATTCCCCAATGAGCCCATTCCACAAGGACCTTCAGGTTGACATGCTGTATTAGTCCGTTTTCATGCTGCTGATAAAGACATACCTGAGACTGGGAAGGAAAAAGGTTTAATGGGCTTACAGTTCCACATGGCTGGGGAGGCCTCCAAATCATGGCAGAAGGCAAGGAGAAGCAAGTCACTACTCAGGTGGATGGGAGCAGGAAAAGAAAGAGCTTGTGCAGGGAAACTCCCATCTTTAAAACCATCAAATCTCATGAAGCTTATTCACTATCAAGAGAACAGCACGGGAAAGACCCACCCCCATTATTCAATCACCTCCCATCAGTTTTCTCCCACAAAACATGGGAATTGTGGGTGTTACAATACAAAATGATATTTGGGTGGGGACACAGCCAAACCGTATTATTCCATCCCGATCCCTGCCAAATCTCATGTCATCACATTTCAAAACCAATTATGCCTTCCCAACAATCCCCCAAAGTCCTAATTCATTTCAGCATTAACTCAAAAGTCCAAGTTCAAAGTCTCATCTGAAAGAAGGCAAGTCCCTTTTGCCTATGAGCCTGTTAAATCAAAAGCAAGTTAGTTAATTCCTAGATATAATGGAAGCACAGGCATTGGGTAAATACAGCCATTCCAAATGGGAGAAATTGGCCAAAACAAAGAGGCTACAGGCATGCAAGTCCAAAATCCAGTGGGGTTGTAAAGTCTTAAATCACCAAAATAATCTCCTTTGACTCCATGTCACATCCAGGTCATGCTGATGTAAGGAGTGGGTTCCCATGGTTTGGGGTAGCTCTTCCCCTGTGGCTTTGTGGGGTGCAGCCTTCCTCCTGGGTGGTGTTGAGGGTTGTGGCTTTTCCAGGCACATGGTGCTAGCTGTCAATGGGTCTACCATTCTTGGGTCTTGGAGATGGTAACCCTTTTCTCACAACTCCACTAGGTGGTGCCCTGGTAGGAATTCTGCATGAAGTCTCTGACCCTACATTTCCCTCCTGCATTGCACTATCAGAGGTTCTCCATGAGAGCCCCAGCAGAGGGACCCTGGGCCCAGCCCATGAAACCATATATTCTTCCTAGGCCTCTGGGCCTGTGATGGGAGAGGCTGCCATGAAGGTTAAGACCTCTGACATGCCTTGGAGACATTTTCCCCATTGTCTTGGGGATTAGCATTGGGCTCCTTGTTACTTATGCAAATTTCTACAGCTGGCTTTAATTTCTCCTCAGAAAATGGGATTTTTTTCTATTGCATTGTCAGGCTGCAAATTTTCCAAACTTTTATGCTCTGCTTCCCTTACAAAACTGTATGCCTTTAACAGCACCCAAGTCATTTCTTGAATGCTTTGCTGCTTAGACATTTCTTCTGCTACATACCCTAAATCATCTGTCTCAACTTCAAAGTTCTACATATCTCTAGGGCAGGGGCAAAATGCTGCCAGTCTCTTTGCTAAAACATAACAAGGGTCACCTTTGCTCCAGTTCCCAACAGGTTTCTTATCTCCATCTGAGACCACCTCAGTCTAGATTTTGTTGTCCATATTATTATCAGCATTTTGGCCAGAGCCATTCAACAAGTCTGCAGACCATTGCTGCTCAGCCCCCTGGATTCAGCCCTTTTCCTGGGGGTGTGTAAGGGAGCCTAATTTTCTCATTTGCTAGAGTTACTGCCACTGATATTAGGGATGCCAGGGAATTCAAGTCCCTCAGGACTTCATGTGTGCCTGAGAAGTGGTTTTGCTCAGATCCATATAGCTGTGCATGTGATATGGTTTGGCTGTGTCCCCACCCAAATCTCATCTTGAATTGTAGCTCCCACAATTCCCACATTTCTTGGGAGGAATCCAGTGGGAGGTGATTAAATTAGGGGGGTGGGTATTTCCTGTGCTGTTCTCATGAGAGTGAATAAGCCTCATGAGATCTGACAGTTTTAAAAATGGAAGTTTCCCTGCACAACCTTTCTTTTTGCCTGCTGCCGTCCATGTAAGATGTGGCTTGCTCCTCCTTGCCTTCTGCCATGACTGTTAGGCCTCCCCAGTCAAGTGGAACTGTAAGTCCATTAAAGCTTTTTCTTTTGCAGACTGCCCAGTCTCAAGTACGTCTTTATCAGAAGCATGAAAATGAATTAATACAGTAAATTGGTATCAGGAGTGGGCTACTGCTGAATAGATACCCAAAAATGTGGAAATGACTTTGGAACTGGGTAACACACAGAAGTTGGGACAGTTTGGAGGGCTCAAAAGAAGACAAAAAAATTTGGGAAAGTTTGGAACTCCCTAGAGACATGTTGAATGGCTCTGGCCAAAATGCTAATAATAATATGGCTATTATTAAAAAATAGAAAAAGATTTTGGTGGGGTTGCAGAGAAAAGAGAATATTTACACATTCTTGATGGTAGTGTAAATTAGTTCAGCCATTGTGAAAAATAGTGTGGCAATTCCTCTAAGAATTTGAAACAGAATTAACATTCAACCCAGCAATGCCATTACTGGATGTATACCAACAGGAATATAATTAATTCTACCATAAAGACACATGCACGAGTATGTTTATTGCAGCACTATTCACAATAGCAAAAACATAGTGTCAACCTAAATGCCCATCAGTGATAGAATGTATAAAGAAAATGTGGTACATATACACCATGGAATACTATGCAGCTATAAAAAGAATAAAATAATGTCCTTCGCAACAGTGTGGGTGGAATTGAAGACTATTATCCTTACCAAACTAATGCAGGTACAGAAAACCAAATGCTACTTGTTCTCATTTATAAGTAAGAACTAAATAACAAGAACACATGGACACAAAGTGGGGAACAACAGACCCTTGGGCCTACTCGAGGGTGGAAAGTTGGAGGAGCAAGAGGATCAGAAAACATGCCTATTGAGCACAATGCTTACCACATGTGTGATAAAATAGTCTGTAAACCAAACACTGTGACACAAGTTTACCTATATACAAAACCTGCACATGTACCTCTGCACTAAAATAATAAAAAAAAACTTAAAAAACTAAAAAAAAAGTAAAACTTAGAAAAGTCACGATGTTGCTACTTCTATTAAGATCCAGAGGCTTATGAAGATTAATATTGCCTTTACGTTTTCTAAAATAATAGATCATTTAAAATGAAGAATAAAGATAAGTTATAAAATCCCTGTTAAACATTCCTGGTTAGACCTAGTATGAATTTTAAGAAATTAAGTTTCCTAAAGATGAGAGATCACCAATTAATTCATCTACAGTGGTGATATTAACATAAACTGACTTGTTTAAAGAACCAGTGTAAGTTCAGGAACTTTTCACAAAGTGTCCAAGGTTTTTTATGTTATCAAGATGTTATCATAGAGAACTATGAAGCCAGAAAGTCGGTAGTCTGGGAAATATTATAAGTTTTAGGACTGAATGGCATAGCACAGTGACTGGCAAGGTGGAATGTAAGTTATATTATTGGTCAACCAATTAGCTTAAACCTGGTACTGATCAATCTTTCTAAGTCTTGGGTCATAAACTAATGGAATTCACATATCCTTGCCTACAAGTAGTCTTCTTCTTCCTGGAAAACTTTAAAATGATAAACATGGGACTTTATGTAGACAGAGTAGTCAATTATTTCATCAATAGGTGATAATAGACATGGTGGCTAGATTACTATCACACCCAGAGAACACATTTTTAAATTCTACATAATCCAATTACTCAGTCTTCAGTTGTTATTTTATTTCTTCTGTGTGTGTGACCATGCCTTAGAGTTTTTCGGCACAGTTAGACATATACTATTCTTGTCAGGGGCATGATCATCATGTGAAATTCTGTGCCTCAGAGTCACTTGTTAGGGAAAAATTAATGCTACATCTGGGTGCTGAGTACCTAACCTTTTTAGAATTGTTTAGGGTCGGGTAATTGAAAAGAAGTAATTGTCTTTATGGATCCTGATTTTGCAAACTAGAAGATCCATCAAGGCGTCTTCTTGAGGAGAACTGATCTGAAAAAGGTGTATTCAACATCATTTCTGAGAATAAGTAGACTGTAGTGAGACACCCATGTTAGACCCCACTTATGGTACTTAATCCTCTTGTAATTTCTTTTTCAACAGCCTTACTTCTGTCTATCCTAAGTAGGCCTATCCTTTATTTTCTCCTAAGATTCCTCCATCAGAAGTGAGGTTTTTACTTCACATTATTCACTTACTATTACGACTTAAGAAGATTAAAGGGATTACTGGCTCAAATGAGATTTGTCTTACTTAAGAAGTCAGATATATTAGTACTAGAAAATATATGCATATAATATACCCACATACTATATAATATATATGTATATGGTTATATATATTATATAGTTTTTGTGTGATTGTATGTCAATGTATGTATGACTCTAGATTTTAATTGTTTTATAAAATCCAATGTATTAAAGCAGCCATTCCATACAAGAACATAATTAATATTATTCTCACTTCTTTTTCCTATGAAATATAATTGCAATGTATTTTGTGGAAATTCCTAAATTAGATCTACTCAATTACTACTTCTATTCACCTGGGTTGTTTGACAAGTTGTCAACCACTGGATAAAATTTTCATCTATTTAAATAGTCTAGGCATTGATCTAAACAATATTATATACAATTTTCATTGTATTTCATGAACTATATGTACTAGATTGAAGTATTTTCAAAATATTTGCTGTCCCTTCTATTCAGCCCCTCCTTATGGGAGAATATTTACTACATCATGGATACCAGGCTTAAGCCCATTATTTGCTTTGCCCATGGATCTGTTGAAAGTGTTATGTGGAACTTCCGAGCATAAGCTTTAAGAGTCATTGAATGGCATCATCATGTCTCTTTTCCCTTAGTCATGAACTGGGCAATGTTTCAGATATGGCCTGCTCTGTCAGACTAGTTCTGCAGTGAAGTACACATGGAACAGAGACTTAGGAGAAGTAAATATCTATTATTGTGTAAGCCACCAAGATTTGAACCTCAATAATTTTTTTTAAATCACAGCATGACTTAGCCCAAAATTTATAGATATTTTCTAAAATAATGTAATAATGATGTCATTTATTTGCTTCTGTTATGCAACACACTGGTATTAAGTATACAAAAAATAAAATGATCCTGTGTTAATTCTAATGTCATGTAGTAACTGTTAGACATAAAATTGGTTAATATTTAGAGCTCTGGCTTTCCATACAGTGCTATGGGAATGTAAGTTACTGCAACATTTTTAAAGGCTAATTTTCTATATACATAATGTATTAAAATTCTTACAATTTCTGATATAGTAATCCTACTTTAAAGAAAAAAATAACAAAACACACAAAACATATGCAGAGAAAGGGTCATTTTACATAAGAATAAAAGATGATTGAAACAGTCTAAATTTGAAAAGTAGAAGATTGGTAAAAATAAATCATCACCCATAAAGTGAAATATTACACTGGCATTAAAATAATGTTGTAGGAATAGTTAATGGCAGCATTTTTTTAGATAAAATAGCATAACCAATTATAAATAATGCATGACCTAAATTTTTTACAAATTGTAAACATGTACACAGAGACTGAAGGAAATGAATCACCATTTTGACAATGGTTACTAGTGCATATTATACACTTTTAAATTTAACATGTATCACTATTAGACATGGAAAATTGTTATAAATTTCATTAAAAATAAAGTGCTAACAAAAATGAAATGAGGTAAGACTTTTTTATATACTTAAGATTTCAAAATGTTCTGTTAATATGGAAAACTCTTTCCTTGGTTTTCAGAGCGCAATTTGTCTATATTTGTGTGTGAAGTATTAACTGTTATTGCATCACTCTCATCCTGACATCATATTTTAATTTTACTTTTCTGGTATAGAAATTAGATAATGGTGTTGTTAAGTCAAGGAATTCCAATCTTTAAAGTTAGATGCAAGTATCTTAATTATATTCCCACTATCTCCTTTTCCAGCTAATGCAGAAATAGAGAACTCTTGATAATTAAATATTATCTAATCAATAATTCTAACTACACTACGGATAATTATGTCCCAATATGATTTCCTGTAAGATATCTCACAGATCATTGATAAACAGCTAAGAAGAAAAAAATCAGGGGATTAACACTCATTATAGCAAAGTGGTTTGCTATTAAATTAATTGAGTAAAATGTAATTGGATTATGTACGTTCTTCAACAGCTACTAGAGTTTAAACTTTAATTAAATTGTCATAGTCCTCATTCAAAAATGAATGTTTGAGCATAAACTATTTTTAAACAACAAGAATACCAGAATATTAATCAGGGCAGCCTATACCAATAACCTCAACTTGAAAGCTCTATCAGAATGATTAGTAACCAATTTTCCACACTAAAAAATCATTGGGAAAAAGTGTTGAGTGCTAATAATCATTTATAGGCTTTTCAAATATTATTACTTGATAGGAAGTCAATTAGCATTGACTAAGAAAACTCATTCTTAAACAATTAGCCAGATTGCAGGTACTAAAGAAAGCCTAGATTTTTAATATTGCCAGAAAATTTTTAGAGCCAGAATTTTCCAGCTAATAAACCAAAATAATATTTTATCAAGTCCTTCTATATCTACCATGAAAGACATTCTAGATATGTGATATTTTATGCCAACCTCATTCCATAGGTTTTCTAAAATAAAAATGAATAAATAATAATGAATATAATATTATATGTAAAATAGTGCATATCTATACATATTTACATGCGTATATACATGCACACACATATGTTCATGCATCTACATATAGACAGACACATACATATACACATATCATATAGAACATCTTATGCAGCTCTGGCAGCTACTTCAAGACTGTAAGTTAGATTACCGAAGATTTCTCAGGAAAAGACAAGTAATTCTTTTTTGCTTTTGATATCCTAATTATGCCCTGCACAAAACTAGTAAAAATAAAAAATTCCCTCATTCAAACAAAAAAATTGTCGGTGAGAACTGAAGGTTAGAATTTGAGTTTTCTGACTTTAAGATTTCTTAATGTAGTATATAAACTATCCTTAGAATATGCCGCTTTTATCTTCTTTTTGAGAAATGCTTGCTGAAATGACCCTCAAAATGCTCTACTTCAGATTTTTAAAAATTATTTTGGGTTACTTTTAATTTAAACCAAAGACTTTCTTTAGCTCTTTAGGAGCTTTGCAAATTTAGATTATCAGCCTTTTATGTGAGTATTTTAAATACAGATTTTTATAGCTTTACTCTTACTCTATGTCAGAATTATTATTTGTATTTTATGATGTTTCGTTTTCATTTTTTAAAATTTATTATTTTAATTTACCCATATTTGTACATATTTAAGGGGTGTAGGGATGTTTCAATAAATACAATGCATAGTGATCAGATCAGTGTAGTTAGTATATCCATCATCTCAAACATTTATCATTTCTTTGTGTTGATAACATTCAATATCCTCTATTCTAGCTATTTAAAATTTATATATTATGGTTAACTATAGTAACCGTACAGTGCTATAGAAAACTACAATGTATTCCTCCAAACTAGCCACATTTTGCATCCCTTAAGAAATTTCTCCCTATCCCCTCCCCCTTTCCTCTACCTTTCCCAGCCTCTAGTAACCTCTGTTCTACATTTTACATCCATGAAATTAACTTTTTTTCTTTAGCTCCCACATATAAGCAAGAACATGGAGTATTTAACGTTCTGTTTCTGGCATATTTCACAACTTTTATTTTAAAATGGGAGCAAACAAAATTAAGAAACTACATTTCTATTTCTTATCATTTTATGCTGTGTAGGTTATCTTCATTATTTCATTCATTTCTCATGGTAATGCTAAGAAAAAGTTATTTCCTTTTAAAGTGTGATAACTATAGTTAAAAAACCTCAGTATTTTATTTAAGGTCACACAGATAGTAGATGAGAATATGTCTCGAAGTCCTGATTAAGACTGCTCCAAGCCTAACATGGGCTGGGGAGTGGGTAGAGGGAAGAGGCTGGAAATCTTCTTTTCTTTAATTAGTTCCCCACAGGCAGTTCCTCTACCTCAAAGCAAATCCGCTGGATTGACCCTTACCACACTCTTTGATCCTAAACTTAATTTAGAAAGATTGACAGTCCTAGGTTTTAAATTAACTTGTCACATAACTTAGGATACCTGGCAGTGAAATTAATGGTTAAAAATAAAACTAGTCTTAAAGGCAATTTATGTAAATTAAAAAAATGCTGTCAAATACAGAGAAATTTTTACACACAATAACAGAGGAGTGTCAAAAGTGTGTGATCATTTCATGTAGGCTGAGAGAAATTGAAGTTTTTACTGGCAATTATTAAGGTCTTAGTAAATATTCAGGAAATAACATATTGTAAGGCTGTTACATAATATCATTAACTTTAGGTAAATATAAATCACACCTATAAGCAGTTTTATTTATTCATTTATTCTGTAACTTTTTGTTGACCAATTGCTTTGGGCCAGACAACGAGCAAGGCATGAAAAATTCAAAGGTGCTTATAACATGACATGTAATTTGAGGGTCTCACAATAGAGATGAAAAAAGATGCAAGCCATCAGATCCTAGTAATATTATATGATAAATGCTCTAATAGTGCTAGAATCAGAGGCTTATGGAATTCGAAATTCATAAAACCTGAGGAAATCAGAAAAGGCTTCACTAAGGAAGTTGTGTTTTAAATAGTTATGGGTAAATCAGCAGATGTTTGTAATGTAAACAATTATTTGAGGAGTTCGGTATTTTTTGAAAGGAAATGTAATTCTAGATATACCATTATCGCTTGATAAGAGATCTCTTTTTCAGTTTTATATAATTATTATTAGATGATCATGAGGAGGAGGAAGATGATGGTGATCATGGTGGTCATGGTAGTGATTATAATGAGAATAATTGTGATTATATGATGATATCTTACTATGGAATAATCAAGTTATAATTTGTTAAACATAATTGAGAGCCAACTGGAAGTGTGAATTCTTACTTTTTTTTGAAAAAAGAAATTCATAATGCTGAATCTTAAAGAAAAAAATAGTTCTATCTATGTACACTTTAATGTCTTTGAATAAAAAGTAGTCCTTTCAATTAAAAAGAAATCATTCTTCTACAGTGAGTGAAAATTTCAAAAAAGATAACAAAAAGAAGGAAATTCATGTTAATCCAAAAAAGATACATCAAACTTGGGCATCAGTGAGATGATGGTGATTACGGCCAATCTACACTAATGTCAAAATGCCTACCCTAATTTATGTACTCAGTAAGCTTAGTGGTGTGAGAAAAGTTTACATATGATTATTTCAAATAATCAATTACAGGCTTTCTAAAGGGATTTTAAGAATAATGAAACAGAGATGAAGGAAGTGAGAACTTTATGTGGAAAATAACATGGGCCACTTTATACGGCCTTTTTTTTTTTTTCCTTAGATAGTGAGGAACATGCAAAGATAAAGATTTGGCTTGGTGTTGTGGCTTATGCCTATAATCCCAGCACTTTGGGAGGCTGAGGGCTGTGGATCCCTCGAGGTTAGGAGTTTGAAACCAGCCTGGGCATCATAGTGAGACCCTGTCTCTAAAAACATTTTTTTAAAACAGGTAAAGATTCATTTCACACAAGGTAGGTCATAAAATACAACAGTACAAATACGCTAGAATGCTTAAGATTGAGCCATTTTGAAATCAAATTAACATGTTATTAGAATTAAAATAACAAATGAATTTGAGCCTATTTCTAGAAAAAGATGCCACAAGGTAACAAATACTAAAGTTAACAAGTTGGAGTCTTTAATAAAAGTAAGTAAATGCTTTGATTCTTTAACGTTACCTGCATTAACTTCTGTAATAAATGACTACATGCCATGGAACTGTTAAGCATTATTGTTGTCCTCTATGTGTTTGATAGTTCATATTCTAGGTTGCCACCTAGATATTTTTGGTGAAGTATCTATTCAAACATGTTGCCCAGTTTTTATTGGGTTAATCTCCTATTGAATATTGACATTTCTTTATATAGTCCTGTTACAAAACTTTCATCACACACAAGATTTGCAAATATTTTCTCTCAGTCTATAACTTCTCTTTTCATTGTCTTTTCAGTGCTTTTTGAAGTGCTGAAAATTTTAAGTTTTATGAAGCCCAATTTACAATGTTTTTATTTTATAAATTATGCACTTGTTGTTAGATATAAAAAAACTTTGCGTAACCCAAGGTCCTAAGGATTTTATATTATTTTTTTCCTAGAAGTTTTATAGAGTTTGTTTTAAATTTAAGTTTAAGACAATTATTGAGTCAATTTTTGCATATGGTGAGGTATGGGTCAAAGTTCAGGGGTTTTTGTTGATATGTTGCCTTTTATGATATAAGTGCTTGGCACTCTAAATTTTTTTCTGTGTATCACCTTATTTGTGCATGAAACTTGTTATGATGTTTCTTCCATTTTATTAAGTTTAAAATACTTTCTAATGTCCCTTTTAATTTTTTCTTGACCCATGGGTTATTTATGTTATTTAGTTTCTGTAAGTTTGGAAGTTTTCCAGATACCTTTCTGTTACTGACTTCTAAATTAAATCCCTTGTGTTTAGAGAACATGCTTTGGGTTACTTGAGATATTTTAAATGTATTGTTTTCCTTATTTGATGGACCATAATATAGACTATCCTGGTGGATTATCCAAATGCATGTAAATGTGTACTCTGTTGTTGCCTGGAATGTTCTATAAATGCCATTTAGGTCAACATGGTTTATTCAAGTATTATTCAAGTCAATGTTCTTGCTGATTTTTGGTCTACTTGTTCTATAAGCTATTGGGGGATGGATGTTTAAATGCTGAAATATGCTTGTAAATTTGTCTGTTGCTCCTTGAAGTTTATTGAGTTTGGCCTTCATACATTTGAAAGCTATTAAGTGTAGGGACATTTAAGATTGTTTGGACTCTCGATTAATTGACCATTTTATCAATATAAAATGACATATATATATATTTATACACATATACATGTGTTATTTTGAACTGGATATATATATATATATATATATATATATATATATATATATATATATATATTTTCTCTCAGTCTATAACTTGTCTTTTCATTGTCTTTTCAGTGCTTTTTGAAGTGCTGAAAATTTTGTTTTATGAAGCCCAATTTACAATGTTTTTATTTTATAAATTATGCACTTGTTGTTAAATATAAAAAAACTTTGCATAACCCAAGGTCCTAAGGATTTTATATTATTTTTTCTAGAAGTTTTATAGATTTTGTTTTAAATTTAAGTTTAAGACAATTATTGAGTCAATTTTTGCATACAGTGACAAGTTATAGACTAAGAGAAAATATTTGCATATATATGTGTGTATATATGCAGTTCAAAATAGTATATATATACATATATATATATAAAGTTTTAGAGCAAAGTATATACGTGTGTGTGTGTGTGTGTGTGCCTTAGTTCATTTGGGCTGCTATAAAAAATACCATGCACTGAGTGACATGAATAACAGAAATTTATTTCTCATAGTTCTGAAAGTTGAGAAGTCCAAGATCAATGCACCAGCAGATTCAGTGTCTGGTGACAGCCCCTTTCTGTCTGGTGTCAGTACATTCTTCCTGGTGCCCCCACTTGATGGAAGTGGTAGGGTGGCTCTCTGGGAAGCTTTTATAATAGCATTAATCCCATTCATAAGGGCAATCCTCCCTCATTACCTACTCATCTGCCAAAAGGCCCCGCTTCCTAATACTATTGCATTGGGATTAGGATTCAACACAAACATTCAAACCATAACAATATGTATGTATATATACTTTGCTCTGAAATTTATTTTGATAATTATAAAGCCAGTCGAGCTTTCATTAAGTGTTTAAATTTATATTGGTTGCCTAGGAATGGCATCATGAAGTATAATAAACAGGTCGGCTAAAAACAACAAAAATGTATTCTCTCACTGTTTGGAAGATAGAAATCCCGAATCAAGGTGTTAGAGGAACAATACTTTCTCTGAAGCCTATAGGAAATATTACTCCTTGTTTCTTTTGGCTTCTGGTACTCCAGGCATTCCTTGATGTGTGAGGGTAGCATAAGTCCAGCTTCTGCCTCCTTCTTCACATAGCATTCTCCCTAGGTGAGAGAATAGGGAGAATGCTATATGAAGCATTCCATAAAGACTTCACTGAAATAAAGAAAAAAAATGTTAGAAGCAGTATACAAATTTGGTAAAGTTTTAGGATACAAAAGCAACACACGAAAATTAGTGGAGATTCTATATACCAATAATGAACATTAAATAAAAATATACACATACATATTGCTACGGGTTGAACGTTCGTGCTGAAACCTAATCCCAATGCAATAGTATTAGGAGGAAGTGCCCTCTGGCAGGTGACTAGCTAATGAGGGAAGACCTCCCTTATGAATGGGATTAACGCTATTATAGAAGAGGAGGAGCCTCTTTTCCTCTTCTAAGAAGCACATCAGTCATATTGGATTAACACACTGCCTACTCCAGTGTAACCTGATCTTAACTTAAATAATTACATTCTCGGCCGGTAGCGGTGGCTCACACCTGTAATGCCAACATTTTGGGAGACCAAGGTGGGCGGATTGCTTGAGGTCAGGAGTTCGAGACCAGTCTGGCCAACATGGTGAAACTCCGTCTCTACTAAAAATACAAAAAAAAAAAATTAGCTGGGCATGGTGGCATGTGCCTGTAATTCCAGCTATTCTGGAGGCTGAGGCAGGGGAATTGCTTGAACCAGGAAGGTAGAGGTTGCAGTGAGCTGAGATCACGCCACTACACACCAGCCTGGCAAAAGAGCAAGATTCTGTCTCAAAAAAATAAATAAATAAAAATAAAATAATTACATTCTCACTGACTTTATTTTTAAATAGGTTTACATTCTGAGGTATTAGGCATTATTACAACATATCTTTATGAGGAAAACTGTTCACCTCATAACTATATGGTATAATGTCCTCCATCCTTTACCTCATTGTCTCTATATTTAAAGTGGGTTTCTTATGGGTAATGTATGCATATGTGTATAGTTTACTATAAGAGACACATCATGGCTATAAGATTAATAATAGTTATAAGGTCCACTCAAGTGTCTCACAGAGCTGATACTACATGTCACTTAGCAGTTTGATGCAACCTAGCCCACGGATTTTCAGAAAACAAGCCACCTCAGCACAGATGCAAGCCTCATAAACCTTAAAGCAAATCTTACCCTTACAAGAATAGCTTAAACACCCTTTGTTAAAAAAAAACCTGCTAACTGATTAGGACTGAATATGATATAAGAAAGAGGAAAGAATCTCCCAAACTCTGAAAATAGTCTCCAGTAAGAGGTCCTGCCTGTCAGTGGGTTACCTGATGCCGTGTCTGTATCTGTCCCACTGGCCTGCCCACACTTTCTACCTTGTAGAAGTGCTACCGCAATAAACTGAGTATCAGAAGCTGCCTAAGACTCATTTCTGATGTGAATTGGACTAAAAGAGAGAAGTTGCTTCCGGGTAAGCTGGTTAACTAGGACCCCCCAAGACCTCCAAACATGATAGTGTGTCTCTGTGTGTGTGTGTGTGTGTGTGTGTATGTATATATACACGTATATATATGTATATATATACGTATATATGTATATATGTATACGTATATATGTACATATATATACATATACATATACATACACACACACACATATATATATAAAGCATTTATGTATATATAAAATGCTTTTTATTCCCAGTTGACAATGAATCTCTGGTTTTTAGCATAGGTTGTGATTTATATTCATTGTGATTATCCACATGGTTTTGTCTAAATCTAGCTCTTCCTCTCGTCCTATCTCTTCTTTGCTCTCTTTTTATTTCTTCTGCCTTCCTATACATTAATTGAGTTTATTTATGATTGTATTCTTCTAGATTTCTATTGTGGTAAAAAATAACATAAAATTTAGCATCTTAGCCATTTCTGAGCATCCAATAGTGCATTGTTAATTATGTTGTGCATTGTTGTGCAGTATATCTCTAATTTTCCAAAATTTAAACTCTATGGGAACTTGAACAACAGTTTCCCATTTCCCTGCCCCTAGCCGTTGACAACCACCATTATACTTTCAGTTTGTAAGAGTTTGTATTTATAATTTTATATAAGTGGAATCCTTCTGTATTTGTCTTTTTGTGACTGGTGTATTTCACTTAGTAAATGTTCTCAAGTTTCAATCACGTTGAAATATGACAAAATTTCTTTCATTTTAAAGGCTGAATAATATTCCATTGTATGTGTATAATATATTTGATTTCTCCACTCATTCATCAGTTTAATAGACATTTAGGTTGCTTCCATGTCTTGGCTATTGTGAATAATGCTGCAATGAAAATGGAGTACAGATCTCTTCAAGACTCTAATTTCAGTTCCTTTGGATCTTTAGCCAGAAGTGAGATTGCTGAATAATATGGCATTTCTATTTTTAATTTTTTAAATTATTTCTATACTGTTTCTATAGTGCATGTATCATTTTACATTCTCAACAACAGCACACAAGTGTTCCAGTGTTTCTATATTGTCCTTGCCAAACCATCCTAGTGGATGTGAAGTGAGTGGTATCTTATTTTAGTATTGATTTGCATTTCCTTAATGATTACTGATGTTGAGCATCTTTTAATATACTTTTTGGCCACTTACATATCTTCTTTGGGGGAGTTTCTATTTAAGTAATATTCTCATTTTAAAAAATGGTTATTTGGATATTTTGTTGTTGATTTGTAGATATTCTGGGTATTAATCACTTAGTAGTTATATGAGTTGCATATATTTTCTCCCATTCCATAGCTTTATTTTCATTCTATTAATTTTTTTCTTTGCAGTGCAGAAGTTCTTAAGTTTTGCCTTAATCCCATTTGGCTAGTTTTATTTTTGTTGCTTGCTGGTGCCAAGAAATCATTTCCACTCTAATAAAATATCAGCCACCTTCACTCATATCATCATACACTGTCCCCTTATTGAATCCTACTTTTAAAGAATATTAATAACATTTATCATGAGCCTAAAAATCAAATAATTGTGTGTCTGTTTGTTCAGAATCTGTTTTTTTTTTCCACTAAGAAGTACACTCAAAGGAAGAAGAAACATTTCCTGTTTTGCTCCATGTTGTATCTGCAGGGCCCAGAACAGAATAAATGACTACATCTTATATTCAAAATAACCCACTGAACATAATACTTCAAATCAGGCTATAGTTGAGACTAAGATTGAAAAAGTATAGCCCATAAGCTTCAATAGCATGATCTTGGGAACAATAGGAACAGCTTCATATATAAATAATTATAATTTAATTAAGAATCTAAATAATTACCAATATATTTAAAAATAATAGGCACCATTGTTAGTGACCCTATGGTAAGCTCTGAAGAATACAGGCATAAATCTTTTGTATGTGCTTATAGCTTATTAGTAGAAATAGGTAACATCTAAATAAATATATAAATAAGTAAGTAAATGTTTGCAGTGGTTGCAACAGATGGCTGAAATGCAGAATAAAATGGCAGTGTTGACTATAGAAATGTAATAGATGAACTTGATTTTTTTTTTGGCAGAGAATATTTAACCAGAGATCAAAATGATGTGAAGGATGTAGTCATGTAAAAAGTTGAGAAAAGAGCATTGTAGTTAGAGAAAACAAGACATATGAAGCCCATAATGTGAGAACAGCTTGGAATCTGCAGACCTATTTTTTTTGGAAATGGAGTCTCACTCTGTCACCCAGGCTAGAGCACAGTGGTGTGATCTCAGCTCACTGTGACCTCTGCCTCCCAGGTTCAAGTGACTCTCCTGCCTCAGCAGGAGTAGCTGGGATTACAGGTGACCATCATGCCTGGATAATTTTTGTATTTTTAGTAGAAACGGTTTCCCCATGTTGGCCAGACTGGTCTTGAAGTCCTGACCTCAAGTGATCCACCCCCTTCTGCCTCCCAAAGTGCTGGGATTACAGGCATGAGTCATCGTGCCTGGGCGCAGAGCTATTCTTAAAGTTGGTGTGATTAAAAAATAAGAAGAAATAGAGAATGAGAAAGAATAGATTTGGAAAGTGTATGAGTGTTATCTCATAAAGGGTCTCATAATATGTAGTAAGGTGATTGATTTTGTTTTAAGTACACTTGGAGTACCAGAAGTTTAGAAAAAATATGAAGCCATATTTTAAGAAGTTCATGCTAGCTTCTGTATGCACAAATTACTTTACGTGGATATATAAATAGAGATAATTTACAAGGCTGTTAGGGCAAACTGTGTAAGAGACAACAATGGCCTTGCCCAGAATGATGGCCAGATGTAAAAAAGTAGATAAGATTTATTAGTGGACAATTCTCCCTGAAACATCATATTTTTAAATACCTTGTATTTGCTTTTGTTCTATATTATCTCTTCATGTATTTGTATAGCAAACAACATTGGAGCATTAAAAAATAGTGTTCCCTCCAAGAGAGAGGGAAGAGTTTTTTTGCTGACAGAGATCCAGATAAGAAAGAACTATAGAGAAAAATTTATAGATCTTAAAAATGTTCTCCTCAAGTAATTGGTTGAGTGCTGTTCAGTGCATGGATGTGAGAAAACTATGAGATAAGATAAAAAATATTTTTTAAAAATTGGAGGAAACAGTGTCACAGATAAATGGAAATACTGCCAGTTTCCACCAGCTAGAAAGTAAAAGCCTCATAATTCCATAATGAGGAGAAATAACAATCATTGAAACTGATCAAGAAATGATACACATGACAAAATTTTAGACAGAAACACTAAAATAGTTTTATAACTTTATTCCATATGTTCAAGAAACTAGAGTATATTTTGAATATGTGAAGACATAGAAGATGTAAAAAAAATCCAAATCTGATTTCTATATATTGAAACTACAATGTATAATAAAGAAATATACAGGATAAGATTGAGAGAATATTAGGCACTACAGAAAAGAATATTAGTACTGATATTTAAAATATATCAATAAACAATGCCAAAAATGAGAAAGGGAATTATAATTTTTATGGAAAAATAAACAGAGCTTCAGTGATTTGTACAATAACTTCAAGCGGTCAAATATTCATGACTATATGCTGCCTGTAAGAGATTCACTTGTTGACCAATGCCTCTCCTTTCCTCATTCACCACCCCACCCAGTAGCCTCTGGTAACCACCATTCTACTCTCTACTTCTATGAGTTTAACTTTTTTAGGTTTCACACCATAAGTGAGATCATATGGTATTTGTCTCTCTGAGCCTAATGTATTTATTTTACTTAACAATATGTCACCTACATTCATTAATGTTGCAATGACAGAATTTCTATTTTAAGGTTGAATAGTAATTCATTGTGTATACATGCTATATTTTCTTTAAGGTTGAATAGTATTTCATTGTGTATATATGCTATATTTTCTTAATCCATTTATATATTGATGGGCACATAGGTTGTTTTGTATCTTGGATACTGTAAATAATACTGCAATAAACATAAAATGCAGGCATTTCTTTAACATATTGATTTCAATGCTTTTGAGTATATACACAGTAGGGGAATTACTGGATCCTATAGTAATTCTACTTTTCGTTTTTTGAGGAATCTTCACCCTATTTGTCAAAAAGGCTGTACTAATTAATGAGGTCACCAATAGCATATAAGCATTTACTTTTCTCCACATTCTCACTAACACTTTTTATCTTTCATATTTATATAATTGCCATTCTGACAGGTATGAGATGATATCTCATTTTTAATTTGGTTTTAATTTGTATTTCTCCTGTAATTAGAAATGTTGAGCATTTTTAGTATATTAGCTAGACATTTGTATATTTTCTTTTGACAAATGTCTGTTCACACTCTTTGTACAGTTTTAAGAATGTTATGTTTTCTCATTATTTAGTAGTTTTAGTTCTATGAATATATTAGATATTTTCCCCATGTGCAATGCATGATTAGCAAATATTTTTCTTAACCTGTGGGTCGCCTCATTCCTCTATTAATGGTTTTCTTTGCAGTACAGAAGCTTTTTTATTTTGATGAAATCCCATTTATCTATTTTTGCTTTTGTTGGCTTTTTATGCATTTGAGATCATATCCAAGAAATCACAGCCCACACCAGTGTCATGAAGATTTTCCCATATGCTTTCTTCTAGTAGTTTAATAGTTTCTGGTCTTTATTTAAATTCTTTAATCCATTTTAAACTGATTCTTGTGTAAGCAGTGAGATAAAGGTTCACTTCCATTCTTCTATATGTGAATATCCAGTTTTCCCAACATCATTTATTGAAGAAACTGTCCTTTCCCCATTTTGAGTTCTTGGCACATTTTTTGAAAATCAATTGACCATAGATGTATTGGTTTATTTCTGGATTCACTAACCTATTTCATTAGTTGATTTGTGGGGTTTTATGCCAGTACTGTGCTGTTTTGATGGTTATAGGTTTGTAATATAGTTTGCGATCTTGTAGTGTTATTCCTCCAGCTTTCTTCTTTTTAGTCAAAATTGCTTTGGCTATTATGGATCTTTTGGGGTTCTACACAAATTTTACAATTTTTTTTTCTTTTTCTCTTTCTGCGAGAACCACATTGGAATTTTGGTAGGGATTACATTGAATCTGTAGGTCACTTTGGGCTGTTATCTATAGATTGAATATAATCCCTACCAAATTTGTACAAATGTAATTTGTGTTAATATTTTAACAATATTAATTCTATCAATACGTGCACATAGAATTTTTATTTTATTTTTGTTATAATTATAACTGGCTTTTTAAAGCTAGTAACAACTTAACTTTGACTGCATACACAAACTCTACAATTTTACTTTTTCTCCTCTTATGTTTTATGTTTATTATTATTATTATACTTTAAGTTCTGGGATACATGTGCAGAACATGCAGGTTTGTTACATAGCTATACACGTGCCATGGTGGTTTGCTGCACTCATCAACCTGTCATCTACATTAGGTATTTCTCCTAACGCTATCCCTTCCCTAAGCCCCCACCACCCAACAGGCCCTGCTGTGTGATGTTCCCCTCCCTGCATCCATGTGTTCTCATTGTTCACTTCCCACTATGAGTGAGAACATGTGGTGTTTGGTTTTCTGTTCTTGTGTTAGTTTGCTGAGAATGATGGTTTCCAGCTTCATCCATGTCCCTGCAAAGAACATGAACTCATCATTTTTCATGGCTGCATAGTATTTCATGGTATATATATGCCACATTTTCTTTATCCAGTCTATCATTGATGGTCATTTGGGGTGGTTCCAAGTTTTTGCTATTGTGAATAGTGCCACAATAAACATACATATGCATGTGTCTTTATAGTAGAATGATTTATAATCCTTTGGGTACGTACCCAGTAATGGGATTGCTGGGTCAAATGGTATTTCTGGTTCTAGATCCTTGAGGAATTGCCACACTGTCTTCCACAATGATTGAACTAATTTACACTCCCATCAAGTGTGTAAAAGCATCCCTATTTCTCCACATCCTCTCCAGCATCTGTTTTTTCCTGACTTTTTAATGATCGCTATTCTGACTGGAGTGAGATGGTATCTCATTGTAGTTTCGATTTGCATTTCTCTAATGACCAGTGATGATGAGCTTTTTTCATGTTTGTCGGCTGCATAAATGTCTTATTTTGAGAAGTGTCTGTTCACATCCTTCGCCCACTTTTTGATGGGGTCATTTTTTTTTTCTCGTAAATTTGTTTAATTCCTTTGTAGATTTTGGTTATTAGCCATTTGTCAGACGAATAGGTTGCAAAAATTTTTTCCCATTCTGTAGGTTGCCTGCTCACTCTGATGATGGCTTCTGTTGCTGTACAGAAGCTCTTCAGTTTAATTAGATCCCATTTGTCAATTTTGGCTTTTGTTGCCGTTGCTTTTGGTGTTTTTGTCATGAATTCTTTGCCTATGCCTATGTCCTGAATGGTATTGCCTAGGTTTTCTTGTAGAGTTTTTACGGTTTTAGGTCTTATGTTCATGTATTTAATCCATCTTGAGTTAATTTGTGTATAAGGTGTAAGGAAGGGATTCAGTTTCTGCTTTCTGCATATGGCTAGCCAGTTTTCCCAATGCCATTTGTTAAATAGGGAGTCCTTTTCCCATTGCTTGTCAGGCAAGCAATGGGAACAAAAACAAGCAATGTTTTATGTTTTGATGTCACCTTTTACACTATTAAAATAATATATATCTTTAACAAATTATTTCAGTTTTAGCTGTTTTTAATAGTTTTGCGTTTTAACCTTTATACTAAAGATATAATGGGTTAACCCACTGCCATTTGTTTTAGAGTGTTTGCATTTAAAATTGTCCTTACTTTTACCAGTGAATTTTTCATTTTCATATGTTTTCATGTTATGAATTACCATCTTCTTCCTTTGACTTGATGAATGTCCTTTAGCATTTCTTCTTAGGCAGATCTAGTGGTGACAAACTCTCTCAGCTTTTGTTCATTTGAGAAAGTCTTTATTACCCCTTCATTTTTTAAAGATAGCATTGCTGAATATAGTGTTGATAGTTGATATTATTTTCTTGCATGATTTTAAATATATTATCCCACTCCTTTTTGGCATATGGCACTCCTTTTTTCTGCTGGAAAATCCACTCATATTCTTATAGCAGTTTCTTTGTATGTAACAATTCACTTTTATGTTTCTGCTTTGAGCTTTCTCAGTCTTCAACTTTTGACAGTTTGATTTTAATGTGTCTTAGTGTTAATCTGTTTAGATTTATCTTACTTTACACCGTTTGAGCTTTCTGCATCTAGATTTCTATTTCCTTCCCTAGGCTTAGAAACTTTTCTGCTACTATTTCATTAAATATATTTTCTGTCTTTTCTCCTGATACACCTATAATGCAAATGTTGCTATGCTTGATGGTGTCCCGTAAGTTTCTTAAACTATCCTGACTTCTTTTCTTTGTTTTTGTTTTTACTCTTCAGATTTGTTCAATTTATAGTAACTTGTCTTCAAGTTCACTAATTCTTCCTTCTTTTTGATTAATCTTCTATTGAACTCCTCAGTTGAATATTTTAGTTCAGTTATAGTATTCTTTAACTCTTTGACTTCTGTTTTGTACTTTTTACACTTTCTATCTATTTATTGAAATTCTATCTCTTTTTTGAAATAGAAATGAATTAGGTGGTTACTTCAGCAACATGTAATGGGAAGCTCCTGACCCACCATCCACCTAGAGAAAGAACCAATAAACATCTATTCATGAGTCAGTTGTCTTTGAGAGAAAGAGAGAGACCATTGTTCTGCTGACCTCAGAAGGCATCTTTATGACTACTATATTGAATCCTCTGTTGGGTATGTCATATATCATCACTTAACTTGTGTTGGTTTTAGGAGATCTAAACCATCTCTCCAAGTCTTGTCAGATTGACCTCATGTAGGGAAGGATCTTACCAATATGTCTGATGAGAGATTTTTAAGGTGCCTTTCAAATCTTTGTGTTTTATCAGACTACTATCTATGTTTTCAGTGGCCCCCTGAAGCATAGTGTGTGCCTCATCCTTTCAGCACTTCGACACTAGTAAGGTAGGAGTGAGACTCTCTAGACATAGTTGGAATAGGTGATGTGTTGGATGTGTGTCCCAGTTTCTTTTAGCCTCATAATGAAGCTAAGTATAGATATTTATCTCCCACTGTTTCTTCACTAAGCTAGGGAGATGATCTGTGGAAAATGCTTATTCATATTCAGGCTATACCCTCTGATCCTGGGAAGATAGTTGCTGGAAGCAAGTCCATTGTAAATCTATCTCTTTTTTCTATGTTTTAGGGACACTCCAAAATGCAAAGCACCATCAACTACCAGTGGTAGGACATTAAGGAGATAATCCCTTGGGTGGGTGTTATTGAAATTGTGCCAGTTGATGCATGGTCAAACTCTTTCCAGGACAAATGGGTACACCTGGATTTATCACTGGAGGCAGCTGAAGGAAAGATTTGTGAAGTGCCAAACTCTGACTCTGGCTGCCAAAAAAGCTATTGTTTGCTTTTCCCATTACCTTTCCTGTGTACATTTGTTAGAAGCCAGGACATAAAGTAGCCAATAAAAGTGTGTGCCATAGGTTCTTCTGCAGAGAAAAGGGAAGCTGTGTTTCTGCCCCTTTTCCACACTGCTCCAAGGGCACGTAGCTTCTGGAAGTGTTTGCATGCTTGCTTAATATCATATCCTTGTTCTGTGACCTAGGGAGACATGCATATGTTTAGTCCCTTCTGCTCCAAGAACTAATATATTTAGCCTGGAGTTCTTCATGAGGTAGCTGTAAAAGTTGGGGCACTCAATGTGTGTCATGAATCCCTTCCAGATAGAAACAGGGAGCTGCATTTTTAAAGCCCTTCCTCTGCACCACTCCTGGGGAATAAAAGTAAAACTGTAAAACTGTAAAACTTCTACTTCATTCTTTGGTCCAGAAAGACTCGCATATGGTTTGTCCTCTCTGCTCCCAGAGCAAGGAAGTTTAGGAGGCAATCACTCAGGTAGAAGCTGTAGAGGTTGGAAAACTGAATGTGTGTACAAACTTCTGAGAGAAGAAATTAATAAATTTAGAGTTGTTGCTAGGATGAGCTGGGGAAGAATGCTGGAGAAGTATCAGTCTACTTCTCAGGCTTCCAGAGGGCTAATACTTTTGTTCCCCATTAACTTCAGAATGCTAGTTAGTTTCGAGCCCAGCTGCCAAGTAGCCATTGGAAAAATGTGTCCCTTTTGGAAAGAATCATGGGGCTACATTTTTAAAATCTTTTCTCTGTACTGCTCCTGGAGGATGAAGCCTCTGAAAGTGTTTGCACATTTATAGAAAATTACCTTTTATTTTTTTTTCTGTGGTCTGCAGGGACACATGTATGCCAGTATCCTTTGCTTCCAGAGCTAGGTTTAAATGCAGTCCCTTGTGGGGAAGATATAAAAGTTGAAGCATTAATGTATATACACGTTTCTTCCAAGAGTGATTAATAGACCTGGAGTTATCACTGGAGCAAGCCAAAGGAGAGGCTCAAGAAGTGTCAGTTTGATTCTCAGTCTGATGGTAGGTTCATGTTTGTCTGCTTTTTTAACACCCTGATGTAAGTTAGTTAGAAGTCAGGCAGCCAAGTAGCCAGTGAAGAGCATGTCCCTTCCATTTAGAAAGAGGGGACTGTGAATTTTTAAATTTTTATTTGTTTAGAGAAAAGGTCTCACTCTGTTTTCCAGGCTAGAGTGCAGTGACACAATCATAGCTCACTGCAACCTCAATTTCCTGGGTTCAAGCAATTGTCCTGCTTCAGTCTCTCAAGTAGCTGGGACTACAGGCATGTGCCACCACACATGGGTTACTTTTTTGGAAGAGGCAGCATCTTATGTTGCTCAGGCTGATCTCAAACCCCTGGCCTTAAGCCTTAGCCTCCCAAAGTACTGGGATGACAGACATGAGCCACTGTGCCCAGCAGGGACTGTGACTTTTCAAGCCCAGTTTTTTGTTGTTGTTGTTCTGTTACTGGGTAATGAAGTCTCTGAAAGTGCTTGCACACCCATGGAAAACCACCATTATTTTTCTTGTGTTCTGTAAAGACTCATATGTGTCTAATCTCCTCTGTTTCCAGAACTGGATATTGGCAGCAAAGGAGAATGGAAACAGGTGGGAAATCTTAGAATTTGGGTGGCATATATGAGATCCAAACTTTCTTCTCCACAGGGAGAAATTGGATGTTGGAGATTGCTTTCCTGATTTTATGGTGCAGTTCATAGGGCAAGGTCAGTGCCTGAGTGTTCCTCAGATTTTTCTGCTCATACATTGTGGATATTTTCTCAGTTGCTAGTGTGTAGCAGTCTCTCAACTGGTCTCTCTCTTTCTCTCAAAGAAAACTGACTCATGAATAGATGTTTATTTGGTCTTTCTCTAGGTGGATTTTGGGTCAGGAGCTTCCCATTACATGTTGCTGAAGTAACCACCTAATTCATTTCTATTTCATTTTTACGTTTGGACAACAAAATTTAGCAAAAACTTGCAGTTTGTTAATAAAGTAGAAAGTTTTTTTCTCTAATATAACCATGCTGGCAGAATAAAACCAGGGGTAGAGGATGTTTAAAAGAGTAACAAGAAAGACTTGCTTCTTCTAGTACATACGCTCCTTAAAGTTTACTAGAGTAAGTCAAACAAGCCATAAAAAACATTACTCTTATTTTCTCCTCAGAATTTCTAGACCTGCAGTAAACAATGTATTTCATTTTCTAAGGGATAACCTAGAGATTAAAAAAAAATCATATGTAGATTTGAAGGAAATGTTTTAAACAAAAACAGCCCACCTGGATACTTAACTATGTTTAATATGTCAGACATGATTATCAAAGTCAGTTCTATAAATGGATCCATTCCTTACTTGATTTCTAGAGGCTTGGTTTCCACTAAGTTGGAATCACCTTTGTTTCCGCTGAGATTAACTAGTGAATATCTAACTAGGTGAATATTTTTGTGATTGTATTTTACACATGGTTTAGCTGAGGCAATTAATCACCACTAGACAGGCCCTACTAGAGCTGCTCAAAAAGCTCCAAACTAGGAAACTAAAGGTTGATATTTACCATCATAAAAACACATAAAACTAATCCTCACAGGTCTCATAAAACAATCATACAAAGGAGAAAGATAAATAAATCAAATGGTAACATGACAGAAATCCACCAAACCAAAAGATAAACAGAGGGAAAACAATCAAAAAATTACAAAAAAAACTAGATAACAACTAATATTATGACAGAAATGAAACTTCACATACCGATATTAACTTCAAAAGGTAAATGGATTAAATGCTCTACTTTAAGATATTGATTACCTGAATGGATTAAAAACATCAACTGACTATATGCTGCTTAACAGAAACTCACTTTTCTGGTAGACAATTATAGATGGAAGGATAAAAAAGAAAGATATATTCCACACAAACGAAAACCAAAAGCAAAAAGTAGCTATACTTAAATCGGATGAAGCTGACTTCAAATAAAAACAGGAAAAAAAAGACAAAGAAGCTCATAACATAACAATAAGGGAATCAATTTAACAATGGGATATAACAACATTAAGTATATATGTATACAACAACAGAGCACCCAGATTCCTAAAACTAGACCTAATAAAAAACCAACAGTAATACAATAATAATAGAGGATGTCAACAGCTGACTCACAGCACTAGACAGATCATTAAAACAGAAAATTAACAAAGAAATCTTGGGCTTAAGTTGACTTCTATATCAAATGGACATAACTAGATATTTACAGAGCATTCTGTCCAACAACTACAGAATATACATTCTCTTCATCAGTAAATGGAACATTCTCAAAGATAGAGCATATATTAGGCCATAAAACAAGTCTCAAAATCATATGAAGTATGTTCTCAGACTGCATTGTAATGAAACTAGAAATCAATCCGAAAGACTTTTGAAGCTACACAAATACATGAAAATTAAACAACATCCTCCTGAATGATCTTTGAGACAGTGATGAAATTAAGATGAAAATTGAAAAAGTTCTGAACTAAGTAAAAATGGAAACACAACATGCCCAAACTTCTGAGATATAGCAGATACATTCCTAAGCAGGAAATTTATAGCATTAAATGCCTACATCAAAAAATTTGAAAAGATCACAAGAAACCAACGTTGCACCTCGAGAAACTAGAATAATGAGGACAATCCGAACACAAAGTTATAAAAAAGAAAATAGGGAATAATGAAGATCAGAGGAGAACTAAATGAAATTGAGACCAAAAACAGTATTAAGAATCAACAAAGCGTAAAGTTAGTTTTTAAAAGCATAAACAAAATTGATAAGCCACTAGATAGACTATTCAAGAACAGGAGAGAGGCCAACAAAGTAGCCCAGGACAATGTCATAAGTCATACCAATCATTTGTCCTGAGCTAATTTGATTTGCATTACTAAAGTATGGCATTGAAGAAATGCAGAAAATATTTTATGACGTCATTGGGAAAGCTTAGCTTACCAATAAATAATTAATTGACCAAATTTTAAAATATAGAAGTGATAGAAAATCACCCTTTTCAAATTTTACCAGAAAAGCAGTTAATCTGGAAGCATATAGTAATGTTTGTTTTTGCTATTGCTCAATGTTGTTTACGAAGAGATGAAACACTGTTTTTATTTCAATAGTATAAAAGTTCTTAATATGTTTAAATATACTTTTGAGATAGATCTGAAGAATCTTAAGGAGTTAGCATGCCTAATTCATCTATAAATTTCCTAACTTTATACATGTACCAACTTAGGCAAATAAGGTATTTTGAAACTTCTGTGTTAATATACTGGATAATGATCTGAAGACAAATACAGGATCTTTCTCAGAATATCTCATAAATGAGCCAAAACAGATCCAACCTCTTCAAAGCAATAGATGAAAAGAAGAAGGAAAAAAAAACTTTTATCGTATTCAGCAGCAATACAATAGCAAAACGACTACACAGAATTTATTAATTGGAAAAATCTAGTCAACATAAGATAGTATCACAGAATACAAAGTATAATAACAATTGTCAATAAAGGAAATTGAATCTTTTTTTTTTTTTTTTTGAGACGGAGTCTTGCTCTTGTCACCCATGCTGGAGTGCAGTGGCACCATCACGGCTCACTGCAACCTCTGCCTCTCTGATTCAAGCGTTTCTCCTGCCTCAGCCTCCCGAATAGCTGGGATTACAGTCGTGTGCCACCATGCCCAGCTAATTTTCGTATTTTTAGTAGAGATGGGGGTTTCACCATGTTGGCCAGGCTGGTCTGAAAGAATCTTTTGAGCACTGTGTGAGATTTCTAATCCTTCCATGCAAATTAGCGACAGGAAACAATGACTTGCAACAATCACAATGAATGTGGAGCAAAATAAGATCTAAAAGCTGAAGCAGTTGAAGTAAGAATAGTAAATATGGCATATAAAAAACTACAGTAAAATTTGATTTGGGTTCCTAAAGTAGACAACTCAGCCAGCATATGAAACATAACATTTAGAGATGTATTTCTGGAAAATTCAATCGAAACACTAGAGGAACTGAATCTGCAAATCAAATACCATCTCATATTCCAGGAAAAAATGAGGAAAATTAGGCTAAACTTTTAAGAAGAAAATAATTGCCTTAAATATTATTAAAATGAGGAGTTTCTGGGTGTTAACTGTCATTCACAAATCCAGCCTAAATTTAGTACAATATTTGAAAATTTCCCTAATGCAAAATATAGAAAAATTGTTCAAATTAATATATACATTAATGTGTGTATATATATGCATGTTTGTGTTAATCTATCATATTGGTTTTTGAGAATAAAAAGTTACATTGATAAAGTCCTTGCTTTTAAAAAGCTTACAATCTAGTTAAGTTTGTAAGATATAGGCGTGTGTGTGTGTGTGTGTGTGTGTGCAATTTTATTTCAAGATGGATTAAAATTGACATTTTTATATGTCAGTACATTTGATGGTACCCCACAGGTCTGAATTCTTTTTTTCTGTTTGTCAGACAGGATAATTTCTATTGACCTGTCTTCACATTCACTGATTCTTTCTTCTGCCTGCTTGTATCTTGTTTTGAACTCTTCTAATAATTTATTTTTAATTTCAACTTTTGTTATGGATTAAGGGGTACATGTGCAGGTTTGTTACATGGTTAAATCGTATGACACTGAGGCTTGGGGTCTCAATGATCTCATCACCCAATCAGCAAGAATAATACTCAACAGGTGGCCCTACAGCCTACACCCTCTCCCTCTCCCTCTGCCCCTGTCTAGTGATCCCCAGTGTCCATTGTTCCCATATTTACATTCATGTGTAGTCAATGTTTAGCTCCCACTTATAAATGAGAACATGCAGTATTTTGTTTTCTGTTATTGGCTTAGGATAATGGCTTCCAACAATAATTCACTACAAAAGCAGAATCAAAACCAAAATTTATATGACCATGACAACAGATGCAGAAAAAGCCTTTGATGAAATTCAACATCCCTTTATGATAAAAATCTTCAATAGACTAGGCACTGAAAGAATACACCTCAAAGTAATAAGACTCTTCTATGACAAACCAAAAGCCAACATACTGAATGGGCAAAAGCTGGAACCATTCCTTTTGGGAACTGGAACAAGCAAGAATGCCCATTCTCACCACTCCTATTCAACACGGTGCTAGAAGTCCTAGCCAGAGCAATCAGGGAAGAGAAAGAAATAAAAGGCATCCAAATGAGAAAATAAGTTAAACTATCTCTTTTTGCTGATGATATGATTCTATATACAGAAAACCTTAAAGACTCTGACAAAAGGCTTTTGGAACTGATGAAAGAATTCAATAAAGTTTTAGGATCCAAAATCAATGTATAATAATCAGTAGCCTTTTTATACACCAATAACTTTCTAGCTAAGAATCAAATCAAAAACACAATTGCATTAACAATAGCCACAAAGAAAACGAAATACCTAGGAATATTTTCTACATGACCAAGTGGGATGGTACAGTCCTAGAAAGTCCTAGAAAAAAAGAGCATTTTGCATCTGAAGGATTTTGAATCCAATTTCTATATGGTTTAACTAATAGTTGATGACCTATTTAGAGACTTTTATATACAATTTATACTACAGCATGGACCCCAAGAATATGCAGTCAATCCTCATTATTTGTGGATTCTGTATTTGCTAATTTAGCAGTAAAAAAAAGTGTTTATAACTTCAAAGTCAATACTCCCAGCTCTTTTACAATCATTTGCAGACAATATGTACAAAGGCACAAAATTTGAGTCTCCAACATGTATGTTCCGACCTAAGGTCAAACAAGGCAATGATCTGCCTTCTACTTTCAGCTCTTATAGACAAGTATTCTTTTCAATCAACTTAGTACCACATTTTTCAGATTTTGTTGTTTTCTGTTGATTATTTTGCCATTTAAAATGGCCTCAAACAGTGCTGCACTGCTTTCTAGTGTTCCTAAGTACAAGAAGGCTGTGAAGTGCCTTAAAGAAAAAAACACATCTGTCAGATAACCATTGTTCAGGCAAGCATTATAGAACTATTGACCATGAGTTCCAGGTTTATGAACCCACATATGCTAAAGCCAGAAAAAAGGAAAAGGAAGTTCATTGACCTGTATGGGAGGCCAACCTGGAAAATGTTAGAATAGCATCTATAGCATATTTTGAGGCTATGGAAGAGATGCAAAGGCAGCTAAATTTGTGACTTCATGAGACAACAGCTAATAAAAATGTATGCTATTTAGGAATTGCAGATTTTAAAAACCATGAGATACTAATGCACACCTATTAGAATGTCTACATTCTGAAACACTCACAACATCAGATGCTGGTGAGAACTTGGAGCAACAGGAATGTTCATTTATTTCTAATAAGAATACAAAATGCTACAACTAATTTGGAAGATAGTTTGGCAGTATTTTACAAAGCTAAACATAATTTTACCACATCATATGGTCAAGAAATCACACTCATTTGTATTTGTCCAACTGAATTGAGAACTTAACATTTATATAAAACCTGGACATGAATCCTAATAGCAACATTTTTTTTATAATCATCAGTGCTTTGAAGCAACTAAGATCTCCTTGGCTACATGAATTAACAAACTGTGATGCATTATACAATGAAATACTATTCAGTGATAAAAAATGATCTCTTAAGCCATGAAAGGGCATGAAAGAAATTTATAATAAATACCTGTTTTTAAGTAAAGGAAGCTGATCTGGGAGGGCCATATACTATATGATATCAACCATATGATATTTTGGAAAAGGAAAAATTATGGACATAGTAAATTGATCAGTGGTTGCCAGAGGTTTGGGGAGGAAAGATGAATAAGTAGTTTAGAGCACTGGGGATTTTTAGGGCAGTGAAACTATTTCTTATGATACTTTAATGGTAGCTACATGTCATTCTATGTTTGTCAAAACTCTTAAAATGTACAACATTAAAAAGTGAATCCTAATGTAAACTTTGGATATATGGGAACTCTCTGTACTTGGTACTCATTTTCCTGTAAACCTAAAACTGGTTAAAAATTAAGGAACATTAATTTTTTAAAAAAGAAAAAGCATAGTGGACAGCATTGTTGTGATGCTGAAAGTCTAAGAAATTTATGATTATTTTACCCACGGTCAGGAAATGTTAAACCTTTCTCAGCCAGTACTGGCTACCTCCTACATTACAAAAGGCAATATGGCATAAAATGTGTTAAATTTGCAATGAAGCAGTTTCTACAGATTAGAAGGCTGGGGAAGAGTTGTTAAAATAGCTACTAAGGTATTCTAGGGTTAGGTGAAAGACCAGGTTTTCAATGCTGATGAGACTGGCTTGTTTTCAAGGATGTTGGCAAAAGAGTCTATGTAGTACAAATGGCATTTCAGTTGACCAAACATGACCAGAGGCTCACAGTATAGAAACCAAACCCTTTACCTTCACTTGGAGCAATGGTTCAGTTCAGGCCAATTCAGTGTTCATGGCAACTTTATGTAATGTTAACTATCACAAATAAAGAAATCAATTAGAGTTGCACTATATATGTGTCTAATTTTAACATTAGATCATTGTATACACTTTTTAGCTCTTTGAATGTATTTAAAATAGATTGATTAAAATTATTTTTGAGTATGTCCATTGTTTGGGCTTCCCTAGAGAGAGTTTCTATTACTTGCTTTTTCTCTGTGTCTTGGTTATACTTTCATGTTTATTTGCATGTCATTTTTGTTGTTGTTGTTGAACTCTGAACATTTCAAATAATACAATAATTTTCAAAACAGTGACATAGATTATGAAATGCTTTGTTTAGATTTATTCCTAGAAAAATTATCCCTTGCAGTATTTTTTGTATTTGTTCTTTGTATGTATTGATTGATATCACATGACAGAAACATTTTATGTGATAGAATTAAACTAATTGTCCACCAAACATGAAAATAAATGAATCAATCAATGGTTAGCATAAAGGAGCTGCAATTAGTGTAATTGGCTTTGCTCTACATTGTGTCGAGATTCAATCATCCTCCAAATTATTGTGAAGTTAGATAAATGTTAAATAAAAAGCGCCCTCCTAATTTTCTCTAAAGCAAAGAATACAGAATATTAAATGGATTAAAGATACATTTACATGTCTATGTTAACTTATAAATTAGCTATTATGCAATTTCCTTTGAGAAAAGTGAGTCGTGAATTATATTTATTTGCTGAATTTTTCATCACTAAAGGTGGGAATAAAAGCCAAAATGATATATTTGTCAGCAGAGATGCCAAAGTACAGGTTAAGGAACTCAATTGCTTTTTTTAAACCTCTGTAAGAAATGTTGAAGTGATTCTATTTTTAAGGGGGGAAGGTCCTTTATTAAAAAATCCTTTTCCTTCTCTATATATTTTTTAGACATGTGTCCATCCTGTTTCCATGGATTGAGGATCTGTGTAATTATATAGGGTATACAAGGTTCCTGACTACGTTACATATGTTTCAAATAATTAAAAATGTATAGCTACCAAAACTTAGAAAATATATCACTTTACCATGGAGAATATTTTTTTCAATTTAGAACATTCTAGGCTTTGTTTTACTGGTTTTAAAATATAGCACAAATGATTAAATCTCTTTTGAATCAGTTGATGCAATGAAGAAAGCATTAATCTAGCAGTAGGAGACTTCAGTGACTTATGAAATATTGAGAAGAATAGAAGTCACTTTCCATTGATCCTAATGTACAGATCATTTGAAAAAGAAGGAAGTGATTGAAGAACTATTCTTGGAACTCTAAGGAGCAGAAAAGAATATTTAGAAAATAAAGTTAGAGAGTAGCTAACAGCAATTTGGAGAAAATATTTAATCCTTAGGATGCAATAAAGGATGTATTTAAGAGGAAAAGTGGCATATGTATGATGACAAAATTTGTTTGGTAAGGCTTCTTTTAGGAAACAGTTTTTGTATTCACATATCTAATAACAAGTAGTTTAGGTTCAATATACTCCATTTTCCTTTGTTTTCTAGTTGCTGTCAAACTTATTTTGGTAGAGGGTATTCCTTCATTCACTTTTCAGGTATTTATCTAAATTCTTTGGGATCTTTTATAAGTGCTAGATACAGAAAGACAAATGAGACAATGTTCATGACTTCAAGTAGTATCTAGTCCAATTGATAAATTATAAAGTAAATTGAACCATATGGAGTTGCTATTTTGCAAGTAGGGAAATGTTTGCATATTGGCAACATCACATGACTTAACATGGCATTGCAGTAAAAGTTATAATGGAAGAATATGTGAGGTACAGTGAGAACAAAAATGCATATATTTCAGATTGAAAAAAACAGGCTGGCTTTCAGGAGGTGACACAAACTACACCTTATAAAGCAGGTGTTCATAGATAAAGGAGAGAGGACGGTTTGTTAAATAGCACAGGCGGCTATACCATTTGGCGTATCTCTGACTGTCTTTCAAATTTTCAAGCCCAAGTAATTTATTTTCCCATAACAATCATGCAGCCCTATTCTTACAGTGACCAATTCCAATGATATTGAAATAGCATGTTAGATTGATTTTATTTTAATTTTTGGTTTTTAGGTTTTTTTTTTAAATTTTTTTATTCGAGAACGTTTCACTCTGTTACTCAGGCTGGAGTGCCGTGGTGCAATCACGGGTCATTGCAACCTTCGCCTCCCAGGCTAAAGTGATCCTCCCACCTCAGCCTCCTGAGAAGCTTCAGGCAATCCATTCACCTTGGCCTCCCAAAGTGATGGGATTACAGGTGTGAGCCACTGTGCCCGGCTAGATTGATTTAAAAAGTCTAAAACTAAATCTCTATAAGCCTTATACTTTATCTTCAACTTAATCTGTGTGACAATACATTGGAAAGTAAACTAAACAAGGTTTTATTTGGAATTGATAGCATTGATTAAAAAGAAGTATGGTCTTGTTTGTGACTCTTTCTGATAGAATATCTTGAACTACTGTTTATCACAGGACTTGTAATGAGAACAGTTATAATGAATGACTCAGAAGAATGGGCGAAGACCCTGGCATGCATGATGCATAGTAGACATTTATTTCTTGAACCCATGTTGTTGCCTTGTATCTCTGTTTATTTTATGAGAATACAGTTCATCACCTATTTAGGTAATATGTGCTCATTATTTTTCATCTTAGTCAAAATAATTTTTTAAAAGTAGTATCTTTTAATCTTTTCTTATAGAATAAATTCTATATAGAGATGAGGATTAATAACAAAATATATTACAAAAATCTGTGCAAAAGGGAAAATTTTGCATGTCACCAAATGACAAAGTTCAAATTTAAAAAGCTGCTTGTCAAAACCAATTAACTAAACAAATAATAAACTAAATTATAATAGCAGTAAAAGTAAACTGTAAACCACTAACTGTGCTTGAGGACTAAAACACATTTGACTTTTATTTCTAGCTAAGGTATTTTACATATACGTATAGTTCAAAAATGTTTTATACCATGAATTTTTAACTACATGCCATTTGAATTGTGTCAATTTTCTTGTTTTCTTTCATCAATTTTAATTTTTAACCTATGATTACTTTTTCCATAGCTTTTCTTTTTGATAATGTGTATCAAATTTGTGTTCTCTTAGATTTTTATTTTGTAAATATTTGCATTCTCGAACAATTGAAGCAAGGCAAATTGACGCCATAAACTTCTTTACAAATCATTTGTTTGTATGTTTAATTTGATAAGAATGTAAATCAAAACGTAATGTATGGACTATGACTAAATGAAGATATATGGATCTACATTTTAAAGCACCCCATTAGTTATTTGATTTCCTTTCTGATCACTTTCTCTTATCATATGTGTGTGTGTGTGTGTGTATATATATATGTACATATATATGTATGTATATATATGTACGTATATATGTGTGTATATATATGTACATATGTGTGTGTGTGTGTGTGTGTGTGTATATATATATAGGTCTTATGTTAGCAAATTCTGTTTTTCTTTTAGTTCTTTTTGGAATTATTCTGTATTTCCCTATATTGTGCAATCATTATTAGCAGAAACAAATTATTTTTTTAATTAAGTAAGCAAAACTTCTATATCAGAATATATTTTCCTTGAAAATGTTTCAGATGTTTGGAATTTTGTATTCTTTCTTAGAGAAACAACTCACATAAGATATTTATTACTATTTTCTTTTCAGTTATTTTAAAATCACTTTACTGAGTTATGACTGATACACAAAAGGCTGTACATATGTATTCAATGTATGACTTGGAAAGAAGTATACACAGGTGAAACTCTCAGCATAATCAATACCATAAACATATCCATCACTTTCAAGTTTTCTCCCATCATCTTTATTTAATTTTTTGTATGTGATAAGAACACATCATGGAAGATCTTCCCACTTACCTCATCTTTAAGTGTACAACAGAGTATTGTTAACTGTAGTCATTATGCTGTAGAATAGATCCATAGGACTTATTCATCTTGTATAACTGTATGTTTGTACCCTTTGACCAATGCCTCCTTATTTCTCCCTGCCTCCAAATCCTGACAATCACTATTCTAGTCTCTATTTATATAAATTTGACTATTTCATATTCGTCATACAAGTGAGATCATATAGCATTTGATAATTGTGTGTATGTCTTATGTTACTTAGCATAATGTTCTCTAGGTTCATCCATGTTTCCACAAATGATGGATTTCCTTCTTTTTAAAGGCTGAATTATATTCCATTACATGTATATACCACATTTTCTTTACCCGTCGATGAACATTTAGGTTGCTTTCAGCTCTTGGCTATTGTGAATAATGCTGCAATTCACATGTGAGTTCAGATATATTTTGAAGATCCTGATTTCAATTCCTTTGGATATATATCCAGAGATAGGAATGTTGGATCATATAATAGTTTTATTGTTAATTTTGAGGAAAATTTTATATTGTTTTACCCATACTTCCTATATCAATTTACATCCTATCAACAGCATACAGGGTTCTCTTTTCTCCATATGCTCACCAACACTTATTAGGTTTTATCTTTTTGTTAATAATCATTCTAACAGGAATAAGGTGGTATGTTACCTGGTTTAAACTTGAATTACCCTAGTAATTCATGATTTTGATATTTTTTTCATTTACCTTTCAGCCATTTGTATATCTTCCTTTGAGATAAGTCTATTTGGGTCTTTTCCCTATTTTATAATTATTTGTTTTTCTCCTATTGAGTGGTAGTTTTAAAAAAATATTTACAATATTGAAATTTTGTCAGTTTTATGCCTGCAAATATTTTCTCCCAGTCTATAGGCTGCCTGTTTATTTTATTGGTTGTTTCTTTTGCTGTGCAAAAGAGTTTGATGTAATCCCACTTGTCTGTTTTTGCTTTTGTTGCCTGTGCTTCCGGTGTTATATCCAAGAAATCATTGCTAAGGCCAATGTGAAGTAACATTTTCTCTTTTTCTTCTAGGAGTTTTATGTTGTCTGTCATTAATTCATTTTGAGTTGATTTTTGTATGTGTTATGAGGTAAGGATCCAATCTCTCATTGTGCATTCTTGGCATTCTTGTCACAGATCAGTTGGCCATGTATATGTTGGTTTATTTGTGTTCTTTATTCTAGTCCATTAGTCTGTATCCCTCTTTTTATGCAAATATCATGCTGTTTAGAGTACTGTGGCTTCATAATATGTTTTAAAATGAAAAAGTATGGTGCCTCCAGCTTTGTTCTTCTTGTTCAAAATTACTTAGGGTATTTCAGGCCTTTTGCGGTTTCATATAAATTTTAGGGATGATTTTTATATTTATGTAAGAAAATGCCATTGGAATTTTGATAGAGAATGCATTGAACCAGTAAATTGCTTTGGGTAGTAGGGACATTTTTATAAAACTAACCTGTAAGCTGTTCAGGTTAAGTTTTGTGAATGCATCTGCTTTTATCTTCAATACAGTAATACATTATTTGAGTTGTCTTAGAGGTGACTGGGTATTAGCTCCTTAACTCTTTGTTACTTTGGCTAATTTGTTGGGCTGCTTATTCATTTGTGGGTTTATTTTTGCAGGTGTATTTGTTGTAAAATAAAATTCATTATTCAACACTAAAATAAGTATGTATTTACAGAGCTGTGCCATATAAGAAATGACAATTTCACTCTTGCAAGAGCATTCAAATTACTCCACAGACTAAAAAACAGGGCTGCACAGCTTCTATTTTTACATTTACTTTGCATATTTTTTTCCATTTTTCTACTGACCCTAGTGACAGGTGGCTTAATGTGCCCCATTTACCTCACAAATAATAGCATGAGCTGTACCCCATGTGGCTGGAAGGACATTTCTCAAAAGAAGACACAGAAATGACTGACAGGTATATCAAAAAATTCTCAAAATCACTAATTATCAGGGAAAATGCAAATCAAAACCACGATGAGGTATCACCTCACACTTATTATCAAAAAGACTAAAGATAACAGTGTTGGTAGGATGTGGTGCACTGTTGGTAGAAATGTAAATTGGTACAGATGTTTTGGATAAAATGCGATGGGAAGCAGCATTATGAAATACTTTTCTCACCACCTCCTAAAACAAATTAGGTGTCTCCATTTTCTTTTGTCCTATTCATTTTCTTTTGTCTCCCTGTGTACTGTTCTTGACAGGGAGGTTTCAGTAATGTCATATATAAAAAGGTTTGGGAAAAGGGAAAAAGCCTATTTTCAATCATCTTTCAGATTTAACCAAATGTGAAAGTGAAAATTCTCTGCATATGTGTCACATTGCTAGAAAAGACTATAGTTGAAACTGGAAATGGAGTATAAATCTCCCAAGCCCAACCTGGCCATTCTCATGAAATATTTATTAATAATACTTGGTAAAAATGACAAATTCAGGCCAAACAAATGAAACCAACACTGTGAAATCAGGAAGTAATATATACTAATAATAAAAGACTAAGAATTGCATTCTAGTTAGGTTTAAGAAAGTCTGTCTTTACTTGAATGAAGTACTTGAACACTTGTCAGGGATTCAATCATTTATATTTGTATTACACCAGATATCTTGGCTGTTTCTAGGTATACAGAAGAAATGTATTATTGTTACAGAAGAAGTGTATTTTTGCTTCCAGGTATATAGAAGAACTGTATTATTATTGTATTATTGTTAGAAAAAATATATAATGTAAGAATGAATTCACGTGTTTTATAACCAGACTGCTGTAACCAGGCATATATTTGTGAGATGGTTGATCAGAAGTATTGTCAATGGAAATATAACAGAACAATGCTACTTTATAAACAAAATGTCAAAACCTATGTCCTTGGCTTTATTAGCCCAATGATCTGAACAAATGTAATAAATAACAAGTACAAATTCTATTGTGGAAAATTTGTGGACTAATAAATTTTAATTCTATGTCTATTTTCAGGAGAAGTTAGGTAACTGTGAAGGTAGTGAAAATCATAGTTTAAAGAATCGTTAGTTAACACAGAAACAAAAAAAATGCTGCATATTCTAACTTATAAGTGGGAGCTAAACAGTGAGTACATATTGACACAAATAAGGGAACAACACACACTAGGCTTACCTGAGGGTAGAGAGTGGAAAAAGGATAAGGATTTTAAAAGGGTACCTATCAGGTACTATGCTTACTATCTGGGTGACAAAATGTCTGTACACCAAACTCCCATGACACATGCAATTTACCCATGTAACAAACCTGCATGTGTACACTCTAAACCTGAATCTAAATCAATTTCATATTGCATGTACTGTATATTCCATAATCATTGTTGCAGATGGTAATATTGGAATAAACTCTATGACTGCATACCAGTGCTACATCTGCAAAAAGATGCAGTTATGTAAGCATCCAACAATTTATGAAATAACTTTGAAAATATATTTATGCAAATTTGAATTTTATTAATGTTGCTTCTGTGGGATACTAATAGATGCAAAAATTTACAAAGGCTACTGAGTGTAGATGGACAGATAATAGATAAGTATAATATATTTTGCTCTTAATAGAAACTCATTGTTTTTTGATCTGTTACCTATAAAACACATGGTCAGACATGGGACCTAAAATATCCATGTAAAACAAAACGTAACATAACTTTCTTAAAAACATCTCAATCCAAAGGTGGGTTGATGCTATACTTCCATTAAAAACATGTAACTGCCATCAGAGAATACTATAAACACCTCTTTGCAAATAAACTAGAAAATCTAGAAGAAATGGATACATTCCTCGACACATACACTCTCCCAAGACTAAACCAGGAAGAAGTTGAATCTCTGAATAGACCAATAACAGGCTCTGAAATTGAGGCAATAATTAATAGCTTACCAACCAAAAAAACTCCAGGACCAGATGGATTCACAGCCGAATTCTACCAGAGGTACAAGGAGCAGCTGGTACTATTCCTTCTGAAACTATTCCATTCAGCAGAAAAACAGGGGATCCTCCCTAACTCATTTTATGAGGCCAGCATCATCCTGATACCAAAGCCTGGCAGAGACACAACCAAAAAAGAGAATTTTAGACCAATATCCCTGATGAACATCCATGCAAAAATCCTCAATAAAATACTGGCAAACTGAATCCAGCAGCATATCAAAAAGTTTATCCACCATGATCAAGTGGACTTCATCCCTGGGATGCAAGGCTGCTTCAACATACGCAAATCAATGAATGTAATCCAGCATATAAACAGAACCAATGACAAAAACCACATGATTATCTCAATAGATGCAGAAAAGGCCTTTGACAAAATTCAACAACCCTTCATGCTAAAAACTCTCAATAAATTAGTTATTGATGGGATGAATCTCAAAATAATAAGAGCTATCTATGACAAACCCACAGCCAATATCATACTGAAGGGGCAAAAACTGGAAGCATTCCCTTTGAAAACTGGCACAAGACAGGGATGCCCTCTCTCACCACTCCAATTCAACATAGTGTTGGAAGTTCTGGCCAGGGCAGTCAGGCAGGAGAAGGAAGTAAAGAGCATTCAATTAGGAAAAGAGGAAGTCAAATTGTCCCTGTTTGCAGATGACATGATTGTATATCTAGAAAACCCCATCATCTCAGCCCAAAATCTCCTTAAGCTGATAGGCAACTTCAGCAAAGTCTCAGGATACAAAATCAATGTGCAGAAATCACAAGCATTCTTATACACCAATAACAGACAAACAGAGAGCCAAACCATGAGTGAACTCCCATTCACAATTGCTTCAAAGAGAATAAAATACCTAGGAATCCAACTTACAAGGGACATGAAGGACCTCTTCAAGGAGAACTACAAACCACTGCTCAGTGAAATAAAAGAGGATACAAACAAATGGAAGAATATTCCATGCTCATGGGTAGAAAGAATCAATATCATGAAAATGGCCATACTGCCCAAGGTAATTTATAGATTCAATGCCATCCCCATCAAACTACCAATGCCTTTCTGCACAGAATTGGAAAAACTACTTTAAAGTTCATATGGAACCAAAAAAGAGCCCACATTGCCAAGTCAATCCTAAGCCAAAAGAACAAAGCTGGAGGCATCACACTCCCTGACTTCAAACTATACTACAAGGCTACAGTAACCAAAATAGCATGGTCTGGTACCAAAACAGAGATCTAGACCAATGGAACAGAACAGAGCCCTCAGAAATAACGCCGCATATCTATAACTATCTGATCTTTGAAAAACCTGAGAAAAACAAGAAATGGGGAAAGGATTCCCTATTTAATAAATGGTGCTGGGAAAACTGGGTAGCCATATGTAGAAAGCTGAAACTGGATCCCTTCCTTACACCTTATACAAAAATTAATTCGAGATGGATTAAAGACTTAAATATTAGACTAAAAACCCTAGAAGAAAACCTAGGCAATACCATTCAGGACATAGGCATGGGCAAGGACTTCATGTCTAAAACACCAAAAGCAATGGCAACAAAAGCCAAAATTGACAAATGGGATCTAATTAAACTAAAGAGCTTCTGCACAGCAAAAGAAACTACCATCAGAGTGAACAGGCAATCTACAGAATGAGAGAAAATTTTTGCAATCTACTCGTCTGACAAAGGGCTAATATCCAGAATCTACAATGAACTCAAACAAATTTACAAGAAATAAACAACCCCATCAAAAAGTGGGCAAAGGATATGAACAGACACTTCTCAAAACAAGACATTTATGCAGCCAAAAAACACATGAAAAAATGCTCATCATCACTGGCCATCAGAGAAATGCAAATCAAAACCACAATGAGATACCATCTCACACCAGTTAGAATGGCGATCATTAAAAAGTTAGGAAACAACAGGTGCAGGAGAGGAGGTGGAGAAATGGGAACACTTACACTGTTGGTGGGACTGTCAACTAGTTCAACCATTGTGGAAGTCAGTGTGGTGATTCCTCAGGGATCTAGAACTAGAATTACCATTTCACCCAGCCATCCCATTACTGGGTATATACCCAGAGGATTATAAACCGTGCTGCTATAAAGACACACGCACATGTATGTTTATTGAGGCACTATTCACAATAGCAAAGACTTGGAACCAACCCAACTGTCCAACAATGATAGACTGGATTAAGAAAATGTGGCACATATACACCATGGAATACTATGCAGCCACAAAAATGATGAGTTCATGTCCTTCGTTGGGACATGGATGAAGCTGGAAACCATCATTCTCAGCAAACTATCACAAGGTCAAAAAACCAAACATTGCATGTTCTCACTCATAGGTGGGAATTGAACAACCGGAACACATGGACACAGGAAGGGGAACATCACACACCGGGGCCTGTTGTGGGTAGGGGAAGCGGTGAGGGATAGCATTAGGAGATACACCTAATACTAAATGACGAGTTAATGGGTGCAGCACACCAACGTGGCACATGTATATATATGTAACAAACCTGCAAGTTGTGCACATGTACCCTAATACTTAAAGTATTATAAAAAAGAGAAAAAAAACATATTTAGAGGAAGTACACATGTAATAATATAAATTTGTGACTATATGATTAAAATATAAAATCCAACAGGTAAGTTATATATTTTTTCAAAAGTATTAAGTTTTAAATTTTTTCTTATTAGTATTTCACAATATAGTTTGCATCTTAATATAAGTAAATAAAGATGAAGAACAGAATATTTAATGAACACAAAGTCTTGGAAATTATCAGAGATTAAAAAGTTCACTTAAACTGCATGAAATATTGATATTAACAAGGAAAAACAGCATTAATATTAAATTTTTCAATGGCGAAACTACTAGAAAAAAAAGAGGTGACTTTTGCAACATGAATATCATGCAAAGTCTACCTATATCCCCAAACTATCACCTTTTCCCATAGTAGATAGAATATTTTCTTAATAACAAACAACTAACAAACAAAAACAATTTGCTAAAGTGTACGATGGTTTTTTCCATGTTATAAATTACATAAACTAGACATATTTAGAGTTACGATGTATAGTTGAAATTTACTAGATGTAATAAAATATGCTGTGCTATAACATTTATGAACTAAAATCTTGTTTCAAAAACATAGTTAATCCCATGAATATATCACAATATATTTTAGCACAAATTTTCCAGAAACGTGTGTGTGTGTGTGTGTGTGTGTATGTGTTTTAATTGTAAATGTATATTTAACATCTCTTATATTGGTACATTGTTGAATGCAGTTTCCAAAATTATATTTCTCAATTACTTTAAGGTCTGCAATATTAGCAGGTAAAATTTTCTAATCATAAGAAAATAAAATTGGAAAGCCAATAACAAAAACTATCGTTAAAGATCCTATATTTCTAGTAATGAAACATTGATTTAAAGAAGAATTCATAAAATAAATCTAAGTAACAAAGCAATGCATGTTAAAATTTGTGGGGCATAGCAAAAGCAAAACTTAGAAGTTTATAGCTCTAAATTGTATTTGGACACAATTTTAATTTATTGGAACACAAATTAATATTCAATAGAGTCAACAAAATATGAATAAATATAATATGACTAGATGTCTATAATAATAAAGCCAGGAAATAATGGATAATATTGAAACTTTAAAATAATTGAAAAGTTAGACAATGTTTTGATGAGAATGAGAAAGTCAATGTAAGACAGAAAAGGCAAAAATGAACAAAATTAAAAAGGAATATATTTACAAGCACAAAATATTTTGTAAAATAATTTGAATACCTTGATGAACCATACATTTTGGAAAAAAAAATTAAAGCACTAAAATCAGTATGAGGGAATGTAAATTGATGACAGAAAAAACAATAATTTAGAAAACCATTGATTGATTAAATAGCTCAAAAAAACTGAGATCTAGAATAATTTCAAGTGAATTTTACCAAGTTACTCAATTTTGTGCATTTTTATACATAATTAGGAAACAGAAGAATAATCCCAAACAAATTTAATAGAAGCTATAGCTTGTTACTAAACTTAGTAAGAATAATGCATAAAGGAAATACAAATATAGTGCCCTGTAAGTAAGAGTAACTCAATCTTCTGAACATGAGACTATAACATAAAATAAATGACACTTAATCAAATAAAAATAAATTATGTTTCATGGTGACTAATCCTTTGTTTGGAGCCGAATTTTTTCGACAATACTATAAGGTAATTTATAGTATTTTCTCCCTAGGGTATTAAATTTGTAGACACTTATCTCTTATGGCACAACAAATGTAATCAAGATTTTTAAGACTTCAAGAATGGATGTTTTATTTCAACGATGCCAATAATTTAACTCAAATAGAAGTAAAATATATGAATTTTCTAATTTATGCTTGAGATAGGTTTCTTTTGGCATTTAGCTATTGTAAGTTGTTTGGATATGTGTATCCATTATACTTTTAAATCAGTTGACTCAGAGTGCTTCTGTTTCCACTATAAAATTTGATAAATAAACTTTGTAGCAGAAAAGGAAATATATTTGCTCTTTGAGGGTAAACCTATTCTCAATAATATAACTTCAAAAGGTGCTAATTTTTATGAGGTATGGGTGTAAAGCTTCAGGCTAGAAAAAACTCTAATGACTTGTGATTGGCACCATTAATAACTTCTGTGTGTTCTTATTCAGAGTATCATGAAGCTGCTTTGTACTGCATGTTTTCTTTCCTTTCCAGAACCTTACTTGGAAGAAATCAGTTGAGTTCCAAAAGCCCAGTACTGATAAGAACAATTTCCCTACAGCATTTGTTGGCTGGAGATTCAATACTACATTTTCAAGTAGAATTTCAAGTCTTATATGAAAAAGCCCAATAATAAATCTAATTCCAAATTTTACAGATAGATTGATAGATATACATAGATCGTTTTAATATATTTTAAAGTGCGTTTTACAAAGTCATGAAATATTTTTAGTGAGAAAAACATCTACTACTGATATACCAAGGTGTGTATTGATATAATTAATTTGAATACGTGTACTTTGAATTCAGATACAGAAAACACGCACAAAGCTAAAAAGCTGAAAAAGTGACTGAGTCAAGATTTGAATTAATTCTGAACTCCAAGATTAAGCTCTTAATCACTACATCTGCTTCTATGCCAAACCATATTAGAAACTGTTCTAATTCATGTTATTAACTGAATGTTTGTGTACCTCCACAATTTGTATGTTGAAACCCGAATCCCAATGTGATGGTAGGTGCCTTTGGGTGGTGATTAGGTCATAAGAGTAGAATGCTTGTGAGTGGGATTAGTGCTCTTATGAAAGAAACCCCAGAGAGTTCTCTCATCCACTTTCTACCATATGCAGATGCAAGAAAAAGGAGAAAGTCTGCAAACTGGAAAGGGGCCATGAGTAGAACTTGACCATGCTGGCACCCTGATCTCAGACTTTCAGCTTCCAGAACTGCGAGAAATACATTTATGTTCTTTAAAAGCCTCCGTCCATGATAGCTTCTTATAGCAGCCCAAATATAATAAGACATCAAAACAGTGGGGAAAAATTCTGCTGTCACAATAGTAGCCAAGTTCTTCATTTTCAGAGTTAGAAGACATGCTATTTGTTAGTAGGTTTTTACCAATCATGGTGCCTATCCTCATGAAAGGCAGTCATTTTAGTTTTCATAGAATATTTTCAATTAGTTTAAAATTTATATGCTTTCCAAATACTGTGAAGTTCCATTAAATTACCTTTGTATCCAGTTTTTATTCTAAATTTTTTTACCATTTTATTTATCTTTTAATCATTATTTTAGGTTCATTACAAAACAAGGACAATGTTCGTGATAGCATAAATCAATTAAGTTACCAACATGACTGTGCTTTTATATTTATATTCTTTTTATCCTTCATCCTCCCCTCTACCATTCTCAACCTCTGGTAACCACCATTTTATTCTCTATCTTTATGAGATCCACTTTTTTAGCTCTGACATATAAGCGAGAACATATGATATTTGTCTCTGGCTTATTTCACTTAACGTAATAGCCTCTAGTTCCATCCATGTTGCTCCAAATGGCAGTATTTTATTGTTTATGGTTAAATAATATGCTATTATTGTCTAGGCACTTAAGTTGATTCCACATGTTGGCTATTGTGAATAATGCTGCAATAAACACAGAAGTGCAGGTATTCCTCATTGATCTCCTTTCCTTTGGATATATACCCAGTAGATGAATTGCTGAATCATATTGTAGTTATATTGTTAGCTCTTTAGGAACATTCATACTGTTCTTTATAGTGGTTGCAGTAATTTGCAGTTCCACCAATAGTGTACAAGGGTTCCTCTTTCTCCGCATGCTCACTGGTGTGTTAATCCCTGTCTTTTTGATACAAAACATTTTAACTTGGGTGAGATCATATCTCATTGTGGTTTCGATTTGCATTTCTCTTATGATTAGTGATATTGAGCTTTTTTCATGTACCTGTTTACCATTTGTAAGTATTCTTTTGAGAAATGTCTGTTTAGAGTTTTGCCCAATTTTTAATTGGATTATTATTATTATTAGTTTTGCTGCTAAGTTGTTTGAACACCTTGTGTATTCTGGTTATTTGTTAGATAGGTAGTTTGCAAATATTTTCTCCCTTTCTATGGGTTGTCCCTTCACTTTGTTGATTGTTTGCTTTACTGCACAGAAGCTTTTTAGCTTGATATATAATCAAATTTGTCTATTTTTGCTTTTGTTGCCTGGGCTTTTGAAGTCTTACCAAAAAAAAAAAAAATTGCCTAGGCTAATATCCTAAAGCATTTTTCCATTTTCTTCTTCTGGTAGTTTCATAGTTTCAGGTCCTAGATTTAAGTCTCTTTTTTTTTTTTTTTTTTTTTTTTTTGAGATGGAGTCTCGCTCTGCTGCCCAGGCTGAAATGCAGTGGTGCAATTTCGGCTCACTGCAACCTCCGCCTCCCGAGTTAAAGCCATTCTCCTGCCTCAGACTCCCCAGTAGCTGGGATTACAGGCATGGGCCACCACACCCAACTAATTTTTGTACTTTTAGTAGAGACGAGGTTTCACCATGTTGGCCAGGCTCGTCTTGAACTCCTGACCTCAGGCGATCCGTCTGCCTTGGCCTCCCAACGTGCTGAGATTATAGGCTTGAGCCACCAGGCCCGGCTGATTTAAGTCTTTAATTCATTTTGATTTGATTTTTATTTATGATAAGAGATAGGAATCTAGTTTCATTATTTTGCATATAGTTATCCAGTTTTCCTAGCATTATTTAGTGAAAAGACTGCATGTTCTTGATGCCTTTGTCAAAAATTAGTTGGCTGAAAATGCATAAATTTATATCTGGATTCTCTTTTCTGTTCCATTGTTTTTTATGTCTGTTGTTTATGCTGGTACCATACCGTTGTGGTTACCAAAGATTCATAGTAAATTTTGAAGTTCGGTAGTGTGATGCCTCCAGCTTTGTTCTATTTGCTCAGGATGCTTTGGCTATTGTGGACCTTTTGTGGTTTCACGTAAATTTTAAGATTTTTATTTTCCATTTCAGTGAAAAATGTCATTGGCATTTTGATAAGCATTACATTGAATCTAAATTTCTTTGAGTAGGGTTGTCATTTTAACGATACTAACTCTTCCAGTCCATGAGCCTGGAGTATCTTTCCCTGTTTTGTGTCCTCTTCCCTTTCTTCTGTCAGTTTTACAGTTTTCCTTGTACAGATCTTTTTCTTTAGTTAGATTGATTTCTAAGTATTTTATACTTTTTGTAGCTATTGTAAATGAGGTAGCTTTCTTGATTTCTTTTTCACAGTGTTTGCTGTTAATGTATATAAGTGCTACTAATTTTTGTTTGCTGATTGTGTATCTTACAACTTCACCGAATTCATTTATCAGCTCTTAACAGTTTTTTGCTGTGGCCTTTAGATTTTTTTACGTGTAAGATCATGTCATCTGTGAACAAGACAAATATAACTTCCTCCTTTCCAATTTGAATGCCTTTTATTTTTTTTTCATTGGCCCAATTGCTCTGGCCAAGACTTCAAATATTATGTTGGACAACAGTGGTGAAAGTGGGCATCGTTTTCCTGTACCAATCCTTACAGGAAAGGCCTTCATTTTTTCCTTGTTCAGTACCATGTGAGCTGTGGGTTTGTCTTATATGTCCTTTATTATTTTGACTAATGTTCCTTCTAGACTCGTTTTGATGTGGACTTTTATCATAAAAGGATATTGAATTTTATCTAATGCTTTTTCATCATTTACTGAAATAATTATTTGACTTTCATTCTTAATTCTGTTAATCTGATGCATCACATTTATTGATAGGCATATGTTGAACTATCCTTGCATACTTGGTATAAATCCCATTTGATCATGGTGAATGATTATTTAGTGTGTTGTTGAACTCAGTTTGCTAGTATTTTGTTGAGAATTTTTGCATCTATGTTCATCAGTGCTATTGACTCGTAGTTTTCTTTTTTTGTTGTGTCCTTGTTTGGCATTGGCAACAGAGTAATACTGGCCTCATAGCATGCATTAGATGTATTTCCTCCTCTTCAAATTTTTTGAAATACATGTTCCATAACTTAAGGCATTCAGGTTCTCATTTTAAATTCAAGAATAAGACAAATATTCCATGCTCCATATAACATTCCACAGGTTATTACACTGGAATAAGGGAGGACTATTTTACCACTTTGTTACATATACCTATTGATGGGGTAAAGAAGATAAAGCTTATATGCATTCATTCTGAATTATCACCTTAATGAAGTCAGTAGTTTCAGGTTTCTATGGAAATTTGTTATCAAGAAGCATACAATTTCACAGTTAAAAAGGGTCTTAATACTATGCCAATGCTCTTACCTTGTAAATGAACAAATTAAAATTCAAATTAGTTATATGATTCATCAAAATTAAAAAAAAAACTATTTAGTAAGGGAGTCCTTACTAAGTGTTGGCAAAGCTCATCCAGTTTTCTTTCCACTACAGGGGACTGCCTCCGATGAAGAATAGTAGTTGTGTAGTATTACTTAGTTTCCTTCTGTCTTCTTTTATCAAAATGATAGTATTCAATAACCAAGTATCTGAATTTTTTGTACACTATATTTTGCCAATTTTCTCAATGCCTCTTAGCTGGAAATTAAAGGCCATCTGCCCACTATATTTCTAAATAGAGTTTTCTTCAATTTGTATGTCCCTATATACAAAAAAGAAGTTCACATTTTTTTCTGTGTCTGAACAATGTTGACCTGATTTCAGAATAAATAATTCCACAAAATCTAATGATAGAACACAGAATACTACATACAAAAATGAAGATTAAAGTTTAAAAACTATAATTTCAAACTATTGATCAGTGGTAATTTGGGCACCTCTAGGTTACTTCACGGGCATGTGGAAAACAAGCAAACCCTTTAGAGTGAATAGAAATGATTAATAATAACATAATTTAATTCAATTATTTTTCACAGGTTTACTAAGCCAATATTTTCTCTTTTAATCCCCTATGGTTGGTCTATACTTCTAATCTGTCCCTTTTGTTTGATTTGCTCATTTAGAAATTGGTATTACCTCTAGTTAAGACAGAATTAGAAGAGCAACATTTAAATGAACAATTCACTAAAAAAAAATCAATATCTATCTTTCCAAAGGCATGAAATACTCTCTTAGTGATAAAATAGTATGGAAAATACATTGTATATCTGTTTATTACTTTTTAGTTCTCAAAGGCAAATTTACTTTTACCTGCCACTTTGAAATAAATTAATTTTATCAATGAATTCAAAAATATTAATATATTTAATTTAAATGTCTTCAGATTTTTGCATGAAAGGTATATATTATATAGTTATATATATTATTTATATATTAATAGAAAGTCCTAATTTTATATGCATGTGTGTGTGTGTGTTTAAATTTTTAGAAATAATGAAATATTTTCCCTGGTCTTTACATTTAAACTGAGAGACCAAGAAAAAAAAGCAAGTAAATTCCAGCTAGAAAGTGACCAATGGAGATACAGTCTATCCAACCTTCTCAGTGTTCGGATTCATTACAAAAATTATCTGCATTATTGCATTTTCTGCATGTTACCACTTTCTCTTAATTTTCTGAAAATTATTCATCTAATATTTAGAAAGTGATATGGAGTATTTTAATTTTCTTGTGGCTATAAAAAAAGTCACTTCTGCAATAAACATATGTGTGCATGTATCTTTAAAGCAGCATGATTTATAATCCTTTGGGTATATACCCGGTAATGGGATGGCTGGGTCAAATGGTATTTCTAGTTCTAGAGCCTTGGGGAATCACAACCAACTCAAAGGTCCATCAATGATAGACTGGATTAAGAAAATGTGGCACATATACACCATGGAATACTATGCAGCCATAAGAAAGGATGAGTTCATGTCCTTTGTAGGGACATGGATGAAGCTGGAAACCATCATTCTCAGCAAGCTATCGCAAGGACAAAAAAACCAAACACCGCATGTTCTCACTCATAGGTGGGCATTGAACAATGAGAACACTTGGACATAGGAAGGGGAACATCACACACCGGAGCCTGTCATGGGGTGGGGGTCAGGGCGAGGGATAGCATTAGGAGATATACCTAATGTAAATGATGAGTTAATGGGTGCAGCACACCAACATGGCACATGTATCCATATGTAACAAACCTGCAGGTTGTGCACATGTACCCTAGAACTTAAAGTATTATTAAAAAAAAGAAAAAAAAGTCACTTCTATTGTTATTGAATGTATTATTATGGTAGTTCAACAGGGTTAAGTATTGTATATTTTCTTTGTAACTGTAGTGAAATAAAAAGTCCACTGCTAAAGCCACATAGAATTTAAGGGAATACAAATCTGTGTTAACAGTGAAGGCATTTATTTTGAAGTAAAAAATAAAAACGGAAAGGCTTTGGGTTTCATCTAACTTGGTGGAGTGTGCTTTTTTATTAAATACAAAGTAATTTAGGTTTAATATAAGTATGAGATAGAGGCCGAGCTGCTAGTTTTATTTTAAATCCACATTGGAGGCTTAAGTGGAGATTTTATTGCTCCCAGTTCTTCCTTATTTTGCTCCCTTTTCTGATGTTGTCTTTTCTCGGGGACATCTGTGGAGGAGAGTTTTCAACAGGAATGGGGAAGCAGACATATCCCTCTCAAATGGACCCCAAAGAAGCAAAGTCTTTGAACTTCAGAATATGTTTCATGATCATAAATCCACTACACTCCAAGATAAGTCCTTCTTGCTCATGATAGATTTCTATATTTATTTAAGCAAGGCACATGTAACAGGAAGCCAAGCTCCATTAGAATTCCTCAATTGATGAATCCTTTGAATATTTTAACTGCTTTATAAAGGAGTAGACTATTTTAAATAAAATAATAAAAGGATATCTTGAAAATAAATGCTTTCCTGTTTAATATGCTAAATATTTGTTACTATTGCTAGCTTACTTTCTTCCTTCTGCTTCCCTGGCCCTTTAAAACAAAACAAAACAAAAAACACACACATGCACTTTTTAATAATTGCTAGGTTACTGGGAGTAACAGTATAGTGAAAAAAATTGGTTCACAATAACTTGGACAATTTGATTTAAAACTCATGATCTCATGTTCAGCTCAAATAAATAACATTCACAATGATGTGCTGAATAAGCCAGTCATAAAAGTTGCTTTTTTTCTGTGTTTGATCAATTCAGTCTATCACCATACATAGTACATACACCACAAAACAAGAATAATTCATAAGATATAAGAAAGGATAGATTTCAATATTTCTCTCTTGAAGGATATCATAGTTAAATTTGCATTTTTTATTGTGAAATATTTCATTATTCTCTGATCCTCAGAATGATCACCTGGGAAGCACAGGCGCAACTGTTCCATCATTTCTGACTTGATTCCTCTGTATGTCAGAGTTCCCAAAACACTTTCATTTGTGTTAGATAAATTTGAATAATTATTTATCTATATTTAATTATCAATGTAAACTATAAGCTAAGAAAAATAAAATACATAATAAGGACAGTTTAATTTTTATCACAAAGTATTATAAAAAGAGAAGCAGAAGGACACAAAAAGGAATAATTAAAAAAAAAACTGCCCTAAAAGGCATTTGGCAAATTGCTGCTTCTTATGAAGCTCTCTGAGTATTTCACAAAAGAGGATGTTAAAGCGAGAAAATTAAAGTCTTCTCTATGGCAGACCACCTGTGAATATAGGCCTTAGTGTGAAAAAGATAGATTTTTTTTTAATTTATTTTATTAGTTTGTTCTCACCCTGCTAATAATGACATACCTGAGACTGGGTAATCTTAAAGGAAAGAGGTTTAATTGACTCACAGTTCAGCATAGCTAGGGAGGCCTCAGGAAACTTACAATCATAGTGAAAGGGGAAGCAAACATGTCCTTCTTCACATGGCAGTAGCAAGGAGAAATGCTGAGTAAAAGGGAGAAAAACCCCTTATAAAACTATCAGATCTCATGAGAATTCACTCACTATCATGAAAAGAGCATAAGGATAACCACCCCCATGGTTTAATTACCTCCCACCAGGTCTGTCCCAGGACATGTGAGGATTATGGAAACTACAATTCAAGATGAGATTTAGGTGGGGACACAATCAAACCATATCATTCCACCCCTGGCCTCTCCCAAATCTCTTGTCTTCAGAATTCAAAACACAATCACTCCTTCAAACAGCCACCCAAAAACTTAACTCATTGCAACATTAACTTGAAAGTCCAAGCCCAAAATCTCATCTGAGAAAAGGAAAGTCCCTTCTGCCTATGTCCCTGTAAAATTAAAAGCAAGTTAGTTACTTCCTAGATACAATGGGGATAGGGGAATTAAGAAAGTAGACCCATTTAAAATGGGAGATATTGGCCAAAACAAAGGGGTCACAGGCCCCATGCAAGTCTGAAATCCAATAGGCAGTCATTAAACCTTAAAGTTCCAAAATGATCTCCTTTGATTGCATGTGTCACATCCAGGTCACACTGATGCAAGAGGTGGGCTGTTATGGCCTTGGACAACTCTGCTGTGGCTTTGCAGGGTACAGTCCCCGTCCTGGCTGCTTTCACAGGCTGGCATTGAGTGACTTTTCCAGGAGCATGGTGCAAGTTGTTGGTGGATCTATGATTCTGGAGTCTGGAGGATGGTGGTCCTCTTCTTACAGCTCCACTATGCAGTGCCCCAGCAGGCACTGTTTATGCGGGCTCCAATCTCACATTTCCCTTCTGCACTGCCCCAGCAGAGGTTCTCCATGAGGGTCCTGCCTCTGCAGCAGACTTTTGCCTGGACATCCAGGTGTTTCCATACATCCTCTGAAATCTAGGCAGAGTTTCTGAAACCTCAGTTCTTGCCTTCTGCTCACCCACAGGCCCAACACCACATTAAAAGTTTCCAAGGCTTGGGGCTTCCACCCTCTGAAGCAATGGCCTAAGCTGTATCTTCGCCCTTTTCAGTCATGCTGGAGTGGCTGGGATACAGAGCACCAAGTTACAAAGCCACACACAGCAGGGGTGGCCTTGACTTAGCCCACAAAACCATTTTTTCCTCCTAGGCCTCTGAGCCTATGATGGGAGGCACTGCCATGAAGGTCTCTGACGTGTCCTGGAGACATTTTCCACATTGTCTTGGTGATTAACATTCAGCTCCTCATCATTTATGCAAACTTTTGCAGTCAGATTGAATTTCTTCCTAGGAAATGAGGTTTTCTTTTTATGGCTTTGTCAGATTGCAAATTTTCCAAACGCTTATTCTCTGCTTCCTCTCAAACATTTTGCCACTTCAAAATTTATTCTGCCAGATACCCTAAATCATCTCTCTCAAGATCAAAGTTCCATGGATCTCTGGGGCAGGGGAAAAATGCTGCCAGTCTCTTTGCATAGCAAGAGTGACCTTTATTTCAGTTCCCAATAACTTTCCCATCTCTATCAGAAATCAAAGAAGCCTGACCTTCATTGTCTATATCACTATCAGCATTTTGGTCAATACTATTCAACAAGTCTCTAGGACGTTCCAAACTTTCCCACATTTTCTTGTCTTCTTCTGAGCCTTCCAAAAGTATCCAACCTCTGCCTGTTACCTGTTCCAATCACTTCCACATATCCAGGTATCTTTAGAGCAATGCTCCCTTCTCTGTGGTACTAAGCTACTATATTAATCCATTATCATGCTGCTAATAAAGACATACTCGATACTGGGTAATTTATATAGGAAAGTGGTTTAATTGAATCACAGTTTAGCATGGCTAGGGAGGCCTCAGGAAACAGACAATTATGGTGGAAGGGGAAGCAAACATGTTCTTCTTCAAATGGCAGCAGCAAAGAGAGGTGCTGAGCAAAAGAGAGAAAAGCCTCTCATAAAACAATTAGATCTCCTTAGTCCTCACTCACTATCATGAGAACAGCAGGAAACTAGCTGCCCCTATGATCTAATTACCTCCCACCAGGTCCCTTTAATGACACATAAAGATTATGGGAACTACAATTCAAGATGAGATTTGGGTGAGGATACAGCCAAACCATAAAATTTATTTTAAATAGCCAATTATAAAACAACTAGAAAACTTTCAGTATTAATGACAAGAAATGCTTAAACTTTTTGCCAGATATATATGTATATTATTTATATTTTTTATTTATATATATGTAATATATATTATTTATACGTATTATTTATATAAAAACAGGAGCTAGACATATAAAATAAAGGGTTTAAGTGTCTCTCACTCTCCCCTCTCCCCAATTCTTTTCCTGGATATAAATTATTATATATATATATATATATATATGTGTGTGTGTGTGTGTGTGTGTGTTTGTGTGTGTGTCTGTGTGTGTATTTACTACAGAAACTTCAAGTGGCTACCTTTGTGTCTCCTTTACTGTTTATTTGGCTTGTTAATGTTAATGCAGGCAATGCAAACTCCATTCCTGAAATAAGTCACTTGTTTGTGAGTTATTGTCCTTTTTATATATTGATGAAGCCAATATGTAATATTTTATTAATATTTTGGCATCTATTTTTATAAAGGGCATTGACATGTATTTTTATTGTTGTAGTTGCTGTTTTTCTAGCTATATTAAAGTTGAGTAATGAGGTGATGTTGGTTATTTAAAATTAGTTGTAATATTTACCTCATCTATTCTATAAAATTATGTAACACAGACATTTTTTTCTTAATGATCTGTTTGTTGTTTGGTTCTTTGGGCCAGAGTCTTGCTCTGTCACCCAGACTGGAGTGCAGTGGTGTGATCTCTGCTCACTGCAAACTCTCCCTCCTGGATTCAAGTGATTCTCCTGCCTCAGCCTCCTGGACAGCTGGGACTACAGGCATGAGCCACCATGCCCGGCTAATTTCTTGTATTTTTAGTAAAGATGGGATTTCACCATGTTGGCCATGATGGACTCAAACTCCTGACCTCAGGTGATCTGCCCACCTCTGCCTCCCAAAGTGCTGAGATTACAGGCATGAGTCACCACACCTGGCCTTCCTTAATTATTTGATAGAGTTCACCTCATGAAAACATCTAAACTTTTCCTGAGAAAGCTTTGAGATAAAACATCAATGTTTTAAATAACCATAAGGTAAAATAAATTTTATATTTTAAATAACCATAAGGTAAAGTAAATTTTATATATATAAAATATAAATATATATTATATATAAATATTATATTTATAATATTTATATATAACATATAATATATAAATATTATATAAAAATATATATTTACATATTTATATATAATTATAATTATATTTATATATAATAAATATATTTATATTTATATTTATATATAATGAATATATTTATATTTATATATAATGAATATATTTATATTTATATTTATATATAATGAATATATTTATATTTATATATAATGAATATATTTATATTTATATATAATGAATATATTTATATTTATATATAATAAATATATTTATATTTATATATAATAAATATATTTATATTTATATATAATAAATATATTTATATTTATATTTATATATAATAAATATATTTATTTTATATTTATATATAATAAATACATTTATATATAAATATATATAATATATTTATATATAAATATTTATATATAATAAATATATTTTTATATAAATGTTTATATATAAATATTATATATAATATATATTTTATATATATTTTATATTTTATAATATATATTTTATATATATTTTATATTTTATATATATATATATATTTTACCTTATGATCTGTATTTTACAAGTTGTTGTAAATAGTTGCCCATATTTTACCTTGGTCTGTATTTTACAAGAACATTGCCTATTTAATAAATTGACAAATTTATTGACATTAAATTTTTCATAATATTTGTTATCCTTCTAATGTCAGAAAAATCAATTGTGCTGCTCACTTTTTCATTTCTAGTATTGGCAAATTGTGTCTCCTTTAATATTTCTTTCATGATTTTTGATAGGTGGTTTAAAATATTATTAATGCTTAAATCAAACAAATTTTGGTCTCATTTCTTATTTCTATTGTTTTTATTTTTATTTCATTCATTTCCATCACAATAATTTTTATAACATTCTTTTTTTATTATGTTGAGTAAAGTTCACTCATATTTCTAGGTGAAAACTTAAGTTTTTTATTTTAATACTTGAGAAGGAGTATGTACTTTCAAGTATTGTTTAGAGCATTCTATAACTATCTGTTAGCTCAATTAGTCAATTAATATTACCAAGATTTCCATGAAAAAAGTAAAGAATGTCTACATATTTAAATATACAGTCAGACTCCAAAGAACCAAGTTTGCTCTGTTGAAATTTTAACGCAGCAATGAAAGAAATCGTTTTCCTTATAAACTGGAAATTAATTTATGAATTAAAGAAAAAGCAGTGAATCTATTGAGACATATAACAATTTTAATTCCTTGAACATAATGGGCTTTCAATGAATACATATTGATAAAACAATTATTTACATTATATGTGTACTTGTGAATTGATGAAATACATTATGTTTTAAATGTGTGTTACCTGGTACATTTAAGTAATGAGCATTTATCTTTAATGCACAATATTACTATTTTTAAGGAAAAGGGTACTACAACTGAGAACTAATATTGTCAAGCTGTTTAAGAATTGGTGGATGTATTTTATAATGAAGAGCTATAACAAGTGTCAAATTACTCAGTTTCACCAATTACAATATTTTGTATTCACTTATAAACATTTCTGCATAGATAAATTTTATGAAATGTAGTTTCCATGAATTACTTTCTTAAACCTTTTACTGTTTAGAAAAAAAAAAAAATGTAGCTCACCGCCGCCATTCATTTAATTTTACATAAGGAAGCTCTTTGAGGCTGAAGCAAATCAGACTGAGTTTCAATGTAAAAATAAAATATAAAGACTGTTCTTGGAGTTAGTTCTAAACAGAGTTAGCATCAGAATCATCCTAATCATCAGAATTATCTATTTCAGGAAAACCGCATTCATCGTATGAATCTTCAACCAATAACTGTTCAAGAGCGATGTTAACATCATGCATAGGAATGCTACGTTTTCTAGGATTTGACATTTTCAGCAATTGAGGATTACTATATTTTATAAATTGAAATAACACTACTAAAAACAGAATTCTAAAAATTGAATGATGTATTTTATTTCCAAATTCAATATCTAAAGGAATAAAAAAATAATAAAAGTGAAATATTTCATGGCAAATTTATCACACGGTAAATGCTGCAGCCACAAATGTCACCAGTGAGTATTCTCAGGGCAAATGGGCAAAGGGTTAGTTTTCAGTTCTATTGTGAATCATTATTTGGGCAGTCTAAATAAATGTCTGCCTTTAAAACAATAAGTAAATCAAAGACAAAGTTTTAAAATACAAAAATTTGGCTATAGAGAGGAAACAGTAGCTTCAAATGTGTTAAAATCATTTACTAATAAATATAAAACAATAAAATTATGCATTTGTTATAATGTTATCTCATGGAATGACAGTAAAATAGTAAAATTTTATACAATTCAGTGGCATCATGATAGATTAGTTTGGCCTCTTCTAAAATTTTATATAATTGAGATGATACAGTAAATTCATTTTTGTTTCTAGCTTATTTTGTTCTATTTGATTTTGATATTTATTTATCTTATGTGAATTGGTAATTTATTCCCTTTTTTTCACAGACTAGCATGTCATTATGAATATATTTCAATTTGTTTGTTTTTGTTTATGGTCGTTAAGGTTTATTCCAGCATGGGTTATTGTGAATAAAGCTACTACAACATTTGTTTTGCAAACCTCTTTTTGAGCATCTATTTTTGTTTCTTGGGGGAGTATACATTCCTAAGATTGAAATTGCTGGTATAAATTAGGTGAATTTATGTATTAAACATCTTTCTACTTACTTTGGGTTTAATTTTCTGTTTGTTATCTAGCTTCTTAATGCATGATCCTAATCATTATTTTGTACCTTTTTTCTCTTTAATATAAACATTTTAAAGCTATGAATATTCCTCTAGTAACTGCTTTGTTTGTATCTCACAAAATATGGTATCTTCTGCTTTTATTAACATTTAACTTGAAAATTGTCTTATTCATGTACAATTACATATGATTTCCACCTTGACTGACGTGTTATTTAAAAGTATGTTGCTTAATTACAAAACTGGGCAGCTGGTTGGGCAGACACTGAGCTAGCTGTGGGAGGTTTGTTTGTTTGTTTGTTTGATTTTTTGTTTGTTTTTTGCCCCAGTGGCACTTGGAACCCCAGCATGACAGAACCATTCACTCCTCTGGAAAGGGGGCTGAAGCCAGGGAGCCAAGTGGTCTTGCTCAGTGGGTCCCACTCTCATGGAGCCCAGCAAGTTAAGTTCTACTGATTGAAATTCTTGTTGTCAGTACAGCAGTCTGAAGTTGACCTGGGATGCTCAGGCTTGGTGGGGGAAAAGCATCTGCCATTACTGAGGCTTAAGTAGGTGGTTTTCCCCTCACAGTGTAAACAAAGCCACCAGAAAGCTCAGACTGGGTGGAATCCACCTCAGTGTGGCAAAGCCAATGTATCCAGACTGCCTCTCTAGATACCCCTTCACTGGGCAGGCCATGTCTGAAAGAAAGGCAGCAGCCCCAGTCAGAGGCTTATAGACAAAACTCCCATCTTCCTAGGACAGAGCACTTAGGGGAAGGGGCAGCTATGGGTGCAGTTTTGGCAGTCTTAAATGTTCCTGCCTGCCGGCTCTGAAGAGAGCAGAGGATCTCCCAGCACAGCACTCAAACTCTTCTAAGAAACAGACTACCTCCTCAAGTGGGTCCCTGACACCCATGCCTCCTGACTGGGAGACACCTCCCAGCAGGGGTCAAGAGATGCCTCACACAGGAGAGCTCTGGCTGGCATCTGGTGGGTGCCCCTCTGGGATGAAGCTTCCAGAGGAAGGAGCAGGCAGTAGTCTTTGCTGTTCTGCAGCCTCTGCTGATGATACCCAGGCAAACAGGGTCTGAAGTGGACCTCCAGCAAACTCCAGCAGACATGCAGAAGAGGGGCCTGACTATTAGGAGGAAAACTAACAAACAGAAAACAATAATATCAACATCAACAAAAAGGATGCCTGTGCAAAAACACCATCCAAAGGACATCAGCATCAAAGATGAACAGTAGGTAAATCCACAAAGATGAGGAAAAACCAGCACAAAAATCCTGAAAATTCCAAAAATCAGAGTGCCTCTTCTCCTCCAAAGGATCACAACTCCTCACCTGCAAGGGCACAAAACTGGGTGGAGAATGAGTTTGATGAATTGACAGAAGTAGGCTTCAGGAGGTGGGCAACAATAAACTCTGAGGTAAAGGAGCATGTTTTAACCCAATTTAAATAAGCTAAGAACCTTGATAAAAGGATAGAGGAGCTGCTGACTACAACCACCAGTTTAGAGAGGAACATAAATGACCCGATAGAGCTGAAAAACACAGCATGAGAACTTCATGAAGCATACACAAATAACAACAGCCAAATCAATCAAGTGGAAGATAGGATATCGGAGATTGAAGATCAACTTCATGAAATAAACAGTGAAGACAAGATTAAAGAAAAAAGAATAAAAAGGAATGAACAAAGCCTCCAAGAAATATGGGACTATGTGAAACGACAAAACCTACTATTGATTGGTGTACTTGAAAATGATGGGGAGAATGGAACCAAGTAAGAAAACACACTTCAGGATATTATCCAGGAGAACTTCCCCAACCTAGTAAGACAGGCCAAGATTCAAATTCAGGAAATACAAAGAACACCACAAAGATACTCTTCGAGAAGAGCAACCCCAAGACACATAATCGTCACATTCACCAAGCTTGAAAGCAAGGAAAAAATTCTAAGGGCAGCCAGAGAGAAAGGTCAGATTACCTACAAAGAGAAACCCATCAAACTAACAGTAGATCTCTCTGCAGAAACCCTACAAGTCAGAAGAGAGTGAGGGCCAAAATTCAACAGTCTTAAAGGAAATAATTTTCAACCCAAAATTTCATACCCTGCCAAACTAAGCTTAATAGGTGAAGGAGAAATAAAATCCTTTACAGACAAGCAAGTGCTGAGGAATTTTGTCACCACCAGGCCTGCCTTACAAGAGCTCCTGAAAGAAGCACTATATATGGAGAGGAAAAAACAGTACCAGCTACTGCAAAAACATACCAAAATATAAAGACCAATGACACTATGAAGAAACTGCATCAAGTAATATGCAAAATAACCAGCTAACATCGTGATGACAGGATGAAATACACACATAACAATATTAACCTTAAAAGCAAATGAGCTCAACGCCTCCAATTAAAAGACACAGACTGGCAAAAAAGGATAAAGAGCCAAGACCCATTGGTGTGCTGTATTCAGGAAACCCATCTCAAGTGCAAATACATAGGCTCAAAATAAAGGGATGCAGGAATATTTACGAAGCAAATGGAAAGCAAAATAAAATAAATAAATAAATAAATAAATAAATAAATATATCAGGGGTTGCAATTGTAGCCTCTGATAAAACAGACTTTAAACCAACAAAGATCAAAAAAGACAAAGAAGGGCGTTACATAATGGAAAAGGGATCAATGCAACAAGAAGAGCTGACTAACCTAAATTTATATGCACCCAATACAGAAGCACCCAGATTCATAAAGCAAGTTCTTATGGTCCTACAAAGAGACTTAGCCTCCCACACAATAAGAGTGGGAATTTTTAACACCCCACTGTCAATATTAGACAGATCAATGAAACAGAAAATTAACAAGGATATTCAGGACTCCAACTCAGCTCTGGACCAAACAGACCTAATAGACATCTATGGAACTCTCCAACCCAAATCAACAGAATATACATTCTTCTCAGCACCACATAGCACTTACTCAAAAATTGACCACATAATTGGAAATAAAACGCTCCTTAGCAAATGCAAAAGAATGGAAATCATAAGAAACAGTCTCTCATACCACAGTGAAATCAAATTAGAACTCAGGATTAAGAAACTCACTCAAAACCACACAACTACATGGAACCTGAACAACCTGCTCCTGAATGACTACTGGGTAAATAATGAAATTCAGGCAGCAATAAGTAAGTTCTTTGAAACTAATGAGAACAAAGGCGTAAGGTACCAGAATCTCTGGGACATAGCTAAAGTTGTGTTTAGGGAAAAATTTATAGCACTAAATGCCCACATCAGAAATGGGGAAAGATCTAAAATTGACACCTTAACATCACAATTAAAAGAACTAGAGAAGCAAGAGCAAACAAATTCAAACTAGCAGAAGACACGAAATAACTTAGAGCATAACTGAAGGAGATAGAGATGTGAAAAACCCTTAAAAAATCAGTGAACCTAGGAGGTGAAATTTTAAAAGATTAACAAAATAGACCACTAGCCAGACTAATAAATAAGAAAAGAGTGAAGAATCAAATAGACACAATAAAAAATGATAAGGGGGGATATCACCACTGATCCCACAGAAATACAAACTACCATCAGAAAATACTAAAAACACCTCTACACAAATAAACTAGAAAATGTAGAAGAACTTGATTAAATTCCTGGACACATAAACCCTCCCAAGACTAAACCAGGAAGAAGTCAAATCCCTGAATAGACCAATAACAAGTTATGAAGTTGAGGCAGTAATTAATAGCCTACCAACCCAAAAAAGCCCAGGACCAGGCGGATTCACAGGCAAATTCTACCACAGGTACAAAGAAGAGTGGGTACCATTCCTTTTGAAATTATTCCAAACGATAGAAAAAGAGGGACTCCTCCCTAACTCATTTTATAAGGCCAGCATCATCCTGATACCAAAACCTGGCAGAGACAACACAAAAAATAAAAAGAAAATTTCAGGCCAATATCCCTGATGGACATTGATGCAATTATCCTCTTTAAAATACTGGCAAACCAAATCCAGCAGCACATCAAAAAACTTATCCATCAAGATCAAGTCAGCTTCATCCCTGGGATGCCAGGCTGCTTCAATATACACAAATCAATAAATGTAATTCATCACATAAACAGAGCCAATTACAAAAACCCTGTGATTATCTCAATAGATGCAGAAAACACCTGTGATAAAATTCAACACACCTTCACGACAAAAACACTCAATAAACTAGGTATTGATGGGACATATCTCAAAAATAATAAGAGCTATTTATGACAAACCCACAGCCAATATCATACTGAATGGGCAAAAGCTAGAAACATTCCCTTTGACAACCGGCAAAAGACAAGGATGCCCTTTCTCACAACTCCTATTCAACGTAGTATTGGAAGATTTGGCCAAGGCAATCAGGCAAGAGAAATAAATAAAGAGTATTCAAATAGGAAGAGAAGAAGTCAAATTGCCTCTGTTTGCAGATAACTTGATTGTATATTTAGAAAACCCCATTGTCTCAGTTCAAAAACACTTTAAGCTGATAAGCAACTTCAGCAAAGCCTCAGGATACAAAACCAGTATGCAAAAATTACAAACATTCTTATAAACCAATAATAGACAAACAGCCAAATCATGAGTGAACTCCCATTCACAATTGCTACAAAGAGAATACAATATTCAGGAATCCAAATTACAAGGGACATGAAGGACCTCTTCAAGGAGAACTACAAACAACTGCTCAAGGAAATGAGAGGACACAAACAAATGGAAAAAAGTTTCCATGCCCTTGGATAGGAAGACTCAATATTGTGAAAATTCTCATACTGCCCAAAGTAATTTAAAGATTCAATGCAATTCCCATCATGCTGCCTTGATTTTCTTCATAGAATTAGAAAAAAACTACTTTAAATTTCATATGGAACTAAAAAAGAGCCCATATAGCCAAGACAATTCTAAGCAAAAAGAATAAACCTGGGGGCATCACACTAACTGACTTCAAACTATACTACAAGTCTACAGTAACCAAAACAGCATGGTACTGGTACCAAAACAGATATATAGACCAACAGAACAGAACAGAACAGAGGCCTCAGAAATAATGTCACACATCTAAAACTATCTGATCTTTGACAACCCTGACAAAAACAAGCAATGGGGAAAGGATTCCCTGTTTAAAAAATGGTGTTGGAAAAAGTGGCTAGCCATATGCAGAAAACTGAAACTGGACCCCTTCCTTACACTTTATACAAAAATTAACTCGAAATGGATAATCACTTAAATATAAGGCCCAAAATCATAAAAACCCTAGAAGAAAACCTAGGCCATACCATTCAGGGCATAGGCATAGGCAAAGACTTCATGACTAAAACACAAAAAGCAATGGCAACAAAAGGCAAAATTGACAAATGGGATCTAATTAAATTAAAAGCCTTCTGCACAGCAGGAGAAGCTATCATCAGAGTTAACAGGTAATCTACAGAATGGGAGAAAAATTTTGCAATCTATCCATCTGACAAAGGGCTAATATCCAGAATCTACAATGAACTTAAACAAATTTACAAGGAAAAAAAAACAATGTCATCAAAAAGTGGGCAAAGGATATAAACAGACACTTTTCAAAGAAGACATTTATGTGGCCAACAAACATGAAAAAAAGCTCATCATCACTGGTCATTAGAGAAATGTAAATTAAAATCATAATAAGATACCATCTCACACCAGTTAGAATGGTGATCATTAAAATGTCAAGAAACAACAAATGCTGGAGAAGATGTGGAGAAATAGGAACACTTTTACACTGTTGGTGGGCATTTAAGTTAGTTCAACCATTGTGGAAGACAGTGTGATGATTCCTCAAGGATCTAGAACTAGAATTACCATTTGATCCAGCAATCCCATTACTGGGTATATACCCAAAGGATTGTAAATCATTCTCCTATAAAGACACATGCACACATATGTTTATTGCAGCACTACTCACAATAGCAAAGACATGGAACCAACTCTAATGGCCATCAATGATAGAGTGGATATAGAAAATGTGGCGCATATACACCGTGGAATATTATGCAGCCATAAAAAAGAATGAGTTAATGTTCTTTGCAGGGACATGGATGAAGCTGGAAACCATCATACTCAGTAAAATAACATAGGAACAGAAAACCAAACACTACATATTTTTACTCATAAGTAAGAGTTGAACAATGAGAACACATGGACACAGGGAGGGGAACATCACACACTGGGGCCTGTCAGGGAGTGGGGGGAAAGGTGAGGGATAGCATTAGGAAAAGTACCTAATGCATGTGGGGTTTTAAACTTTTTTTGATGGGTTGATGGGTGTAGCAAACCACCATGGCAAATGTACACATAAGTAACAAACCTGTATGTTCTGCACATGTATCCCAGCATTTAAAATATAAAAATGTTAAAAGTATGTTGCTTATTTACAAATATCTAGGGATATAATTGTTTTATTTTTATTTGTTTTTAATCCAATTCATTGTCAGAGAGCATACTCACTATAATTTTAATCACTTAAAAGTAATTTAGACTTGCTTTGTAGCCATATCTTGGGTAATGTTCCATGTGACTTTAAAAAAACACGTTTTTCTCAGTTTTTCTATGGTCGTATACTCTATTCTCTCTCTCTTCCCCCAATCCTCCAACAATCCCTTGTTTGACTCTGTGACCCTATGATTCTCTATTAGCTGAGAAAAAGCAACCTTTCTGGCTCACTATCATGGGTTTCAGTATTGAAAGCATGTTGCTGTTTGGAAATAAGTAGCAATATACCTTGCAAGTGGTAAAACCTTGATGTAAGAAGGCAAAGGCAAATCTTCACTATGAACTCATAAGTGTTTATTTGGTAGTGGAAGAAGAGTTAAGTACTCACTCAGGAGAACATTATGTGTATTCCCAGATTTTTTAATGTTGGCCAGTAGCCTTGTTGTTTGGTCATGCAAATTGGCCATAGAAAATGGACAATAGATAATATCCATCCATATGAGGCACTCTTATGGAAATATCTATTGGAGTTGAGAAGTATTGAAGAGGATCATCTCAAACACCATCTCTCCAAGAAAGGCTTATTTAGTTCACTAGACTATCTACCTAAGTTAATGAAATGAGTAGTGTATTGGTTCTTAGATCACAGATCTAAGATAGCACATATTTCCCTTACACCCTATAAAACAACTAATGTGACAAATTACTGTGTCCAATATAAACAAATATATAATCTCTTGTCAATGATCATGGGTAAAATTACCCAAAGCAAGTAGGTCACATTGGACCTCTACCTGTAGCCAGAGAAAGCTTAAAGTGAGTATTAAGTGGGAACAAAATCTTTTCTACTTGAGACTGCACTTATTCTGTAGCAGATCTAATCTGAGGCATAAATTTCAAAGTTTGAAGCGATATATTTTCTATTAAATTGAACTACTTACATGTCTGTTTTCTGATCATCTACAAAATGGTCTAGGAAACATAATATTACACAAGCATATCATATTCTTTATTACTCTCAGAACAGTGGTCTAACAAAATTCAAATGAGGAAGTGAAACATATACAGGAGGTGGTGAGAAAGGTCTTAAGAGTTGGCTTAGTTGGTGTGTTTGACTGACTGTAAGGTGACTTGTGAATGATCTCTGAATGCTGGTGTTTACACCCTTTGTTTCAACCCATTTTCTTCAAAGTATATCAGACCCATGACTTGTTTCTAATTAACAAAATATGACAAATATGACAAAGGTAATGATACTTCACTTCTGTGAATATATTATGTTATATAAGACTCTGTCTTACAATCAGACTCTTTCTAGAGACCCTCTTCCCTAGCTGGCTTGATGAAATAAACAGTTATGTTGGGAAAACCCACATGGCAAGAGAGTATGAACAGCCTCTACAGACTGCAGACAACTTCTAGGAAGTGAGGGTGATTTTTGGCTGACATCCAGGAAAAAAAAAAAACAAAGCAAAAAATGGAAGCTCTAAGTCCTATACCCACAAGGAACTGAATTCCATCAAAACCTGGATTAACTTTGAAGCCAATTCTTTTCCAGTCCAGTCTTCAGATCAAAATGCAGCCAACCAGTACTTATGCTGCTACTTTGTGAGCTCCTAAACACAGGGGCCAGCTAAGTTGGTCCTGGACTTTAGAAACTATAAGTTGTCAAGTGTGTGTTGATTTACAAGTATTGTCGAGGATGTGGAGAAAGGGAATCCTGGTACAACGTTGGTGAGAAGTAAAGCATTACAGCCATTAGGGAAAATTGTATGGAGTTTCCTCAAAAAATTAAAAAAGAACTACCATATGATCCAGCAATCCAACTACTGGTTATATACTTAAAGGAAAATGAAATCAGCATGTATAAGAGAAACCTGTACTCTCACGTTTATTGTGGTACTATTCACAATTGCCGAGATATGGAGTCAATCTAAGTGTTCATTAGGGATAATGGATAAAGAAAATGTAGCATATATACATAATGGAATACTATTCAGCCATAAATGTGAATGAATACCTTCATTTGTAACAACATGGATTAACCTGGAGAACCTTATTTAACTGCATGAAATAAGCCAGGCACAGAAAGACCAATATGGCATGATCTCACTCATATATGGAATCAAAAAAAGTTCATCCCATAGAAGGTGACAGTAGAATCTTGGTTACTAGAGGATGGGAAAGGATGAGGAAAAGAGGAGTTGGTCAATGGTACAATATTACAGTTTGGAGGAATAAGTTCTGGTGTTGTATTGCATGGTAGGGTGACTAAAGTTAATAATAATGTATTGTATATTTCAAAATAGCTAGAAGAGGAATTTTAATATTCTTACCATACAGAAATGATAAATAAGGTAATGGATATGCTAACTACTCTGATTTGATCATTACACATTTTAGTCCATAAATTTGTACAATTATTTTATGTGTATCAAAAATAAAGCAAAAGTAAGTATGTGGCAATTCATTACACAGCAATAGATAACTAATGCAATAACTTAAAAACAAATGTCCTAAATCTGGGCCGGGTGTGGTGGCTCACGCCTATAATTACAGCACTTTGGGAGGCCAAGAAGCACAGATCACTTGAGGTCAGGAGTTCAATACCAGCCTGGCCAACATTGTGAAACCCAGTCTCTACTAAAAATATAAACATTTGCCAGGTCTAGTGGTGCACACCTGTAATCCTAGCTACTCGGAAAGCTGGGGCAGGAGAATATCTTGAAGTTGGGAGGCAGAGATTGTAATGAGCAGAGATCACACCACTGCACTCCAGCCTGGGCGACAGAGTGAGTGAGATTCTATCTTAAAAAAAAAAAAAAAAAAAAGATGGGACTCTTTAGGTACATCGTCCACATAAACATCAGTTAGCGTGAGATTATATCCTCACTAAGAAAGGACTATTGTGTCTTAACGTAATGTATTGAATATCTGTGAAGGTCACAGGTTCCAGCTACTAGGAAATTGAACCAAATAAGTAAATTTATTTTAAAAAAAACTACAGAAAGCCTAAATCACAACAAAGTCACCTGACAGTATGTTCTTAATTGTTCTTTAATAGCCTGAATTTCATGAATACAAAGAGATTTATCTCCCCTGTGGCTCAATTGTTCCACCATACCTAAAAGCAGGTGTTTGTAACAACTGGCACTGTAATATTTAGATATAGTTATATCTACAAACCAAATAAAACCCAGAATTTATTGAATAGTGACCTGTAGTCACCAATCCATTAATTGAGAATGTTTGGTATGCTGCAAGAGGTTGTTTCTGTTGGGATAGAATACCGAATGATACTGTAACTTGAACTGTTGTATACTGAGACCTTTTTCAATCTCTCCATTATAGCTAAAAAGTATAACAAAGGTTTGAAGTTCATTTTTGTAATTAAATGAAAACCAATCTTATGCAAGTGAAGATAAGAATTATTTTAATAAGCTGAGTTGAAAACTCCAAATCATATAATTAAAATGGGAACCCATTGGCCATGAAAACAAGTGACTTTGGCCATAGACATTCAAATAAATGCCTTCATCAACATGTATAAAAAATTTTAAGTAACGTAAATTATGAAGTAATTTAACTAGGAAAAAATGACTCATAAAAAATTGTACATGCTTTATACAGGAAACTCCTATGCTTATGCATATGGTTCAAATTTTCATCCTCATCTTATGTTAGGCATATTCTTTTATACAAGATTTTGCAGAAAATGCTGTAATATGAATAATGACTAGCTACCTGATATATGTGGCAAGAAGATGTTGACAAAGTAAGAGAATGGACTGAAGAGAAAGCAGTTTAGATATCTTGCCTTTGATCCATTTATCTCCTAATTCCCCAGGGTCAACCCCTGGGGAAAAAAAATGCAGATGACTTGGTCTAGCCACCTTGAAAACATGCTAATAACTGACATTTCTTATAACATGTTGACTGAATGCACAGACTCATATTTTCTAAAACCGGTGTTCTTATTTATAAGATGCAAAAATTGATCTGCTGTTACATTTTCATTTCAGATATTGAATTCTTCAAGTCTAGAATTTTAGTTAATTTCTTTGTATCCATTCCATATCTTTGTAGAGATTCCCAATCTTTCATTTATTATGCCTTTTTTAAGTACATAAAATTTTTATCACAAGTGTTTAACTACACTTATCTTTAAATCCCCAAACATCTGTGTCATCTGAATTTGTTACTATAGCTTTTTTTTCCATTACTTGAGAGTCATATTCACCTCCTTCTTTGCATGTCTAGTAATTTTAATTCTATCCTGAACAAGGCAGATGCTGCAAGCTTATTTTCTGCCCACATTTAGATTGTATTAAGTTTAGTTCTGGCTAGCAGACAGGTCTTCTTGATCCTATAAAACCTTGGTTTCAGAAATTGTTATGAAGGATACAGCATATTTTTTACTCAATGACTAGAGTAACCCTGCTCCTAAAACATCTTTCTTGGATCATGATGGCATGTCTGTCTGTTTAATGAGGCATCTCCAATTTGTCTAGTCATATCTCCTAACACATATTCGGTAAGGCCTCCAGAATATGCATTCATCTCCCTGATCCCCTATCCCCTAGTATTAGCTATTCTCTGACTCGTTTTCAGGGTCTTGCCCAGTGCATGCACAAGTTAGTATTTGGGCAAAGCCTCAAAGGGAAACCTATGTAGTCCTCTGGATTTTCTTATCTGTGCAATTCCTTCACCACTAGTTTTCTGTCCTATAAATTGCAGCTGATTCAGCAAACTCCAGCATCCAAACCATATACCTTCCAGTTAGATCTCTACTTTGTTTGACTAAGCTCTCCTGCCATATATATATATTTCCTGAGGGTGCATTTGTGTTTCTCTGGCAATTCTCTGTGCCATAATTTGGGTAGTGATCGTCACAGAAAGCCAAGTTGAATGCAGAGGTCACCTCTTTTTTTCCTTTCTCTCAAGCACCATAGCCCTGTGCTGCCCAATTCATTATAAACAGTTGCTTTGTATATGCTTATTGTCTTTTCTTCTTAGTTGGTTTCTGAAGTCCCTGGTCTGTTTTAAATGTCTCCTTTTTTTTTAATCTCTCTCTTTTGCTTCTTTAGTAGCAACTTGAAAATTATACATATTTTCCTACCTTGATCAAAATTTTGAATTTTATCATCATAACTTCACAAACTAGTTTTTAAGAAATATTATTCCTGATTACTTCCATTTAAAATAAAATATTTAAAATGACTTCAGTTGTTTTTCTTTTTCTTTTTTTAAAATTTTTTGTTTTTAATTTTGTGGGTACATAGTAGGTGACATTTTTCTTTTCATCAATGATTTTGTTTTAGAAACAAAATTATTGTTAATATGGTTTTATATTTTGGAATTATATTCAGAAATTATTTTTGAGATTTGTTTTGTCTCAAATTTTTAACAAGGTTTAGATATTATGTTCTTATTTTTATCTTAATAATCAAGTATTTCTGTATATGACATATTTCTATTGCTGTATTCTCTGTTAAATGAGGTAAAGTATAGTAATTCCTGGCCTAAATTAGGCAGTTAATAAACATTATCTGCTGTTGCTGCTATCATCATCATCATCATTAAATAGCACACATATCACCAAAAACACCAAAAATTTAAGCTTCAAATCGACAATTTCTGAATTACAAAGATGACAGATCTGACTCATTTGGAAGAGATCATTTTCTCTCTCCTTCCATCTCTCTCTCATGAAAAACATTTTTTTATGATTAGTTGGCTACACAAAGAAGCAATAATAGACGTTAAAACAAGTTATGGTTGTTTTCAATAATATTTTGATTCTAAATCCTAGAAATTTCTGTGAGATCATTTGAGTTACAGCCTACTTTAAAACATTTAGGAAGCATCAGTGTCACTATAAAATGACTATCTAATTCAGTCACAGAGATAATTCATAGCATTTATAAATCATTGTAATTAAATTTGAGAAAAAAAACAGGTCTTTGATTCAAAGAAAAATACTGCCTCAAATAGGAGGTAATCTTATATACTGGTAGTGACTTTGACCATACACCAAGAACTTTAGATGTAAATCACTATAAATAATTTTTCCTGACCCAATTCTCTCAAAAAGAGTTGGAATTATGAGTTGGAAATGATTTATAACCAGATTCCAATCTGATTTAATGTTAATACATATTCCTAATTAATGGGAATAATGATAGGGTTCAATAATCCAACAACGGAATATCATACTCGAGCTATTCCCATACTCATTCCATGTGTTATTTCAAGTTCTTCCAAAGAAACTTGGGTAAAGAACAAATGATATTATTTGGATTTGTTATCAGCAACATGGCAAAGACTAAGACAAAACATGTTGATATTTGTCTGTCTTTTCATCGTTATTTTATATAGATTTTATTAACTGTCAGAGATGATTTGCTAAGCTCCCTTGCGATATACAGTATGTAAGGATCCTGAGGAAGAATTTGTGTCTCTAATGACAGAAGTGAATCCCTTATATTAAATAAGTATAGGAACTCCATAAAAAGGTCTGGAGAAAATTGAAACTGTTTAGAAGTCTGAGTCAGTGGTAGAATATATGTGCAGACTTAGTTATGAATGCATTTGCATTTTTAAGGGAGTTTAAATCAATTCCCTTTATATATACCTGTCACAGTTTGGGTTTAAGGTTTCTAAAATATGGTGTGAAAAGTGCAGGCCATGTAGCCCGTGTAACATAGGGGTTGTTCCCATCTTAGTGATGATATAATGAATCATCTTCATAATAAATCATTACAATAGCTTTCTCCAGTGGAATTTAGGCTCACATACTTCCATTTAGCACTTGATTCTATAGTCAGGCTATAGATTTATGGGTAGAGAAGCCACTTATGAGACTGAGATTGTAGTTTTCCATCTGACCTGAGAATAGACATAACATAAACAAATATGAACACTAAGAAAAAGTAGGTTATTAAATTTGAAAGTTTATTTCCAAAACCTTTCCCTGATTTGGAAACTAAAGTTTACATAGACAACTTCCATGCCTCAGCATCTTCATATGCTGGACTACAGGGCTGATTGTGAATATCTTCAAATTTGCCTCCAACTTAAATGTTCTATAATTTTATGAAAAATTTAATTACACAGAATTGAAATCCTTCTTACCAGATCTAAGTTTTTCTAAAGTGTTTACTTCCCTAGAATATATTATTAACAATGATTCTTAAACCCATTTTCTGAGGGATCTTAAAAACCAGGATGAATACCTGTCAATACTGAATTTTTCAAATGGAACTGCCATGTTCCAGCTATGTTACATGTAAAAACTCCACCTCACATATCTAAGATACATTCCCTTATATCACTTACCTACCTATGTGAAGAATATTTTTTCAGGTGGTGTATTAGTTTTCTCTAGCCTCCATAACAAATTGCCAAAAATTAAAGGGTTTAAATGATGCAAATATTATTTTTTACAATTCTGGAGGTCAAGAGCCTGATATGAGTCTCACTGAGTTAAAAGGAAGCTGTCAGAATTCCTTTCTGGAGGCTCTTGGGGAGGATTCGTTTCCTAGCTCGTTCATATTATTGGCAGAATTCAATTCCTTGGTATTCTAGACCTGAGGTCCCCATGTCCTTTCAGGATGTCAGCCTGAAGACATTCTCACATCTATTGTCCACCAGATTCTCTGGTTCCTGCCCCCTTCTCCATCTTCAAAGCTAGCAATGTCTACTGATGTCCCTCTGAAGCTTCAAATCTCACCTGCTTCTCATTTTGTCACATCCCTCTGTCTGTCTCTCTGACTCTAGATGGGAGAGCTTTGTTAATTTTAAGGGCTCATGAATTAGAATGGGCCCACATTGATAATCCAGGAAAATATTCCCATCAGAAGGTCTAAATGCTTAAGCACATCTGCAAGTCCCTTTTGCTAGATAGCATGACATATTCAGAGGTTCCGCATACTTAGAGTAAGGACCTCTTTTGAGGACCATTATTCTATCTACAAGTAGTCTTTCCAGGCTCTTTCAATTCTAAAGTCTATGATTGTACAATATGGCTTTCTTAATAATATTTCAACTTCCTGAAAATGCCCATTCTATATTGCCCAATATTTTGAAGTTCCTTTCAACAATATTCGAAGATAATTTTTCCTCTTGCTCTAAAATCCATTTGCACTAGACTTTCCCATGCCCCATTTGTCACCTAATGTATTAAACATATTTTTAGTTATATCTTCACTTAAATATACCAATTAATGTGTTTGCCACGTCTCATACACAATAAATACTGTAGCTGGGTAGTGACCAGTTCTGTCAGCTGTGATGTAAGTTTGTCTACATTCAATTACAAATACAATTGCTTATTGGTTGTGATAACTTGCTAAAGTGGCTTAGTGTCTCTAAACCATAATTTCCTTGATCTCCAAAATAAGGATATCTATCATATAGGATTACTTTGGGTTAATAACTAATAAACATAAGTCAGTTGATAGACTTAACTGAGTAAACAAGGTGTTTAAGAAACTTAAAGAAAATACTGATACCTTATAAGTGCAAAGTTATTCTTAATTGATTAGCATATATTAGCAATAGACTTAAAATTATGTAGAATTTTTATATTCCATTGGGTAAAATATATTTTTATCATTTGTGACCTTGAGAGGTCATGCTTCATACATAACCACATATAAAACCAATGAAAAATAAATCTCAGTTCTCTTGACTTCTGTAGTGATAGTTTTCTATCATGAATCATCCTTTCTCTTTGAAATAAACATATGTCCTTGTAGTTTGTGAAAATTTTAATGCCTACGATTATAATAAATCTAAATTTTTAGTAAGTTTGATTCTATTAATTTACACTTACCAAATTGGGGATATGAATATTACTCACATTAATTTTGTGTATTTTACTTCACATTGTTTCAGAAGAAATTTAAGACAGTTCATAACACGAAAAGCATTTCAATATAAGATTAATTAAAAATTGTGATAAAGTAAAAAGATAATAGGAGTAAAAAACTTGAAGAACTAAGAAAAAGAACAAAATTATGCATCATAATCTAAGTTTTCCATAGCTACAGTGAAACAATATATCCATTACCTTACACTATTTTCCATATACATGAAAAAAATATACTTATTACACCTAGTAAAGGGTAACCCCGTAATGGCAGAGATTGCTGTCTATTTTACTATTGGTTGTCTCTTGCACTTTGAACAGTTCCTGGAACATAATATGTGCTCAATATATATGTGTAGTATGAACATTTAGAAATAAATTTATTGTCTGCAAACTGTCTATAAGGAAGAGCAAAAAATCTCGAGCTGATGAGTATGGCTCAAGTCAAATTGTGAGAAGTTTTTAATATCTGTAAAAGTAGGTCAACTGCCATCTTTTAAGCAATTCTCCATGAAGCTTGTTTAACTTAATTCAATTTCTGAAGAAGATTGTGTTGTAATCAGCTTAAGGTTGGTTTTTGTGGTCAGATACATATAAAGCAGTTACTCTTTAGCTGTCTTTCACTCCCACACTGGTTTTACTGAATTTTATTTCCAGATGGTTTCAGTGTAAAGGAGAGGAAAACTATATTGGCTATTAACATTTAAGATAGCATCTATTACACATGATAATATTATTAGCAGTTGAATTATATTCCTTTACTTTAATAATTGGCTCCTGACTTTAAGAATTTTGTAACCTGAAATTAGTTTTTATATAAAAAAATTTATTTTTTATTTTGTATTTTTGTTATTTCTTATTCTTTTTTTTTTCTTTTTTTAAATTTATTATTATTATACTTTAAGTTTTAGGTTACATGTGCACAATGTGCAGGTTAGTTACATGTGTATACATGTGCCATGCTGGTGTGCTGCACCCACTAACTCATCATCTAGCATTAGGTATATCTCCTAATGCTATCCCTCCCGCCTCCCACGACAGTCCCCAGAGTGTGATGTTCCCCTTCCTGTGTCCATGTGTTCTCATTGTTCAAATCCCACCTATGAGTGAGAATATACGGTGTTTGGATTTTTGTTCTTGCGATACTTTACTGAGAATGATGATTTCCAATTTCATCCATGTCGCTACAAAGGACGTGAACTCATCATTTTTTATGGCTGCATAGTATTCCATGGTGTATATGTGCCACATTTTCTTAATCCAGTCTATCTTTGTTGGACATTTGCTTTGGTTCCAAGTCTTTGCTATTGTGAATAATGCCGCAATAAACATATGTGTGCATGTGTCTTTATAGATGCATGATTTATAGTCCTTTGGGTATATACCCAGTAATGGGATGGCTGGGTCAAATGGTATTTCCAGTTCTAGATGCCTGAGAAATCGCCACACTGACTTCCACAATGGCTGAACTAGTTTACTGTCCCACCAACGGTATAAAAGTGTTCCTATTTCTCCACATCCTCTCCAGTACCTGTTGTTTCCTGACTTTTTAATGATTGCCATTCTAACTGGTGTGAGATGGTGTCTCATTGTGGTTTTGATTTGCATTTCTCTGATGGCCAGTGATGGTGAGCATTTTTTCGTGTGTTTTTTGGCTGCATAAATGTCTTCTTTTGAGACGTGTCTGTTCATGTCCTTTACCCACTTTTGATGGGGTTGTTTTTTTCTCGTAAATGTGTTTGAGTTCATTGTAGATTCTGGATATTAGCCCTTTGTCAGATGAGTAGGTTGCAAAAATTTTCTCCCATTTTGTAGGTTGCCTGTTCACTCTGATGGTAGTTTCTTTTGCTGTGCAGAAGCTCTTTAGTTTAATTAGATCCCATTTGTCAATTTTGTCTTTTGTTGCCATTGCTTTTGGTGTTTTAGACATGAAGTCCTTGCCCATGCCTATGTCCTGAAAGGTAATGCCTAGGTTTTCTTCTAGGGTTTTTATGGTTTTAGGTCTAATGTTTAAGTCTTTAATCCATCTTGAATTGATTTTTGTATAAGGTGTAAGGAAGGGATCCATTTTCAGCTTTCTACATATGGCTAGCCAGTTTTCCCAGCACCATTTATTAAATAGGGAATCCTTTCCCCATTACTTGTTTTTCTCAGGTTTGTCAAAGATCAGATAGTTGTAGATATGTGGCGTTATTTCTGAGGTCTCTGTTCTGTTCCATTGATCTATATCTCTGTTTTGGTACCAGTACCATGCTGTTTTGGTTACTGTAGCCTTGTAGTATAATTTGAAGTCAGGTAGTGTGATGCCTCCAGCTTTGTTCTTTTGGCTTAGGATTGATTTGGTGATGTGGGTTCTTTTTTGGTTTCCATATGAACTTTAAAGTAGTTTTTTCCAATTCTGTGAAGAAAGTCATTGGTAGCTTGATGGGGATGGCATTTAATCTGTAAATTACCTTGGACAGTATGGCCATTTTCACGATATGGATTCTTCCTACCCATGAGCATGGAATGTTCTTCCACTTGTTTGTATCCTCTTTTATTTCCTTGAGCAGTGGTTTGTAGTTCTCCTTGAAGAGGTCCTTCACATCCCTTGTCAGTTGGATTCCTAGGTATTTTATTCTCTTTGAAGCAATTGTGAATGGGAGTTCACTCATGATTTGGCTCTCTGTTTGTCTGTTTTTGGTGTATAGGAATGCTTGTGATTTTTGTACATTGATTTTGTATCCTGAGACTTTGCTGAAGTTTCTTATCAGCTTAAGGAGATTTTGGGCTGAGACAGTGGGGTTTTCTAGATATACAATCATGTCATCTGCAAACAGGGACAATTTGACTTCCTCTTTTCCTAATTGAATACCCTTTATTTCCTTCTCCTGCCTAATTGCCCTGGCCAGAACTTCCAACACTATGTTGAATAGGAGTGGTGAGAGAGGGCATCCCTGTCTTGTGCCCGTTTTCAAAGGGAATGCTTCCAGTTTTTGCCCATTCAGTATGATATTGGCTGTGGGTTTCTCATAGATAGCTCTTATTATTTTGAGATACATCCCATCAATACCTAATTTATTGAGACTTTTTAGCATGAAGCGTTGTTGAATTTTGTCAAAGGCCTTTTCTGCATCTATTGAGATAATCATGTGGTTTTTGTCATTGGTTCTGTTTATATGGTGGATTACATTTATTGATTTGCATATACTGAACCAGACTTGCATCCCAGGGATGAAGCCCACTTGATCATGGTGGATAAGCTTTTTGATGTGCTGTTGGATTCAGTTTGCCAGTATTTTATTGAGGATTTTTGTATCAATGTTCATCAAGGATATTGGTCTAAAATTCTCTTTTTTGGTTGTGTCTCTGCCCGGCTTTGGTATCAGGATGATGCTGGCTTCATAAAATGAGTTAGGGAGGATTCCCTCTTTTTCTATTGATTGGAATAGTTTCAGAAGGAATGGTACCAGTTCCTCCTTGTACCTCTGGAACAATTCGGCTGTGAATCCATCTGGTCCTGGACTCTTTTTGGATGGTAAGCTACTGATTATTGCCACAATTTCAGCTCCTGTTATTGGTCTATTCAGAGATTCAACTTCTTCCTGGTTTAGTTTTGGGAGAGTGTATGTGTCGAGGAATGTATCCATTTCTTCTAGATTTTCTAGTTTATTTGTGTAGAGGTGTTTGCAGTATTCTCTGATGGTAGTTTGTATTTCTGTGGGATCAGTGGTGATATCCCCTTTATTGTTTTTTATTGCATCTACTTGATTCTTCTCTCTTTTTTTTCTTTATTAGTCTTGCTAGCAGTCTATCAATTTTGTTGATCCTTTCAAAAAACCAGCTCCTGGATTCATTAATTTTTTGAAGGGTTTTTTGTGTCTCTATTTCCTTCAGTTCTGCTCTGATTTTAGTTATTTCTTGCCTTCTGCTAGCTTTTGAATGTGTTTGCTCTTGCTTTTCTAGTTCTTTTAATTGTGATGTTAGGGTGTCAATTTTGGATCTTTCCTGCTTTCTCTTGTGGGCATTTAGTGCTATAAATTTCCCTCTACACACTGCTTTGAATGCGTCCCAGAGATTCGGGTATGTTGTCTCTTTGTTCTCGTTGGTTTCAAAGAACATCTTTATTTCTGCCTTCATTTCTTTATGTACCCAGTAGTCGTTCAGGAGCAGGTTGCTCAGTTTCCATGTAGTTGAGCGGTTTTGAGTGAGATTCTTAATCCTGAGTTCTAGTTTGATTGCACTGTGGTCTGAAAGACAGTTTGTTATAATTTTTGTTCTTTTACATTTGCTGAGGAGTGCTTTACTTCCAACTATGTGGTCAATTTTGGAATAGGTGTGGTGTTGCACTGAAAAAAAAATGTATATTCTGTTGATTAGGGGTGGAGAGTTCTGTAGATGTCTATTAGGTCTGCTTGGTGCAGAGCTGAGTTCAATCCTGGGTATCCTTGTTGACTTTCTGTCTCGTTGATCTGTCTAATGTTGACAGTGGGGTGTTAAAGTCTCTCATTATTAATGTGTGGGAGTCTAAGTCTCTTTGTAGGTCACTCAGGACTTGCTTTATGAATCTGGGTGCTCCTGTATTGGGTGCATATATATTTAGAATAGTTAGCTCTTCTTGTTGAATTGATCCCTTCGCCATTATGTAATGGCCTTCTTTGTCTCTTTTGATCTTTGTTGGTTTAAAGTCTGTTTTATCAGAGACTAGGATTGCAACCCCTGCCTTTTTTTGTTTTCCATTTGCTTGGTAGATCTTCCTCCTTCCTTTATTTTGAGCCTATGTGTGTCTCTGCACATGAGATGGGTTTCCTGAATACAGCACACTGATGGGTCTTGACTCTTTATCCAATTTGCCAGTCTGTGTCTTTTAATTGGAGCATTTAGTCCATTTACATTTTAAGTTAATATTGTTATGTGTGAATTTGATCCTGTCATGATGTTAGCTGGTTATTTTGCTTGTTAGTTCCTGCAGTTTCTTCCTAGTCTCGATGGTCTTTACATTTTGGCATGATTTTGCAGCGGCTGGTATCGGTTGTTCCTTTCCATGTTTAGTGCTTCCTTCAGGAGCTCTTTTAGGGCAGGCCTGGTGGTGACAAAATCTCTCAGCATTTGCTTGTTTGTAAAGTATTTTATTTCTCCTTCACTTATGAAGCCTAGTTTGGCTGGATATGAAATTCTGGGTTGAAAATTCTTTTCTTTAAGAATGTTGAATATTGGTCCCCACTCTCTTCTGGCTTGTAGAGTTTCTGCCGAGAGATCCACTGTTAGTCTGATGGGCTTCCCTTTGTGAGTAACCCGACCTTTCTCTCTGGCTGCCCTTAACATTTTTTCCTTCATTTCAACTTTAGTGAATCTGACAATTATGTGTCTTGGAGTTGCTCTTCTCGAGGAGTATCTTTGTGGCGTTCTCTGTATTTCTGAATCTGAATGTTGGCCTGCCTTGCTAGATTGGGGAAGTTCTCCTGGATGATATCCTGCAGAGTGTTTTCCAACTTGGTTCCATTCTCCCCGTCACTTTCAGGTACACCAATCAGACGTAGATTCGGTCTTTTCACATAGTCCCATATTTTTGGAGGCTTTGCTCCTTTCTTTTTATTCTTTTTTCTCTAAACTTCCCTTCTCGCTTCATTTCATTCATTTCATCATCCATCGCTGATACCCTTTCTTCCAGTTGATCACATCGGCTCCTGAGGCTTCTGCATTCTTCACGTAGTTCTCAAGCCTTGGTTTTCAGCTCCATCAGCTCCTTTAAGCACTTCTCTGTATTGGTTATTCGAGTTATACATTCTTCTAAACTTTTTTCAAAGTTTTCAACTTCTTTGACTTTGGTTTGAATTTCCTCCCATAGCTCGGAGCAATTTGATTGTCTGAAGCCTTCTTCTCTCAGCTCGTCAAAGTCATTCTCCGTCCAGCTTTGTTCCATTGCTGGTGAGGAACTGCATTCCTTTGGAGGAGGAGAGGCACCCTGCTTTTTAGAGTTTCCAGTTTTTCTGCTCTGTTTTTTCCCCATCTTTGTGGTTTTATCTACTTTTGGTCTTTGATGATGGTGATGTACAGATGGGTTTTTGGTGTGGATGTCCTTTCTGTTTGTTAGTTTTCCTTCTAACAGACAGGACCCTCAGCTGCTGGTCTGTTGGAGTACCCGGCCCTGTGAGGTGTCAGTCTGCCCCTGCTGGGGGGTTCCTCCCAGTTAGGCTGCTTGGGGGTCAGGGGTCAGGGACCCACTTGAGGAGGCAGTCTGCCCGTTCTCAGATCTCCAGCTGCATGCTGGGAGAACCACTGCTCTCTTCAAAGCTCAGATGGAAATGCAGAAATCACCCGTCTTCTGCATCGCTCATGCTGGGAGCTGTAGACCAGAGCTGTTCCTATTCGGCCATCTTGGCTCCTCCCCTCCAAAAATTTTAAAATTAGTTTAAAAGAGGAGGCACTGTTTCCATGCTTAACTTTTAAAAAATAAATTATCAGTGACAACTTAATTATTATTAAGTTAACTTGGCCTTGAAATATGATGATGCAAGGTTTTGGTTTCTACAAGTCCTAAAAGTCCAGACTTGCAAATATTTGGGAATAAAAATAGATGCGGTTAGGAACATAAACATGGTGAGAAAGGTCGAACATTAGCCTACAACATATCATTTTTTCTTAAAGTATTAACGTTTCTTTCTATTTTACTAGCCAAATTAAATACAAAGAGAGGGTAGGTTTGTCATATAAGAACTCCCATAGAAAATGAAAAGCATCTTCTATGCTGCTGCGAAGGAAACTGTGCTTCATTAAGGTTCTCAGATAGGTACCCAGATGAGTTGCCCTCCGTGAATTTGTTACTGAGAAAAGAAATAAAAAGAATATTAAACCAAAAGCAAAAATAAAATATTTTCCTTTAGTCTCCTAGTAGCAAACTGCCACATCCATTCATAAACAAATGCCTTTCTTGTGCATAAACTAGACAGAAAATTCAATAGCATTCTAAACTACATTATAAGTCATACTGATTTGAATACTGCAATTTAATACTTTCTGAGAAAAAAGTGCCTAAAATCTAGATGAGGTCTGAAGCAAGGACGTATTTGGAGTCTCCAGGTAGACAGTGGTTAAGAAATAAACAAACTTTACTACCTCTGTTTTTCTTTTCAGAAAAGCAAGAAGCCCCCAAGGAGTACAGTGGGAGTAATTCTGTCTGTGGCAGTTTAGAATCATCCAGAAGCCTAACGTTTTACAATAAAAGATGACTCCCTCGCCTTTATTGATAAATGGCTATAATTTTCCACTGGACACCCTGAATCGGCTACCCTGTCAGAACAGGGAAAAAAAAGCTCTCTAACTCTGAACTAGAGGTGTAATTCTGAAATGTGAGACTTTAGTGTGCAACAATAACGTATTTTCTATGAACCTTTGACATGAAAGAGTTTTAGAGAAATATAAAGCTGGCAGGTATGTACAAATAGCAAGCACTTGGATAAACTCAGCAATTTTATCATAAAGGACAAAATAATAATGAGTTAAGGAAACAATCTGAAACACAATGGCAGGAAATGTAGTAAAAAATGAACTTCAAAGAAAGCTATCATGTGACACACAATCCATTGAAGCTACTAGAATGCCTAGTGTTTCCTCAACTTTAGAATAAGGAATATGGTGACAAGGCTTATTCAGCCACACGCTTCACACAGACAAAAATTACACACTCTATCTTTTAAAGAACATCTGTCACACTATAGACAAAGTAACTATTTGATAAATATGTATGAGTAAAAATGCTTATCTTACTTTTTAGGTAAATCACGTGTTACTGGACCTGTTGGTTATTGTCCCTCTCTATGCCATGATGCTCCTCAAATAGTTCAGTTACTTCTCTGTATTTTCAGGAATAACCTGTTGATTTATTCATTGTCTTTTCTCCTGATAAGTTTATATCTAATCTATTTTTAAACTACTATAATAGTGTGAATATTAGTAATTGCATTGCTTTTAAGATTCAAGTCATTGATATTTTAAAATTTCTATTTTATTTTATTTTATTTTATTTTATTTTATTTTATTTTTTTGAGACAGAGTCTCACTCTGTGGCCCAGGCTGGAGTGCAGTGATGCAATCTTGGCTAACTGCAACCTCTGCCTCCTGGGTTCAAGCGATTCTCCTGCCTCAGCCTTCTGAGTAGCTAAAATTACATGTGTGCACTAAAACTCCCAGCTAATTTTTGTATTTTTAGTAGAGACAGGGTTTTGCCATGTTAGCCAGCTTGTCTTGAACTCCTGATCTCAATCGATCCACCTGCCTTGGCCTCCACAGTAATGGGATTACAGGTGTGAGCCGCTGCACCTGGCCTTGATGTTTTAAAATTTCAATAGTTAAAAATGTGTTCTAATAAGTGTAATCACTTTGGAATTTGGATGTTACTACTTCACTGTCATGCATCAATATTGTCAGCTAATAAGCATTCATTGAAGTATCATTTTGTGCATTCAGTGAGAAGAAGAAAGTGATATTAATTTAATTTAAAATATATTTCCAAGACAGTGTTGATATTGAATAAATAATAATGAACTGAAATGAATAAACGGGAAAACATCTGAGTCTGCGGATAAATTGGATATTTAATAGTGCCATCATATACACAGTATCAATACTTCTATGTTTCTGCCCAATGAATCCTTTTGACTTAGATCCCAATGAAAATATAACCTTTTTATCCTAAATAGAAGCAGGATAATACCAAGCCAGTGGACAAAACATGATCCTCTAATAAAATAGACAGACGTTTAAGCCTATATAGACAGAGTTTATATGGGATACACAGAGCTTCAGCCTGTGGCAGCTACTTTGTTTATATTTAAAAAAAGCAAACTGGTCATAGAAGATGAAGGAATACCAATGAAATCACAGTGGTATTTGGTTAGGTTGTGTGCTTATTTGGAAAAGCTTGGTGAGGGAAGAGGTATAAATGGAAATGATGTGCCCATTGGATCATTCTTAAGATACTCTTTGAGGCTCACATACCACATGATCACACAAAGGTGACGAAGTAATTCTTAGAGTAATTAATACAAGGGGCAATCAAAATTTTAACATTTTAGAGGAAGCAGTAGTGCTTAACAAGGTAACAATAGAATGTGTGTAAGTTTAACTTTGGACAAAGGAACTGAGATAAATTAAAAATGAGAACTCTGAAAAGAAGGAAACATAAAAGTATAAAATATTAAAATAGAAGAATCTCAATCAAACATACAATAATTATCTTAGCCATTTATAATATCAAATAACTTGGAGACAGTTACCTATTTGGACTCCAGGTAAGGTAATTTATTTCACCAATCATTCAATGAGAGAAAGTAGAATTTGTAACAATATTTCAATACCTAATATTAAAAACAGATGCATAGGTCTTTATATTTAAAGTAAATTTTAAGTAGCCAAATGAAAATCTATTCAACAAATTACATTCATTGCAAAAGTTTGAAGGGTAATTCTCACTAAAAATACCTTGTCTAAGAGACATGAAGGACCTCTTCAGGGAGAACTATAAACCACTGCTCAAGGAAATAAGAGAGGGCACAAAAAAAAAAAAAAAGAAAAACATTCCATCCTCCTGGATAGGAAGAATCAGTATCGTGAAAATGGCCATACTGCCCAAAGTAATATATAGATTCAATGCAATTCCCATCAAACTACCACTGAAATTCTTCACAGAATTAAAAAAAAAAACTACTTTAAAATTTATATGGAAGTAAAAAAGAGCCCATACAGCCAAGACAATCCTAAGCAAAAAGAACAAAGCTGGAGACATCACACTACCTGACTTCAAACTATACTAAAAGGCTACAATAACCAAAAGGGTATGGTACTGGTACCAAAACAGACTTATAGACCAATGGAACAGAACAGAGATCTCAGAAATAACACCACACATCTACAACCATCTGATCCTCGACAAACCTGAAAAAAACAAGTAATGGGAAAAAATATTTCCTATTTAATAAATTGTACTGAGAAAACTGGCTAGCCATATGCAGAAAACTGAAAATGAACTCCTGCCTTACACCTTATGCAAAAATTATCTCAAGATGGATTAAAGAAATAAATATATATATAAATAAAAAAAAAACCTAAGAAGAAAACCAGGGCAATACCATTTAGAACATAAGCATGAGCTAAGATTTTATGATGAAAACGCCAAAAGCAATTGCAACAAAAGCTAAAATTGACAAATAGGGTCTAATTAAACTGAAGAGCTTCTGCACAGCAAAACAACAACAACAACAAAAAGTCATTAGAGAAAACAGGCAGCCTTCAGAATGGGAGAAAATTTTTGCAATCTACCCATCTGACAAAGGTCTAATATCCAGAATCTACAAGGAACTTAAATGAATTTCCACAAAAAAAAAAACCCAACAACGCCACCAAAAATGGGCAAAATTCTCCTTGAAGAGGTCTTTCACATCCCTTGTAAGTTGTATTCTAAGGTATTTTATTCTCTTCATAGCAATTGTGAATGGGAGTTCACTCATGATTTGGCTCTCTGTTTTTCTATTATTGGTGTACAGGAATACTTGTGATTTTTACACACTAATTTTGTATCCTGACACTTTGCTGAAGTTGCTTATCAGCTTAAGGAGATTTTAGGCTGAGATGATGGGGTTTTCTAAATATACAATCATGTCATCTGCAAACAGAGACAATTTGACTTCCTCTCTTCCTATTTGAATACTGTTTATTTATTTCTCTTGTCTGATTGCCTTGGCCAGAACTTCCAATACTATGTCGAATAGGAGTGGTGAGAGAGGGCATCTTTGTCTTGCGCCAGTTTTGAAAGGCAATTCTTGGAGCTTTTGCCCATTCAGTATGATATTGACTATGAGTTTGTCATAAATAGCTCTTACTATTTTGAGATACATTGCATCAATACCTAGTTTATTGAGAGTTTTTAGCATGAATCGGTGTTGAATTTTATCGAAGGCCTTTCCTGCATATATTGGAATAATCATGTCATTTTTGTCATTGGTTCTGTTTATGTGATGGAATACATTGATTGATGTGCATATGTTGAACCAGCTTTGCATCAGAAGGATGAAGCTGACTTGAGTGTGGTGAATAAGCTTTTGGATGTGCTGCTGGATTTGGTTTGCCAGTATTTTATTGAGGCTTTTTGCATCGATGTTCATCAGGGATATTGGCCTGAAATTTTCTCATTCTACTATAAAGACATATGCACACGTATGTTTATTGTAGCACTATTCACAATAGCAAAGACTTGGAACCAACCCAGACGCTCATCAATGATAGACTGGATAAAGAAAATGTGGCACATATACAACACAGAATACTATGAAGCCATAAAAAAGTATGAGTTCATTTCCTTTGCAAGGACATGGATGAAGCTGGAAACCATCATTCTCAGCAAACTAACACAGGAACAGAAAACCAAACACCACATGTTCTCACTCATAAGTGGGAGTTGAACAATGAGAACACATGGACACAGGGAGGGGAACATCACACACTGGTGCCTGTTGTGGGATTGGGGGGCTAGGGAAGGGGTAGCATTAGGAGAAACAGCTAAGTGTGGATGATGGGTTTATGGGTGCAGCAAACCACCACGGCACTGGTATACCTATTTAACAAACCTGCATGTTCTGCACATGCATCCCAGAACTTAAAGTATAATTTTTAAAAAAGTGGGCATAATATATGGACACTTCTAAAAAAATCATACAGCTAACAAACATGGAAAAAAGATCAACATCACTGATCACTAGAGAAACGCAAATCAATACCACAATGAGATACCATCTCATGCCAGGCAGAACGGCAATTATTAAAAAGTCAACAAATGAGAGATGCTGGCAAGGCTGTGGAGAAATAGAAAAGCTTTTACACTGTTGGAGGGAATGTAATTTAGTTCAACCATTGTGGATAAAAGTGTGGTGATTCCTCAAGGACCTAGAACCAGAAATACCATTCGACCCAGCAATCCCATTTCTGGGTGTATACCCAAAGGAATATAAATCATTCTACTATAGAGACATATGCACATATATATTTATTGCAGCACCATTCACAATAGCAAAGACATGGAACCGACCCAAATGGCCATCAGTGATAGACTGGGTAAAGAACATGTGCCATATATACACCATGGAATGCTAGGCAGCTATAAAAAGAAATGAGATCACGTCCTTTTCAGAAACATGGATGAAGCTGAAAACCATCATCCTCAGCATACTAACGCAGGAACAGAAAACCAAATACCACATGTTCTCACTTATAAGTGGGAGTTCAACAGTGAGAATACATGGACACAGGGAGGGGACCAACACACACCGGGGCCTGTGGGGGTTGAGGAGGGAAGGGAGAGCATCAGGACAAATAGTTAATGCATGTGGGGCTTAAAACCTAGGTGACGAATTGATTGATTCAGCAAACTACTATGGCACATGCATACCTATGTAATAAACCTGCATGCTTTGCACATGTATGCTGGTACTCAAAGTAAAATAAAAATTAAAAAAAACCTTATCTATTCCCTTAGCTGTTATCTAATTATATGTTTTTTTAAACAAATCTATTCAAGTTAATTTCCAATTTTTTAATCAGATTATCTTTATTTTTCTGAGTTGTAGGTATTCCAATATATTTTAAATATTAGCCCCTTACCAGATATATAGTTTGCAAATATTTTATCTTGCTGTATAGGTTGCCTTTTTATATTTTTGGTTGATTGCTTCCTTTGCTGTGCAGAAGCTTTTTAGTTTGACGTAGTCCCACTTGTATATTTTTATTTTGGTTGCTTGTGCTTTTTGTTTTATACCCGATAAACCTGCTAAGACCAATGCCATGAACTTTTCCTCTATGTTTTCTTCTAGAAAATTTTTTGCTTCAGGTCGTTTGTTTAAGTCTTTAATCTACTTTAGGTTCATTTTTGAGTATGGTTTAAGGGACAAATTTCATTTTTTCTCATGTGGTTTATCTATGTTGCTAGATATAACAGGATTTATTTATTTATTTATTTTTTAATTTATTCTTATTTTTTTAACCTCCAGAATACATGTGCAGAACATGCAGGTTTTTTACATAGGTATATGCATGTTATGGTGGTTTGCTGCACCTATCAACCTGTCATCTAGGTTTTAAGCCCCACATTCCCCACATGCATTAGCTATTTGTCCTGATGCTCTCCCTTCCCTACTCCCCCCACCCAGGACCCAGTGTGTGTTGATCCCCTCCCTGCGTCCATGTGTTCTCACTGTTGAACTCCCACTTATAAGTGAGAACATGCAGTATTTGGTTTTCTGTTCCTGTGTTAGTTTGCTGAGGATGATGGCTCCCAGTTTTATCCATGGTGTGCGAAGGACATGATCTCATTCCTTTTTATGGCTGCCTAGTATTCCATGATGTATATGTATCACATGTTCTTTATCCAGTCTATCATTGATGAGCATTTGGGTTGGTTCCATGTCTTTGCTATTGTAAATAGTGCTGCAATAAATAGACATGTGCATGTATCTTTATAGTAGAATGCTTTATATTCCTTTGCGCATATCCACAGTAATGAGATTGCCAATTGTCAAATTGCCATTGTCAAATGGTATTTCTGGTTCTAGGTCCTTGAGGAATCACCACACTGTCTTCCGTGATGGTTGAAGTAATTTACATTCCCTCCAACAGTATAAAAGCTTTTCTGTTTCTCCACAGCCTTGCCAGCATCTGTTGTTTCTTGACTTTTTAATAATTGCCATTCTGACTGGCGTGAGATGGTATCACATTGTGGTTTTGATTTGCATTTCTCTAGCCATCAATGATGTTGAGCATTTTTTCATATGTTTGTTATCCACATGGATGTCTTTTTTTTAAGAAGTGTCTGTTCATGTATTTTGCCCAATTTTTGGTGGGGTTGTTTGTTTTTTCTTGTAAATTTGTTTAAGTTCCTTGTAGATTCTGGATGTTAGACCTTCATCAGATGGGTAGATTTCAAAAATTTTCTCCCATTCTGTAGTTTGCCTGTTTTCTCTGATGATAGTTTCTTTGCTGTGCTGAAGCTCTTTAGTTTAAGACGAAAGAGGGCATCCTCATCTTGTGTTGGTTTTCACAGGGAATGGTTCCACCTTTTGCACATGCAGTATGGTATTGGCTGTCATAAATATCTCTTACTATTTTGAGATGTTTCGTCAATACCTAGTTTACTGAGAGTTTTTACCATGAAGGGATGTTGAATTTTATCAAAGACCTTTTCTACATCTATTGAGATAGTCATGTGTTTTTTATCATTGGTTCTGTTTATGAGATGAATTACGATTAGCAATTTGCATATGTTGAACCAGCCTTGCCTCCCATGGAGAAAGCTGATTTGATTGTGGTGAATAAGCTTTTTGATGTGCTGCTGGATTTGGTTTGCCAGTATTTTATAGAGGATTTTCACATTGATGTTGATCAGGGATATTAGCTTGAGGTTATTGTTTTTTGTTGTGTCTTTGCCAGGTTTAGGTACCAGGATGATGTTGGCCTCATAAAATGAATTAGGGAAGAGTCCATCCTTTTCGATTGTTTGAAATAGTTTCTGAAGGAATGGTACTAGCTCCTCTTTGTACCTCTGGTAGAATTGGCTGTGAATCCATCTGGTCCTGGGCTTTTTTTGTTGGTAGGCTATTTATCATTTCCTAAATTTCAGAACTTGTTATTTGTCTATTCAGGGATTCAACTTTTTTTCTGGTCTAGTCTTCAACTTTTTTTCTGGGCTATAAGGATGTATGTTTGCAGGAATTTATCCATTTCTTCTAGATTTTTCTAGTTTATTTGTGTAGAGTTGTTTATAGTATTCTCTGATGGTAGTTGGTATTTCTGTGTGGTCAGTGGTGATATCCCCTTTATCAGTTTTTGTGTCTATTTGATTCTTCTCTCTTTTCTTCTTTACTATTCTAGCTAGCAGTCTATTTTATATTTTTTTCAAAAAACTAGCTCCTGGATTCATTATTTTTTGAAAAGTTTTTTGTGTCTCTATCTCCTTCAGTTCACTTCTGATCTTAATTATTTCTTCTCTTCTGCTAGCTTTTGGATTTGTTTGTTCTTGCTTCTTTAGTTTTTTAAATTGTAATGTCAGGGTGTTAATTTGAGATCTTTCTAGCTTTCTGATGTGGACATTTAATGTTATAAATTTCTCTCGTAATACTGCTTTAGCTGCATCCCCAGAGATCCTGGTGCATTGTCTGTTTCATTTGTTTCAAATAATTTCTCGATTTCTGCCTTGATTTCATTATTTACCCAGGACTCATTCAAGAGCAGGTTGTTCAATTTTCATGTAGTTTTGTGGTTTTTAGTGAGTTTCTTAATCCTGAGTTCTAATTTAATTGCACTGTGGTCTGAGAGACTGTTTGTTGTAATTTCAGTTCTTTTGCATTTGCTGAGGAGTGTTTCACTTCCAATTATGTGGTCAATGTTAGAGTAGGTGCCATGTGGCACTGAACAAATGTATATTCTGTTGTTTGAAGGTGGAGAGTTCTGTAGATATCTTTTAGGTCCACTTGATCCAGAGCTGAGTTCAAGTTTTGGATATCCTTGTAAATTTTCTGTCTTGTTGATTTGTCTAATATTGACAGTGGGGTGTTAAAGTCTCCCACCTTTAATTGCGTGGGAGTATAACTCTCTGTGTAGGTCTCTAAGAACTTGTTCTATAGATCTGAGTGCTCCTGGATTGTATGCATATATATTTATGATAGTTAGCTCTTCTTGTTGCATTGATCCCTTTACCATTATGTAATGTGATTCTTTGTCTTTTTTATCTTTGTTGGTTTAAAGTTTGTTTTGTCAGAGAGTAGGATTGCAACCCCTGCTTTTTTCTGCTTTCCATTTCCTTGGTAAATATTCTTTTTTTTTTAATAGGTAAAAGAAAAAGTAATGATTTTATAGGTAAAATAAAAGATTATAATCTACTTAAATATTTCCATCTGAGAAAAGATAATCCTAGGAAGAGAGATGTTAGGCATTTGCTGAATCAGTAAAAATTGTTAAAATCTAATAAAATAATTGTATTTTAATGTACTTTCGAGCATATCAAATTATAATCTAGAAATAATGGAAATAAGTGCCTTTGGGATTTTAATTTTTATGTACAAGTGAAGGCCACAGAAGTGACTCTTCCTTTATTATTTTTTTTATATCCACCACATCAAGGCACCTCTTTTTCTTTTTCCTTTTTTTTAAAAATTTATTATTATTATACTTTAAGTTTTAGGGTACATGTGCACAATGTGCAGGTTAGTTACATATGTATACATGTGCCATGCTGGTGTGCTGCACCCATTAACTCGTCATTTAGCATTAGGTATATCTCCTAAAGCTATCCCTCCCCCCTCCCCCCACCCCACAACAGGCTCCAGAGTGTGATGTTCCCCTTCCTGTGTCCATGTGTTCTCATTGTTCAATTCCCACCTATGAGTGAGAATATGCGGTGTTTGGTTTTTTGTTCTTGCGATAGTTTACTGACAATGATGATTTCCAATTTCATCCATGTCCCTACAAAGGACATGAACTCATCATTTTTTATGGCTGCATAGTATTCCATGGTGTATATGTGCCACATTTTCTTAATCCAGTCTATCATTGTTGGCCATTTGGGTTGGTTCCAAGTCTTTGCTATTGTGAATAGTGGTGCAATAAACATACGTGTGCATGTGTCTTTATAGCAGCATGATTTATAGTCCTTTGGGCATATACCTAGTAATGGGATGGCTGGGTCAAATGGTATTTCTAGTTCTAGATCCCTGAGGAATCGCCATACTGACTTCCACAATGGTTGAACTGGTTTACAGTCCCACCAACAGTGTAAAAATGTTCCTGTTGCTCCACATCCTCTCCAGCACCTGTTGTTTCCTGACTTTTTAATGATTGCCATTCTAACTGGTGTGAGATGGTATCTCATTGTGATTTTGATTTGCATTTCTCTGATAGCCAGTGATGGTGAGCATTTTTTCTTGTGTTTTTTGGCTGCATAAATGTCTTCTTTTGAGAAGTGTCTGTTCATATCCTTTGCCCACTTTTTGATGGGGTTGTTTGTTTTTTTCTTGTAATTGTTTGAGTTCATTGTAGATTCTGGATATTAGCCCTTTGTCAGATGAGTAGGTTGCAAAAATTTTCTCCCATTTTTTAGGTTGCCTGTTCACTCTGATGGTAGTTTCTTTTGCTGTGCAGAAGCTCTTTAATTTAATGAGATCCCATTTGTCAATTTTGGCTTTTGTTGCCATTGCTTTTGGTGTTTTAGACATGAAGTCCTTGCCCATGCCTATGTCCTGAATGGTAATGCCTAGGTTTTCTTCTAGGGTTTTTATGGTTTTAGGTCTAACGTTTAAGTCTTTAATCTATCTTGAATGAATTTTTGTATAAGGTGTAAGGAAGGGATCCATTTTCAGCTTTCTACTTATGGCTAGCCAGTTTTCCCAGTACCATTTATTAAATAGGGAATCCTTTCCCCATTACTTGTTTTTCTCAGATTTGTCAAAGATCAGATAGTTGTAGATATGTGGCGTTATTTCTGAGGTCTCTGTTCTGTTCCATTGATCTATATCTCTGTTTTGGTACCAGTACCATCCTGTTTTGGTTACTGTAGCCTTGTAGTATAGTTTGAAGTAAGGTAGCGTGATGCCTCCAGCTTTGTTCTTTTGCCTTAGGATTGACTTCGTGATGTGGGCTCTTTTTTGGTTCCATACGAACTTTAAGGTAGTTTTTTCCAACTCTGTGAAGAAAGTCATTGGTTTTGACAAAATTCAACAACCCTTCATGCTAAAAACTCTCAATAAATTAGGTATTGATGGAACGTATCTCAAAATAATAAGAGCTATGTATGACAAACCCACAGCCAGTATCATACTGAATGGGCAAAAACTGGAAGCATTCCCTTTGAAAACTGGCACAAGACAGGGATACCCTCTCTCACCACTCCTATTCAACATATTATTGGAAGTTCTGGCCAGGGCAATTAGGCAGGAGAAGGAAATAAAGGGTATTCGATTAGGAAAAGAGGAAGTCAAATTGTCCCTGTTTGCAGATGACATGATTGTATATCTAGAAAACCCCATTGTCTCAGCCCAAAATCTCCTTAATCTGATAAGCAACTTCAGCAAAGTCTCAGGATACAAAACAACGTACAAAAATCACAAGCATTCTTATACACCAACAACAGACAAACAGAGAGCCAAATCATGAGTGAACTCCCATTCACAATTGCTTCAAAGAGAATAAAATACCTAGGAATCCAACTTACAAGGGACGTGAAGGACCTCTTCAAGGAGAACTACAAACCACTACTCAATGAATTAATAGAGGATACAAATGAATGGAAGAACATTCCCTACTCATGCACAGGAAGAATCCATATCGTGAAAATGGCCATACTGCCCAAGGTAATTTATAGATTCAATGCCATCCCCATCAAGCTACCATTTCCTTGGTAAATATTCTTCCATGTCTTTACTTTGAGCCTGTGTGTGTCTTTGTGCGTGGGATGGATCTCTTGAATACAGTATACCAATAGGTCTTGACTCTATCCACTTTGCCAGTCTGTGTCTTTTAATTGGGGCATTTAGCCCATTTACGTTTATGGTTAATATTGTTATGTGTGAATCTGATCCTGTCATCTTGAGGCTAGCTTGTTATTTTGCACACTTGTTCATGCCGTTTTTTCCATAGTGTCATTTGCCTTTATATTTTCATGTGTTTTTCAGTGGCTGGTACTGTTTATTCCTCTCCATATTTAGTGCTTCCTTCAGGAGCTCTACAAGGTAGACCTGTTTATGATGAATTCCTTCAGCATTTGCTTTTTTGAAAAGGATTTTATTTCTCCTTCATTTATGAAGCTTAGTTTGGCTGGATATGAAATTCTGGGTTGAAAATTTCTTCTTTAAGAGTGTTAAATATTGGCCCTCACTCTCTTCTGGCTTGTAGGGTTTCTGCTGAGAGATGTGCTGTTAGTCTGATGAGCTTCTTTTTGTAGGTGACCTGGTCTTTCTCTCTGGCTGCCCTTAACATTTTTTTTCCTTCATTTTAACCTTAGTGAATCTGATGATTATGTGTCTTGGAATTGATATTCTCGTGGAGTATCTTAGTGGTGTTTTCTGTATTTTTTTAATTTGAATATTGGCCTGCCTTGCTAGGTTAGGTAAGTTCTTCTGGATAATATCATGAAATGTGTTTCTCAACTTGGTTCTATTCTCTCCATTTCCTTCAGGTACTACAATGAGTCATAGCATAGGTTCAGTCTTTTTACAGAGTTCCATATTGCTCAGAGGTTTTGTTTGTTCCTTTTCATTCTTCTTCCTCTAGTCTTTTCTGCCTGACTTATTTCAGAAAGATGATCTTCAAACTCTAATATCCATTCTTCTGCTTGATTGATTCAGCTATTGATAGTTATACATGCTTCACTAAGTTTTCATGCTGTGTTTTTCAGCTCCACCAGGTCATTTGCGTTCCTCTCTAAACTGGTTGTTCTACTTAGCAGCACCTCTAACCTTTTATCAAAGTTCTTAGGTTCTTTGTTCTGGGTTAGAACATGTTCCTTTACCTCAGCAAAGTTTTTTATTACCCACCTTGTGAAGCCTACTTCTGTCAATTTGTCTGTCTCATCCTCTGTCCTGTTTTGCGCCCTTGCTGGAGAGGTGTTATCATCATTTGGAGGAGAAGAGGCACTCTGGCCTTTTGTGTTTTCAACATTTTTTTATTATTGATTCTTTCTTGTGTTTATGAGTTTGTCTAGTTTCAATCTTTGAGGCTGATGACTCTTTGATGAGGTTTTTGTGGGGACTTTTTTTTTGATGCTGCTGTTGTTGCTTTCTGTTTGTTTGTTTTTATTTCAGTAGTCAGATCCCTCTTCTGTAGGGCTGCTGCAGTTTGCTGGGGGTTCACTTCAGGCCCTATTCATCTGGTTCACTCCCGTGCCTGTAGATGTCTCTTGAGGAGGCTGGAGAACAGCAAAGATGGGTGCCTGCTTCTTCCTCTATGATCTCTGACCTCGAGGGGCATTGACCTGATGTCAGTAGTGACACTACTGCATAGGATGTCTGACAACCCCTGTTGGGGGGATCTCACACAGTTGGGTGGCATGGGAAGCAGGACCCATTCAATAAAGCACTTTGGCTGTTCATTGGTGGAGGGGGTGTGCTGTGCTGTGGGGAAAATCCACTCTTTTGGGCTCCCCAGATTCCTCAGAGCTAGCAGGAGGAAAGACTAAGTCTGCTGGTCCATGGAGACTATGGCCTTCCTTCTCCCAAGGGGCTCAGGCCCAGGGAAATCTGAGTTCTGTCCCTGAGCTCCTGGCTGGAGTTGGGGTTCCTTCAGGGAGGCCCTGCAGTTCCAATGTTGGCTCTCATCCCTTCCCCTGGGAACTCGGCAGGCTTAGGCCAATTCTACCCAAGCGAAAATCTGTGCGGCTCTGTGGTTAGGACTCAAGGCCCCAGTGGTGTGGGCTCATGAGTGGGAGCTTCCAATCCATGGGTTGCACAGTTCCATGAAAAAAGCATGGTTTTCCAGGCTGAGTAGCATGCTCACTCACTGCCTCTCTTGGCTGGGGGTGGGGGCTCCCCTGCCCTGTGTAGCTCTCAGGTAAGCCACAGCACTACACTGTTCTTCCTTCCTCTCCGTGGTTCACACTAGCTGCCTAGTCATCCTAATGACAGAACCTGGATACTTTGGTTACCAGTGCAGGATTTGCACACTGTTTTGGAATTTTTCGATGGGAACCTCTGATCACTGCTGCTTCTATTCAGCCATCTTCACCCCATTCCCAGGCCTTCTTTATTTTTTAAGGCTATGAGATATTCCATCATATGTATATACCATATTTTCTTTTTCCATTGATCATCAGTAGAAATTTAAGTTGTTTTCATATCTTATTATTGTGAATAATTCTGCAATGAACATAGGAGAGAAGATATTTCTTTGAGATCCTGACTTCAATTATTTTGGATATACACCCAGAAGTAGCATTGCTGGATCCTAAGTTACTTCTATTCTTAATTTTTTGAGGAAGCTCCACTGTATTCCACAGTGGTTGAACTAATTTACACTCCCACCAAGAGTGTAAAAGCATTCCTATTTCTCCACCTCCTCTCCAGCATCTGTTGTTTCCTGACTTTTTAAAGATCGCCATTCTCACTGGTGTCAGATGGTTATCTCATTGTGGTTTTGATTTGCATTTCTCTAATGACCAGTGATGATGAGATTTTTTTCATATGTTTGTTGGCTGCATAAATGTCTTCTTTTGAGAAGTGTCTGTTCATATCCTTTGCCCAATTTTTAATGGGGATGTTTGTTTTTTTCTTGTAAATTTGTTTAAGTTCTTTGTAGATTCTGGATATTAGCCCTTTGTCAGATGGATAGATTGCAAAAATTTTCTCCCATTCTGTAGGTTGCCTGTTCACTCTGATGGTAGTTTCTTTTGCTGTACAGAAGCTCTTTAGTTTAATTAGATCCCATTTGTCAATTTTGGCTTTTGTTGCCATTACTTTTGGTGTTTTAGACATGAAGTCCTTGCCCATGCCTGTGTCCTGAATGGTAATACCTAGGTTAATGGATTAATGGAATAGGACAGATGTCTTTATAAGAAGAAGAAGAGACCTGAGCTAGCATGCTGAAACCCCCACTATGTGGTGCCCTGTACAATCTCAGGACTCTGCAAAGCCCCTACCATGAAAAAGGCTCTTACCAGATGCAGCCCTTTGACCTTGGACTTCTAAAGCTTCACAACTATATAATAAATATATTTATTTTCTTTATAAATTATCCAGCCACTATTATTCTAAGTGAAGTAACTCAGTAATGGAAAACAAAACATCGTATGTTCTCACTCATATGTGGGAACTAAGCTATGAGGACACAAAGGCATAATAATGATACATTGGACTTTATTGCCTAGGTTTTCTTCTAGGGTTTTTATAAACAAATGAAAATATTATGTACCAAGAAGAAGAGAATATTTTGAAATTGTACATTTTCTATTGCCTAAGATTTATGCAGACACTATTTGCAGTATTTTTTTACAAAATGAATGACTTTATTTTAATGAGAAAATTATATTACTTCCTAAAAATGAAATACAATGCTTGGGGCTTAGTCTTTATAGCTGGTGTAAAAATAAAATGTTCCTGAAAAATAATTTAAGTTATAAAGAATTATGCAAATTTAAATAATTCAGAGCTGTTACATCCAAATTATGGGAAGACAGATGAATAATAGAAAATTCTTGTGGAAGTGCATAAACCTAAATCCCCTCCCTGCACTTCCTATATTCTACTGGAGCCATAGGAACTGTGGTAAGCCACTGGGAAAAACTGGAAGAAACTCATGATAGTGCCACAATTGGGACCTTTTAAATAATAAACATTGGTGTGGGAGCAACTATGTGTAAGAGATGTTGGGGTGCAGAAGGAAGTAACAAACCATTCTTAAGATGGATGAAGACTTAGAATGAAACTATGTGAGTAAATCACTGATCTTGCAATTAGAAATGGGGCTTGGAGAAATTATCCAGATAATTTTGGATATTATTTAGACATTATAATAATTATTTACTTACTATATGTTAATGTCCATGAATTGGACTGGGCTGCCACTACTATATTATTCATGTAATTCTACACTATTCCTGTTAATACTGGCAGTATTGGAAAGTGTAGTAGTTTGTGCTGAGAAGCCTTCCTTTCTTCTTATTTCTGAATATAATGTTGTTCCCTATAAACCACAACCCCAAGGTCAGACTTTCTCGAGCTGAATTTTATAAAACTGGAGAACAATGAGAACTTGAGAACTCATCATCTACTACTACTTGTCAATACAAAACTACCCATGAGATTTCAACAGGCATACCCATCTGAGATCTGAGATGCCACATGAGACTTCAATAGGTAAAGAACAATACAATCCATTTACAAAGTGGGGCAAGAAACTTTTGCTTATGTCAAGAAACACAGACTCTACAGCCTGATATACAGGTTTTATTTCATTCTATACAATTAATTAACCTATGAGCTTTGGAAAATTACTTAATATGTTAGTATTTTATTTTTTAACATGTAAAATATAAATTGCAATATATACTTGATGGATCATACTTTGAAAATTCAATGAAATAGTTTATGTATTAAGCCCTTAGAGAAATAAGTACATAAAAAATATATGTGTTAGCTATGGTGATATCCTAGCAAGACATTTGAATTATAATTTTTTTAAGCCAAGGCCTCTAAATGGAAATGATAAAATACATTCAGGAAAGGGGAGTAGGATATCATCAGACTTATCATAAGCAATATTGAATATATATTAAAAATAAGATTAGACTATTGAAAAAAGATTGGAAATATAAATAAGATACATTATTTAATCATTTGAGTAACATGGCAGAATAAGGGGCTCTTGACTACCCCTCCTGCTGCAATCACATCAATAAACACCTACAAATGGATCAGTACTCTCTAGAGAAAGCCAAAATCCAGTTGAAATTTTTTTAGTCACCCAGCCTCCTACACACTGGATGACTAAAAAAATATCCACATAAGAAGGATAGAAAAGGTGGAGATACACCTATGCACTAACGTCACCCTGAGCACAGAGCTTTATACTCCACTCAGAAAGAAAACTCCACTTTGAGACTTCTTCCTGAGGGGTAAGGGGCTTATATTTCACTGATAGTGTACAAGTTTTACAGTCCTTTCCAGAAAGTTTGGCTCTTTAATTATTGTGCATAAAAAAAAAACTTTCTGGCTTTTTTTTATGAGGATCATAAAAAAAAGTGAAGACAGGCTAAGAAACTTATGGGACACCATCAAATGGAATAATGTACACATTATCAGAGTACCAGAAGCAGATAGAAAGAGAAAGAAACAGAAAATATATTCAAAGAAATAATAGAAGAAAACTTCCCAAATTTGGAGAAAGAATTAGAAATGCATATCCAGAAAGCTGAACATACACCTAATAGGATGAATCTAAAGAGATCTACACCAAGACACATTATTATCAAATTGTCAAAAATTTAAGACAAAAAAAGGAATATTAAAAACTTCAAGGGGAGGGAAACACGTTACAAACAAGGGAACCATAAATCTATCTGCAGATTTTGCAACAGAAACTTAACAGGCCAGAGGTAGTGGCATAATATATTCAAAAAGATGAAAAAAAAAAACTGTAAATCTAGAATACTATACCCGGCAATCACATCCTCCAACAGTGAAAGACAGATAAAAACTTTCCCAGACAAAAAAAAAGTTGAGAGAACTTATAACCATACTTATCTTACAAGAGTGCTGGAAGAGTCTTCAAAGTGAAGAAAAATATCACTAAAGAGCAACAGGAAAATGTACAAAAATGTAAAACTCACTGGTAAAAGAAGTATATAGTAAAACTCAAAACACTTGTAATGGTGTGTGAAAATTATATCTTCAGCATACAATTAAAAATAAAACTATTAAAAACAACTATAGCTACAATAATTTGCTAAGGGCCAGAAACTATAGAAAATAAATAAATATGTCATCAAAAACAAATTGTTGTGTGGGGAGTAAAAGTGCAGTTTTTGCAAGTGATTAAAGTTAAGTAGTTATCAACTTAAATCACTATTATTAGTATAAGATGTTATATGTAACTCTCATGGTAATCATAGAGCAAAAACCCTTAGAAGGTACGTAAAAGATAGAAAGAAAAAAATCAAAGCATACCAGTACAGAAAATCATCAAACCGCAAAGGAAAACAGGAAGAGAGAAAGAAAGGAACAAAGGATCTATAAATTAACCAGAAAACAATTAACAAAATGATCATAGTAGGTCTTTACCTATCAATACTTACTTTAAATGTAAACAGATTAAATTATTCAATCAGAAAACTTTGAATGACTAAATGAATAAAAAAGAAAGACTCAACCCTATGATGTCTACAAGAGATGCACTTTACCTCTAAGGACACACATAGACTAAAATAATGGGATGGAAAAATATATTCTATGTGTATCATTCAGGGTTCTCCGGAGGGACAGAACTAACAGAATATATGTACATATGAAAGGGAGTTTATTAGTGAGAACTGGCTCACATAATCACAAGGTGAAGTCCCAGGATAGACGTTCTGCAAGCTGGAGAAGAAAGAAGCCAGTAGTGGCTCAGCCTGAGTCCAAAAGCCTCAAAAGCAGCGAAGCTGACAGCGCAGCCTTCAGTCTGTGGCTGAAGGCTCAAGAGCCCCCAGAAAACCACTGGTGCAAGTCCAAGAGTCCAAAGGCTAAGTAACCTGATATAATGTCCAAGGGTAGGAGGAATGTAGGGAAACATACAGCCATTCCACCTTCTACTGTCTGTTTTGTGCTAGCCACACTGGCAGCTGATTGGATAGTACCCACCACATCGATGGTGGGTCTTCCTCTACTAGTCCACTGACTCAATTATCAGTCTCCTCTGGCAACACCCTCACAGACACACCCAGTGACAATGCTTTACCAGCTATCTAGGCATCCTGCAATCCAATCAAGTTGACACTTAATATTAATCATCACACTGTACAAGTTGAAACCAAAGAGAATGGGGGTAGCTATACTTATATAAGGCAAATAAACTTTATTTCAAAAACTGTGAAAAGAGACAAAACGTCATTATTTAATAATAAAGAGATTAATCAAGTAGTTTTAAAAAATAGCAAGCATGTATGAACCTAACATAGGAGAATCCAAATATATAAAGCAAACATTAATAGATCTAAAGGAGAGCTAGACTGCAATACATTATAGTTGGGAACTTCAACACTCCATTTTCAACACTGAAAAGATCACCTAGATAGAAAGCTCACAAGAAAACATTAAATTTCATCTGCACGTTACACCAAATGAATCTAACAGGCATTTAAAGAGCAATCCACCCAATAATGATAGAATTGCTTGGACAATGCAATTATTCTCAAGGGCATGCACAGCATTCTCCAGGATAGATAATACGTTAGACTACAAGACAAGTCTTAAAATATTTAAGCAGTTTAAAATTATATCAAGTGTCTTTTCTGATTGTGAGGCCATGAAACTAGAAATCAATAATAGAAGGAATTTTGAAAAGCTCACAAATATACGGAAATTAAACAGGTATAACTAATGGATCAAAGCAAAAATTATGAGGAGAATTTTAAAAATATTCTGACCACAAACAATGATAAAACAATAATATACCAAAACTTATGAAATGCGGCAAAAGCGATTCTGAGGTTATATCAGTGAATATTTAGATTAAACAATAAGAAAGATCTCATATAAACAACCTAATGTTATACCTCACAGAATTAACAAATAAAATAACATAGGCCTACATTTAGCAGAAAAAAGAAAATTACAATGATAGGGTTATAAATAAACAAAATAGAGATTAGAAAAGCAGTAAATCTATAACATGGTTTTTAAAAAAACAGAAGCAAAATCAACAACATTTGTTGGACTAACAAAGTAAAAAAGAGACAAGGTGCAATAAAAACAAGAAACAAAAGAGGGGACATTACAACTGATACCACAAAAATACAAAGGATCATAAAAGAATATTATAAGCGACTGTACAGTAACAAATTGGGTAATAGAAAAGAAATTCATAAATTCCTAGAAACATGCAACTCACCAAGATTAAATCAGTAATAAACAGAAAATCCGAACAGACCTATGAACAGTAATGAGATCGAATCAGTAGTAGAAAGTCTCTGATCAAAGAAAAGCCCAAGATCTGATAACTTCACTGCTGAATTCTGCCAAACATTTAAATAACTAATACCCATTCTTCTCAAACCCTTCTAAAATAATAAAGAGGAGGAAATACTTCCACTCTTTTTATGAAGCCAGACTTATCTTGAGATCAAAGCCAGACAAGGACACTACAAGAGAATAAAACTACATGCCAATATTCCTAAAGAATATAGATTTAAAAATCCTCAGTAAAATGCTGGTTAACTGATTTCAACAGCACATTAAAAAGATCATTCGCCACAATCAAGTGGTATTTATCCCAGGGATGTGAAGATAGTTCAACACACATAAATCTATAAATGGGATTCACTATATTAATATGAAGGGTGAAAGTCATGTGATTATATAGATGCAAAAAAGTATTTGAAGAAATTCAACAATCCTTCATGATAAAAAAACCTTTCAATGAACTAGATATAGAAAAGGTACATACATAGACTGGATTTCAACACAATAAAGGCCATATAAGACAAGCCTGAAGCTAACATCATACTGAACAGTGAAAAGTGGAAAACTTTTCCTGTAAGATTAGAAACAAGAAAAGGATGCCCACTTTCCCCACTTTAATTCAACATAGTACTAGAAGTGCTAACCAGAACAATTAGGCAAGAAAAATAAATTAAAAATAATTATACAGGAAAGGAAGAAGTAATATTTTCTTTGCTGAGTGATAACATGATCTTATACACAGAAAAGCTGGAAGACTCCCCAAAATACTGCTATAAATGATTTTTAAAATCAGTAAAGTTTCAGGTGACTAAATCAACTTACAAAAGTCAGTAGAATTTTTATACAGTAAGAATATACTATTCAGAAAAGAAATTAATAAAACAACCTCATTTTCATAGCTTCAAACATATTTAATATTATAGTAAAATTAGCCAAGAAAGTGAAAGATCTGTCCAGTGAAAACTATAAAATATTCATAAAAGAAATAAAAGAAGACACGAATAAATGACAGACATGCCATATTTCATGGACCAAAATAATATTGTTAAAATGTCCATACTACAAACAGATCTATAGATTCAATTCAATATCTGTCAGTATGCTAATGTCACTTTTTACAGATAGAGGAAACAATTCTAAAATTTGTGTGGAACTAGAAGCCAATCCAAATAGCCAAAGCAATCTTGAGCAAAAAGAACAAAGCTGGAGGCATCATAATTCCTGATTACAAAATGTATTATGAAGCTATAGACATCAAACTCTCATGGTACTTGCATAAGAGTAGATACATCAACCAAAGAAAAAAGATAAAACCCTCAGAAATAAACCCTAGTATTTATGGTTAATTGATTTTTGACAAATGTGTCAACACATGATGACGAAAGTTTATTCAGTACATAATGTTAAGAAAATTGGATATCCATATCAGAAGAATGAAATTGAACCCTTATCTCACACCATACACAAAAATCAACTCAAAATAAGTAAAAACCTTCAATGTGAGACTTGAAACTGTAAGCTACTAGGAGAAACATAGGAGAAAAGTTCCATGTCATTGATCTGGGCAATTATTTTTTGGATGGGACTCTAAAAGCACTAGCAACAGAAGCAAAAATAAAGTGGGATTACATCAAACTTAAAAGCTTCTGCATAGCTAAGGAAGCAATCAATAAAACAAAAAGACAACCTATGAAACAGGAGAAAATATTTGCAAACCCCTTACATTAGAACCCATATATCTGAAGAGGGTCTAATATCAAAAATATATAAATAACTCAAACAACTCAATAGCAAGAAAACAAATAACCTGATTGAAAAATGGGCCAAAGATCTGAAAAGACATTACTCAAAAGAAAAGATATAAATGGCTAGCAGATATATGAAAAAAAGTTCATCTGTAATTTTCAGAAAATGCAAATTAAAACCACAACATGAGAGCACTTCACACTTGTTAGAATGGCCATTATCAAAACAAAACAAACAAACAAACAAAACAGGGAAAACAAATGTTAGCAAGAATGTGGAGAAAAGGAAACCTATGTGTGTTTTTGGTCTGATAAATTAGTAAAGCCATTTGGTGCAGCTGCTATGGAAAACAGTATGAGGGATCCTCAGAAAACTAAAAATAGAATTACCATATGACCCAGCAATTCCACTTCTGGCTATATATCCAAAGAAATTTAAATCAGTATATCCCAGCAATATCTGCACTCCCATGTTTATTTCAGCATTATTCTCATTAGCCACTTCCATTATGGAAGCCACCTAATTATCTGTCAAAAGATAAATAGCTAAAGAAATTGTGGTAGATATACTACTCTGACTTAATAGAGAAGGAAATAGGAAATTCAGACATTTACAACATGGATGGAACTGTAGAAAGTTATGCTTCATGAAATAAGCCCAGGCACAGAAAAATAAATAGTATATAATCTCACCTATATGTGAAATCTAAAAAAGTTTATCTCATAGAAACAGAGAGTCAAAAAGTAGTAACCAGAGGCTAGGGGGATGGGGCAGTATGGGGTAAGAGGAGATGTTGATCAAAGGGTACAATATTTTAGTTAGATTGAAGGAATATTTTTTACTGATCCATTGCATTGCATGGTGACCACAGTTAATAATAATATAAATTTCAAAATTGCTGAAATAATAGATTTTCAACATCTTGACTCCCAAAGGGCTAAGTCATTGAGGAGATAGATGAAACATCATACTGTACCCCATAAATATACATAATTATTATTTGTCAATTAAAAATAATTTTAAGAGTACATTATTTAACTGACATCATTCAAAGAGGGTAAAATACATATTTAGACATACATATTTACAGAAAAAAGCATACGTGTAATATTTCTGAGAATAATTTCAATAAAATGTTTTAAAAAATCATTTTGAAAAAGGAGATTCTAGAAATGGTAAAAAATAAAGTCTATAAACAATATGAAAGAAATAGCAGTATATTGTAAAAAATGTTCATATTAAAATGCTGATGAAATGTAAACTTTAACATATGTTATAGAAATAGATTTCAATGTATTTTCCTAGATGCATACAATAAACACACAAGACAAGGCAATAATAGCAAAAACAGAAACAAAATATCTTGATGAGGTTGAAGTTGGAAGTTAAGATCCATTGGGAAGGCAGGTAATCACGTTTTAACTTTGATTCATCAGTAAACGATTAAGATTTTAATTGATAAAGACTAGCACCATCAACTAACAGTTACCAGGTGCAACTTCTCTAATTCACCATGTGGTTTATGCCACGGCCACTCTAAACTTGACCCAGCCCTAAGGGATTAGGGAGCCCATTAATAGGAAACTTTCTTTTGAGATTCACCAATGGCTTTTTTGAGACATTCTCAGAACTCAGAATCAATGAAAACTTGAGAAAGCAGTATCAAAACATTTATGGAATGTCAGCATCAGGTAATGGCACTTTTAAGAGCTAGACCTAGAGCAACTCAACTGCAGGGCCCCCAAAAGTCAAAATCTGAGAAGAAATAATCTAATTGCTAAACGTGCCTATGATGTACAGCCCTAGATCTAATACACATCACCAAATCAATCAGAAATTCCTGGAATAAAGCCCCTGGCAGAACTAATGAGAGGATTATGTTATGGTATCTATTATACATATAATTGTAACTCATGCATAGCAAGTTTTATTAATGGGAGAATAATTTTTTATTATTACTATTTATGTTTTTAAGAAGGTTTTAGATAAAATATGCTAACATAAGATATGGAATTATTTCTGAATTTATCTTAAAGAGATGAGTTGCTAAGGCTGTGACTATACTCTTACAAATGGGAATTTTCAGGGGAAGGATAGATGTAGAAGCATAATAAGCTGGCTGAATATTGAATGAGGTTATGGCTACTACCATGCACATCCTCCTCTGATGATCATAAATTGAACTTTACAGATTTCCTGAGAAATGAACAGAAGCAGCAAGCAGAAGTCAAGTAATGGTCTTGGTGAAAAATAGATTTCTAACTTTGTAATTGTCACCCCTATATCCTACCCAATGGAGAATGTCTGAATCAACCTCCTTTAGGCACAAACATAAGAAAAAACATGAGTAAGATAAAAACACATGCACACGTATGTTTATTGCGGCATTATTCACGATAACAAAGACTTGAAACCAACCCAAATGTCCAACACTGATAGACTGGATTAAGAAAATATGGCACATATACACCATAGAATACTATGCAGCCATAAAAAATGATGAGTTCATGTCCTTTTGAGGGACATGGATGAAATTGGAAATCATCATTGTCAGTAAACTATCGCAAGAACAAAAAACCAAACACCGCATATTCTCACTCATAGGTGGGAATTGAAGAATGAGATCACATGGACACAGGAAGGGGAATATCACACTCTGGGGACTGTTGTGGGGTGGGGGGAGGGGGGAGGGATAGCATTGGGAGATATATCTAATGCTAGATGACCAGTTAGTGGGTGCAGCGCACCAGCATGGCACATGTATACATATGTAACTAACCTGCACAATGTGCACATGTACCCTAAAACTTAAAGTATAATAATAATAATTAAAAAAAAGAAAAAACATGAGGGTCTAACAGTTCATGTCATTTACTTTGTTTCCTTATTTGTCCAGTGTCACAATACATATGCATTTTTATTATTGCTAATTTTTTTATTATACTTTGACTTTTAGGCTACATGTGCACAATGTTGAAGTTAGTTGCATATGTATACATGTGCCATGTTGGTGTGCTGCACCCATTAACTCATCATTTAACATTAGGTAGATGTCCTAATGCTATCCCTCACCCCTCTCCCCACGCCACAGCAGGCCATGGTGTGTAATGTTCCCCTTCTGGTGTCCATGTGTTCTCATTGTTCAATTCCCACCTATGAGTGAGAACATGCAGTGTTTGGTTTTTCGTCCTTGCGATAGTTTGCTGAGAATGATGGTATCCAGCTTCATCCATGTCCCTACAAAGGACATGAACTCAGCATTTTTTATGGCAGCATAGTATTCCATAGTGTATATGTGCCACATTTTCTTAATCCAGTCTATCATTGTTGCACATTTGGGTTGGTTCCAAGTCTTTGCTATTGTGAATAGTGCCACAATAAACATACGTGTGCATGTGTATTTATAGTAGCATGATTTATAGTCATTTGGGTATATACCCAGTAATGGGATGGCTGGGTCAAATGGTATTTCTAGTTCTAGATCCCTGAGGAATCGCCACACTGACTTCCCCAATGGTTGAACTAGTTTACAGTCCCACCAACAGTGTAAAAGTGTTCCTATTTCCCCATATCCTCTCCAGCACCGGTTGTTTCCTGACTTTTTAATGATCACCATTCTAACAGGTGTGAGATGGTATCTCATTGTGGTTTTGATTTGCATTTCTTTGATGGCCAGTGATGATGAGCATTTTTTCATGTGTCCATTGGCTGCATAAATGTCTTCTTTTGAGAAGTGTCTGTTCATATCCTTCGCCCACTTTTTGATGGGGTTGTTTGTTTTTTTCTTGTAAATGTGATTGAGTTCATTGTGGATTCTGGATATTAGCCCTTTGTCAGATGAGTAGGTTGCAAAAATTTTCTCCCATTCTGTAGGTTGCCTGTTCACTCTGATAGTAGTTTCCTTTGCTGTGCAGAAGTTCTTTAGTTTAATGAGATCCCATTTGTCAATTTTGGCTTTTGTTGCCATTGCTTTTGGTGTTTTAGACAAGAAGTCCTTGCCCATGCCTATGTCCTGAAAGGTAATGCCTAGGTTTTCTTCTAGGGTTTTTATGGTTTTAGGTCTAACATGTAAGTCTTTAATCCATCTTGAATTAATTTTCATATAATGTGTAAGGAAGGGACCCAGTTTCAGCTTTCTACATATGGCTAGCCAGTTTTCCCAGCACCATTTATTAAATAAGGAATCATTTCCCCATTTTTTGTTTTTGTCAGGTTTGTCAAAGGTCAGATGGTTGTAGATATGCGGCATTATTTCTGAGGGCTCTGTTCTGTTCCTTTGGTCTAGATCTCTGTTTTGGTACCAGTACCATGCTGTTTTGGTTACTGTAGCCTTGTAGTATAGTTTGAAGTCAGGTAGTGTGATGCCTCCAGCTTTGTTCTTTTGGCTTAGGATTGACTTGGCAATGCAGGCTCTTTTTTGGTTCCATATGAACTTGAAATTAGTTTTTTCCAATTCTGTGCAGAAAGTCATTGGTAGCTTGATGGGGATGGCATTGAATCTACAAATTACTTTGGGCAGAATGGCCATTTTCACGATATTGATTCTTCCTACCCATGAGCATGGAATGTTCTTCCATTTCTTCCATTTGTTTGTATCCTCTTTTATTTCATTGAACAGTGGTTTGTAGTTCTCCTTGAAGAGGTCCTTCACATCCCTTGTCAGTTGGATTCCTAGGTATTTTATTCTCTTTGAAGCAATTGTGAATGGGAGTTCACTCATGATTTGGCTGTTTGTCTGCTACTGGTGTATGAGAATGCTTGTGATTTTTGCACATTGATTTTGTATCCTGAGATTTGCTGAAGTTGCCTATCAGCTTAAGGACGTTTGGGGCTGAGATGATGGGATTTTCTAGATATACAGTCATGTCATCTGCAAACAGGGACAATTTGACTTCCTCTTTTCCTAATTGAATACTCTTTATTTCCTTCTCCTGCCTGATTGCTGTGGCCAAAACTTCCAACACTATGTTGAATAGGAGTGGTGAGAGAGGGCATCTCTGTCTTGTGCCAGTTTTCAAAGGGAATGCTTCCAGTTTTTGCCCATTCAGTATGATACTGGCTGTGGGTTTGTCAGAGATAGCTTTTATTATTTTGACATACGTCCCATCAATACCTAATTTATTGAGAGTTTTTAGCATGAAGCGTTGTTGAATTTTGTCAAAGGCCTTTTCTGCATCTATTGAGATAATCATGTGGTTTTTGTCATTGGTTCTTTGTATATGCTGGATTATGTTTATTGATTTGCATATGTTGAGCCAGCCTTGCATCCCAGGGATGAAGCCCAGTTGATCATGGTGGATAAGCTTTTTGATGTGCTGCTGGATTCGGTTTGCCAGTATTTTATTGCAGATTTTTGCATTGATGTTCATCAGGGATATTGGTCTACAATTTTCTTTTTTTGTTGTGTCTCTGTCAGGCTTTGGTATCAGGATGATGCTGGCCTCATAAAATGAGTTAGGGAGGATTCCTTGTTTTTCTGTTGATTGGAATAGTTTCAGAAGGAATGGTACCAGTTTCTCCTTGTACCTCTGGTAGAATTCGGCTGTGAATCCATCTGGTCCTAGACTTTTTTTGGTTGGTAAGCTATTAATTATTGTCTCAATTTCAGAGCCTGTTATTGGTCTATTCAGAGATTCAACTTCTTCCTGGTTTAGTCTTGGGAGGGTGCCTGTGTTAAGGAATGTATCCATTTCTTCTAGATTTTCCAGTTTATTTGCGTAGAGTTGTTTATTGTATTCTCTGATGGTAGTTTGTATTTCTGTGGGATCGGTGGTGATATCCCCTTTATCATTTTTTATGGCGTCTATTCGATTCTTCTCTCTTTTCTTCTTTATTAGTCTTGCTAGTGGTCTATCAATTTTGTTGATCTTTTCAAAAAAGCAGCTCCTGGATTCATTGATTTTTTAAACGGTTTTTTGTGTCTCTATTTCCTTTAGTTCTGCTCTGATCTTAGGTATTTCTTGCCTTCTGCTAGCTTTTCAATGTGTTTGCACTTGCTTCTCTAGTTCTTTTAATTGTGATGTTAGGGTGTCAATTTTGGATCTTTCCTGCTTTCTCTTGTGGGCATTTAGTGCTATAAATTGCCCTCTACACACTGCTTTGAATGTGTCCCAGAGATTCTGATATGTTGTGTCTTTGTTCTCATTGGTTTCAAAGAACATCTTTATTTCTGCCTTCATTTCGTTATGTACCCAGTAGTCATTCAGGAGCAGATTGTTCAGTTTCCATGTAGTTGAGCAGTTTTGAGTGAGTTTCTTAATCCTCAGTTCTAGTTTGATTGCACTGTGATCTGAGAGACAGTTTGTTATAATTTCTGTTCTTTTACATTTGCTAAGGAGAGCTTTACTTCCAACTATGTGGTCAATTTTGGAATTAGTGTGGTGTGGTGCTGAGAAGAATGTACATTCTGTTGATTTGGGCTGGAGTGTTCTGTAGATATCTATTATGTCCACCTGGTGCAGAGCTGAGTTGAATTCCTGGATATCCTTGTAACTTTCCATCTCGATGATCTATCTAACATTGACAGTGGGGTGTTAAAGTCTCCCTTTATTATTGTGTGCGAGTCTAAGTCTCTTTGTAGATCTCTAAGGACTTGCTTTATGAATCTGGTTGCTCCTGTGTTGGGTGCATATATGTTTAGGATAGTTAGCTCTTCTTGTTGAATTGATCCCTTTACCATTATGTAATGGCCTTCTTTGTCTCTTTTGATCTTTGTTGGTTTAAAGTCTGTTTTATCAGAGACTAGGATTGCAACCCCTGCCTTTTTTGTTTTCCATTTGTTTGGTAGATCTTCTTCCATCCCTTTAGTTTGAGCCTATGTGTGTCTCTGCATGTGAGATGGGTTTCCTGAATACAGCACACTGATGGGTCTTGAGTCTTTATCCAATTTGCCAGTCTTTGTCTTTTAATTGGAACATTTAGCCCATTTACATTTAAGGTTAATATTGTTATGTGTGAATTTGATCCTTTCATTATGATGTTAGCTGGTTATTTTGCTCGTTAGTTAATGCAGTTTCTTCCTGGCCTGGATGGTCTTTACAATTTGGCATGGTTTTGCAGTGGCTGGAACCGGTTGTTCCTTTCCATGGTTAGTGCTTCCTTCAGGAGCTCTTTTAGGGCAGGCCTGGTGGTGACAAAATCTCTCAGCATTTGCTTGTCTGTAGAGGATTTTATTTCTCCTTCACTTATGAAGCTTAGTTTGGCTGGATATATTGCTAATTTTTTAAAGCCAGCGTGTTTGAAGTTTCTGTTCCAGTTAATGGGCATAGATGCATTGAAAACAACTAAGACAGAATAAACTTTCATTCCTTTACTTGGCTTAGAAGTCAGGTGCAATGGTTAATAGAAAAGTTTCTTGCAAAACTGGGCAATGGGTAAAGTTTGATGTTATTACACTTTTTAAAAAACCTGAATCTTCCCTTCCTATCTCCTGTTATCTCCAGGGAGCTGATCAACTCATTTTATCCACAGTGAAAATTCTCCCTGTACTGTTCTCAGAGGGGATTACCTCAAAATTGCACAATTGTTACAACCACTGATCCAATGCCCTGAGGACCCAGATTTCAGTTACCTGCTCCAGGAAATTATCAGATGAACCATACTGAGACCATGGCTAATACCATTGTTACGTAAATTCTGTTTCTGATAACTATTACAATGAATGAGTATGGAGTTAGTTTTCTACCAAGTAAATAGAGCATGCTCATTATTTAAATTGAAAGAACAAACAATGTACAAAAGAGATTATTTTGTTGAAGAAGGCAAAAAAACCCAGCTGCTCTATTAACATTTTGGGCTATTCCCGCTTTGGATTTTTTGTTGTCTTTTTTGCTGTCCTTGAGACTATGCTTTCATTTTCTCCTCTTGGTTTGTTTTTCAAATGTATCATTCTGTATATAATATATAGTTTGGATACTTTCCACATGAAAAGTGGTTAAGGGAAATTATTTTCATAGTATAACTTCTGGAATACATTGCTGTTTAAAACTTGATTTTTATTAATTATATATTTCCTTCAATATTTCAAACATCTTTAATATGGTAGAGAGCATAGTGAATATAAAGTTTGTGTTCATTTAATGTAATTTGTATTGAAAAATACAAGAGAACATAATATGTATGTGTGTGTAGTCAAAGGATAATTATGAAATGAAATGGTAGGTAAGCACAATCACATCACATGATCACCCTGCCTGATTACATCTCTCTCACTGTCTCTAGGGTTAACCAGTGTATTTACGTTTGTTATGAACTTTGCCTTGATTTTTAATAGTTTTTCTAAATAATAAAAAATAGTTTGGTTTTTGCCCATTTTAAACATTATATAAATATAAAATTATGTTTTCTTTTGTGACTTTTTACCTTGTTTTTTCTTGATATATCCATTTGTGAGATTTACCTAGTTTAATTCACATAACTATATTTGGTAATTTTTATATACAAATTAGTATCCTGTTATATAAATATGCCACTATGTATGCATCTACTTGCATTATTCTCAGTAACAACACTTCAAGGTCAATGGAAAGGTCAGAGTTTCCATGGATGTCAAGTAGTAAGCAGCACCAAGGGGGTAACACACTCCCCTGCTATACATTTCATTGATTTTCCTTCAATATGCTAATGACTAAGTATAAGCAACTGTGAAAAAAAAATTAGATAGCATAGATTACTTGGTACAAGTGTTGAATGATTGAATTTTCCTCTCTCTCTCGTGCTCCCCCTCCCCCTCCCCTTCCCCCTCTTTCTCCTTCTCCTTCTCCTTCTTCTTCTTCTTCTTCTCTTTCTCACCTCTGTTTCTGCCTGAATTACTGCTCAGCCCTGGTCACTGCACCAAATGACCACTGCTTGTGGATGTAAACAAAAGAGGTCATCTTATCAATGTTTGGCAGTCCACAGCCAACTCCACACTTTTTGACTCAGGGAGTAGGTGTTTGGTGTTAATTAGTAGGGTTAATTTATATGCCATTTGAAAGTGTACTAGATACTTCAAGTGGACCTATCATTTTATTAGTTTATGTTGCATCAACCATATTCTGATTGATTATGCTCAATGTGTTATACATCCCTTGCATAACTATTACATGAGTGGTTTGCATAACATACTAGCTATGAAACTTTTCAAAAATATATTTCAGAAACTTCTGGTACCTTCCAAAACATGTGTATTACAATTTTCTATAACCTTGAAGCAACTATTTTTAAAATAACAAATTGCTTTCCAGCAAGTAAAAATGCCTCTGAGAAAGCCAATTTTAATCTCAGTGAACATATTTATACTCATATATTAAATTGTAGGATGAGGCATACTTGGTAAGCTTCATTTGACACGTAATAGACCATTCCAGTCGTTGATCATTGTTTCAATTCAGGTCTTCTGAGAAGCAAACACCAGCAGGGGATTAAAAGTACAAGAGATTTCCTAGGGGCAACCCTGTTAAGAATCCACTGAAGAGATTGAAAGTAGGGGGAAGTCTTCATGCTACATTGCAGGTCTGACAACAGTTTAAGGAAGAATTGGGCAAGAAGAATCCAGATTACTGCACAGTTTTAAGAGAGTTTTGATCAGAATAGTGGGGAGTCCCCAAGTCAAAATTTCTCAGTAAAGGAGCTCCATGTCCTACAGAAATGAGCCAGCATTGATACCTTGCCATGCTCAGTCATTGGCTAACAACAGCCTGGGGAATATGTGGTCTGGTTGTGAACATTATGGTGATTTCATAAGAGTGGCCACTGGGCTGTTAACTATGCTCCCTGCAGCCAGTTCTCTTGTTGAAGATTGAGCAGCACATTTCAATTGCTGCCACCACTTATCCCCACAAATGTGCTTTTCATTAGGAAGTATCTCAGGAAAGGGAGGCTCAAGGGAATCAAGTATCCATTCCTTCTTACAATGGGGCAAGGTAGCACTGAGAGACACCCAGTGAACAGTGAGATTTCACCAATAATCCTTTTTGTTTTCCCTGTATAAAAGCAGGCATAACTTCTCCTGCTGAACTGGGTCACTTACTCTTGCTTAGATGATAACACTGTTTCTTGCCTGTTGGTCCCTAGACCAAAAATATATCTGAAGGACATTGGCAATAGCTACACCATGTACATCAATGGCAATGTTTCTGTGTTCCCTTTGAGGAGATCTGAGTTTCAGGGTCAAATAACACAGTTTCCCAGTTGATCATTGAGAATCTTGTTAAGTGAGGCCAGCACTCTTCTTGCTAATTGGTACTTGGATTCTTTCTACTGATATATGGCATAATATACACATCTTGAGTTTAATGTATCTACTATATTCTGAAAGCATCTCATCCTTTCAGAATATTGCCTCTAAGGAGGTGCTTTACCTGTGCCTCTACTAAGGTGTTTAGCACTTTACTAGGCTAGCAGCTTCCAGATGGTGTGTTATATAATACAATCGGTAGATCATATGATTAAGGGTCTATTCCTGTATCTTCTTCTCTGTGTAGTGGGGCCCCTGGTGAAATGTTGTATTATGTGGTGCCATGAAGTAAACATTTTAAGAAGCTCTTACAGACACTGACTTAGGCTCTTTCGGCAGGAAAGGCAAAATCATGCCCAAGAGAAGTATCTAAACTACTGAACTTTATAGGACAGGAAGAGTTTAAAATTGTTGTCTAGTTAACAATTGACCAGTTGCTTCTTGAGGAATGATGTTATGTTTTGGGCTTACTGTTGGTTTCTGTACCTGGCAGTTGACTATTCAGAGATAATATTAGCTATATGATCTCAGTAAATGGGAGTCAGTGTTACGGAGCCCACAAATACCTTCCGTATCTGCCACTGTGGCTACTTCATACATGTGCCATTATGCCTGATCTTATATAACCAATGAAGAAAAGCTAATGCTAACTGACCAAGTCATTTTGTAGACCTGAAGTTTGAGTGTGTTTTCAGATGCATACTTTCTGGTGAGCATTAACATATAAATACAATATCTTCATAATTTATGCCTACTCCAAATGTCTGTTCACATGCCTGTACTCTTCCTTGTCTCTGATCCTCCAGTCGTTTTCCTTCCCAGTCTCCTGCCATTAACCACTTTCCAGAATCTATACCTATTGTTACCTCTGACCACTTCTTCCATACAGAGTAGATTACTAGGTACACCACTTGCCGCTTTATCCACTAAGAAACTTCTCCATCTTAATTATCTTATAATGCCACCCATAAATGTAACAGTAATGTAGCTGCCTTTATTTTTTTGTCTTGTATGTAAGCTGACTCAACAACAAAGCAGGACAGGTATGGTGGCTCACACCTGTAATCTCAGCACTTTGGGAGGCTGAGGTGGGTGGATCGCCTGAGGTCAGGAGTTTGAGACCGGCCTGGCCAACGTGGTGAAACGACGTTTCTACTAAAAATACAAAAAATTAGCTGGGCATGGTGGCATGTGACTGTAATCCCAGCTACTTGGGATGCTGAGGCAGGAGAATCACTTGAACCTGGAAGGCAGAGGTTGCAGTGAGCCGAGATTGTGCCACCACACTCCAGCCTGGGCAACAAGAACAAAACTCAGTCTCCAAAAAAATAAAAATAAAAATAATAAAATAAAATTAAATTAAATACAATAACAAAGCAATCTCAGAATTATCCTCTTTTTTCTGCTGGTCATATGTTACTCCACATACAAAGGTACAAACAGAAGAAAGTAAAACCATGGTGGGTGCCATGGGTTTCTGGGCTACCAATAACCTATGTCTGTAGCTCACTCATAACTTCTGGTTTGGTTTGTCCTCAAACCTATATTTATAGACTGTTTCTAAGCCCTTCCAAGTAAGTAGGTCCCAACTTGGTAGATCTAACAGAATCATGCTAAAAAGAAAAAGATCTGAATACAGGCCATTTGGTTTCCTCTGGTTAAGATAATTCTTAATGGCTTAGGGTAAGCATATCATTATTTACTGCAGATGAAATGATGTTGTCCCCAAACACCAAATAATTAAAGTGTAATTCCTCTACAGCAGAGAATGTGGTTCGTGCTATGGACTTGCCATTGAATCCTTTCATCTTTTGTCAATTCTGACACGATAAGGTCTACGAATAGTATGTACCAAGTGGTGGGACTGGTTGCGTGGCAGCCTCAATTTGTTGTAGAGTTTTCCTAGCCTAGGTTCTTTTTACATATAGCCACTTTTGCCATCTGATATATTCCTAGGTGTGGACTCTGATGTTTCCAGAATCCAAAGAAGTCTACAGGACTGATATGGTTTGGCTGTGTCCCCACCCAAATCTCAAATTGTAGCTCCCATAATTTCCACATGTCATGGGAGGCACCAGGTGGGAGGTAACTGAATCATGAGAGCAGGTCTTTCCTGTGCTCTTCTCATGACAGTGAATAAGCCTCACATGATCTGATGATTTTATAAAGGGGAGTTCCCCTGGACATGCTCTCTCTTGCCTGCTGCCATGCAAGACATAACTTTGCTCCTCCTTTGCCTTCCACCGTGATTGTGAGGCCTCCTCAGCCATGTGGAACTGTGAATCAATTAAACCTCTTTCTTTTAAAAATTACCCAGTCTCAGGTATGTCTTTATTAGCAGCATGAGAACAGACTAATACAAGGATACTGCTTATTGCTTCTTTGTGAATGATATTATAATATGAGATGAAGTGATATGTCTTTTAGTTTGGTGGGGAATATCCTGGAATGCTTTTCAGCACTGAATAGACAACCATTTTCTGAATTGGTAGGTACTCAAAACTTCATAGGGTTAATCTCTCACCTGCTGAAATACATTCATCTTACTAAAGCTTCCAGTACATTAACCGTCTCTTGGTTGCCTAATCTAGTTAGTCAGATGTGCTTAATGTAGTAGGTCAATGTTATGGTTTGTATTTCACACCACCCAGCACTGACATACCATGAACCAAACATCTGTTGTGATATAGCTTAACCTGGAAGGAAGTCAGGGATTCTTGCACAGAGAAAATAACATCTTCTGCAACAGGCAAAGACTCACAGTCATTGACAGAGTAGAACAAACTTTTCATGTAGATCAGAAGGACAGAAGATGCAGCATGGGTGGAAACCGGTTTTATTTGAGAGATAAATGAAGATTGCCCTGACCCAAATAACAATCCTACACTTCTTTTACAGTACCTTTAACTTCTACCAACAGAGATTGTTTATATTGTAAACAATGTCTAAGAACCTCCTGTTAAATTACAAATATCTCTAAAAGAGAAAATGTACTATTCCATTGTCAACTTCTAATAAAATAGATTAAGCAATTGCTTCTCAAAAGATTTGTCAGGGTTTTAAGAGGAGCAGCCATGCATTTGGGGATAGTAATGAGAAAGAAACAAATTTATTTCAACTCTCTTCTTTAAATTTTACTATGTGATTTCTCATTACCCAAAACAAAATAAAGTAGTTATCCTTGGCATGGAATATAAAATCATCCCTAATCTAGGCCTTGCTAACCTGGGCATTCTTTTTATCACCTGTTTTCCATTTATATATCATTTTAGCCACATCAAATTTTTATTATTTCCATTGTCTCAAGACATCCTCTGTCAGTTAACTAAACTCTACTCATTATTCAATACGTAAGTGAGGGCTTACTTCTGTGAAGTCTTTCATGCTTGTCTTCCCTCAAACTTTTCCTCAGGCTTGATTAGGTGAGTTTCCTATGAGCTCCCATAATATACTACAAATTTATCTCTTTATATTTGTCTTGTTAATGTTCAGATTATATATATATTTCTCCCAATAAAATGAAAGGTAGAGGCATTGCCAAGTGACCTTGATATATTGAGCCATAAAGACAGTGGCAGCACATAATAGGTGCTCAACAAACAAGTAGATAGATGATTAAATTACCACAGATCCAGGGGACCTCTCATGATGAACAGACATCAAACAGACACCACAATGAGTGTTCTTTGGACTACATAAGAAATGGTAAACCTAAAATATTGCTTTCATCAGATTTTTTACTGAGAGTCACCCTTATAAAACAAAATTATTTACTCTGATGCATATACTGTATACTCCCCAAGTGCATGAAGTTAGCTCTGGAGGTGTCTTATAAGTTACTTTTATAAATCACCAGAGAAAAGATTGTGAAATAATAACTAAGTGTTTGGGGAATTTGCAATAAGCCCTAATGCATACAGAGAGTAAACTAAGTGGTATGCATCATTAAAAAATAAAAATATTTTCTTCTTCATATTTTAAACCCTTTAACTGCATTTAAATATTTAAAGCTTAGACTCTTCAGAGGAAATGAAAGCACCGTGGATGTCTCTGGAGGGATGCTTCCATCCAGTGCTCCTGAGCTAATGTCAATATTTACATGTTTTAAAAGTCATCTGTAAATGGCAGGAATTCTTCATCCTGAAATAGTTTGGTTCTGGTTCAGCCTAACAAGCTACAGATGTTTATAACAGAATCCACATCCTGCAAACCCTTTTAACTTATAATGCAATTTATCTTGCCTCAAAGTCACTTACGTAAAACTTGACTACCATTTTCCACATATTTTGCTTTTTAAAAAATAATTGAGATAATGACTGTTAAATGCCTACTTTATTGGAGACAGTATACTGGAGCTAACTATGCATTGTCTCCAATCTTTGCCCCTAGTTAAGTATGCTATTTGTATACTTAACTTAGATAAGGGAACTAATGTTTAGAAAGGATAAGTGACTAATTCAAGGAGTAGCTGCAAATATTTTAGGATATAGGGTTGTAGAAAGAAACTTTTCAGGACATCCAATTGTTTAAACCTATACTAAAAGTTAACTGAGTATTTGCAAGCATAATTATTAAAAACAAAGTAAAAAAGGCCTAAAAATGAACATACACAATCCCAGTAGAAAAGAGTATGAGGTAAGAATGCATAGAGGGGACAAATGAAATTCATATAAAAATATTACATTGTATAAATTATAAATTTCTCCATAGTTTATGCATTTATTCCAGAATATGTGGAAATATTTATTATACTGACTCTAATACATGTATAACATATGTGTAAATATGCATACAAAATACAAAAGAATCAAAATTACATTCAAGATTATAAGGACAGAAGAAAAATGTCCAGGTTAATAGAAACCTCATAACATGTTCCTACTTATTTAGATTAGTTTTATTTAATTATGTTTTAAATTATATAAATGTCAGGTTACTAGTTGGTGAAGATTGTTAGAAACAATTTGCAAATCAGATATAAAGCAGAGAGGGAAGAAGGCACAGAAGAAAAAGTTAAGAAAGAGAAGGTTGAGAAGACAGATAAGGAGACTGATTATTAATCAACTTTGCAGATTTTAAATTAAATATGTAAAAATATTTTCAACCATATATGGATAAATTAGACTATGGTGCAGAGGCTTATTTAAATTACTTTAATTTCAATAATATCAACAAATTTTATTTGACCTCTTCATCATAAAATGCAAGTTGCATCATGCCATTCCAAAGGAAGAAAAGGAAATGCACTTATTATCTTTCATTCTAAATGAAGAAAACAGAAATGCATTTATGACCGCAAATAAGTTTCTCAGGCAGATAAAACAAGTGGTATGTTCTACCTTGCCCCATCTTATTTTATTGTCTCTCATTGATCATTGAAAGACTTGAGGTTTTGATCACTTATCTCAAATCAGATTATTATTTTCTGAAATATAATTACTGTAATTTATTATTTATTGCCATCTTGTTGTGTAATTCAGAGCATGATAGAATGCTATTGGAGCAGTATCTCCTAGGTTAATCTACTCTACAATACTCACACTTAAAAATTTAAAAAGAAATAAAAATACTGTAAAAGAAAATGTTTATGTACATGTGTAACAGAAACAAAACTCACTATCAATTTAATGACACATTTTACTAATAAGGTTGAGGAAAAATTAAATATTTCAATGTGTTTTAAATAAAATGTTACCTCTTTAAAGAAGTACTATATAAAATTTAAATGTGAAGAATGTTATTGGTGTTTTATTTTTAAATAAATTACAAACATATTTATTAATTGGTCTATGCCTTTAGGGGACTCATTTAGAAGCTAGGTATCATCAAATAATTGAATCTGCAACAGGATTGGGAAAAAATAGATCAAAATTAAGAAGATAACTCAGTAATTTCCTGGCCAAGAATTAGAAAGCTTCACATATTTATAAGAAATCAGAATACCTATTTACAGGGGAAAGGAATGTAGTTAAGTAAATTTGACACCAGTGTAATATTTTTCTCCACTTTGTCTTTAAAGTATATCTATATAAATTAGAGTGTACTTGGACTGAATAACTTTTTGAGTTTCTTCCAGTTAGGTGATTGCTAGACATGACAGTATTTCTTTTCACTCACCATAGTACCAGAATAATATTGACTTAAAAATCTAGTCATTCATGGATATACACCTGAGTCTGAAGGGTCAATGGTTTATAAAAGAGCCTGTGTCTGTCCTGGCATGGTTCTGAACATTTGGCAGGATTTATTCAAAAAGGTTCGAGAGGCATTTCTGGCAGAAACATACAGCGATGCTTACTTTCACTGTTCTTGGCTCTAGCTGGTGCTATTTAGCCATCATTTTATGAAAACGTGAACACAAAGCTCAGTCATGCCTTTTAGAGTGGAGAAAAAGAGCTAAGCTAAAAATAGGCCATCATTTCATTGAGCTGCAGTCACGCAGTCTTACCTGGTGTGCATTTGTTGCTAACTGGCCAACTCCCCCAAAGTAGATAGTGGAGTTTTCTTGGCCTATCCTTTCATGTGCAGATATGATTCAGACTATGAAGTTTTATTTAATTCTAAGTGCTATAGAGCAAAAATTTGCCTTGTAACAAGATAGTGAATCTTGATCAACTCTAGCTGTGGAATAGTTTACCGATATCTAAGAATAAAGAGAGAAAAATGTGTTTCCTCCTTAAAAATATAATATCCAACATTGTTGAATTTGTCTTTTTATAACTAATTTAGTTCTAACACATCGAATAGAAAAGGTTCTTTACAAGAGCATGGCCTAGGGCCTAGGTGCTCAATTAGTATTTTTCAATTAAATTTGACTTTGATTTCATAGTAAAAAAAAATGTTGATAAATTTTAAAGACTATAATCATACTTTTTGCAACTAAACAAATAAATAATAATCCATCCTGTTTCTAATAGTTAACATACTTTTGGAAATGAGGTTTGGTAGATCTACAAAAATATTTCATATTATTTTATCTTTAATATGTTTCAATGCTTGCACCAATTATTAAAGTTAGAACAACAAATATACAAATAAAATATTTAAAAGTGATTATATTGCAAATACAGTATTTTAAAATCTATTTTAATACAAAATATTACAAAATGATTTACAACTTTTTCATTAACACAGTGACAGATAAAAATTCAACATTCTTTTATCTCCAATTCTGCAATTCTATCATATTATAGTGGCCAATAATGAACATTACAGATATATTCTCTCAGATATTTTTCTTTGTTCAAAAACGTACTTAAAAAATATTTTTAATATGTTATTTTTCTTTGCTTTTTTTGTTTTAAACAGTCATATGTCTTTTATTTTACTTTTTTTTTCGTGTTGTCAAATGTGATTTTTTGTTTGTTTGTCTTTGTTTTTTTAAATTTCAGTAGCTTTTGGAGTACAAGTGGTTTTTGGTTACATGGAAGAATTGTATAGTGGTGAAGTCTGAGATTTCAGCGCACCCATCATCTAAGTAGCATACATTGTACCCAATATGTACTTTTTTCTTTTTATCTCTCACCACTCTTCCCCAACTTGTTCCCCTTCTATCTGAGTCTCCAATGTCCATTACACCATACCGTTTGCCTTTGTGTATCTTTAACTTAGTTCCCACTTATAAGTGAGAACATATGATATTAGTTTTTCTATTCCATTACTTCATTCTTTTTTATAACTGAGTAGTATTTCATAGTGTATACATACTACATTTTCTTTATCCACTCATCAGTTGATAGGCACTTAGGTTGGTTCTGTATCTTTGCAATTGTGAATTGTGCTGCAATAAACATATGTGTGCAGATGTCTTTTTGATATGGCTTTTTTCCTTTGGGTAGATACCCATTAGTGTGATTCCTATATCAAATAGTAGATCTACTTCTAGTTCTTTGAGAAATCTCCATACTGCTTTCCACAAAGGTTGTAGTAATTTATATTCCTACCAGCAGTGTATAAATATTTCCTTTTCACCCCATCCACACAAACGTCTATTGTTTTTTGACTTTTTAATAATGGCCATTTTGGCTGAAGTAAGGTGACATCTCATTGTGGTTTTAATTTGCATTTATCTGATGATTTGTTTGTTGGCCAATTGTATATCTTATTTTGAAAAGTGTCTATTCATATCATTTGCCCACTATTTGGTGGGATTATGTTTTCTTGCTGATGTCACCTGAGTAATATGCCTTTTGCACAATGTGTATTTTTTTATTCCTCCCCTCATCTCCCACTCTCCTCCTTTCTGAGTCTCCAATGTTCGTTATACCATTTAGGGTCTATTATAGATTGTGGGTTCCTTATAGATTCTGAATATTAGTCCTTTGTTGGATTCATAGTTTGTAAATATTTTCTCCCATTCTGTGGGTTTTCTGTTCACTTTGATGATTGTTTCTTTTGCTGTGCAGAAGCTTTTAGTTTAATTAGGTCTCATTTATTTATTTTTGTTTTTGTTGCATTTGTTTTTGGGGTATTAGTCAAAATGCTTTGCCTCAGCAATATTGAGAAGAGTTTTTCCTAGGTTTTCTTCTATAATTTTTATGTTTTCGGGTCTTAGATTTAATTCTTTAATCCATCTTGAGTTGATTTTTGTACCTGATGAGAAATAGGGATCCAAGTTCATTCTTCTATATGTGGCTATCCAGTTTTCGAAGCATCATATACCGAATAGGGTGTTATTTCCTCAGTTTATGTTTCTGTATGTTTTGTCGAAGATCAATTGGTTGTAAGCATTTGACTTTATTACTGGGTTCTGTATTCCATTCCATTGGTCTATGTATCTACTTTTATAACAGTACCATGCTCTTTTGGTTACCATACCCTTGTAGTATAATTTGAAGTCAGATAATGTAATGCCTCCAGATTTTTGTCTTTTTGCTTAGAATTTCTTTAGCCACTTGGGTGCTTTTTTGGTTCCATGTGCATTTTAGAATTGGTTTTTCTCAATCTGTGAAGAATGATGTTGGCACTTTGATAGGGATTGCATTGAATCTGTAGATTGCTTTGAGCAATATGTATCACTCTATACTATATAATTAAGAGAGGTAGAATTTTATTCATATTGTAAACCTTGTTCCTTTCCAAGTTGTCCTGGATTTAATTATTTATATTACTACAAGATATTTCAACCATAAAAATGGAATTTTGTTCGCTAGAAACTTTCTGGATTGTATCAAATCTGCAACTTTCTGGAGTCTATTAAATTTCTGCTGAAAGAGTATGAAAATGTATATTCTAAATAAGTAGGAAAACTTATTTCTTATTATGACTGCCTCATGTTTTTGATAATTCATGATACTGTCATATTTTTTTTCCAGATCTTTAGAGTGAAAATGTTATCCCATTGATATATTTTTATTATTATTATTATTATTATTATTATTATACTTTAAGTTTTAGGGTACATGTGCACAATGTGCAGGTTAGTTACATATGTATACATGTGCCATGCTGCTGTGCTGCACCCATTAACTCGTCATTTAGCGTTAGGTATATCTCCTAATGCTATCCCTCCCCCCTCCCACCACCTCCAACAGTCCCCAGAGTGTGATGTTCCCCTTCCTGTGTCAATGTGTCCTCATTGTTCAATTCCCACCTATGAGTGAGAACATGCGGTGTTTGGTTTTTTGTTCTTGCAATAGTTTACTGAGAATGATGATTTCCAATTTCATCCATGTCCCTACAAAGGACATGAACTCATAATTTTTATGGCTGCATAGTATTCCATGGTGTATAGGTGCCACATTTTCTTAATCCGGTCTATCATTGTTGGACATTTGGCTTGGTTCCAAGTCTTTGCTACTGTGAATAGTGGTGCAATAAACATACGTGTGCATGTGTCTTTCTAGCAGCATGATTTATAGTTCTTTTGGTATATACTCAGTAATGGGATGGCTGGGTCAAATGGTGTTTCTAGTTCTAGATCCCTGAGGAATCGCCACACTGACTTCCACAATGGTTGAACTAGTTTACAGTCCCACCAACAGTGTAAAAGTGGTCTTATTTCTCCACATCCTCTCCAGCACCTGTTGATTCCTGACTTTTTAATGATTGCCATTCTAACAGGTGTGAGATGGTATCTCATTGTGGTTTTGATTTGCATTTCTCTGATGGCCAGTGATGATGAACATTTTTCACGTGTTTTTTGGCTGCATAAATGTCTTCTTTTGAGAAGTGTCTGTTCATGTCCTTTGCTCACTTTTTGATGGGGTTGTTTGTTTTTTTCTTGTAAACTTGTTTGAGTTCATTGTAGATTCTCGATATTAGCCCTTTGTCAGATGAGTAGATTGCAAAAATTTTCTCCCATTTTTTAGGTTGCCTGTTCACTCTGATGGTAGTTTCTTTGCTGTGCAGAAGCTCTTTAGTTTAATGAAATCCCATTTGTCAATTGTGGTTTTTGTTGCCATTGCTTTTGGTGTTTTAGACATGAAGTCCTTGCCCATGCCTATGTACTGAATGGTAATGCCTAGGTTTTCTTCTAGGGTTTTTATGGTTTTAGGTCTAATGTTTAAGTCTTTAATCCATCTTGAATTAATTTTTGTATAAGGTGTAAGGAAGGGATCCAGTTTCAGCTTTCTACATATGGCTAGCCAGTTTTCCCAGCACCATTTATTAAATAAGGAATCCTTTCCCCATTGCTTGTTTTTCTCAGGTTTGTCAAAGATCAGATAGTTGTAGCTATGCGGTGTTATTTCTGAGGGCTCTGTTCTGTTCCATTGATCTATATCTCTGTTTTGGTACCAGTACCATGCTGTTTTGGTGACTGTAGCCTTGTAGTATAGTTTGAAGTCAGGTAGCGTGATACCACCAGCTTTGTTCTTTTGGCTTAGGATTGACTTGGCAATGTGGGCTCTTTTTTGGTTCCATATGAACTTTAAAGTAGTTTTTTCCAATTCTGTGCAGAAAGTCATTGGTAGCTTGATGGGGATGGCATTGAATCTATAAATTATCTTGGGCAGTATGGCCATTTTCATGATATTGATTCCTCCTACCCATGAGCATGGAATGTTCTTCCATTTGTTTGTATTCTCTTTTATTTCATTGAGCAGTGGTTTGTAATTCTCCTTGAAGAGGTCCTTCACGTCCCTTGTAAGTTGGATTCCTAGGTATTTTATTCTCTTTGAAGCAATTGTGAATGGGAGTTCACTCATGATTTGGCTCTCTGTGTGTCTGTTATTGGTGTATAAGAATGCTTGTGATTTTTGTACATTGATTTTGTGTCCTGAGACTTTGCTGAAGTTGCTTATCAGCTTAAGGAGATTTTGGGCTGAGACAATGGGGTTTTCTAGATATACAATCATGTCATTTGCAAACAGGGACAATTTGACTTCCTCTTTTCCTAATCGAATACCCTTTATTTCCTTCTCCTGCCTAATTGCCCTGGCCAGAACTTCCAACACTATGTTGAATAGGAGTGGTGAGAGAGGGCATCCCTGTCTTGTGCCCGTTTTCAAAGGGAATGCTTCCAGTTTTTGCCCATTCAGTATGATATTGGCTGTGGGTTTGTCATAGATAGCTCTTATTATTTTGAGATACGTCCCATCAATACCTAATTTATTGAGACTTTTTAGCATGAAGGGTTGTTGAATTTTGTCAAAAGGCTTTTTCTGCATCTGTTGAGATAATCGTGTGGTTTTTGTCTTTCGTTCTGTTTATATGCTGGATTACGTTTATTGATTTGCGTATGTTGAACCAGACTTGCATCCCAGAGATGAAGCCCACTTGATCATGGTGGATAAGCTTTTTGATGTGCTGCTGGATTCGGTTTGCCAGGAGTTTATTGAGGATTTTTGCATCAATGTTCATCAAGGATATTGGTCTAAAATTCTCTTTTTTTGTTGTGTCTCTGCCAGGCTTTGGTATCAGGATGATGCTGGCCTCCTAAAATGAGTTAGGGAGGATTCCCTCTTTTTCTATTGATTGGAATAGTTTCAGAAGGAATGGTACCAGTTCCTCCTTGTACCTCTGGAACAATTCGGCTGTGAGTCCATCTGGTCGTGGACTCTTTTTGGTTGGTAAGCTATTGATTATTGACACAATTTCAGAGCCTGTTATTGGTCTATTCAGAGAGTCAACTTCTTCTTGGTTTAGTCTTGGGAGAGTGTGTGTGTTGAGGAATTTATCCATTTCTTCTAGATTTTCTAGTTTATTTGCGTAGAGGTGTTTATAGAATTCTCTGATGGTAGTTTGTATTTCTGTGGGATCAGTGGTGATATCCCCTTTATCATTTTTTAGTGCATCTATTTGATTCTTCTCTCTTTTCTTCTTTATTAGCCTTGCTAGTGGTCTATCAATTTTGTTGATCCTTTCAAAAAACCAGCTCCTGGATTCATTAATTTTTTGAAGGATTTTTTGTGTCTCTATTTCCTTCAGTTCTGCTCTGATTTTAGTTATTTCTTGCCTTCTGCTAGCTTTTGAATGTGTTTCCTCTTGCTTTTTTAGTTCTTTTAATTGTGATGTTAGGGTGTCAATTTTGGATCTTTCCTGCCTTCTCTTGTCGCATTTAGTGCTATAAATTGCCCTCTACACACTGCTTTGAATGTGTCCCAGAGATTCTGGTGTGTTGTGTCTTTGTTCTCGTTGGTTTCAAAGAACATCTTTATTTCTGCCTTCATTTCATTATGTACCCAGTAGTCATTCAGGAGCAGGTTGTTCAGTTTCCATGTAGTTGAGCAGTTTTGAGTGAGTTTCTTAATCCTGAGTTCTAGTTTGATTGCACCGTGTTCTGAGAGGCAGTTTGTTATAATTTCTGATCTTTTACCTTGCTGAGGAGAGCTTTACTTCCAACTATGTCGTCAATTTTGGAATAGGTGTGGTGTGGTGCTGAAAAAAATGTATATTCTGTTGATTTGTGGTGGAGAGATCTGTAGATGTCTATTAGGTCCGCTTGGTGCAGAACTGAGTTCAATTCCTGGATATCCTTGTTAACTTTCTGTCTCGTTGATCTGTCTAATGTTGACAGTGGGGTGTCAAAATCTCCCATTATTATTGTGTGGGAGTCTAGGTCTCTTTGTAGGTCACTCAGGACTTGTTTTATGAATGTGGATGCTCCTGTATTGGGTGCATATATATTTAGGATAGTTAGCTCTTCTTGTTGAATTGATCCCTTTACGATTATGTAATGGCCTTCTTTGTCTCTTTTGATCTTTGTTGGTTTAAAGTCTGTTTTATCAGAGACTAGGATTGCAACCCCTGCCTTTTTTTTGTTTTCCATTGGCTTTGTAGATCTTCCTCCATCCTTTTGTTTTGAGCCTATGTGTGTCTCTGCACGTGAGATGGGTTTCTTGAATACAGCACACTGATGGGTCTTGACTCTTTATCCAATTTGCCAGTCTGTGTCCTTTAATTGGAGAATTTAGTCCATTTACATTTAAAGTTAATATGGTTATGTGTGAATTTGTTCCTGTCATTATGATGTTAGCTGGTTATTTTGCTCATTAGTTGATGCATTTTCTTCCTAGCTTTGATGGTCTTTACAATTTGGCATGATTTTGCAGTGGGTGGTTCCAGTTTTTCCTTTCCATGTTTAGCGCTTCCTTCAGGAGCTTTTTTAGGGCAGGTCTGGCGTTGACAAAATCTCTCAGCATTTGCTTGTCTGTAAAGCATTTTATTTCTCCTTCACTTATGAAGCTTAGTTTGGCTGGATATGAAATTCAGGGTTGAAAATTCTTTTCTTTAAGAATGTTGAATATTGGCCCCCACTCTCTTCTGGCTTGTAGAGTTTCTGCCGAGACATCCGCTGTTAGGCTGATGGGCTTCCCTTTGTGGGTAACCCGACCTTTCTCTCTGGCTGCCCTTAACATTTTTTCGTTCATTTCAACTTTGGTGATTCTGACAATTATGTGTCTTGGAGTTGCTCTTCTCGAGGAGTAACTTTGTGGCATTCTCTGTATTTCCTGAATCCCCATTGATATTTTAATTGGACCTCCGCTTTGGTGACTTGTTGACTCATCATTTTACCTGCTAAAAATATCTACTTTATTGACTTTGTGAATATTACTTCTATCTTTTTACTTTCTTTAGTATCTTGTGTGTGTGTGTGTGTGTGTGTGTGTGTATGTGTGTGTATGTGTGTAGTATCGAATGGAAATTGTACTACTAAATGTCCAAACAAGAACTTCTGATATTTATTCCCAAACTGTCAGCTCCATCTTTTCTTTTCTGTTCCCCAGGGCCAAACTTTTGGAATCACTTTTTACATCTCTTGCATACTCCCTCAGCAAATGCCATCATCACTAAACTTCTATCACTGCTATCATCTGATTTTAGACAGCATAACTTCCTGCCTGGAATGTGACAGTTATCTCCTTATTGGTCTCCTTCTTCAGTCCTTTCCCTTTATAGTGTATTTGCAAAATGAAATAATGTCATTCACTGTAAAATAAACTCTTCACATCCTTGTCTTAGTAAAAACAGAATCTTTAGTTTGGTCTATAAGCTGCGACATCTGATGCACTTTCCATTATCTGACCTCATGTCCTAGCACTTCCCCTGGTTTACTCAGAAACACTGGCTTTCTGGAAGTTCCAATGACACACTGGAGACACCTAGGCTTTACAGCCTTCTTGCTTGTCTGCTCAAGTCCCTCTTCTTAGAATGCTCTTTCCTCAATTATCCACATGGTTTCTTTGTCTTCTTCTTATTATTAATTATTATTATTTGCTATTTTCTGAAACATTACCTTCAAATAAACCTATATGTTTATATTTTTAAATTGCAAAATAATCCTCAACATCTTCCTGTCCTATTGTATTTTCATCCACAGTACTTATCATCATGGAATGTATTATATATTTCACTTACTTTCTTACTTATCTTTATTCTAATACTTTAATCATATTTTATCCAGAGTTCAATATTTTTCTTGAAGTAAATCTTCAATTATTTATCATTTTTGGCAAACTTGTTTTTTGTTCATTTGAATTTTTTCCCTCTCTCTTATGATTTGAGCATAGAATTATATGATGAAAGTGCTTTTTATAAAATATTTTTGCTGATATATTTTTATTGAATTTAATGTTCCATTGATAAGGTAATGATTCTGCCAATCCAGTGTAGTTTTTATTGTCAATCTGTATATTCTTTCAGATTCAGCATTAAAAAAAAATCATGTTTTTTGTTGTTTGTTTTCCTAAAGCTTCACTTCAAATGTTTGTGTAGACTGCTTTTGATGTGTGCTACCCAGTGGTTGATTTGTATCTTCAATCTAAACATTTATGTCTTTTAAAATTTTCGTAATATTGCTTCTTTAACTTTGTAATATTACTTCTATCTTTTTACTTTTTATATGATCTATTAGATATACATATATATAATTAAATGTATTGCTAGGCTAAACAGTTTATCCTTCATACCTCTTATAAAACAGTAAACACATTTTTATTTAGATAAAACAGTACAGCAAAATAATAAGTATCTGGCTGTGTACTTTTCATAAATAAGCATCTCCTTTCTCTATTGTAGAGCAATATAAAGAATATTACCAGTATTACCATCCCAAGAATAGCAGCATTGTTTTGCCAAGAGACACAGAGTAGGAGGGGTAGTTTCAGAGGCTTTTGCTTGTCCTTTCACACTACATTGCCACTTAAATCCATGCTCATGAAATCAATGTGAAGGCTCTGTTACTACCAAGTATATTCATCCTTATTATAAATTGCAGGCTTGGTGAAATGACCACTGGTTAAGTTTATTGGCCTAGTAGACCAACTCTGAGCCAGACCCTGACAAGGATTTTATTTGTTACCTTATCCACATATTTTTCTTTCCCTAATGAGAAGCCATGGTGGCATTTTGAATACTGAGTATCAATTCAAGTATCATATCCAATAATTAATTAATGGTCTGGTTACTCTTTTCTCCCAATTAACAGTTTTCTCATATACTAGCTAGAGTTCTCCAGAAAAACATTAGCAATAGGATGTGTGTATATACAGAGACATTTGTTTAAAGAAATCAGCTCATTTGATTATGGAGGTTGGCAAGTCCAAAATCTGAAAAGTGAGTTGACATGTTGCTGACCCAGGAAAGAGCCAACATTGCCATTTGAATACTAAGGCTATCTATCTTCTGGCAGAATTCTCATCCCTACCTTATTAGGATGTGTTTTCTCATTTAGTGAAAGAGTTAATAGTCTTATAACTGTGTCAGCTACCTGATCCGAAATCATTAATTTCTCTTAATGACATAAATTTAGCAATACTTTAGTTGCTGTACATCTGTCTTTCTTGTAGGAACACCTTGTACAATTAACTATCCCTTTTATTAACTGCAGGTCTCACATTCATGGCTGCCACTCTGATTCTTGCTACCCGCTAAAGTAACTGCACTTACCTTGATTGTGATATTTAAACAATACAACCCAGATTCTGTAACTCTGAGACTCTACCTTCACAGTAAGTGATTCCAATGTAACAATATCTCCTACTATTAGTCCTGGCATATAAACCAGAGCCACTACTGAGCTTGTGAATGATGTGGGTGCCATCTCGACAGAGCATTCCTTATTGCTTTGGTAAACAGATTATCTTTCAGAAATTTTTGTAGAACATAGTTGGCTGGTTGATTTTCTGGCCTTTCTAGTTTACCACTCTATTTAATTTAACCTTCTGACTTTTTCTTTTTTTTTTTTCCTTTTTTTTTTTTTTTGCTACTGAAATACAGTATTTCTGGAATTATTAATTCTTTTGGTGTAGGCTATCATTTTTTTCTCATTCATTCGACTCTAATGTTATATTAACACTATTTCTTGTGGCTTTTTCCAGGGTCCTTTCTAGAAAATTATAATTTGGCGGTTTTTTCTTTCATCACTTTAACAATATAATTCCATTGTCTTATGGCTGCCATTATTTTAGTTGGGCAGTCAGCTATTAGTCTAACATTTCCCCTATAAACACATCTTCTTTTCTTTTTTCTTTTCTTTTCTTTCTTCTTTTCTTTCTCTTTTCTCATCTTTTCTTCTTTTCTCTCTTTCTCTAGACTGTTTTTAATTTGTTTGTTTTTAATATCCCCAGTTCTCTTATTTTTACCTTCAGATTTTCAATAATTTAAATACTGTCTTCTGTTATGGATAATATGCTTATGTTTGTTTGTTTGTTTGTTTTTTCCAGCTCACTTATTTTCTCTTCATTTTCATATCTGGAAGCAGATACCTAATTGTATTTTATGATAAGTCTTACATGTTCTATTTTTTAAAAATTCCTTCAATACTATAAATACTTTAAAACTGTTATTTTATAGACTCTATTTTAATAATTACATTATCTGAAGTTCTTGGAAATCTAACCTTTCAATTTTTAGTGTCTGGTGCTGCTCACAATGTCTATAATAGGTAAATTTCTAGTTTCTTGTTTTGTGTAACTATCATATCTCTTTGGGCACCAGCTCTTTCTTAAATGCATTGATTTTCACTTTGTACTTAGTTTTGTTTCCCAGATAACTTTATTGTTAGCTAAACTAAATTTATTAAAAATGAAGTTTTATATTAATACAATATCCAAAATATTTTCATGTTTTAGTGGGAATTTTTTTCATTCAGATAGTCTTTTATAACTTCTGAGATTGTTTTTTCACAACACATCGGTAATTCTTCATCTGTTTTCACTTCAATACATGTAGTTTGATTAATTTTTTTGAAAATTACATTGTTTTTCGTTTTTAGTATACTTTACTGTACTACTTCTATCACTCATGCAGTCTACATTTTTATTTTCTTACTTCAAATATTGCAATGAACCCCATTTATATATCTTTATGAACTGAAATTTTTATTTCCTTATAAGAATCTTTAAAGTGGGATTCCCGAATTATGGGAAATAGATATGATTTAAACACTAAATAATTAAATGTATATTATTATATTTGTCTTCTCTTGATTTCAGTCTTATGAGTTTATATCATAGCCTCTTCCTTCCAGAAAGAGTGTATCAATACATTCATAGACACAGAAATGGAAAAATATACTGTGGATAACATAGCTTGCTGAATTAATCATGCTGTTTTGGAAATGACGAGTTAATGGGTGCAGCACACCAACATGGCACATGTATATATATGTAACAAACCTGCACGTTGTGCACATGTACCCTAGAACTTAAAGTATAATAAAAAAAGAAAAAAAAGAAAACATTTTTAAAGAAAAAAAAGAAAAAAAGAACAACAACAACAAAAGGTAGGAGAGAAATCCACTCCAGTAATTTTAAGTGGACCAGAGATTTAGAAATCTTTGTATTTGTTAATGGATTCATAGGTATGACACCAAAGCCTGATCAACAAAAGAAGACAGAGATAAATTATTTGACTTTATACGAAAAAAACTCCATACATCAAAGGACACAATCACAAAAGTAAAGTGACAACCTAAAAAAGTGGGAAAAATGTTGGCAAATGATATATTTGATGAGAGTACAGTGTCCAGAATACATACAGAAACTCGAAACTCAGTAACAAAAAGAAACAACCTAATTTAAAAATAGGCAGAAGATTTGAATAAACATTTCTCCAACACCAACAATCACATGAAAAGACTCCCAACATCATTAGTTATTAGGAAATACAAATTAAAACACACAATGAGATGTCACTTTACACTCACTAGGATAGCATTAATAACAATATTTTACAAAAAAATGATAATAAGCATAAAGGTGAAGAACTTGGAACCCTTGCACATTGTTTTTGGGAATTTATAATGGTGTAACCACTGTAGAAACAGTTTGATGGTTACTCAGAAAGATAAACATAGAATTAACATATGACACAGAAATTCCACTCCTAGGTATACTCCTAAAAAAAAATTAAAACCAGGTATTCAAACAAATACAAACAAATGACAATAGTAGCACTATTTATATTAGCCGTAAAGTGAAAACAACCCAAATCTCCATCATGAAAAAACTGGATAAACAAAATGTGGTATATCTATATAACGAAATATTATATAGCTATAATGAGACATGAAGTACTGACACGTTATATAGTAAGTGTGAACCTTGAAAACGTTATGCATTGGTAAGTAACACTGATATCTGAAGAAAAAGAAAACATTATGGAAAATGAAAGAAGCCAGACACAAAAGACCACATATTGTATGACTGCATTTATATGAAATATGTAGAACACCAACCTTCATAGAGACAAAAACAGACTGGCAGTTGCCCAGGCCTGGGGTCATGTGGAAGGGGACTCACTGCTTAAATGAGTATGAGAAACCAATAAAACAAAAAGATGATGTTTTGAGAATGTCAACAAAATGTATTACATCTAGCCAGATAAATCAGAAAAAAATAGAGAAACACAAGTTACTAATATCAGTAATGAGTGAGATGATATCACTACAGATTCTACAGACATTAAAATGGTAGTAAGGAAATAGAACAACTTTATGCTTATAAATATAACAACTTACATGAAATGAACAAATCCTCCAAAAGACACAAACTACCAATAGTCACTCAAAAAGAAATAGAAAATCTGCTTAGGTTGATATCTATGAAAGAATTTATTTACACTTTAAAAACTCCAAATATTAAATAGTTTATTTTCACAAAAAAATAGGTACAGATGGCTTCAATTTTGACTTGTATTAAACATTAAAGAAAAAATAAAGAAATTATACAAAAAATGTTTAAGAAAATTGAATAAAAGAGAACAGTCTCCAGCTAACGTTTAAGGCCAGCATTACTACGATGCCAAAAAATAAATAAATAAATACACTACAAGAAAATATTGATAATAAAATCCTAAAAAAACTTTAGAAAATCAAACTCAACATCATGTAAAAAAGATAATATAACATGATCAAGTGTTGTTTATCTTAGAAATTCAAATTTAACTTAATAATAAAACAATTATGTAATTCAACATATTGACACAATTACAAAAGGAAAATCATACGGTCATGCCAATTTATCCAGAAAAAGCTTGTGAAAACATTTAACATCCATTCCTGATAAAAACCATCAGCAAAGTAAGAGCAGAGGGTTACTTTATCAACCTGCCAGAGAGCTTCTTTGAAAAACACCGAAGCTAACATCATACTTAATGGTGAAACAATGAATGTTTCTTCTCTAATGTCATAAATAAGCCAAGGATTCCTTTTGTACCACTTATATTCAGCATTGTGCTGGCTAATCTTGTCAGTGCTATCACACAAGAAAAATTTTTTAAGTATATACATTTGAAAAAAAAGAAATGAGCCTGTTTTCATGTACAGACATGACCATTATATTAAAAAAAAATCTGTGGACTCTACAAAATGTTACTAGAATTGGAGAATTTAGCAGAGCTGCAAGAGCACAATATAAAATCAATTCTGTTTCTATATAGTAATAGCAACAGACAATAACTCATATTAAAAGTAATTACATTTACAAGAGTAACACAAAATGTAAAATATTTAAGACTCTATTTTTTTTTTTTTTAATAGAGTCTCACTCTGTCACCCAGGGTGGAGTGCAGTGGTGCGATCTCAGCTCACTGCAACCTCTCCCTCTGAGGTTCAAGTAATTCTTCTGCCTCAGCCCTCCAAGTACCTAGAACTACAGGCATGAACCACCATGCCTGGCTAAATTTTCTTTTATTTTTTTAATTTTATTTTTTGTTTGTATTTTTAAGTAGAGACAGGGTTTTCCCCATGTTGGCCAGGCTAGTCTTGAACTCCTGAACTCAAGTGATCTGCTCACCTAGGAGGACTCCATTTTTACAAAAGATGTGAAATATCTAAATAATAAAAATTACAAAACACTGCTATAAGTAATAAAGACCTAAATAAATGCTGACGTATACATATTCATGAATTGGAGGACTCTAATTTGATTATCTAAATTCTCCTGAGGTTGATCTGTGGATACAATGACATTTCACAAAAGTTTTTATAAAATTTCTTAAACAGATTCTAAAATTAATATGGTAAAGAATACAGAATAGTGAAAACAACTTTGAAAAGAAACAACAAAGTAGATTAGGATTACCTTTATTCAAGATTTATTATAAAGCTACAATATTTAAGAATGATGTGATATTGATACTAAGAGAAATGAATGAATGAACAGAATCAGACCATATGTGTGTTGTCAGCTACTTTTAAAGTACAGAGGCAATTAGTTACATAATAAATAGTCTTTTTAAAAATATTGCTAAAATAATAGGTTTATGTAATTAGATATGAAGAAAAGAAAGACATTTGATCTATGCCTGACAACATATATCAAATATAACTCAAATTCATTTTTTAACCTAAATAGAAACCTCAGTTTATAAGAAAAAGTATAAACATTCATTTATATAAAGGTGTTATATGCATCTTCATAGCCCAAAACTCTTAACCCGATACCCATCTATCAATCAACAGATGAATGGATAGACTCTTGTATAAGTACACAAAATAATGGTAGTCAGTAATAAAAATAATAAACTATTGATACAACCTACAAAATGGATCAATCACAGGGTGATTATGCTGATTGAAAGAAATTAGGCAAGAGGGTACATACTGTATGATTCTATTTAAATAAAATAGATTTCTAGGAAATGTAAAATAATCCATATTGACAGAAAACAAATCAGAAGTTGCCTGTGGTGTAAGATTATGGGAAAGGAAACACAGAGAGGTCGCAAAGGTTTATGAGAAATCTTTTGGATGACATATCTTCATTATCTTGTGGTGATATTTTCATGGGTATGTAAATAGGTCAATACTTACCAAATTTTATACTTTTAATATGTGTAATTTATGTTGATTATACCTCAGTAAAACTGTTAAAACTGAAATAAAATTGATGTTTGGGGCATAAAAGGCTTTGAACTTTACATTTTTATATGTAAAGAAATATAATACAGTTATTTTTATGGGAAGGATAATGACACATGTAACACGCTTGAGTGTTGCTATGAAAGTTGGTCCAATGAGGCAAATTCTGTGTTAACACCTAGCACTTCCAAATAATCTATCTGTAGTAAATCAGGTCTAGCTTTGTATAACATAGATTGATCAATCTAGATAGGAATAAATTTTGATGAATGGACAGATGAATGGATGGATGATAGATGGAGAGTGTGTTAGTCAATTTAATGTTACTATAACAGAATACTTCAGGTTGGGAAATTATAAAGAATAGAGATTTAATTGGCTCACAATTCTGTTGGCTGGAAAATTCAAGATTGGGTAGCTGCATCTGGTGAGAGTCTCATGCTGCTTCAACTAATGGTGGAAAGCAGAAGGAGAGCAGGCATTTGCAGAGGTGACATGGCAAGCAAGGAAACAAAAGAGAGGAACTGAAGAAGCCAGGCTCTTTTTAATAGGCAGTTCTCCATTGAACTAATCCAGTGTCTTAAGAATGAGAACTCACTTACCCATGGTGAGAGGACATTAATCTGTTCTTGAGGAATCCACCTCCACAAACCAAAGGACAAGGCACATCGAAAGTATAGTAGGTAGATAGATAATTGATTGACTGATTATTGATGATGTAGAAATGGGGAAATAAATTATAAATACCTAGATAAATAAATCAATAAACAAATGTGTTAGGCCAACCTTGAGGTTGATATTTTTGAGTATTTACATAATCCAGCTTAAACCAAAATGTTTTTCAAATTGTTCTGCCATGCTTATAGGAAGAACAACCATATGGATGGATTCTTAAGCACAGAGGCGTCTCATTTGCAACTGATAACCCACAAGAGAAATGAAAATGTGATTAAGCTAACCATGTACAACACTTCTGTTTTTATCTTTCTTCACATTACCTTTCCTGCAAAAAGAATATTTTAAAATGATGCTATTACTTTAATAGCTTCCATCTGCATTCTAAATTTTCATTGTGCCAGTTATCCAATTCCACTTATATGATGAAATTTGTGGGCCTCATGGCTATTTTAATGTAATGCCTTTTATACTGTAATTGAGAGAAGTCTCCAATGAATAAAATAAATGGTTTCAGAGGGTTCTTAAGTCCTCAACAGACATCAGCTAAAATGTTAAGAGTGCCTCCAAATCCCACTGGTGCTATATTTTCTAACCATGAAATAAATGTCATTATTGTAAATTCCCAGCTTTTGTCTAAAAATCTTGTACTAGATCCCTTGAGCACCAGCTCAGTTAATTAATTCAAACAATTTCCTCTCTAATCTCTAAAACATTTTCATATTTAAGACAATAAATGAGGTACTTAAGGGGTCCACTCATTGTTGGTCATTAATATGCCAGGGAATTAGAAAAATCACTCTTAGTCTTCAGTGACATGAATAATGTCTTTTTTTTTTTTTTTTTCCAATGGTTCTGACCTGGACAAGGTTAAAAGCATGGTTTCTCTGCAACTGAATTTAAGAAAATCCTATTTTCCACTTGCTTTGGTTTTAATATACATCCGAATACTCTTCCTTTCCTTTGAGCAATAAATTTGATATGTAGTGTGATAGGTTATGCCAATTTAAAGATTAAATTAGTTAATAATAACTTCGAAATTAGTGATTAGTTCAGAAGAAGAATAATTGCATTTTCCTTGAACCAGTACATAAGGTTAATGCAGTTGGGAGTGTGATGGCTCCAGTAACTTTGACACTAATTGGCGATTGTGTTACATGTTAAGATAAGGAGTCAGCGTGAATAAATTCTCATGAGGTTTGCAGGAAGACAAAGCTATTTGTTAGCAAACCCGCTTTTCACCATGTAAAAGGTTTGTTTAATTTCATAAAAGGGTGGTCTGTGACCTTCAGGATAAAATTTCATAGTATTTCATGTCTGACTCTGGATTATCAAATTGAAACAAAGCACAGGTTCTTAAACCCTCAGCAGACATCAGCTTTTTGTTTATTCTGTAAAGCAAAATTAGCCATCTATTTGTCAATATAAAAATAATTGTTTGATCTTCTAAAATTGACTATCTCCAGAGGAAAAAAAAAACATGAGATGAAAAGAACATCAGGTGTGCAATTGTTCATATTGCTTTGCATTTTTATAGTCCTTACCTCAAAAGTCTTCTCATTTTGTGCATGTGCACACACAGATCCATGTAAGCGTGATTCTGCAGTGGTAAAGAACAATCTAAAGATCTGGGGGTAGTGTAGCAGAATTATCTGTAGCACACTGTCCATAAGATAATTGAAAGAAAAAGAAAAAAGAGACAATTCCCATAAATTCTAGTGTAGGGACATACCTATTACTAGATCAATCTTATCTCTATCAATCAGAAGCAGCAATGTTTCAGCTTTATACAAAAGATTCCTATTATGTGTTTCTCATTTGTAACCTTTTAGAAGTTTGGTCATTTATATTGTTGAAAGCTAAATGGTTTTCTCATCAAAATATTAAAATTTGTATATCTTTATTTGAAATATTTACTTACCAATATTACTGTGAGTGATAAAACTTTTTATACTGAAGAACGCGTTTATACAAAACAGTAGTATAGGTAGATATTAAAAATATTTAATGTGTTACAATTAGTTACTGGGGCATTTTGTTTTACAATATTATGTCACAGTTTTGCTAAAGCTGTTTAAGATTGAAGTATGTATGTATAACCTTGCCTATCTTACCATAGACAATATGTTTTTGTAACTTTCAGGGCTTAAACAACTGTAATAATCTCGTTCATATTTTCCTTTTTTTTTTTTTTTTCCTTTTTTGAGAAAGAGTCTCACTCTGTTGCCCAGGCTGGAGTGTAGTGGCACGATCTCGGCTCTCTGCAACCTCTGTCTCCCAGGTTCAAGGGATTCTCCTGCCTCAGCCTCCTGAGCAGCTGGGATTACAGGTATGTGCCACCATGCCTGGCTAATTTTTGTATTTTTAGTAGAGACGGGGTTTCACCATGTTTGACAGGCTGGTCTGGATCTCCTGACCTTAAGTGATCTGCTTGCCTCAGCCTCCAAAGTGCTGTGGTTACAGGCGTGAGCCACCAGGCCCGGCCATGTTTTCCATTTTCAAACAGGCTTTTCTATTTAAAAAATTATGTTTTTGACATTCTTTTAGTCATTAGAAATGAAGACAAATGCTAACATGGTTTCAACATAAACAAGAAAATTATTTTCCCAATAACGGAAATTAAATTAAATACAATCATGTGTCTCTTAATGATGAGAGAAATATATTAAGTGATTTCACCATTGTGCAAGCATCATAGAGAGTTCTTACACAAACCTAGATCATTCAGACTCCTGCACACCTAGGCTACCTAGACTACAAACCTATTCAGAATGTTACGATACTGAATACTGTAGGCTGTAGGCAATTGTAACACAGTATTTGTGTATCTATACAAATCTAAACAGAAAAGGTATAGCAAAATAATAGCATAAAAGATAAAAATGGTATATTGTATAGGACAGCTTCATTATACCCTTATGGGATCACTGCTGTATATGTGGCCTAAATCATCTTTATGTAGCACATGACTGGATTTGTAAATTGAAACATAAGAAATCCAACAAGGGAGGTTTGTAAAAGAAAATTAGAATAACTTTTTAAAAAATGAAGTATGTATTTTCTGGTCAAGATTCTGCCTAAAGATTTATAAACAAATATTTCTTGAAATGTTATTTACATAGCTTTAGCCAAAGGACTCTACATTTTTAGATGGATGGACACTGGACTCGCCATGTCCGTAAAGCTTAAAATACTCCATCTTGACTTAGAGAAGATAAAACACATGTAAATCATAAGGTTCCTATTTGCAGCTATGTTACCCAGTGTGAGAAACCCATATTTTTTGTTATCTTATTTCTGCTTCTTATTCCTTAGTTCACAGATTTTTATATTCTAAAAATGGCAATAAAAAATGAAATTTTCTGGTGTGTTTTTTTTTTTTTTCTCTTGATACAGAGTCTCACTCTGTTGCCTAGGCTGGAGTGCAGTGGCACAATCTCAGCTCACTGCAACCTCCACCTCATGGTTTCAAGTGATTCTCCTTCCCCTCAGCCTCCCAGGTAGATGGGAATACTGGAACTCACCACCATGCCTGGCTAATTTTTGTGTTTTTAGTAGAGACAGTGTTTTGCCATGTTGGTAAAGCTCGAACTCCAGGGTAATCCTCCCACATCAGCCTCCCAAAGTGCTGGGATTACAGGCATGAGCCACTGCTCCCCACCAAAAAATGGAATTTTCAAAGATAGTGTAAGAAGAAAGAAATAGGAAAGATAAATACAGACACAAGATGACAATATTTTTTAGTGGTTTTATTGACAGAAAATGTAACCAGAATGTTTTTAACAACTTTTTAAATAATAAATTAATAACTAAACTAATTCTCTTTAAATACTGAATTTATATGTTTATAATTCTGTATGTAATTCTTATTACTTTTAAATTTCAAATTAATTATTAATGTTACTTGTCCAAAATATGCAAATGTATTAGTACAAACATAAATACTCTCACTACCATGTTCCTTAAAACCCTAACCAACACTTTTTAAATAGGTTCACTATCTGCATAATATAGCATATATAGATGTACTTTATTCAACTATTATTGACTTTGTAACTTCACATATTTTTCAGGAGTTGAGTAGCCAACTATCCAACTTATCTTTTGATATGATAGACCCTGCCAAAGTAAAATGTAAATAGGCACAATAGCTCATGTATAATAAAACTATAAGAATTTACACTTTTCCTAGTAATATGGGAAAATGTTTATTTTTCCAATTTTTCTCATATCCTAACAGTATTAGCTAGGATTGATCATCATGTTTTAGTTTGATTTGGTTTTGGTTTTGTCCACTGAATGCATAAAAATTATATTCCTTTTTGGTGGATTTATTTTCCCTTTTTTATTCACTAGTTAGATATCTATCACCAAATTTATTGATAATTTGCATTTCTTCCTTTGTAAATCCTCAGATTCCTTTTCCTCTTATCTATATTTCTAACATTCATTATATTCAGGGTTCTCAAGAGAAAGAAACATAGGAGATACTGGAGAAAGAGAAATTTATTTTAAGGGATTTGTTCATGTGATTGGTGGGGGCAGGCAAATCTGAATCTGTAAGTTTAGGGAGGCCAGAAGAATGAAAATTGAAATAAGAGTTCATGTTGCTGTCTTTAGTCTAAAATCTGCAGGGCAGGCCAGCTGGCTGGAAACTCAGGCAGGTTTTTGATATTACAGTATTAGGGCAGAATTCCTTCTTCCCAGAGAAACCTTAGTTTTTGCTCTTAAGGACTTTATCTGATTAAATTAGGCACACCTACATTATGTAGGGTCATCTGCTTTAATTATAGTAAACTGATTATAAGTGTTAATCATATCTGCAAGACACCATCATACTAACATCTAGAATAGTGTTTGATCAAAGCATCATAGCCTAACCAACTTGAAACATTAAATTAACCATCACCATATATATATATACATAAATATATATATACATAGATATAAATATGCATAAATATATATAAATATATAAAAATATATATATATATATAGTGTGTTTGTGTGTGTGTGTGTGTGTGTGTGTGTGTATTGCCAGTTAGGCCCTGAACCCTTGAATTATAGATAACTTGGTTGACAATAAGTGTTAAGTTTTCTTGGCTAACTAGCACACTTCTAAAAATAAAGACGGGGCCTGATGTGATAATTATACATTGTATGCCTGTATCAAAACATCACATATACCCCATAAGTATATATACTTGTGTACCCATAAAAATTAAAAACAAAATACAAATTGAAAATAAACAAAAGGAAAAATGAAGACTAGGAAGTTAGGCCTTGTCCTACAACATGTCAAGACCTGTTATGAAGCTAATCTGATTAAGACAGTTTGGTAAGCACAGAGATAGATCAACTGATCCACGGAATAAAATATAAAGCCCATGCATGTGTCGTACATTAATGACATGCTGGGTAAATTGGAAATATAAGGACTTTTCAATAATTGGAAGTAGAAGAAATTATATTTCATATGAAGAAAAATGATGTTCGTTTCTACTTTTCACTTTAAGGAAAATGTATTAATGAAAATGAAAGTCGAGTTATAACTGGAAGTAGATTCTCATGATACACAGTTGAAAACATATTATTATCAACGTATACAAAAATACATTCCTCAAAGTTAGAAAGAAGAGCACAAACAACTCAGAAGTCCCTGGACACGAGCATGATTATGCATTTTTCCAAAAGGGAAAAACAAATGAAGCAATGCTAAGCATCATGTGACTCACGAAAATTGAATCAAAATAACAAAGTAACACACATACACAAATTCTACAATCATTAACATGCTCATTTTGTAATATGGTATGTATCCAATCAATTTGTAGAAACTATTTATTAGTGATGCTGTTTTTGCCTGCTATATGTGTTATACATAATTTCCATTGTATTATTTGTCTTAGTCTTTGTATTGTATCTTATTCCATATAAATATTTTATTTTATTTTTTATTTATTTATTTTTTTGAGCAGCATCTTGCTCAGTCGCCCAGGCTGGAGTGCAGTGGCTAATCTCTGTTCACTGCAACCTCTGCAACACAGGCTCAAGCAATTCTCGTGCCTCCGCCTCCCGAATAGCTGGGATTATAGGCGTGCACCACCACACCAAGCTAATTTTTGTACTTTTAGTAGAGATAGGGTTTCATCACGTTGGCCAGGCTGGTCTCAAACTCCTGGCCTCAGGTAATCCACCCAACTCAGCCTTCCAAAGTGCTGAGATTACAGTACTTTGTGAACCACCATGCCTGGCCTTTTTCACTTTTTGAGCGAGCGTCTCCTCTGTTGCCCAGGCTGGAGTGCAATGGTGTGAACACTGCTCACTGCAGCCTCTATCTCCTTGCCTCAAGCAATCCTCTCACCTCAGCCTCCAAAGTATCTGAGACTACAAGTATATGCCACCATGGCCACATAATTTTTTAAGTTTTTTTTTTTTTCTTTATTGACAGAGTCTTGAGTTTTGAGGCTGGTCTTGAACCCTGGACTCAAGCAATCCTCCTGCTTTGGCCTCCCAAAGTACTGGGATTACAGACATGAGCCACTCTGCCTGGCCCATAGGAATATTTTAATTTTATATTTAAATCTTCCAATTGAGGTGTCCAATGTGATTGAGCTTTTTTATATTTCATGTAGCCAAGATGTCTATAGTTTGCCGTCATCCAATGCTATGCAAATAATAACCTAAATTATTCATTATAATAAAGAAAATTAATTAAAAGCCACCATGAATGTATCTTATTAAATGGTAAATTTGGAAAACATATTCAACAACGTCTGGCAACAATGTCCAGAATAACAACTTCCACTAATATTATTCAATGCTGACTTATGTTTTAGATAAGTAAAGGTATAGACTAGTAGACAAAGCTAAGTTAACTTCTTTTTGAATTTTTAGAAAATACCATTTGACAGATGATACAAGTACTATTGTAAGGTACTATTTTAATGAAAGCTGTGTTTTGTCACTTGGGCTTTATTGTTCAAAAATACTGTGACTCACTGAGATAGATCAGCGGGAAATTCCAAATATATCCCAGACACCAGCTAGATTGATTCTCTTTTAGCTAGAAATAAAATGTCCTTAAACTTTCATTACAGTGATATTGAAACATGCATTGCCCTCCACAGGATTTCTGAATATTCGCAAGAGGCATATGTTCTTATAATCATATATGGCTCATAAATTCTGCTTCTGCTAAACTCGTTCAATTTAGCAATCATATGCCATTACTTTTGGGCTATTCTCATTCTCTACCACATTTGCCCAATTGTAAAACTTTGCCCTTTGTTTTAATTTTTACACACACACACACACACACACACATACACACAAACATATTCACACCACCATTTTTAAGTCAATTGTGTGTACAGTGTACTCTAGTGAAAGTACAATGAAAAATGCAGAGGTTTACATTACCTCCATTTGAAATATTGTACCTGCTGATCATTACCTCCCGTCTTCTGGCTCGTTTCCTCTAACAACCCAATACAACCCTCAAAACAAATCTGCAAGTGTCTTAGTCCCTAGGTCCTATCTGGTTTTCACTGTCCATGACCTACTTCATACATCCCTCGCCCTTCTAACATCACAAGGAAAATCATCATAGTCACTCCCTCACATAAAGCCCTCAAATCCTTTCTGGCTTCATAGTACTCACTGGGTTAAATTGCAATCCTTGTTAAACCTAAAAATCTACCCTCGCCTCCTATGTACTTATACAGCTGAACACAAATGAGAAAAATAAGTGGCCTTCTTTCGTATGAAATTCATGATCAGTAACTTCAATTGGGGCTTTACGTTGTTGACAGTTGGATTGCACTGAATTGGGGCTTTCCCATTTTCAAGTTCCCAGTTGGTTATTTCCTAATTTCTTAATTTCATCAAAATCCAGCACTTCTTTTCCCATTATCACATCAAACTAATGACATTACTTCTTATTTTACTGAAGAAATCTCCCATGATTACATTTTTCTAATTTGGGTCCTTTTACTTTTTTTGTGGGGGAAACAACCCCCTTGCCTATAAAGTACATCTCAATATTTCTCACTTATTCAAAGAGTTTGCTCTGAAAAAGTTTCACTTTCTCCTGCATTATTATTATTTATGGCATCACTGGAGTATTCCTATATACATAAAAACATGGTAAGCCCTTCCAATATGACCATTAACGAGTAGATAAAATCATACTTATTTTCTTATTGTTAATAATTATACATCTTAGCATCCTATAGAAACACTTCTTACAGAAATTGGAAATAATTACATAAAATTAGGGAAATGAAGAAGATAAAGGAAGTGATTTTTAACCAGGAAAGGGTTTAAAAGGAAGTATTAATCCAGGCTTTCTTCAGGAGAGCATTTTCTAAACAATCATGGAACAGAAAATAAAAGCAAGGGTAGGCTTTTCAAATCATAATTGTCTTTCTGAGTGGAGGAAAGAGAGACTGAAGATCAGAGCTGCCTTAAAGTTTTGAACTTTCTCTTAGGTGAAGATCCACAGAGTAAGGATTTGCAGAAACACAGCCTGATAAATCTGTGTAAGAATTCTCATCAGTTCCTTGGCTGGCCCCTATTCCATGTATGCACAGGGCAAAATTCTAAGAGGCTTATCAGAGAACAGCCACTATAAGACTGGATTACCTACCAGAGATTTCAGAGGTTGTACAAAACAGAAGAAATATTAAAGTTCATGTGCATCTATAGTAGAGATAACCTCTTCACGTGCACATGGTATGTTTATGAAACTAGGTCATATCCTAGCCATAAGGCTAGCTTTAACAGTTTTCAAAGAACTGATTTTATACAGAGGATATTCTCTGACCACTGTGAAGTATAATTGGAGCTCAATAACAGAAAATTTGCTAGAAAATATTTGAAAATTAAGAAACCTATATGACTCATATTTTGAAGAAGAAGCAAAAATGAAGATTACAAATACTGAATCATAATGAAAATACAACAGGTCAAGACACATGGCATGCAGTTGAAGTGGTGCTAAAGGACATTTATAGCTTTAAATGAATATGTAAGAAAATAAGACTCGTTTTAAATTAATGATTTAATAAACTTCTAATCGAAAGATCTATAAAAATAAAAGGAATTAACCCAAAGAAATTAAAGGCAGGAAGTAACAGTAACAACAATGATAAATAGAAGAATAAATAAATTCAAAAATAGCAAAACAGAGAAACCAATAAAACAAAGTATATTCTCTCAAAAGCTTATTAAAATTAACATATTAGCCTTTAAGAAAATTAAGAACAAGTGTCCAAAAGGCATGATTAAGGGAGTTAAATTAAAAGCAAACTACAGTCTAGGAAAAGATATGAACAGTCCATGCCAGGAGCCCTGATGTACAAAATGTAGGAGAAGAAGAGAAAGTGAATAAGTCCTTCCTCTGCCTTTTTGGTCTATCCAGACTCTCAACAGATTGAACGATGTCGGGCCACATTAGTGAGGAGGAATCATTACTCAGCATGCTGATTCCAACATTAATCTCTTCCAGAAGTACCCTCACAAACACAGAGAAATAATGTTTTACCAGATATCTGGGTATTTTATGATTATTAATTATTACTATTATTATTATTGTAGACAGGGTCTTGCTCTGTCACCCAGGCTGGAGTGCAGTGGCACGATCATATCTCACTGCAGCCTCCACCTCCTGGGCTCAAGCAATCCTCTCTCCTCAGCCTCCTGAGTAGCTGGGATTATAGGTATGCATCACCACACCTGGCTTATTTATTTATTTATTTATTTATAATTTATTTTTGTAGTGATGGGATCTTGCTGTGTTGCCCAGGCTGGTCTCAAACTCCTGAGCTCAAGTGATTATCCCAACTTAAATTCCCAAAGTGCCGAGATTATAGGTGTTAGCCACCACTTTAACCCAGTGAGGTGATCCATAGAATTACCCATGATGATATCTATGAAAAGATATGTACAATAATGTTCATAACAGTTTCACTAACAGTAATTTCTAAGTTGTAAACCACCCAAACATTCAACAGTAGTAGAATGGGTGAATAATTTGTGGTATAATCTTAAAATGTGCTGTTACACATTGTAATGCTACCCAGTGAAAATGAGCCATTTTATGATACCATGTCTAAATTTTTAGACATATTTTTGAGTGGAAAAAAATAAGAATCTAAAGAATGTATATCATACAGCACTTTATTTTTGTGTAACTCAAAAATAAGCAAGGCTAATTGATGATGTCTGGGTACGTGACCACATAAATGTACACAGGTAAAAATGAAACAATCTACATACTTAAGACTTGTGGCCTTATGTATATTGTATATCTTCTCAATTAATTAATTTATTGATACCACTGCTTCTGTAGCTTATGCCTCAGTCTTTCCTTTTCATAGCAAAATTCCATAAAATACTTGCTGATATTTGTCTTTAATTTAATTTCTCTTCCAATTTTCTATTAAATCTATCACAATCAGGCTGTCATGTCCACTGCTTAAGCAAACTTTCTTATCAGGCTTAGCAATGATCTTCACATTACAAAATTCAGTATCAATTCTCAATCTTAATATTTTAGCAGCATTTCATATAGTTTATCACTCTCACCAAATGAAGGCTGTTACCTTCTTGGCTTTGTTTGTGTTTCTTCCTATCTTACTGATGACTACTCCTCCTCTGTCTTTTTCTTTTCTTTTTTTTTTTTTTTACCAATATTTCACTCCCCGATGTAATGGATGAGTACCCCAGGGCTTAGGTGCTGCACTATTTTCTCACTAAAATAACTTCCCAGTTGGTCATCAGATCTTATGGCTTGATGACTGCTGATTTTATATCTACAGCTCTGACCTCTCTGTTGAAATCTAGGCTCATATGTCCAATTGCATAATCAACATTTTTTAGACATCAGATGAGATTTTATACCTCCCGAACTGAACTGATCTCCAATCCGCTTCTTTCTTAGTATTCTTCCTCTCAGTTGATATAAAATTCGTCATTCCAGTAGTTCAAGCCAAAATTTCTGAAATCATTTTTGGCCCTTTTCTTTCATTTTCTGCATCTGAAGCAAGATGATTATCTTTCAAAAATAGATAGTATATGACTGCTTGTTACGACCTCTTTTCTCACCACCATGGTTCAAGTTAGTATTATATTTTGCCTGGATTGTTGCAAAATACTTCTAACTGGTCTTTCTATTTCTACTTCTTAAAAAATCACAGTGCATTCTCAACATAACACTGAGAGAGTTCCTATTAAAATATGACTAAGATTGCTACACTCCTCTGCTCAAAACGTCTCAATAAATTTCTATCTCAAATTTCCATGTGGAGTAAAAGGCAAGTCCTCATAATTTAGCAGCCCCGTGTAATCCCCTCTACTCATTAACTCTTTGGTATATCATATTACCGCTCTTCCTCTTGTTCCTTCTGGAACAGCCACACTGTCCTCATGATTGTTTTTACTCTATGCACTTAACCAACTCACAGCATTCACAATTACTCTTTCTTCTACTAGAACGGCCTTTCCTCTGACCATATCCACACAGCACACTCCTGCCTTTCTTCAGATCAGCTTTTCAGCATGGCTTTCGCTTACCACCAAACTTACAATTTTAAACTTTTAGTGTATATAAACACTTACTATCCCTCTTCAAAGCTTTGTTTTTCTCTTTTTACACGTCATCATCTAATATGCTATGTATTTTACTTATTTATCAGTTTCCTATTGTACTAGAATGCAAGTTCTATAAAGGTTTTTTGTTGATGTTGTTTGTTTGCTTGTTTGAGACGGAGTTTCCCTCTTGTTGTCCAGGCTGAAGTGCAATGGTGTGATCTCGGCTCACAACAACCTCCACCTCCGGGGTTCAAGTGATTCTCCTGCCTCAACCTCCCAAGCAGCTGAGATTACAGGCATGCACCACCATGCCTGGCTAATTTTGTATGGCTCTATAAAGTCTAGAATTTTTATTGTTATTATTTTTTCAAAGCATTCCCGGAATCTAAAACAGTACCTCACCAATATTAGGGCTCAGTAAAACATTTTACATAAATAATTGAATAAATTCAGATAAAATATGAGATATATCTATTCTTAAATTTCACAGCCCCATCTCTTTTTTCTGCACTGCAGATTATGGTCTCTTCTCATAGTACTCGGACTCATTCTTATGCCTCCCTTCCTGAGGTGTTTCTAGAATTTTGACTTCTTCCACTAAATTGTATAGAACAATTCAGTGCTTTTAATTCTCAAACTCATATCCAGGCCCACACTGTCTTAGCAAAAATCCATGGATATTCTCAAGAGAAAAAAAAATCCCTTTGTTCAATAATATCCACTTTTCTGAAAAAGCAGTTGCTTAGATGTTGTATAACCATGGCTTAATTCAGTTTCTAAATATATTATACATAGATATATCCCACCCAGCCCTGCCATCTGCTGGGGTATGTGCCTGTATTCTCAAAAGGATTCTTTATTTTGTTATTAAACTAACATGTTCATGGAAACTTATGAAAAATCTTTCTGTAGTTTTGGGTTGGAAGTTATGATCAAGGTAGTATGTAAATGTATATATTTATTATGTGGAATATGTAAGAGAGGAAGTATGCTAAAAGCAAAAGCTCAGTTAAGACACATTCACTTTTATAAGTGTGAGGTATAGAGTATCTAGCTTTTCATTTAAGTAATAGAAGCAGAAAAAGGAGCGATAGTTGCTAACAAGAAATAAATGAATTCAAATGATGACTGGCATCAGAGAGGAAAATGTAGAGAAAGAAGAATCAAGATGGGATCAGAAAAGAATTAAACCACTCTTGTTTTGAGATCTTGCCTTCTCTAGAGATATATTTGAACCTTTTAACCTTTTAAGTCATAAGCCATAAAGATAGCATGTTAATGCTAGATGCCATTTAAAGGCATCTTTTAAGACATATCCACAGTACATTTTCATAAAACATCAGTTTAAGCTCTGTCAGTTACATCTGCTCCTGAGAGATTTCACCAGTCATATTGTATTATATCACATGACTGTTCATAAAATGATTGATAGTATACAGACAGAACACATCCAAATAAGTAGGTTTCATTTGAAGATCTTTAAATGATCTATGAGCATTTCATATAGGCCTCTAATAACAAGAGTTTATCATAATTTTATTTAACACATAGGTTTTAATTCAGATAGTTAAAGAAACTTTCATTGGGTTTTTTGTAGGAAAGGCAAGGCAGAGTACAGTGATGAGTTAAGGACTGGCTAATTTGAATAATTTCAGCGGGGCTCTAAACTAAGGATGGTTCCTCTTTGCCTGGTGCCTGGCCCTGGGATGGTTAAAGCAGGGGAATACTGCTTTCCGGGGTAAGGGCCAAATAGAAGAGGTATGGCTCCTTCTACTACTTTGCATAACAAAGGCATGCTCCTGGCTGGGCCAATCTCTACAGGTAAACTAACCTCAGTAGAGGCAGTCTTTCCCCAGCTAGAAATGTTGTTTAAGATGTGTAAACATACTATACCGAAAAACAAGTGTATACAATACAGAACCTCAAACAAAATGTCAATATGTAATATAAAATGTAGCTGGCATATCATCTGCCAGGTATTCATAACATTTGTATTTTAAAATCTATCAATTACCTTTCATTTACACTTATTTTCATCATTCACTTGGCAATTCATTACATGCTAATATATAAACTTGCAATATCATTGGGTGACTCTTCAAGACCTTTAGTCTTGTTTGGGAACTTACAATAAGTTGAGAATGATCCTATTAAAAGAGACTATGAAAGTTGCACTATAAGATGTCAGGTCCTAGTGAGGAGTTATAAATAGCCCGCCGGAGAAGCAAAGAAATGACAGGTTTTAATGATGAAACTTCATCATTAAATTACCTACAAAAGAACTAATATCTAGGCATGTGGCAAACAGGAAGCTCTGATGACAGCACTTTCCATTAATGTACCATGCCCTTTTCCTTTAATTTTCTATTTTTCCTTTGCCCAACAATAAAGGAGCTAGAAACTGCAACTATTGAGAGATAAAAAGAGGCGGAAATCACAACAGTGTTCTCTCCCTCAGTGCCTAACAACACTGAGTCAGATCAGATGGTCAAAGGAAAACACATTGAAGTGAATGACAGTGTACCTTTTTAATCTGAATAATAATGAACTAAATTCCTTCCTGTGATTTACTCCTCTCTACTACCCTTCTTTTCTCTTTTACTGTAGTATCTCAGATAAGTTTTAAAGTGTTTCAATATTACTACGCTTCCCTCCTTGTTAATCACAAATGACATCCTAGTTTTATTTTTCTATAACATACCCACTGAAAAACTAGCCTCTTATCCAACCATTTTTCAAAATTCTGATTTATGAAACTTTGGACACTGAGTAAAGAAGAAACTTGTGCCTTAGGGAGACTGGCTTTGATAACCTGACCATAAATATAGAACAAGTACAAAAAGAAGTCCCCAGTATACTAGCTACAGTATACATGATCACATCCAGGGCTGTGCCTGGTTCCCTATGGGTGATAAATTATAATCAGTACTAACACTTCATTCCTGTGGTCCTCTGCTACATCAGACCTTTCTATGTTGCCGGAGTGGCCAATAATTACAGCACAGCATATCTTTCAAGTTTTGCTTGACGCTTAGGATAAGCAATTAGGAAGATCTTCCAGCAAGGACCCATACATATTGAATCATAAGAAAAAATGTGAGTAAAAAAGTTAGAAACAAATAATTATGGAGACCATAAACCTATCATTAATATGTAAAATATATTTTTGCATAAGGTTATTAAAAATATTTAAGCAATATTTTAAAAACAGAACACCATGCGTAAAAACTAAGATTTGGAGATTATCATAACAGGTTTATGTTCCTACTGTCAAAAATCAAAAGGGGCTGAATTTGTCTCTACACTTTATAGGAGACATTTTTTTCTTGTATATATATTACATATATATGTATATATTATATATATTTATATGTCTTAGCCATTTTATTCTATCCACATCTTTGATTATTTTATATATGTATCACAGAAAGAGAGAGAGAGAGATTTATTATAAGGAATTGGCTTATGCAGTAAGGGAGGCTGCGAAGTCACAGGACCTGCCATCAGCAAACTGGAGCCCCAGGTGCTGCAGATTAAATCTTTGTATTGTGAAACTTGATTATATATATTGGGCCACTCTTGTCATATCCAACTAAATCAGAGTCAAGGGGTCAGGTAGAAAAAAACATTCAGGGCACATAACACCAACTCCACAACTGAATTTTCTACCAGGCCACCTGCTGAAATGTTTTGCTGTAGCTCTAGGACCAATTTTCCCTTGTAGCTGTTGAAACAACCTGCCATGACTCTAAGACTAGTTTTACCCACTGACATCACCAATTAGAGCTTGCCTGCTCCTAAAAGCTTTCCTAGTGCCAATGAGCTTTATTTTAAAACTATACATAACATTTCTCTTTCTAATAAAACCTCCAACTTTCTCTTTGTTCTTCGGACATATCAAAGACCACTCCAGTCTGTCCCTACGCTGTGAATTGAAATTCTGTGATTCTTGAATAAAGCATTTAATTTGGAGATTCATCTCTACATTTTATTTTGACTTCAACAATGTTCCCCCTGCCCAAGTCAAATTTATATATTGAAATTCTACCCCATAATGTGATGGTATTAGAAGGTGTGGCCTTTGGGAGGTAATTAGGATTAGATGAGGTCATGAGTGTGGAGTCCTTATAAATGGGATTAATGTCCTTATAAAAGAGGCCACAGAGAGCTCCTTTGCCCTTCCACCATGTGAGAACACAAAGAGAAGATAGCCATCTATGAACCAAGATGGAGGATCTCACCAAACACCAAATTTGCTGTAGCCTTTATTTTCTATGTTCCAGCCTCCATAACTGTGAAAAACAAATGAAAAACAACTTATTATCCAACCAGTTTAGGTAGTATTTGATAGAATCCTTAACAGACTAAGATGCCAGGAGGATTGATGGTATAAATGCTAGACTGAAAAGCAGCAGGCTATAGACTCAATTCTTATTTTTCAGATTGAATCCAAAGGCAGAAAAATAAAAATAGCTCAGTCACAGGGAGAAGATGTTCCTTCTTACTTAGCCATTTTGTTCTATTCAGGTCTTTAATTGATTAAATGAGGCCCTACCACATTATGGGGGGGCAATCTGCCTTACTTAGTTTACTAATTTGAATGTTAATCTTATCCAGTAGCATCCTCACAGACACACACATAGTAATGTTTGTTAAAATATCTGGGCACCCTGTGGCTCAGTCTAGTTGACACAAAACTTAACCATCCACAATGGTTGAACTAGTTTACAGTCCCACCAACAGTGTTAAAGTGTTCCTATTTCTCCACATCCTCTCCAGCACCTGCTGTTTCCTGACTTTTTAATGATCGTCATTCTAACTGGTGTGAGATGGTATCTCATTGTGGTTTTGATTCGCATTTCTCTGATGGCCAGTGATGATGAGCATTTTTTTCTGTGTCTGTTTGCTGCATAAATTCTTCTTTTGAGAAGTGTCTGTTCATATCCTTCACCTACTTTTTGATGGGGTTGTTTGATTTTTTCTTGTAAATTTGTTTCAGTTCTTTGTAGATTCTGGATATTAGCCCTTTGTCAGATAGGTAGATTGTGAAAATTTTCTCCCATTCTGTAGGTTGCCTGTTCAGTCTGATGATAGTTTCTTTTGCTGTGCAGAAGCTCTTTAATTAGATCCCATTTGTCAATTTTGGCTTTTGTTGCCATTGCTTTTGGTGTTTTAGTCCTGAAGTCCTTGCCCATGCCTATGTCCTGAATGGTATTGCCTAGGTTTTCTTCTAGGGTTTTTATGGTTTTAGATCTAACATGTAAGTCACATGTGTATACATATGTAACAAACCTGCACGTTGTGCACATGTACCCTAGAACTTAAAGTATAATAATAATAAAAATACTTAACCATCACAAGTCTACCACTTGTCAAATTGGCACCCATACATATCCCCTTAAACCATAATTAATCATCAAATAAAGACAGTAATAATTTTATATAAGGTAATAAGAAGGGAGAAAACAAAAATATTTTATCTATCTATATATATGTACATATATATATGTATGTGCACCTATATTCATAACAAAATAAGGAGAAAATACTCATGACAATTACAGTTCTAACTTACATAACTGGTTATATGGTTCCAGCTGGTATATATAACTATCTTCTTCCACTATCCATTTTTTATTCTTTTTACCTACAGCAATCCCCTCACTTGGTCATGGTTCTTTACCTGGTGTTGTGACCCAAATCTTTATTCTGAAAGGGTTTGGGTCATTAGTAGTTGTGTTAGTTCATTTTGGGCTGCTGTAGCAGAATACCACAGACTGAGTAATTTATAAAGAACAGAAACTTATTTCTCAAAATTCTGGAATCAGGAAAGTACAAGATCGAGGTGCCAGCAGCATCTTGCAAGGGCTCCCTTACTGTGTCTGCATGGCAGAAGGCAGAAGGGCTAGAGATAGCAAAGCTATTTTCACAAACCCTTTTTATAAGGACATTAATCTACTAATAAGGGCAGAGCCCTCATGATAGAAACACCTTCAAAAAGTCCCACCTTTCAACACTGGCATTGAGAATTAAGTTTCCAGCCCACGAATTTTGGGGGACACATTTCAACCAAAGCAGTAGTCTTGCCTAGGTTGGATTGTTGTAGTTTCTTATTGACATCATTCACAGGGCATGGTAATACTAAAAGTCACCCTAAGGGATCTCCTGTATTCCAGACATATTGTTCTTTACTTCCATCATGTAACAGTAGTTTGATTTCCTCTTGGTAGTCAGGATTAATGTGCCCCAGCCAGCACAGTAACTCCCTCTTTACCTGTTAATTCAGAAGCAAGAGGTGCCCAAAGTTGTCTTAGTCTTAACTTCCGGTTTCTTGTAGTCATTGTTGTGTCTCCAGGTGGAAGCATTCCTTCCTTTGGAACCAAAACCTGAAGGGAAACATGAGATAAGGTTGGGGAAGAAGAAGCAAAAATTTCACTAGTGGGTCACTAGCAGTGACAATGTGTAATGGCACTCCCATTTCTACCCCTCAATACCTGGCTATGGGAGAAACAGCACCTGGTAGGATTGAATATGAGTGTCCCTTCAAAATTTATATGTTGAAATCCTAACCCCCAATATAATGGTATTGGGAGGTGGGAGCCTATGGGAGGTAGTTAGGTACTTAGGATAGCTCCCCCATAAATGAGATTAGTGCTCTTACAAAAGAGGCCCAGAGAGCTCACTAATCTCTTCTCCTACTTTGTCTAGTAACGTTGGGAACACTCAATCTCATTATCAACCAATATAAGCATATTTGCAATATTTTGTAAATCTCTGCTGCTAGATCATGACATAAACTATCAGTGCTCTCTTTACTACTGGAAAGAGAGTCATTGGCATATTTAAATGTAATCAGATATGTACCCAATTCTCAAACCCCTAGAATCAATTGAGAAAATGTCTCCTTAAAATTCCGTTTCTCTAGAACTGATCATGATGCCAAAGTCTGTATTTGTCAGGGTTCTCTCTCTATATATATAGATTAGATATATCCAATGGGATATAGGATTGGATATATCCTACTAAATATATCTATATGGATATAGATATTTCTCACAGTTCCAGAAGCATTAATGTGTTCATGAGGGCAGAACCCTCATGACCTAAACACCTGCCAAAAATCCCAAACTTTATAATATATATTTTTATATCTATAAATAAATATAGACATACAGTTGACCCTTAAGCAACATGTGATTGAGCTGTGCAGAACCACTTACACATGAACATTTTTCTGCCTTTGCCACTCCTGAGACAAGATCAATCCTTCTTACTCCTCCTCAGCCTGCTTAACATGAAGATGATGAGTATGAAGAACTTTATGATGATCCACTTTTACTTCATGAATAATAAATATATTTTCACTTCCTTATGATTTTTAATAACATTTTTCTCTAGCTTACTTTGTTATAAGAATACAGTATATATATATTATATATACATACACACATATATATGTTCATTTTGCATTGCTGTGAAGAATATCTGAGGCTGGATAATTTATAAAGAAAAAAGTTCTATTTGGCTCATGATTCTGCAAGATGTACAAGGATGGTACCTGCATCTGCTTGGCTCCTGAAGAGACCTGAGGAAGTTTTTACTCATGGCAGAAGGTGAAGGGATAGCAGGAGTGTCACACTTTAAGAAAGCTAAGAGGTGAGAGAAGAGAAGGGAGGAAAGAAAAGAGGAGGGGACAGGCTCCTTTAACAACCATATCCCACATAAACTCACTGCCAACCATTACCACTGGGGAGGGCACCAAAACATTCCTGAGGCATCTTCCCTCATGGCCTAAACACCTCTCATTAGGCCCCACCTCCAATATTGGGGATCACATTTCAACATGAGATGAGGAGGGAATAACATCCAAACTATATCAGTATATAATACATATAACATACAAATATGTATTTCTAATCAACAGTAAACCATTAGTTTATTGGAGAAGGAGGAGTCAAAAATTGTATGCAAATTTTCTACTGCACTGAAGTCAGCATTCCCAACCTTTGCATTGTTCAAGGATCAACCTGAAATATATATATATATATATATATATATATATATACACACACACATACACACACACACACACTTACTTAAATCACTACCTCCTACCATGATAACCTCTTGGACTCACATCCAGCAGGAGTTCCAAATTGTCTAGCCAATTAGAATATAGACAGCAAGATCCCTGTAAAACCCCAACCATCCACAAATGGCAACAACTCTTTTCCTGCTTAGATACTTACGGACAAATGGAGGGAAAAAAAAGTGAACACAACTCATCTTATACCAAAAATATCAGATCAGAATAGTAGAATTTATATGTTCAAACAAGTGCATTTATCCAAGAAAATCCCTTAACATTGAGAAGCAGAGTTTATGACAGTAAAGTTAATCTTGAAGTTAAAATGAAAGAAAACACATTAAGACAAATTTCCTATAAACCTATCAAATATAAAATTTGAATCTAAAAATATATGATTTCCAGAAACATTAATATTATTTGTCTTTTTATTTACAGAGACTTTTTTGCATAAAATGCAACAGGGCATAGCATACTTCATTTAAGTATTTTATCATCAAATTTGTGTTTGTGAGTTGGAAAGAAAAAGATTTAAAATATGTTACTTTGCCTATTAAATTAAGTTATTATATATTAAATTAGTTTTTGCCTATGGAAAATTAAAGTATTTGGTTTATTTCCTTCGTTATTATGACATTGAAAAATGTTTTTAATATCCAGATTATACTGAGTTATATTGAGAGACAATAGTATTACAATCTGATATATTTTAAAAGTCTGACTCTCTAATTTGCTTAAAAGCATTTTCTTGGATGTTCTGAGTCAGTTTTTTTCTAAGTTCTGAGAGCCATTGCCAAAAGTGCCTGGTTTAATTAAAGTCACTTTTTGTTTTTGAAGTAGTTGTTTCTAATATATTATGTCTAACTTAAATATTCACCATGGGAAAATTTTATTTTGTTTCAACCAAGCATCATAAATTATTTCCATTCAAAGCGATACTAGAAATTATTAGAATAAGAGTAACTTTATGTAAGCAGAAAGCACTAGTCATTTGTAGAAACACTTGCATTACAAAGTTTCCACATGCAAACGCCTGATGGAGTCAGTGTTTCTCAAAATACTGAGGTTTATACTTAGAGCAGATGAAACTCATGTGTTTAAAAAATAATATGTTCCATATGTTTCTGATTGCATTTTAAAAGTCACTGCCTTAAAAACTATAATCCAAAACAAATTGAATTTCTAGCTACATGATTTACCAGCCTAAGAACAGCTGTTGGAATTGAACATTATTTTACCCCATTGTTAACTAATGTCAGTGTGAGCATCATGGTAGAGACTATAATATACATCCATCTATATCCATTAGTCTCTCCTGGCCACATGAGAGGATTATTCTTGTTTGTTTTTAGTTATTCAGGACCAAATGACTGGTTCCAGCCAATGAAATCTGTGTAAAAAATAAAGATATAATGTGTGCATGCAAATGTGTGTCTTTCTAAGGCAAAGTGTTTAACTGGCTAATACAAGAGCCTCCAGCAGCCACAGAAGTCATATACCTCTGATGGTGCAATTTCAAGGTAACAGAGCTTTCCTATCCAAGATATTTGAGTCACTGTGTATAGCAGAGACCACATTGACCCATGATGAACATGTTATGTGAGTAAGATATAGTCTTTGTTGGATTAAGCCACTGGGATTTGGGAGATAATTCGTTACTGTGGTATTACCTAGTCTAAACTAATACACATGTAGACACATGTGTATTTGCATATATATGTATTTGCATATATTAGTACCATTTATCAATTAATAACCAATGTTTACAGCATTTAATAACCAGCAATACAAATAGTGTCTCTGCAGTTGACCATTACAGGTTATTCTATTTTGTCCATGAAAATCCAAATACTCTATGTGCATGTCTATTTCTCTTTTGTTCCCTATCTTCTATTTTCTAAAACTAGTCCTATGACAATCATTAAGAAGTTAGCACCTTTATTCAACATTATTATAAATTTATTTGGTGGTTTGAATTTTTTGTTTGCTTTTTAATGACAGATAGGGAAAAGAGTCATTGCTATGTTGTATGTAAAAAGTTTTAGCTTCCTATTAGGTTGTAAATATACATTGTGGGTCCAGAGCTACATCTTATAAACTATTTCTAAAATGATTAGCTTTTCAATAGAGTCACTGTACTATCCATACTGTCATATGGATAACTTTACCATGAACAGTCTGGACATCTAGAACATACAGACTCTGAATCCCACTTGTCTTTACTATTTACAATGACTTTTTTGGTGAGAGTTTCCTTTCTTTCTGAGAAGTTTCCTTTTTTCCTGTGCTCCATGCATTCTACCCCCTAATTTTGTTATATTCTCTACATGTAACTTATTTTCTAAAATTAGCCACCTGTTTCTGTTTTTTTAAATAATGCTTGTGCTGTTATCTAACAGTAATATATTTGGAAAGATACAAAATTATTGATATGTTCAAAATAATGTTTCTTATTTGAGAATAAGTTATGCCATATTATAATTTTTTCTAGAGAATTTTACATAAACCAAGGTAGAAGCCGATCTAGTCATTAATAAAGAAAATAATAAAATTACTTTGTATATTTTTGTGATTCATGTATATTTTTGAATAGCTTGCTTTAGGTATATAGGACTTTCTTTTCATTCCTTGACTTCTATAACTACATGCTTATTCAAGTTAAAAATGATAACTGCTTGAAATACTTTTGTTATCTATGTAAACATAAAAGGAAGGATAATGTTATGCATTCATAATAATTATCACTTCGTTAACAATATTTATTTACATTTCTCCAGGGAACCCTTAAATTTAACACTTCATCATAAAACAAAACAATATATGCAAACAATATATGCAAACAATATAAAGCAAGCTTTATGTTTGAATCAAAGCAATATATTTTGAAAGCCAAGTTAATTTTTTTTAATAATGGATATGGTTACATGGCATAGTTTCTATTATTAGAAAATGAAGGAAAGTGGCAATAGAAGAAAGTAGATGACAGTTAAGGAGTTCTTGTTAGAAACAGAAGATTGTAGCTCAAACATAAGAACATATGCCAAATTAAATTGATTAATTGTTTCAGTCCTTTCTGTCAAACTTTCCTTAAAGTACTTCAACTCAGAGTAAGTGTGCCAATTAGAACAACTCAAAAAGATTGTCAAAATTTTATTAAGTGAAGTTAAAATAAAGTTGTAGCTAAAATTGTTTCTTAATCTGAATTAATATGCTGGCTGAAAATGATCTAGTCATACAGTGTCAAAGCATTCTAGAGCTTTGGGAGAAAACTAAGAGATCATATGAATAAATTCTTCTTTGAAGCATTGAAAAGTGTAGTTTAGAAAAGTAAAGTGAGCCATTTGTGTCATACAACTGTTGACACTTTCAAGCTTTCTTAAATTTAGTATTGCTTTTGTGGTTTGTTTCTTTGAGGTTTTAAAATTTATTAGTTACCCATTTTTTTTCTTTCTTAATGCTATAATAATGTTAAGGAAATGAGGGTTTTAGTCCTAAGGCAAGATATAATGTGTGCATGCAATTTTGTTTACTTTAAATTATAATGCAATTTCTAATACCGTTACCTTTGTAATTATTTACTAGTAATATATCCTACAGTTATTTCTTACTTTTACTAGAAGCAAGCACAGAGAATATCTGACTGCTAGAAAAGTGAAGTTGGGACCCTGTGACAAAAGCATCTGCTGATTGTAGGTTTTGGAAAAGCCTCTCTGTCCAAGTATTGATTTTGTGCTGCCTTTTTAAAAACACACATTCTAGAGGTAAACAACAGGAGACATGTACTCTAGCCTTTTTTCTGTGTATTTAGGAAATACTTTTCCTACAACTGCCTGAATATTCTACTTTACAATGAAACTTGCATAGTTGGCATGAGCTGAGTAACAATTAAGAATATCATTTTTCATACCATGCCAAATATTGTTCTATTTTACTTAGTTCATATTTTGCATTTCGGACTTTCATATTTAACTTGATTCAAATAGGTAGTTTTGGTTTAAAATAGTTTGAAAATAACAAACGTATTTGTTTTAGTCTTTACCTTCTATACAAGTTTAAAGCAAAACTGATCACTGAAACGAAGCGTGGGCAATAATTAGAAACTTTTTTTTTTTTGCTTTTCAAAATTTTTTTAAGATCAAAAGAGTATGGAAATTTAAGGAGAGTAGAAGTGATATAATGGGTAGGAAAATAATATGCTGGGAGCTATGTTCAGCAATCCAGCATTATGTGTTTGCTTGACAGCCTGCCTTTCATGATTTCAAATGCACTAAATAAGGTTTGTAGAAATTTCCAATGGTCAGCATTAATTCAGAGTCTCTACTGCTAGTGCAAGGAATGCATATAAGTTGCGTGATTTGTTGAGAGCAGAATTAATGCAACTTAATTGAGTCTATTATTCTGTGGATATTAATAGGGGACACTGCTGAGAAGTGAACATTGAGAGACAAACGGAAAAAAAGAAAGGATATAGACCTGGGTTTTAGAAAGTTATAAGTGAGGGCTTGATGTGACAGCTCGTAGTTCCATTATATCTGTGAGTAACTCAGTGGTGCCTGTCCATATCAAATTTCTTCACCTGGCATGATTACCCAGTGGGGAAAAAAAAGGAGTTAATGTGTTACTAAATTGTGTCTGGCTTACTTAATTCCATTCAGCAACGTTTGGAGATTGCATCAGCATGTACCTAGGATTACCACCATCCTAAAATTTTATTGAAAAAGGGAAATATAAAATACATTATATTAAAATACTGTTCTGTAGCAGGGTGCGGAGGCTCATGCCTGTAATTCCAGAACTTTGGGAAGCTGAGGTGGGTGGATCATCTGAGGCCAGGAGTTTGAGACTAGCTTAGCCAACATGGTGAAATCCCCTCTCTACTAAAAATACAAAAATTAGCCGGGCATGGTGGCAGAGACCTGTAATCCTAGCTACTCGGGAGGCTGAGGCATGAGAGTTACTTGAACCCGGGAGGCGGAGGTGGCAGTGAGCCGAAATTGCGCCATTGCACTCCAGCCTGGGGGAAAAGAGCGAGACTCCATCTCAAAAAAAAAATTAAAAAATTGTTTTGTAAAAGATATTGGGAAAGTGTTGGATAATCTTCTACCTGGAGAACTAAATAAAATCTCATAAATAGCAATCCTATAACACTTCCTCTTATTATTGCCCACAGCTAAGCAATCCTAAAGTCCAGCTGATTCTCTTTTCTTAAATGTCCATTCATGTTGTCAACTCACTGCCAACTACATTCCCACTACTACTGATCAAATTCTCATTGCTGCAGTTCCCTATCAACTCTTACCTTCAAATTTATCTCTCTGCCTATAATTTTCTCTCCATATCATTCTCCATATTGCCTCTAGAGTTAGTGCATTTGAAAAAATTACCAAAAAATAAAATTGCAAAATTGTTCACAAACATCAGAGAGAGAGTCCGCATCATAAAGAAAGTGATTCTCAAATATTTGTATCCAGAAGATTTACCTAAAATCCTTGTAGTCTGGCTTAGAATAGGAACTGAAAACTATGTGTTCTATAAACAAAGTCACATTTGTCCTTTAAGTTTGGTCTTAAAAGACAAAAAGGTGTGATCTGGGTTAAAAAGTAAGGGAGGACATTCTAGGTGTAAACTATATTTTGCAGAAGAAAAAAGATTTGGAAAAATAATTTTAGTGAGTCTATAACATATTTTCTATTTTAAAGGTCTAAGGTATACATAAAGCATAATTAACAAATGTCTAATAAAGTATAATGTGTGTATAAATATATGCATGCATACATTCATATGCATACATATATATGTATATATAAAAGAATAAATTTTAAAAATAGATTTAAAATTCTTTAACTCATGCAAGAAATACTTGCTATACCTGGAAACATCTTGCAACTTGTCATATTTTTCAAACGATTTCTAATTATCTGAGCTGCATTTTATTTTAAATTGATAACCTCAAAGATATATCAACTGGAATATCTTCTTTGATGTCACTGTCATCTGACTAATTTTCCCTGTTCAAACAACTGTAAAAGTGGGTCAATTATAAGTTATGAAGTAACTGTTTTCACATTTTGAATGATAGGCTGCACAGGATGGTGAGCCATGATAGAAGGGAAACAAATGAGGCAAATGTTGAGAGTCAGTCCTCCACAGGTGTTTCACATTTCTGTACATGTCAGCAGAAATACTGACATTGTTTTACCCAATCCTTCTTTTCAAGTACACTTATATAACAAACACGCTTGGAAGAGAGAGTCCCTTCCTCCTGGGAAAAGGTTGGGCAGGTTTGCTTGCAAACCCAGTATAAAATATCGGAATTCCCTGTAATCCCAGCACCTTGGGAGGCCGAGGTGGGCAGATCACGAGGTCAGGAGATCAAGACCATCCTGGCCAACATGGTGAAAGCCCATCTCTACTAAAAACACAAAAATGAGCTGGGCATGGTGGCACGCACCTGTAATCCCAGCTACTTGGGAGGCTGAGGCAGGAGAATTGCTTGAACCAGGGAGTCAGAGATTTCAGTGAGGCAAGATCTTGCCACTGCACTCCAGTCTGGCAACAGAGCAAGACTCGGTCTCAAAAAAAAAAAAAAGATGGGAATTCACTAGGCTCTGGATTCTTTAGCTGTAACACAAACTCACTGCATGTGTAGCATTCACATTGGCCTTTCTGTGGGACTTCAGGGACAAGGGAAACTCACATAAAGTTTATTATGCTGCAGTACCATGAGTAATATAAAGTCTTTTGGTCTCTGACCCTGTATAGTGTCTTCTACCAGCAACCATGAGACTATGGCAGGTTAACTAGCTAACTTGTAAGTAGGGTAAATCTCAGACTCATCACAGATTTTGACAATGAGTCACAGTTGCTCCAGCTTTCTGTCAAGGTCCCCTCCAGACTTGGAGGGGTCCCGCCTTCCCACAAGGAAGGCAAACTCAGAGCATGGTAGTTTTATTATGAAAGAGAGGTATTAGAGTTTGGAGCTATTTGATCTCTGGGATTTGTGGAACAGAGCACCATAGAGAGAAGAGATACCTCGAAAACAAGATCCAGAAATATCATAGGCAATCTCTTGAATGTTTCACATACACAAAGCCGCTCATTCATTGAGCAAGGCTCCAAGGGACCAAAGAACAATTTAAAATAAAAACAACATCTACCATAAAAAGAGCAATTATTGGGAAACTTTGAGCTGAACAACCTGGGGTTGTGAGACACTTGAGTTTTAAATAATGACCATGGAGAGATTTCTTGAGCATTCCAAGTATTGTATATATACCCCAGACAGGGAATACTTTAGAAATAGAGTTAATCTAGATCTAGAGATAAGACTACTTCAAACTCATTCTAACAAAGCTAAAAAACAAAGCTTACGGGATCAAGCTAATCTGAAAGTGAATTAATTTAATATTCTAATTGAGCAAGGAAGCAAAATCTTGAAATATAAAAACCATAGCATCCATAATGTCTTTAAAAATTAATAGACAATGGAAGAAGAAAAAAATGTGATCCATAATCAGGACAAAAATCAATAAATAGAAACAAACTAGAAATGTCAGAGATTTTAGAATTATCAAAGGACTTTAAAACAGGCACTAACAATATATTCAAAGGAATATATTGGAAGGAAAAATTGAACATAATGAGGAAACTCACAGGGATATAAATAGAGAAATAGAAGATATAATAGAGAATCAGCAGGGGATTCTAGAGATGAAAAATATAATCTCCTAAAAATGACAAATTCACTGAATCTACCTAATAGCAGACTAGAGACTTCAAATAAAAAGATAAATAAACTTGAAGAGAGGGCAATAGGAATTATACAAATTGAACATAAAGAGAAAAAGGGTTGAAAAAATAAACAACATGGTCCATGGCACAACATCAAGCAGTCTAATGTGCATGTAATTGAAGTGTCAGCATATGAAAATAGGGAAATTGGAGCATAAAAATAGGAAGGATTAATTGTTACACATTTTTATGAAAACTATAGGCCAAAATATCCAAGCTGTTCAATGAACCCCAAGCAGAATAAAGAGATAAAACAGCTCCAAAGCACATTACAATCAAATTGCTGATGCTCAATGATATGAAGAAAATCTTAAAGGCAACGTGTAAAAAAGGACATACTGCATTTGTTACCGGAAACAATGATAAGAATAACCACTGCATTATCAAAAGAAACCAAATGGTGATAATTTATAAAATATATTCAAATATAATTATGTTTATTTTGTGAGCATACACAATTTTTAAAATGTCTTCACATTATTTGAGAAAATATGTAAGATCTCTTTCTCCCTAAAAGAATGTCTTTCCTTGTCAGTTTCTGCTCCTAAACTATTCATGTTTAAATTATTTTGGTTGAAATTTGTGATCATTGTTTTCAAGTGTCAACTTGACTGGGTTAAGAGATACTCAAACAGCTGGTAAAGCATTATTTCTGGATATGTCTATTAGGGTGTTTCTGGAAGAGACTGGCATTCGAATCAGTGAACTAAGATCTGTCCTCACCCAATGTGGACACACCCCATCTAGTTGGCTGAGGGCCTGGATAGAACACAAAGGGAGAGGAAAGGTAAATTGACTCTCTGTCTCTCTTTTCCAGAGTGGGGACACCTTTCTTCTCCTACATCTTGTACAACAGAACTCCAAGTTCTCTGGCCTTTGGACTCTGGAATTTGCACCAGCTCTTCCCCAAGGTTCTCCTGCCTTTGGCCTCAGCCTGCGAGTTACATCATTAGCTTCACTGATTCTGATACTTTAAGAGTTGGACTGAGCAACGTTACAAGTTTCACTGGTATTTCAGCTTTTGGATGGCTTTTGGTCAGACTTCTCAGCCTCCATAATTGCATAATCCAATTCCCTTTATAAAGCCCCATTATATCTATCTATCTATCTATCTGTCTGTCTGTCTGTCTGTCTGTCTAACTATCATCTATCTATCTATCTATACAATGTGTATGCATAGCCTATTGGTTCTGTCTACCTGGAGAACTCTAATACAAAAGTATTTTAAGGTAAAATATATTTCAATCAAATAGTTAAATTTATGAAAATTAAATGCAGAGAATATTTTTCAGTATTTTTTGCCATTTTGAGAGATTATGTATCCAGTTGTTTTTTTCTGGAGAAACAGTTGAGAGAAGACAGAAAAATATAGTAATTTTAGTAATAAAACAAGTTATATAGTAGAATACAGGGGCAAATATTGATCACTAGCACCCTCAATCTCAGCATATATATTAAGCGTAAAAATAAAGCCCATATTGTGCTCTCAAGTTTATCCTTAAACTGCTGTAAATTTCTATTCCATGGGCACAAACTTTCTACTGCTTACATCTCCCCAGACATGCATATTCAGCTGTGTCCTCTTAAAGCTAATTATATATATATTATTCAACATCCCTGGTGTTTTTGTTATAATATTAAAGCTTTCAGGTATAAATATTAACTATGATTATATAATTGTATAATTTTAGGCTTCAGCCATAAGAGGAATCCAAGGAACGCCAGGCTGTTTCTTGTGTCCCTGAACTCATTCTATATAGGAAATTACTTACTCAATACATGCATTAAGTTAAATAAAGAATGAATATTACAGGTTAACAGGCAGCCAGGAAAGACGGGTAATTAAAGGATACATCTGAATGCAAATTAAGCACACATCATAAGGACCATGATAAAGTATGATTTAACTAAACAGAAGAATCTAGAATCAAGAAAAGTAGGAGCACATAATAGGCCCGTAGATGAGACACACAAATGAATTTACTTACATTCATGATTTTGATGAATACCAGTTGTAGGGTAAAAATAGTATTGTGAGTGAAAATAATTCTACAACCACAGAAACTAGTTCAGTATTTTCATTAAAAGTTGAAATAATCCATATCCTGTGACCAGCAATTTCATACCTAGGTAAATACATTACAGAAACTATTGTAGTTGTGAACAGAAGATGTGTACAAAAATGTTTTTAACATCAACACTGTTTAAAGCAAAAATAAATATTTGTGTAGTAAAAATGAATTGTAGATTCATCATTATCACCAATGAACATAAAATTGAAACCTAAATAAACAAATCACAGAGGAATACATGAGAAATGATTTAATTAATTCAAAATTTCAAATAAAACTAAGCCATATATGTTGTTGTCTTACATGCTATTATGAGATGATACAAATGAGATTAATACCATAAATCAAACTAAGGGAATGAGTTCCACAAAGTAACGAAGGTATTTTCTTTTGAAGTTTAGGAGAGAAATGTGATTGGAGGAGGACATATGGAAGGCTTGAAATGAACAGATAGTTTCTCTCTTTAAGCTGGGCACGTAGTAAGTACATGTTTTTTGTTGTTCTTTTGTTTGCTTTTGCTTGGACATATTTTGACAGTCTGTAGGGTGTGGTGTTTGAAAACATGGCGTGGTTAAGTTAAATAGACTTAATTTAAACTGCTTTCACTACTTACTAGCTTGTAGCTTTCAGCAAATTACTTAAACCCTTTGGGCCTCAGTTTGCTCACCTGGCTGTCAATTGGGAATAACTCATGACATTATTTTGAGAATAAAATGATTGATAGATAGATAGATAATTAAAATATGGCACAAAGAAATAACTCTTTGAGGTTAAGCTGATATTATTGGTAATTTTTGTAGGTATTATAAGTATCTCTTTTGGAGACTACATTTTAACTTATATGGCATGTTTTTCCCTGTTTTAATTTAAAATCTTTCTAAAATTACACATCTTCTGGTACGCTCACAGAGTATTTTTCTATCAAAAAATTTATTATAGAAGCTCAACTAATAAACAGTATAATTTAACTGTCTTTGGTATGAATTATATTGAATTTCACATACGTTATCATAAAAATTTGTCTTATACTAGTCTAATAGATTTAATAGTGACAATAATTATCAACAGTATTAATGTGTTAAAAGATATTTAATAAAGTGAAATGACAATCTCGAATTTTAATTTGAAGCACTTTTGAAAAAGTATGTTAACTTACTGAACGACTATCTGCATATTGAAATATATTTAGTTGTTATGGAAGCAATTTGCATAATCAGAAAAGTAGAGAATTATATAGTAAACATTTTTATATTCACTATCATAATGTAAGATACATGTTTAATAACTTATTTTAATTTTTTTGAAAAGTGAAATGTAACTGATAACTATGTGGTTACTTTTATTTTCATTCACATACCTCTATTCTACCTAAGAAGCAACCATGATCATGAATTTGGTGAATAAGCATCTTAGGTCTATATATGTGTATGCATGTGAATATCTATCTATCTATCTATCTATCTATATATATATCTATATACACACACACACACAAATACTTGGATATGTGTTCATATGAAATATATATCATGCTTCTGTGATTTCTGACAAATTATATAATTATATTATGCTACAAATATCTTTATGAAACCCTATTTTTCATTTAATAATATTTTTGAAATTTTGTTAACAGATATGTATCTATTTTTACTGGTATATTGGTATATAGTGACCATCTTTTATTTAATGATTCCCTACTACAAAGTATTCAGGTGGTCTATAATTTTTCATAGGTCCAAATCATGCCAAAATGAACATAATTATGCATATTAACTTATAAACTTATATGACATTTTATCTAAAATAAAATTAATTTTGTCTCCCAAAAGAAAATTATATTCCTGTATAAAAACATGAAATATTTATTTTCTTTTTTCTTAAAGATTAGAAATGGACACATTTAGATAGGGAAGCTTTTATGTTAGTTCTGATTGAGTCTTCCTGAATGGCAATCACAAATAATTGGTATATTTACCAATTCCATTAAAAGATGAATGCTTTATTCACTAAATCATGGCCAATTCTACTAAAATATATTAATTTTTAGGTGACGTTATTTTGAAAATGATATTGCTTGAATAATTTAGTTTCATTTTATCCTATTGTTTATTAAAATGGTAAAATTAAGTCTAATTTCCCCATAAAGGAAAAGTAAATATATAGAAATTTATTTTATACTAATAAAATTATAGTTATTTCTACCAAAAAATAGACATGCCTAGTTTTGTGAAAAGCAAACCTGACTTTGATCTCTCACTACTAAACACAATCCAAGATATGTCTGCAACTCTTAAAAAAAGAGACAGATTCAACATGTATTACATTAATGACATCTTGACATAAATATTTAGATTGTGAAAGAAATACACAATTAATACTCCATAAATTATAGTTAAAGTGTAATTATGAGCGTTTGGGGAGGATATGTAGTCATTTGATATGACGCATTTTGGTCTTGCTTTAGCCAAAACCAAAGTTTGAACACTCTCCAAATAAAAATCTAAGATTTTGGAAACCAACTTCACATATGTAAATTTTCTTCCCTACACTATTCAGAATACAACTTGATGGGTCAGAATAGAAATTCCATAGTCTTTTTTTTTAATTATTATTATACTTTAAGTTCTAGGGTTTATGTGCACAACGTGCAGGTTTATTACATACGTATACTTGTGCCATGTTGGTGTGCCGTACCCATTAACTCGTTATTTACATTAGGTATATCTCCTAATGTTATCCCTACCCCCTTATGTGATCCTGGGTTGGATCCTGTGCTAGAAAAAGAATGTTAGTACAACAAAGGGAGAAATTTGAATAAGGTCTTTAGATGAGATAACAGTATTGTATCAATGTTTGATCATTGTACTGTGATTATATAAGATGTTAATAATTGGGAAATCTGGGAGAAGGGTGTATAAGAAATAATTGCACTAATTTTCCAACAGTGTGAAAGTAATTCAAAATGAAAGGTTAAAAATGAAAGTATGGTGCCTGAATTCTAGTCAAAATATTCATCAACTGATGGTAATTAACAAAATGTAGCATGTCTGTAACTAGACAATCGAATATTATTCATCTCTAAAAAGAACTGAAGTACTGACATGGGCTATAATATGATGAACCTTGAAAACATGCTACGTGAAAGACACCAGGCACAAAATATCACACTGTATGATTGCATTTATGTGAAATGTCCAGAATGGGAAAATACATATATAGAGAAAGTAGATTAGTATTTGACAGGGGTTGGGGGCTCAAGGGGAATTGAGAGTGACTGCTCATGGATATGGGGTGGCTTATGAGGGTGACAAAAATGTTCTAAGATTAGATAGTGGTGACAGTTGCACAACTATGTAAATATATTAAAAACTTCTGGACTGTTAAAAAGAAAGAAATTCCAACAATAATTCATTTGTTAGTTTGGACTTTTCTCCACAGGATGAGGAAAAAGTATCCCAAAAGAAATGCATTATTTTTATTTAAGTGTTATAGCTTCCTTAAGTATTACCATGAAAATTAGACTCCTGGACATGATGAAGTAAACAGTCCTAGATTTTTCCTCCCATTATATCCTAATTTTTCAAAAATAAACAAAATAAATAAACTTTTCAGCATTGATCAACAGGAGGCACAGGATTGTTATCTCTGAGAAAAAGAAAACAAATTTGGTTTTCTTTCTTTCCAAGAAAGGGAACCCACGCTGAGTGCGGTGCTCTCACTGAATAGAAGAGCCAGAGATCAGAGCGTGGAGGGCCTAAGGAAGCTGGAATTTACAGGTAGAGTATAGGAGAGGATGAAGCAACAATAAGATAGAGCTCTCCGTAGGGGACACCTCGAGTCTTTGATTAGATGCTGAACCAAATGTGGCTCTGTTGAGGCTTCAGCAGACTAGGAAAAGAGCAGGTAGCATGGAGTTAAAAGATGAACAATTTCCAGAGCTCACAAAGTCCTAGGAGACCTCTGAGTTTTGATCATCCAAGTCAGAGAGAATGTAAGGTTGTTTCATATTCAAAATTAATCAGTGTAATTGCTTATATTAATGGAATAGAGATGAAAGAAATCATAGGATTTACCATCTATCTTGAGAAACTACCTTAATCTAACAAAGAGCATATACAAAATAATGTACACTGAAAATCACACTTAATGGTGAAAGACAAAATGCTTTCTTTCTAAGATTGGAAACAAGACATTTATTCTGACTAATTATCATCAACACTGTATTAGAGTCCATAAAAAGGGCAATGAATCAAGAAAAGGAAATAAGATAAACAAATTGGGAGGAAAAAAGTGGAACCGTACCTATTCATAATTTATATACATAGAATATTCCAGGAAAACTAAAAAAGAACTCCTAGAGTTAATGACTGAATTTAACTGTATGTTCATAAAAAAACAACAAATAATGAGAAAATAATGTAAGAAAAAATCAAATTTGATAGCATTGGAAATGTAGGAAAAATTCTTAGGAAGACATTTGAAAAAATATGTATGAGATATGTACACTGAAAATTATAACATTGCTGACAGAATAAAGAAGACCTATATATATGAACAAATGTTCTATGTTCATAAATTGAACATTTATTTATTTATTTATTTATTTTTTAATTTTTTTAATACTTTAACTTTTAGGGTACATGTGCACAATGTGCAGGTTAGTTACATATGTATACGTGTGCCATGTTGATGTGCTGCACCCATTAACTCGTCATTTAATATTAGGTATATCTCCTAATGCTATCCCTCCCCCCTCCCCCCCACCCCACAACAGGCCCTGGTGTGTGATGTTCCCCTTCCTGTGTCCATGTGTTCTCATTGTTCAATTCCCACCTATGAGTGAGAATATGCGGTGTTTGGTTTTTTGTCCTTGCGACAGTTTGCTGAGAATGATGGTTTCCAGCTTCATCCATGTCCCTACAAAGGACATGAACTCAGCATTTTTTATGGCTGCATAGTATTCCATGGTGTATACGTGCCACATTTTCTTAATCCAGTCTATCATTGATGGACATTTGGCTTGGTTCCAAGTCTTTGCTATTGTGAATAGTGCCACTATAAACATACGTGTGTATGTGTCTTTACAGCAGCATGATTTACAGTCCTTTGGGTATATACCCAGTAATGGGATGGCTGGGTCAAATGGTATTTCTAGTTCTAGATCCCTGAGGAATCGCCACACTGACTTCCACAATGGTTGAACTAGTTTGCAGTCCCACCAACAGTGTAAAAGTGTTCCTGTTTCTCCACATCCTCTCCAGCATCAGTTGTTTCCTGACTTTTTAATGATTGCCATTCTAACTGGTGTGAGATGGTATCTCATTGTGGTTTTGATTTGCATTTCTCTGATGGCCAGTGATGATGAGCATTTTTTCATGTGTCTGTTGGCTACATAAATGTCTTGTTTTGAGAAGTGTCTGTTCATATCCTTTGCCCACTTTTTAATGGGGTTGTTTGTTTTTTTCTTGTAAACTTGTTTGAGTTCATTGTAGATTCTGGATATTAGCCCTTTGTCAGATGAGTAGATTGCAAAAATTTTCTCTCATTCTGTAGGTTGCCTGTTCACTCTGATGGTAGTTTCTTTTGCTGTGCAGAAGCTCCTTAGTTTAATTAGATCCCATTTGTCAGACTTCTGTTGCCATTGCTTTTGGTGTTTTAGACATGAAGTCCTTGCCCATGCCTATGTCCTGAATGGTATTGCCTAGGTTTTCTTCTACAGTTTTTATGGTTTTAGATCTAACATTTAAGTCTTTAATCCGTCTTGAATTAATTTTTGTATAAGGTGTAAGGAAGGGATCCAATTTCAGCTTTCTACATATGGCTAGCCAGTTTTCCCAGCACCATTTATTAAACAGGGAATCGTTTTCCCATTTCTTGTTTTTGTCAGGTTTGTCAAAGATCAGATGGTTGTAGATATGCGGCATTATTTCTGAGGGCTCTGTTCTGTTCCATTGGTCTATATCTCTGTTTTGGTACCAGTACCATGCTGTTTTAGTTACTGTAGCCTTGTAGTATAGTTTGACATCAGGTAGCATGATGCCCCCAGCTTTGTTCTTTTGGCTTAGGATTGACTTGGCAATGCAGGCTCTGTTTTGGTTCCATATGAACTTTAAAGTAGTTTTTTCCAATTCTGTGAAGAAAGTCATTGGTAGCTTGTTGGGGATGGCATTGAATCTATAAATTACCTTGGGCAGTATGGCCATTTTCACAATATTGATTCTTCCTACCCATGAGCATGGAATGTTCTTCCATTTGTATCCTCTTTTATTTCATTGAGCAGTGGTTTGTAGTTCCACTCAAATTGATCTATAAACTCAATGTAATCATAATGAAAATACTAGGAGTTTTATTTTTTTGCTGAAATTAACCAACTGATTCTAATATTTACGTGAAATTACAAAGAACATAGAATGACTGATATTATTTTGAAACAGAGGAAGAAAATTAGAGGATATTTGCCAGATTTCCAAGCATACTATAATGCTACCATAATCGAGACAGTATGTTGGAATAAAGATATAGCTTACAGATCAGTGGAACAGAATAGAGAGTTGAGAAACTGACCCACATAAATATGTTTATTTACTTTTTTACAAATACACCAACGTTTTCCAATGGGGGAAAGAATAGTATTTTCATCAAATAGTGGTGGAACAATTAGCTATTTATAAGAAAAAATAATGGACCTTAACTCTTACTACACACACACAATCTTAACATTTTTCTTAGACCTATCTATAAAGTATGTGGAAAAATAAGACAGAAAAAAATCCGCATAGTCTTGGAGTTGAAAAAGCCTTTTTAAATGATATAATTACAAGCAAATTTTAGGAAAAAAATGATAAACAATCAAATAAAATACCTCTGTGATTCAAAGACATATGAAAATGAGATAAAATACACAAAATACATATGTCTGGGAAAGAACTTGCATCTAGGGTATATTAAAGCCTTCTATAACTCAGTCATAATTTAAAAACCAAGTCACAAATGTGCAAAATGTTTGAAAAGGTACTTCACAAGAGAAGACATATAACTAGCCAGTAAGCAAATTAAGCTGTGCTCAATATAATTTGTCATTAGGGAAATGCAAATTAAAACTACAACTAGATACATAAGCACTATAATAGCTAAATTTAAATGACTGACAATATTAAATATTGGAAAGGATATGGATCAACTAAAACTCATATCACTGATGTGAATGTAAAATGGTACAATTACCTCAGAAAATAGTTTGCTAGTGTTTTGCAAAATACGGTACCGCAAAGTACATACCGCAACATGATTGTGGTATAATGCAGCAATATCACATCCTGGTATTTGTCAAGATAAACTAACCATATACTGAAAGAAATTATCCTGTATGACTGCTCATAGCAGCTTTATTCATAATAATCCCAAACTGGAAACAATCTAAATGTTCATCAATAGGTGAATAAATTAACAAGTGATGGTACCGCTATGCAATAGAATACTACTCAGCAATAAAAGAAACAAACCAATGATAAATTAACAGCCTGAATGGACCTGAAGCCACTTGGCTGCTAAGTGGCCCAAGGAAATTTTGGGGATTCTGAAAATATTTTACTTTTTGATAACGGAATGGTAGCCATTGGGAGTATATGTTTGTCAAAACATATCAAACTTTATGATGAAAATTTATTTTATATAACTCAATATAGTTAATTACATGATTAAAAAATAACTTCACCTATACATTTTCAACTGGTGACACATTTATATCACAATTTTATTTTCAGGGTACATACAATAAAACTAGAATAAAATAGTTTTTACACAGATACATATTTCTGGATTTTGGCATAAATAGCATTAATGATACATAAGAAATTATAAACTTCAGACACTGGCTATAAACAATTTACATTTAATTTGGTTATATAAGCTATGTATACTTTTTCCTCCTGTTTATTTATGGATTGTTTAATTTTTGTTTTTAAGATCAAAAGCCACAGAAAAACATATCAAGTATCACAAATGCAAAGTTTTAAAAAATGGCAAATTAGTGGTAATAAGTAATAGTTGCCATTAAAGTCACAAGCACTTAGCTGGACAAAAGGACGCTAAGAAAACTTTATTTAGCCTAGTCCACAAAATTATAATACAGTTATGCCTTAGAGAAATATAAAATAAGACTACTTACATAGATTTTGGAAATGCTATTCCAAATAATAAAAAAAAAGATCATGAACAATTGGGGTAAAGATAAAAGTAATTTTCCTCTTGATTGATACACATTGCCAATATTAACTAGGTATGTGAACTTATATTTTCAATATAAATTAGTTTTACACCAGAATCAAATAGCTGTTTCACAACCTTAACTCAATGAATCTTTATTAATCCTTATCTGAAAACCAAAATTGTATTTCAAAGTCCAGGTTTGACTGGATGAAACCATGAGTTTGCATATATTTGTTTATTTAATGTTCTTTTAGTCTATCGCCTCATTCAGATTATGACTGATGACCTGGGTAACAAATGAAATGATAAAGTATCAGGTCTGACATACTTAGAGAAAAAAAAAAAAAAGAATTAAGATACAGGTTCTAAATAAATGAAGTTATTTAACCCTGGTTTCGTTTTCCTTTTTTCTTCACTAACCATGGGACAGCCAGAGTTTTCTGTGCTATTCCCAAACCAGCTTGCAGAGCAAATAGGGCATTGAAAAGTGCCAAAAGAAAAATAAAAACACACATTACAATGATAATTACCATCTTGTTAAAACACAGTATAATAAGGTTCCAATTTGGTCCATAGCTTTTGTTACATAAAATGACGCTTAAACCACCGTAAAAGGACTGATCCACATGCTACTGTATTTAATATTATACCAATGTATTTTCAGAGCAAAATAATTAAAATACTTAAGTTAGCCAACAAATGGCCCTGCTAAAAATTCCCCAGTAAATTTCTTAATATATAAATAACAAAATAACAATAACAAATAATAAATTGTTTATAATAATTAACAAATAATAATAACATATAATACAATAATAATTATGGTATGGTATCTATGGTGTACTTATCCCTGCTTGCATTATTTAGTTAAGTTTGAAAATTACTGTAAAGTGGAAATCCCAATGAAGAGTCTCTAAAATTTTAATGATATGAATAACTATTGTGAAATTAATAATTATCCTTGTCATATTACTGTTGAAAGTTAACATATTAGGTATTAATTTGGAATAATTAAATAATAGAAACAATTCACATGTAGGTTAAAGTAACTGCTACCAAAAAGGATTACAATCACAAGCACAACTTATTCTCTTTGATCTTCTATTGAATTGCTATGTAATATAAATTTAATCACATTATTCTGCATATATATTATTTGCTAATTTACAGAAACACAGCCATAATATAATGTTTAAAACATTAAGCTATTTTTGGAATCATGTATTAAATATTTTAATTAAAATTAACATGCATGTTAGAGAAATTTAATAACATGTACATGGATATTGATTGTTTTCCCAATGAGAAATTTAAAAGTAATCCAACTCAGACCAATAAAATATGTATTTTAAATATTCTAAAGAATATTCTAACACACTAAGACTAATCAATTTCCAAAATTCTAAAATATTTACATTTAAGTTATAATTTTAAATTTGCTAAGCCATAGTAATAACTATCCTGGAATGAAATGTAGTTTTATACATAGAAGCACAATATTAACAATGAAAACATGAGCCTTTTTCCACTTTTCTAGTACAATATATTATTTGGTAAGCAGCTTGACACTTAGCTTTATTTCCCAGGAAATACTAATTTTTTTCTCTTCTCGTTACACCAGCTTATTCATTATAGGGATTAATGTGATGCTGGATATAAGATATTTTGAGGTCCCAATAGGATATGAGTAAGTTGCTGTTCAGAATTTTCTGAGTATTCAAAAATATTATGCATTGTAGCAGCAATATATTCATTTACAATTTGGTCTTTGCTACCCATGAACTTAGCTTCCTGCGTGTTACAAATGCATCGGCAGTATTGGTTTTAGAATTATTTCTAGAACTCAGGGTTTATATTGATTAGCCTTCTAAGAGAGTTTTTGTTTCTTGGAGGAATTTCACAGCTGGAAAAAATGCAATAAAGAAATTAGTAAAATAACAAACTTCTTTAGAACTTATGTTTATCCTTAAGATACTATTTTGGCACCAAGTCGGAGGAAAGTAAGAGAATATTTAAACTACCACTCATTATGCCCCATTTTCTTTTATTCTTCTAACTCATATTAAATACTAAACAGATTTTATATCCTAGTTTTTATTTTTTGAATGTTGGATAAATTATATCTTTCTCATTTCCACACTATATTTCACTTTAAGCTCTAAAAATTACCTAAAATCAGCAAAATGACATAAAAAAAGAATATTAGAAAACTTTCATTGCAGAATTGGACTTTAAGTTTCAGTGGTTATTAATGCCTCATTGGAAGATTGAATTGGCCATTAAGCTTCCTTTCCATTATATTATCTTCATGGAATTGTATAATTTAGGCATAATAATAAGGAAAATAGTGGTCATTGCTCAAAATCTATTCAAAACCCCTCTATATAAGAATAGAAAACAAAAAAATAATGACTATACTACTGATGACTCAAATTTTGAATTGTGTGCATTTTGGAGGACTAATACAGTTGGATAATTCAATGTCCTGATAAAAGTATTTTCAAAGGAAAGGGTTATATATTTTTTTTTTCTTTTTTGAGATGGCGTCTCGCTCTGTCGCCAGGCTGGAATCCAGTGGCACGACCTTGGCTCACTGCAACCTCTGCCTCCCGGGTTCAAGCAATTCTCCTGCCTCAGCCTCCAGAGTAGCTGGTATTACAGGCGCATGCCACCATTCCCAGCTAATTTTTGTATTTTTAGTAGAGACAAGGTTTCACCATGTTGGCCAGGATGGTCTCGATCTCTTGACCTCATGATCCACCTGCCTCGGCATCCCAAAGTGCTAGGATTACAGGTGTGTGCCACTGTGCCCAGCCGAAAGGGTTATATTTTGATGTCCCCCACTCAGGATTTGAAAACAAATCAGTGCTACATGCCATGAGTACAGGTAGGTTTTAGACTGATGGTAGTCTAAAGTAATAGCTGAATACATACCTGCAAGCAATAAAAAATAAATATGCTTTTAACATGACGCTTTTAGAGTACCCAAATGAGTTAACATCTAAAACTGAAACATTAGCCAAAATGCGTGATCATAAGTTTTCTATGAGGAAAGATATTATTAAAGAACATATCAGATGCCGTAAGAATATTTCTCTTCAGAGTTAGGCCACAACTCTGGTACATGATAATATTGTGTTATAGAACACTGACAGAAGCCAAAAGCTAACCAAATAATAAAAATGAAGGCATATACCATTATCTGGAATAATGTTAGTTCAGCAATAAGCAACATGGGAAATAGTATCCAAAAAACAGACCTTTAGCATTATAGGTAGTATGAAGAAAAGTATGGTGAGAAGAGACATTTACCACTTTGGGATGCAAATTAGGCACACTTCTTAGAGTAATGAGGCATTTAATGAGAATGATGTTCTTAACTAACATAGGATCTGTGTTCCAGGAATTATTCTAAGTGCTTTTCGTGCATCATACCATTAAATCACATCATCCTATGAAATAGGAACTATTATTACCTCCATTGTACATATGAGAAAACCGAGGGTTAGATACATAAGCAGCTTATTCTAGTCATATCACTAGAGGTAGAACTAGAATTTAAATGCAGGCAATTTGAAGCCAGAGATTAGACGACTCAGAACATGATACCCAAAAATATGGCATTTTTACATATTTGGTATTTTAAGCTGAAGGAAATTGAGGAAACAACAGAAGCAGAAAGATCATTCTGTTACTTTCTTCCACCTGTCTGTGTGAAGACAGGCCATAGAGAATTCTCGGACCTACTTCCACTGAAAGTTCATCATAAGACACTCATGTGACAGATGTCCTGCCCTATATCCAGAGGAAAGAAATGAAAGCACAGAGATACCAAGAAGAATTTGAATAGACAGGCCTTGCTAAGTTTCTCTGTTTATTACCATTAGATCATAACTCCTTTTGTCCAATCATATTTCTATACAATTCTCCAGTCTTCATTGAATATAAGCTTAAAATAGTTTTCCCTGAGTTATTGGACCTTTATTTCTGACAGCTCCTGGGTCATGTAAAAATTTGGCTAAATAAATGTTATATGCCTTTCTTCCATTAACCTGTGGTTTGCTATAAGGGTGTCAGCAGTGAACCTTGTGATGGGTGAGGAAAATAGATTTCTTCTCTATAGAGTTTTGTCCATTTCACAATAGTATCTCCTCATAAACTCAGTATTTAGTTGAGCCAACTTTGAGAAACAACTTAACCAGAAACATTGGTTGAGGCAAGGATGATGGAATATTTAGTCACACATTTTTAGGTAGTTGTCAAATGGCACTCAAATAGGAGCAAGCCCAGGCAGGAAGAGTAGGGTGATGGATATTCTAGGCAGGTTATGAGTTAAGGAGTGTGTCGGTAAATCATGTATCTTTCAGAAAATGTATTTATAGGCAGAAGGACCTAGATACTGAGATAATTAGATTCTTCAAGTAGAAAGATCTCTTAAAAACATCAGGATAAGATGAGGGATGAAGGGACAGAAAATTTAAAAAGCAATTTTTGCAGTATGATGATTTAAAAAAATTAATTACTTGGTAGTCCTAGACATTTTAAGAAATTCTAAGAGAACCAAAACATAACCTCTTCCTTTATGTAACCTATAGTCCAGCATGGTAAACGATTTATGCATAAAAGGAACTTTAAAATTACTGATTGTTGGTCTATCTAATCATAAGTGTTCTTAGAATATGAGAAATTCAGTTCTGCTTTCAAGATCTGATATATTGTATAAAAGTTATTCTAAGATGAAGAACATGGTTCACCAAGCCTCTGAGAAGTTATGAGTGAAACTTAGATAACAGTACCTTCTCATTTCCAGTATGTCCTCAGTATTTCTCCCATTCCCACATGTCTATCTCTCTTTTGTGATGAGATCAACACCACATTGGGTTTTGGTGTTAGGACACAAAAATGCTTGTATACGTTTTAGTATTTTAAATTACAAGGGCAGTAAATATTGTGATTTTTGACACTATAAAATTATGGTTTAGTGCTAATTGCCAGTTTACAACATAATTTCCTTATTAATGCCTACTAATTGTCAATTAAGTGCTCATAGAGAATGGATTTTAAAACCGAAAACGATGAATGCATTCTTCTTCATTAGGGTGGAAGTGAGATCATTTACCATGCTATTAGGCTAGTGGGAAGTGCAATATTTCATCAAAGGCCAGTAATAATCTGCAGACCTCAAGTTGCTTCAGATATCAACTGGCATTTACCATCTCTGCCAAAATTTGAATGAACCCTTATAATAGGAGTCAGACTGAAGTACATGACACCATGGTTAGTGATAACTGGTGTTAATTTTTATCAAGTACTTGATAGCTTCTAAGTCTTGACTTTAAATAAATCTTTTAAACAGATAATTGCATGATTAAAAACTGGGTTTTAATTTTGACTAATTTATCTTTAGGATAGTTTTATATTTGCAGAAAAATTGTGATGGTAGTATAGATGGTTTCCATCTACCGCACTCCTAGTTTCCCCTATTATCAACATTGTCCATTACCACTGTATATCTTTTATGATTAATTAACCAATACCAATACATTATTGTTAACAAAAGCCCATACCTTATTTAGACATACTTAGTATTTTACCTAATGTCCTTTTTCCATTCCAGGACTCCATTCCAGGAATCAATATTACATTAAGTTTTTACGTCTCCTTATGTGTTCCTTTAAACTGTGACATTTCATAACAATGTTTCCTATTTTTCATGACTTTGACAGTCTGGGCAATTAATAATGCTCAGGAATTTTTTAGGATCACCCTTTATTGAAATTTTTGGATGTTATTCTCACTACCAGACTGGTTTTCTGGAATTTAGGAAGGAGGATAACAAGGTAAAGTGGCATTTCCATCATGCCGTATCAAGATAACATACTACTAACATGATTTATGGCTATTGATGATGACCTTGATCACCTGGCTGAGGTAATATTTTGCAGATTTCTCTACTTTAAAGTTACCCATAAATATAGCCTCTTCCTATACGTAACTCATAATCTAGTCTTATGCATGAATAGATTTTTTAAAATGACTGATGGTTGGCAAGGCATGGTGGCTCATGCCGGTAATCCCAGCACTTTGGGAGGCTAAGGTGGGTGGATCACTTGAAGCCAGGAGTTTGAGATCAGTCTGGCCAACAGAGCAAAACCCTGTCTCTACTAAAAATACAAAAAATTAGCTGGGCCTGGTAGCACATGCCTGTAATCCCAGCTACTGTGGAGACTGAGGTACGAAAATTGCTTGAACCCGTGAGGCGGAGGTTTCAGTGAGCCCAGATTGTGCCACTGCACTCCAGCCTGGGTGACCAAGCAAGACTCTGTCTCAAAAAAAAAAAAAAGTTACTAATTGTTGTGGTATCTAACCGTGATACTCTACTGTACATGGAAGTCAGTAAGCACAGCCCACACTTAAGAAGCAGGAGTTATGCTATACCTCATATAGGGAGGAATATCCACAGAAATTATTTGTACTTCTTCTACACTGACAATTTGTGTCTTCTCCATCATTCATTAAAATGTTCATCTATGTATTTACATTAGTATGAAAAGTTTTTTTTCTGTCTTTATATAGGTTTTAAACTTCTTTTCATATTTTTTTTTCAAGGAAGATCCACTGTTGATGAATTCCTCAGTTTTAGTTTGTCTGAGCAATTATTTATCGTTTACTTTTTATAGATAATTTTGTTAGGTATAGAATAATAAATAAGCAAATACTTTCAAAATTTTGCCCTAGTCTTTCCTTTCTTGCAAGGTTTCTGATTAGGAGTTCAATGTAATTCTCATCCTTGTTCTTCTAGTCACTGGCCGCTTTAAAGTTTTCCTTATTGTTTTTGGTCTTCTACAGTTTGAATATGATATGCCTGAGTACAAAGTTTATATATACAAATGTGTGCATATAAATCTTGCTTGGTGTTCTCTGAGCTCCCTGGATCTATAGTTTTGTGTCTGTCACTAATTTTGCAAAATTATTGACCATTACTATTTCCAATATTTATTCTATTCTGACCTTTTTCTAGTTATGGTATTCCAATTGCATGTACTGAAATTGTCCAACAGTTCTTGGATATTGTCAACTATTTTTTCCCTTTTATTTTCTCTTTGCATTTCAAAAATAGAACAATTTTTTAATAATGTCCCAAAATTTTAAAATGGCAGAAATAATTTATATTGCCTTATTGAGTATATGTAAAGTAATATACCCAAGTATATGATGAGATGAGTTGTTATGATGATAATGGTAATGGTAATAAAGCAACTATAAAAAAGATGAATTTATTATTAAGATTGACCTTAAGGCTATGTGCTTACAAAAGACAACTATACTTCTTTTTTTGGATGAAATATGTTGGCAAGTTTTTACTCTTATATATCCATTTCTTTATTCAAGAAAATATTATTGGTATGTACTGAAGTGCAGATAATTTGCTCAGACTAAGGATAAAAATATAATAATCTATTTCCTGACCCTAATGTTGAAGAACTTAAATATAATAAAGTGAATGTTATAAGAAAGAAAACGAACAGCTAATGAAAAAATGAAATTTGGAAAACTAAATAATGCATCTATCATAGAGCACAGAAGAAAGACTGCTTTGTAATGCTAGGGAATTCAGAGGGAACTTCACAGAAAAGGCAGTTATTGAGGAGTTTCTTGAACAATCAGTCAGAATTTTGCCACGTGGGCAAGGATTAGAAGACATTATACTTATAGGTTATAAGATTTGTTAAGAATGAATGAGAAAGACCAGGATAATTATGAGGTATAAATTGTGTAGGATTTGTAAACTGTAGAATGTAAGAAGGGGAATTATAGGAAGTAAAGCAGACATACAAGCAAGGACCAAGTCACACAAGGCTTTCCAGACTGCGTGTTTGAGGAGATCCAACATGAATATTGTGGAATACATTTCTGGAACCTATAGTAATGTAGCTTTTTAAGGGGACTAGTGTTCTCTTGTAAGAAGTCAGCTGGAGGAAATAAAGATAAAAGCATGTAAATTTTTATTTAAGAAAGCTAGTTGTCAAAGAAGAGGAACAATAATCAGTAGAACACGATGCTGTCTTGAATACTTCAGGAGGTTTTAGGCAACTCTGAGTATCCTGATTTTCAAAACCTTGAAATACTTCCTACTTACTCTGCTTTACCTGAAAAAACAAAACAAAACAAAATCCAAAAATAAAAACACCATTATCTTGTAGACAAAATTACCACTTCTCAAATCTTCCCCTCGTTAGAAACCACTTAATAATTTACAGTTTCATAACAGAATATCCACCACCAGAAAATATTCACCACCTCTTGTTGACATCACCTGATAACATAACTTGTGGAACAAGGAGAAACATGCTTTTATGTAGTTAATATGCACACATAGTAGACAATGGTCATTAAGCCCACCAAAGCACAACAATCAACAACTTCAGTGAAGTTTCTGAGAAGCTGAACTATATAAAGTAAAAAAAAAAAAAAAAAGCTATTTATATTAAACCATGTGGTCACTAGGATCTCTTGCAAGAGATTGAGAAAGGACATTGGTTGAGTTCATTTGGTTGATCAAAACTGTAATCCAGAAAATCCAAAATAAGTATGATCTTAACACTATAAATAAAAGGCAGGATTTGTAGGCATATTAAGCTTTGTAATTATCTAAATACATGTTTGAGAAAATAACTAGCAAGCTATGACTTTACAACTAACTTCATTCATTGAAATGTTTTCTATATCTATAATTTAATCTAATGAACAAAACCCCTCCTATTCCCCATGCTTAATCATACATGCATATGAATATGAAAAATTTGTTTTCATAGTTTGGTGATTAAATGAAATATATGCAACATTCCAAGCAGATTGGGTTGAACCATTTCCTTCCACACAGATGTTTTGGTACCAAGTTGACGGTATTTCTTTTTATAGTATAGAGCAATGTAATTTTATAGTTCATTGCTGAGCATTTCATTAAATCATAAAATAATAATAATTCAATTAAATCATCAAAGAGTATATTGTGATAATTCTAATTATGTTTTAACAGCCTCATTACTATAATTAGTCTTAGATAACCAACATGATTGGGCCCTAGTAAGATGAGATTTAATTGTCTCATTTCCATAATTGGAGCTAGCCTATTTAACTTATCACTTTTCTCTTTTAAAAACAAAGTTGTCTCATTTTCACAGAATAAGCTTTTTGAATCAGATATGAGATGTAGAATTTCAGTGAAACTTAAGCACTGGTCTCCATTTATCCCTGAGATTAAACCCAATGGACCTCCTCCTTAATTTTAATTACTGATCCAGGATGTAATACACGTTTTGCCTCTGGCATTTCTAGATAATTCAGCTCTGTCTGTCTCTGGGGTTTTAGTCTTTAAAAACAAAAAGAAAAAGGCGGAGTAATTTCTCCTCACATGGACATTAAAATAATAAAATCAGGTTATAGATTTCTAAACATATGACATTTCCAAACTTAATTTCTAAAATGCCATAATGGTTCTGCTAAAGCTCTGGTAATTTAGGATTTGTGTGTATGGTATTCTGATTACTGGAGTTAAGACAATATCCTTATTAGCAGCTGCCTGGCCAAATTCAGTGTCACTGAGGATCTTAGTGATGCTCTCTGATATGAAATGTGGAGTCAACTCATCAAGAAGAGCAGTAAAAGATTCAGGAAATGGCCTACTGATAATGCTTCATCTGTAAACATTGAAAAAGAACTAGAAGTGATCAAAGATGTATGACAGCATCCCATTAAAAAGTTTTACTCAGGAACTCCAGCAATAGATTTGTGCTAAGGAATATATTGTGTACCTGAATATATTAAAGTGGTCTATTTGGGAATAAAAATAATATATATGTCATTCCTACTTTCTAAATAAAGATATCATAAGTTTTCATAAATGCTACCTCTGTAAGCAAAGTGAAAATATCAGACATTTCCCCTTCCTAAATTTATTCTCATTTGCCTCACCCAAATCCTCATCTTTTTATAGATTTACAATATTTTATTTAGTTACTATTCTATAACATTGATTTATTGTCTTTTGGTTGAAAGTATGAGTTGTGCACATTTGCTCAGTTCATTGCAGAATCTTTAGCACCCTGGGCTAAGGATAAAATACCCATAGTGCATCACATTTACTGTAATAGCCAAAAATGCTGCCACATTTCTTTCTTTCGCCACTCCCTAAGCCCCCGGAGGGAGGATACTTAAGTCTCACTCTATTTAAAATAACATAATACCATACAAATTTACTACTAGGTATGGTTCTGAAAATAGAGTGATTGATTTTCTTTCCTTCCTTCCTTCCTTCCTTCCTTCCTTCCTTCCTTCCTTCCTTCCTTCCTTCCTTCCTTTCCTTCTTTCTTTCTTTCTTTTTTGTTTGTTTGTTTGTTTTGAGACGGAGTCTCGCTCTGTAGCCCAGGCTGGAGTCCAGTGGCGCGATCTCAGCTCACTGCAAGCTCCGCCTCCCGGGTTCACGCCATTCTCCTGCCTCAGCCTCCTGAGTAGCTGGGACTACAGGCGCCGGCCACCAAGCCCGGCTAATTTTTTTGTATTTTTAGTAGAGGCGGGGTTTCAGCGTGTTAGCCAGGATGATCTGGATCTCCTGACCTCGTGATCGGCCTGCCTCGGCCTCCCAAAGTGCTGGGATTACAGGCTTGAGCCACTGCGCCCGGCCCTTTTTTTTTTTTTTTTTTTAATTTATCTTGTATTTTGAGTTCAAAGGTACATGTGCAGGTTTGTTATATGAGTAAAATTTTGTCATGGGGTTTTTGTACAGATTATTTCATCACCCAGGTATTAATCATGATCCTTCCTCTCCTTCCACCCTTCACCCTCTAATAGGCCCCATGTCTGTTGTTCCCCACTATGTGTCCATGTGTTCTCATCATTTAGCTTCCACTTGTAAGTGAGAACATACAGTATTTGGTTTACTGGTTCCTGTGTTAGTCTGTCAAAGATAATGCACTCCAGCGCCATGCTTGTTTCTGCAAAGGACGTTGCTGCATGTACTTTTTTTATTGCTGTATAGTATTCCTTGGTGTGTATGAACCATATTTCCTTTATTCAGTCTACCATTAATGGGCATTTAGGTTGACTGCATCCCTTTGCTATTATGAATAGTGCTGCGATGAACATATCCATTAATGTGTCTTTACGGTAGAAAAATTTATATTCTTGTGGGTGTACACCCAGTAATGGGTTTGCTAGGTTGAATGTTAATTCTATTTTAAGTTCTTTGAGGAATTGCCACACTGCTTTCCACAATGGCTGAACTACTTTACACTCCCATCAGCAGTGTATAAGCATTCTCTTTTCTCTGCAACCTCCCTAGAATCTGTTATTATTTTTATTTTTTAATAACCATTCTGACTGGTGTGACATGGTATCTCATTGTGGTTTTGATTTGCATTTCTCTAATGATTAGTGACATTCGGCATATTTTCATATGCTTGTCAGCTGCATGTATGTTTTCTTTTGACAACTGTCTGTTCACATCCATTGCCTACTTCTTAATGGAGTTGTTTGCTTTCTTTTTTTTTTCTAAATTTAAATTTTATAAAGTAATATGTGTACATAAGAGACAAATAGTTCCACAAGGCTTATAATGAAAAACTGCAGTCCTCTATCCCACCATCCCAACCTTGGGGTCTCACTCTCCAAAAAGAAATGCTTTGAGCACTTGAGCTGTCTTCTGGTACTTACCTCCTCACTGCTACAAAACATGCTCATATTATTATTTCCTCATTTGTTTCCATTACAGACATTTTCTCTAGGCTTCCTAATATGGAGATGAGGAATTAACCTCCTCCTATCCTCTTCTACACTTATATCACAATTTCTCATGTTTGTTTTCTGCTTGTAAATCTAAGTTCCTTATCTATTTTGGATATTAGACTTTCATCAGAAAAATAGTTTGCAAATATTTTCTCAGATTGTGTAGGTTGTCTGTTTACTTTGTTCTTAATGTCTTTTGGTATGCTGAAGCTCTTTAGTTTAATTACAGTCCATTTGTCAATTTTTTTGTTGTTGTTGCAATTGCTTTTTGTATCTTAGTCATTAAACTTTGCCCATTCCTATGTACAGAATGGTACAACACTTATTACCACTTTATGGATGAGAAAACTAAGACATGAAGAGATTATGTAATTCAATGTCACCCAAAATTATAGAAACCCTGGAAGACAAATACCATTCTGGACGAATCCCTATCTTTATCAATGCTTCACAGCTTAGCTAACGGTAATTCTCACAAATATTGAGCTTTTACTTTGTGTCAGGAAATGCTTCAAGTATTTTGCTTATATTATCAAATTTAACATGAAAAATAAGCCTGAATAATGATTAATGAGTCAGTTATGGAAACTACTCTTGACTAGGCAAGGAACCTCTAGTTAAAGTCTTGTCACTACCTATATTTTGTTATATTAATGGAATTTTATTGTTATAATTAGTTTTATTTTCTTCACCGCTACATTTTAAATACAGTGTGGGTAGATGCAGTTCCTATTCATCATTTACTCACACCACATAATACATTACTGTCTTCATAATACATATTTTAAAAGGACTTATTGGGCTATACAACAAATAGAGATTTGTGTTAGCAGGGAGAAAATTAGTACATTTTGAAGAACTTAGAGTTAAAAATAATTAGACGGTATAAATGAATTCTGCGATTACTCTTTTAAATGCTTGCAATTTGAATAATGTTAAAGAATAGAAAAAGTATATTACTAGTAAAATGCCTTGATTTCAACAAAATATGTAAACAACTAGTAAAATGCTTTCATTTTGTCACAGGATACTTGAGGTGTTGCTTTTATGTCCAGAAACTTCCGTGGCCAGTGGGCCTTTGCCTGGGTTTTGCTTGGGCCCACTGGGCTCGTTCTGCCCCCTTGGCCTGGCAGGCTGTACTCTGCTCATGATACTGGCCTGAATCCTATGCCCGCCAAGGGCGAGCCAGACACAGAGCAGGGAGGGGTGTGTGAGTGAGTGAGTGTGGGGTCCAGCCAACTGTGCATACCTAGGCATGCCAGCTGCAGCGGGATGGGCAGCTCCAGGTGCTGGCACGGGTGCTGGCTTCCTGCAAGGCTGTAGCTGGAACAGGTGAACTGCAAGCAGCTTTCACAGCTGGCACCAGGGATTGTGGTGGCAACCAGAAGCTTGGAGATGTCAGGAACTGCAGACGGTCAAAGAGGGTGTCACAGCCTTGGCTTGGGGACCTCCTAAGTCGGGGCTTCCTGAAGGGCCTCAGCTCTTCTCTCCTTCTCTCTTCTCTCCTTCTCATCACCTACAACGTGGCGAGCAAGGGGTGTGTTTCAGCCCTGTTTGTGTTACAGTTCCTTCAACCCCACCATTTGGCAGTTCCCAAGTTCTTGCCCTGCGTCTAGGAAGAATGAGGTACACAGAAAGTGGAGAGTGAGCAAGGTGAAGAGTTGATTTATTGAGTGACAAAACAGCTCAGAGGAGACCCACATTGGTTAGCTCTTCTCCACAGGCAGGTTATCCTGCCAGAGTCTGGCTGAGTCCTGAGGTTTTTGTGGGCTTCAGAGGGGAGGAAGTGTGTGCTGATTGGTCCATGGACAGCCATAAGCTGCCTGGCAAAAGCACCAGAAGTTCTCACTCTGATCCACAGACTGGCTGCCTGGCCCCCAGGCCTCAGGCCATCCCTGGCCTGAAGGTGGAGTTTCACTGCAGATCCATCCCTTTCTGACCAGGACCCTGTCTGCCACCTGTTGTCATTAACCAGCCAGGCTGTTTGTGCCAAGGGGTGCCTGCAGGCCCATGCCAAGCCACCTGAGGGCATGCACACCCAGCCCAGTTGTGACAGCACCCGGGCTCGCCCGCAACTTTGCTCAAAAACTGGAGTAGGCACTGGGATTGAGAAGAGGCCAGGCAGTGGGAGCAGAAACTTCTGAGCCTGCCGGGACAAAGGAGCTTCCCGGGCCCCTGAGAATGCAGAGATGCCCGGGTCTAGAGCTGTGGCTTGGCAGCTGCAGCTGTACTCAGGAGGGCAGGGTTCCCGCCCCTCCAACGTGGAAGGGGACGGGGCTTCAGCCTGTTCCCTGCTCCTACCGGATTCCTGGAGTGCACAGTCGTGACCTCACCTCTACTGCAGCCAGCCTCATGGCAGGGGCCACTCCAGATGGTATCAATCCAGCTGCTCTCATCAATTTCAACAACATATCTAAACAACTAAATTTTTTCAGCTGCCTTCTTTTGGCAGTTGCTTAGAAATAAATGCATGAGCATATCCGAATGAATTAACACACTGGTCATTTCCTCCAGTACAGTTACACAGAGCTTATTTCTGCCCGCAAGTGAAAACAACATGTCTTAAAACCTAAAGCTAAAGTGTTCTCTGATTTTGTCTCAAGTGGTGATTCAGATCCATAACTGTTATGCCTATCAACCTGTATGAACATTGATTTTAGCTCTGGAATGTGCCATCTTGAACATTTTACCAGCTGACTGGGCTTTGTGCAAATGTTTATTATTTCTACCCCATCCTACTTCTCTTTCCGCGTTTTGTTCTTGATCAGTTATATTCCCTTGGGGATCAAAGCACTTGCTTTAATGGGTTTTTCCATCTCTGTTATCTTTTTCTCTGCTTCCACCGTTTTCAGCTGTTTCCTAATATCTTTCCTCTATGTATGAAAAAGGACAAAACCCTGAGAGGTACATGAAATAATTCAGGGAATATTCTTCTAAGCTTAAGAGGCCAAATGTTCAAGGAACTCTTCTACAGGGAAGTATGCTTAATAGTCTTTCATGTGTACAGGTTTTATAGATTTAAATAAATGGTCTTTGACCCAATGCTCAACCAAGTTATTCTTCCATCATTATAGAAATATGCAGATTATAATTGTAATTTTATTATGAAATATTTGTCAGTATACATGACATCATATATAATTTTTACAATATGTTGTAATCAATTTTATTTCAGTTGGTTTGGATGATACCTTATTACCTGTTAAGGACAATCTAAAGAAATTAACTCACAGACAAGATCCATTGAGGGTATAAAATTTCAAATTACATGTGTAACTTGGATATACTAACCAATTAAATTTTGTTAAAAACAAATAATTCACTCCAAAATCACATTAAGCAATAGACCCTAAGCCCACAGTATGTTTTTAATCAAAAACTTTTACTGAATAATTAAAAGAGATATTAAGTTATTTAAATGGTTGAAGGTTAATCAGATTGTTTATATTTAAAAACTATATGAAATTAATATTATTGATTAGAGGCCCTAAATTAATATTTCTGTATTTGAGAAAGTTTTCTTTTCCAATTTTTGAATGGACAGCTGGATTTTTAAGTGATTTTCAGCATATGATCCTAAATAATAATAATCAAATGTGTGCATATATTTTACAAGTAGAACTTTGAAATATGTATAATATTAATATGTGCAAAAATAACAAATATATTGCACATATTATATGCTTAATGTTGTAAACAGTTTACCCATGTTAATACCTTTTGTCTTCCTAGTAATCCTATGTAATAGGCACAACTCTTATTACCACTTTATGGATGAGACAAATAAGACATGAAGAGCCAAGATTGAAACCAAGAATTGTAGTTCAAGGCAATATGCATGTAATCCCTATTCTATAATACAGCTCTACGTAAGTTACATGAATAAAGAACATGAGAGTTTTTAGAGTTTATTTTTGATGTCTCAAAAGACATTAAACATCAAGGGAGCTTTCTCTAGTAAATGTTTGCATCTTTTCGTAGTCCAAACACTAATCCATAACAAATAGTTTTTCCAATTTAAGAACATTTATTATTGCCAGAGGCTTAAAAGTAAACTATTTCTAATAGCATAGGAAATTGAACAATGCTCATTCTTAGAGTCAGTGTATTTTTGTTTGTAGAAAATGCTTTTAGCAATTTGTGCAATGCTTGCCCTCAAAGTCAATATGTATTTTTTAAAGTATAATCTAAAGTGAAGTAAACATTGAGACATTTCTTAGGTATATTGTTAATATTTTCTGTACCGTACACTATCTAAATAATGAAAGATATTAATAATAGGAGTGAGAATAAAAATAAATCTCAATGGAGTATACTATTTTAATTTTCTACTGCTGTATAATATATTATCAAAAATTTACTGGCTCAAAACAGCACCAATTCTTCACTTCTCAGACTGTGGTGTGACCAAGTTCACTAGGTATCTACTGGAGTGTCAGGATAGATAAAATGTTTAAAATATTCTTAGTCACACGGTTTGCAGTTCGGGCTGGATCTAAACTTCTGTTAAAAGGAACAAGGGCTCCTTGGAGAAATGGCTGATTCTTGGACTGGTTGGGATAAGAAACATACAAGATTGAGCTTGGAGCACATTTTATCTCCATAAAATAAAGAAGTGTCAAAAAAAAAAAAAAAAAAAAAAAGAAATGATCCATAATCTTGGTGGTGATATATCAAAAGAATTCAAAGAAAGGGCTCCCAAAAGCCAAAGGTGGAACAAGTTAAGAAACAAAATAAATAAAGTAGCATTGGACTATAGCCCAAAGTTTAAAATAGATATAAACGAATCCATGTGTTACTTATTCAACGTAAAATTGAATAAGTAAGTAAATGTGGAGAATAGACAAATCTTTCTTGCAGAAGGACTCCAAATAAATTATGTTAATACTCTGCCCTCAAGGAGGAGGAGCATAACTCTTTATTCCTTAAATGTGGGCTGTACACAGTGACTTTCTTTCAAATAAACCCCGTTACTACTAAAAAAAAAAAAAAAAAAAAATTCGGTGGGCGTGGTGGTACACACCTGTAGTCCCAGCTACTCAGGAGGCTGAGTCAGGAGAATTGCTTGAACCCAGGAAGTGGAGGTGGCAGTGAGCTGAGATTGCACAACTGCACTTCATCCAGCCTGGGCAACAGAGCAAGACTCTGTCAAAAAAAAAAAAAAAAAAAAAAAAACCTAAGAAACCTTCAAAGGACAAGCTGACTCTCTTGTTAGGGATAACATTTAAAATAAAAGTATTTTAAATATTAATGAAAACTCTTAAAGCTGGTGACTTTAAGTTAAAGCTGTTGCTAACTTACTTCAAAAAGGCTTGGGCCCTTAAGAGTTGTGCTTACTCTATCTTCCTGTGCTCTATACATAGAAAAATGAAACCTGAGTGTCTACACATCTGTTTACATCATATTTTATAGAATATTCTAAGTATATTGGGACATATTGCTCAGAAAAAAGATTCCTTTCAAAATAGTACTGTTCATTGACAATTTATCTGGTCACCCAAGAGCTGTGATGGAGCTGTGCAAGGAGATTAATGTTTTCATTTCTTCTACCACAACATCTATTCTGCAGTTTTTTGGATCAAGGTGTAATTTCTACTTTTAAATTTCCTTATTTCAGAAATCCATTTATTAAGGCTATAGCTGCCAGAGATCATGATTCCTCGGATGGATCGGGCAAAGGCAAATGGAAACCTTCTGGAAAGGGTTTACCATTTTAGATGCCATTTAGCACATTTGTGATATCATGGGGGGTGATCAAAATATCAACATTAATAGGAGTTAGAAGTAAGTTGATTCTAACTTTCATGGATGACTTTGTGTGATTCAAGATTTTAGCTGAGGAAATAACTGTAAATGTGGTGGAAAAAAGTAACAAAACTAGAATTATAAGTAGAGCCTGAAGATGTGACTGAATTGCTGCCATCTCACTATCAAACTTCAGCAAATGAGGAGTTGCTTCTAATAGATAAACAAATGAAGTCATTTCTTGAGGTAGAATCTACTCCTGATGAAGATACTGTGAACGTTTTCAAAATTACAACAAAGGATTTAATTGATGAAGCAAAGACAGTTTGAGAGATTTGACTCCAATTTTGAAACATCTACTGTAAGTAAAATGCAAACAGCATTGCATGCTACAGAAAAATCTCTTGTGAAAGGAAGAATCAGTTGATGTGGCAAACATCACTGTTGTTATTACTTGAAGAAATTGTCACAGCCTCTCCAAGCTTCAGCAATCACCACCCTGATCAATTAGAGCCACACACATCGAGGCATGGCCAGCGAAAAGATTATAACTTACTGAAGGTTCACATGATTTTTAGCATTTTTTAGCAATGAGGTGTTATTTAAAATTAAGATATGTATACTATTTTTTAAACATAATGCTGTCACACACTACAGTATAGTGCAAACAACTTTCATATACATTGGTAAACCAAAAACTTCGTGTGGCTCACTTTATTGCAGTGGTTATGAACTAAACCTGCAAAATTTATGAGGTATGCTTGTATTATTTTACTGAAAATTGCATTTTAGAAGTAAATGTAGGTATCAAAAAAAAATGAAGTCTGTAGATAGATATTACATTGCAATTATCATTCCAGGGATGATAGTAGACACACCACTTGGTATTTTTTTTTAATCTTATGAGACCCATAAAGGGCAGCCTTTGTTTAATAGCACCTTTTGACATTTATTACCCTTCTTCTGACTTTTTTTCTTTAATTTATGAAGTCATAAGTGCATCATCTCTTTTCTTAAATATCAGGTTATCACTAGTATTCTAACTTGCTCTTATTTTCTTTGCTTTAAGTGAGACGGGTTTTAATATAATGTTCTTAAATAATGAAGACAAAGTTTGCATCTGCATAGTTAGTGTTTCTAATAATGGCAGAAAGCTTTCCTGTTTAGTGAGAGGAAAGCTACAGGTTAAAAAATTAAATTAAAACAATATAACATAAGTTATTATGTGCTTGCATATTCTTTTATGCATAGGCAAATTCATGTACGTAATTTTGTGGTGGAATAGCATGTAAAGCCAATGTTTTGAATTTTCATTTACTTGAATTATAGGGTGATAAAATATCTTTGATTCTTTTCATTTTTTAACTTTGCATTCCTCTATTGTTATATAACAGAGAGTAACTTTTATGATATTTTAGCTAAATACTTGCGTTTAGTATAATAATTTAGCTACTGTATTTACCTCTTTCAATTCTCTTATTTTCTTGGTTGATTACCTTTATCATTCAATTGTCATGTCCTTTATAATAATTTCTCTGTTCCTTTTATGTTTTATAGTCATCTCTGTCTTTATTCATCATAAGGCAGAAATTCAGAATATCAATACATAAAGAAAAAATGTATTTTTATTATTAATGGAAACTCTTTGTTTAATTAAACTTAATAAAACTGAAACTTTTTGCCCTCCTTTTTAAAAATAAATGTTGTTGTATATATTTTAAGTATACGACATGATGTTATGGAGTACGTATAGATAGTAAAATGTTAACTATATCAAAGCAAATTAATATAGCCATTCTCTTACATAGTTAACTCGTTTTTTGTGTATGTGGCAGAAGCAGCTAAAATTTTATTTAGCAATAATCCTGAATAACATACCATACCATATTAATAACTTTAGTTTTCATGTTGTACATTAGATCTCTAGGCCTGTTCATCCTGCATATGTACCACTTTGTAACCTTTGAGCTTCATCTTCTCATTTTCTCCTTCCCATTTTGCCACCCATTTTGCCACCCACAATTACTGTTTCATTCTCTATGTCTGTATATTTGAACTTCTCTGACCACAATGGAATAAAACTATAAATTAATAACAAGAGAAATTTTGGAAACACTACAAATGCATAGAAAGTAAACAATATGCTCCTGAATGACCAGCTGGTCAATGAAGACATTTAGAATAAAATTAAAAGATTTCTTGAAACAAATGATAATGAAAACACAACATACCCAAACCTATGGGATATTGCAAAAGCAGTTCTAAGAGGGAAGTTTACAGGTATAAGTGTCTACATCAGAAAAGAATAAAAACTTCAAATGTACAATCTAACAATGCATCTTAAAAAAACTAACAGAGCAAGAGCAAACAAAACCCAAAATTAGTAGAAGAAAAGTTATAATAAACCTCAGAGCAAAAATAAATAAAATTGAAATTTAAAATGCAAAATATTAATAAACCAAAAGGTGTTTCTTTAAAAAATATTTAAATTGACAAACCTTTAGTCAGACTCACTAAGAAAAAAGAGATAATCCACATAAATAAAATAAGAAATGAAAAAGGAAACCCTAAAGTTGATGTAGCAGAAATTCTAAGGACCTTTAGTAGCTACTATCAGAAACTATCTGCCAATAAATTGGAAAATATAGAAGAAATGGACAAATTCCTAGATACCTACAACCTGGCAAGATTGAACCAGAAAAAAATCCTTACTTGAATGGACCAATAACATGTAATGATAAAAGCCATAATAAAAAGTCTCCCAGGAAAAAAGGAAAAAGAAAAAATAAATAAACCCTGGGCCTGATGGCCTCACTACTTAATTCTACCAAACATTAGAAGAATAACTAACACCAATCCCACTCAAACTATTACAAAAAATAGCAGAGGAGGAAATACTTCAAAACTCATTCTACAAGGCCGGTATTACCCTGATACCCAAACCAGAAAAAGACATATCAAAAAATAAAATAAAATAAAATGACAGGCCAATATCTCTGATGAATATTAATGCAAAAATCTTCAACAAAATACTAGCAAACCAAATTCAACAATACATTAGAAAGATTACTAATCATGACCAAGTGAGATTTATCCCTGAAATGCAAGGATGGCTCAACATATGCAAATCAATCAATGTAATACATCAAATCAATGGAATGAAAAATATAAGTCACATGACCATTTCCATTAATGCTGTGAAAGTATTCTATAATATTCAACATCCCTTCATGATAAAAACCCTAAAAAAACTGAGGGTAGAAGAAGCATACCTCAACATAATAAAAGCCATGTATTACAGACCCACAGCTCATATCATACTGAATGGGGAAAACCTGAAAGCCTTTACATTAAAATCTGGAAAATGACAAGGATGTCCACTGTCACCACTGTTATTCAACATAGTACTGGAAGTCATAGCTAGAGCAATCAGACAAGAGGAAGATATAAAGGGCATCCAAATTAGAAAGGAAAAAGTAAAATTATCCCTGTTTGCAGATGATATGATCTTATATTTGGAGAAACCTAAAGACACCACAAGAAAACTATTATAACTGATAAATTCAGTAGAGTTGCAGATTACAAAATCAACATATAAAACTCAATAGCGTTTCTATATGGCAAATGTGAACAATGTGAAAATAAAACCTCATTTACAATAGCAATACATAAAATTAAATGACTAGGAATCAACCTAACCAAAGAAGTGAAACATCTCTATAATGAAAACTATGAAACACTGAGGAAAGAAATTGAAGAGGACACAAAAATGGAAAAATATTTTATGTTCATGTATTGGAAGAATCGATATTGTTAAAATATTTATATTACCCAAAGAAATCTATAGATTTGATGCAATCCTTATCAAAGTGCCAATGATAGTTTTTACAGAAATAGAAAAAAAGATCCTAAAATTTATATGGAATCACAAGAGACCCAGAGTAGCCAAAGCTATTCTGAGCAAAAAGAACAAAACTGGAGGAATCACATGACCTGACTTATACTATAGAGCCATGGTAACCAAAACAACATGGTATTGGCATGAAAACAGAAACGTAGACCAACAGAACAAAATCAAGAACCCAGAAATGAATCCACACACCTAGAGTGAACTCATTGTTGACAAAGGTGCCAAGAACATACACTGGGAAGAAAACAATCTCTTCAATAAATGGTGCTGGGAAAACTGAATATCCATATGCAGAAGAATGAAATTAGATCCTAATCTCTTGCCATATACCAAAATCAAATCAAAATGGATTAAAGACATAAGTCTAAGACCTCAATCCATTAAATTACTTCAATAAAGCCTTGGGGAAAATCTCCAGGACATTAATCAAGGCAAAAATTATTGAGCAATACTTCACAGGCACAGGCAACCAAGGCAAAAATGGACAAATGAGAACACATCAGGTAAAAAACTTCTTCATGGCAAAGGAAACAATCAACAAAGCCAAGAGACAACTCACAGAATGGAAGAAAATACTTGCAAGCTATGCATTTGGCAAGGGATTAATAATCAGAATATATAAGAAGCTCAAACAACCCCATAGGGAAAAAAAGTCTAATAATCCAATCAAAAGATAGGCAAAAGATTTGAATAGACATTAAAAGAAGACATAAAAATGGAAAACAGGCATATGAAAAGGTGCTTAACATCATTGATGAACAGAGAAATTCAAATACATGTTAAATTGACATATTAACTGACCCTTAAAATGGCCTATATCCAAAAGACAGGCAATAGAAAATGCTGGAGAAGATGTGGAGAAAAGGGAACCATCATACACTGTTGGTGGGAATGTAAATTAGTACAATCACTATTCAGAACAGTTTGGGGGTACCTGAAAATACTAAAAATAGAGCTACCATATGATCTAGCAATCCTATAGCTTGGAATACACCCAAAAGGAAGAAAATCAGTGTATCAAAGATAAATCTATACTTTCATGTTTGTTGCAACACTGTTCATAATAACTAAGATTTGAAAGTCACTTAAGTGTCCATAACTAGATGAATGGATAAAGAAAATGTGGTATATATACACAGTGGAGTACTACTCAGCCATAAAAATAAGAATGATATCCAGTCGTTTGCAACAACACGGTTGGAACTAGAGATCATTATGTTTGTGAAATAAGCCAGGCACAGAAAGACTAACGTCACATGTTCTCACTTTTTTCTGGCATCTAAAAATTAAAACAACTGAACTCATTGACATAGAGAGTAGAAGAATGGTTATCAGAGCCTGGGAAGTGTAGTGTATTGCTGGGGAAAGGTGGGCATGGTTAATGAATACAAAAAATTCATTAGAAAGAATGAATAAGACCTACTATTTGATAGCACAACAGGGTGACTATAGTCAATAATAACTGTACATTTTAAAATAACTTAAAGAATATAGTTGGATTGTTAGCAACTTAATGGATAATTGCTTGAGTGGATGGATAACTCGTTCTTCATATTGTGCTTATTTCACATTGCATACCTATATCAAAATATCTCGTGGACCCCATAAATATACACACTTACTATCTACCCACAAAAGGTGAAAATTTAAACCTAAAAATTTTAAAGGAAAATATACATGTATGTAATTTTACATCACCTAAACCAGACTCTAATAGCTATTAAAGTTATTCATTTAATCTATTTTTTTTCTGGTTATAGAACAATAATTGGTTATACTTTTAATTCTAAGAATATTTTTTCTTTCATAGAAAATGAGCCTTCAAATAGTTACTGAATATACTTTATATACCATATCTTTTAAACAAAATCTCATAATTTCATTGTTTTCATTTAAATAAAAGATGACCCTGAAACTGGATGATGCTCTTTCTCTCTTGTGTCTTTGTTCAAAACATTCATGTATATTAGTGGCCAGTAAACTTCACAACAATCCCTTTGTAGTTTAGCCTTCTTCCAGAAAATCCTTAGTCTATAGCCATAGGCATTCTGCTTTCTTTCATAAGGCTGCTTTCTTTGGGCACAATGGGAAACATTCTTATCACACATCGTGTTATGAGGCTGGTGCTAGCCACATTTGAACTGAATGTTTGGTGTGTTTTACAAATATTCACTATGTCTCCAGGAAAAACACTGGCATGAAAAGGTATTCACTATTTTATTTGAAGAAAACAGGTTGAGCTATTGTGACATAGTTTGTGCGCTGCATCTGGTTACCTCAATTTGAGATTAATTTAAATAAATTTAGTTGGCAGAGTGTAACTGACACTGTAAAATTTCATTTATTTTATTAATATTTTGATTTCAGTAGGTTTTCAAGGGAACAGGTGGTGTTGGGTTACAAGAATAAGTTCTTTAGTGGTGATTTCTGATATTTTGATGCGCCCATCACGTGAGCAGTGTACATGTACACTATGCCCAGTATATAGTCTTTTATCTCTCACCCTCCTCCCAACCTTTCCCCTGAGTCCCCAAAGCCAATTATATTATTTTTATGCCTTTGGATCCTCATAGCATAGATCCCACTTATGAGTGAGAATATATGATGTTTGATTTTCCATTTCTGAGTTACTTCACTTAGAATAATGGTCTCCAATACCATCCAGATTGCTGCAAATGCTATTATTTTGTTCATTTTTATGGCTGAATAGTATTCCGTGGTGTGTGTGTGTGTGTGTGTGTATTTCTTTATCCACTCATTGATTGATGGGCATTTGGGCTGGTTCCATATTTTTGCAATTGTGAATTGTGCTGCTATAAACATGAATGTGCAGGTATCTTTTTCTTATAATGACTTCTTTTCCTCTGAGTAGACACCCGGGAGTGGGATTGCTGGGTCAAATGGTAGATCTACTTTTAGTTCTTTAAGGAAGCTCCACACTATTTTCCATAGTGATTGTACTAGTTAACAGTCCCACAACAGTGTCAAAGTGTTTCCTTTTTACCATATTCACACCAAAATCCATTTTTTTAAATTATGGCCATTCTTACAGGAGTAAGGTGGTATCACATTGTGATTTGCATTTCCCTGATAATTAGAAATTTGGGGCATTTTTCATATATTTGTTGACCATTTGTATATCTTCTTTTGAGAATTGTCTATTCATGTCCTTAGCCCACTTTTTTAATGGGATTGATTTTTTCTTGCTGATTTGCTTGAGTTTCTTGAAAATTCTGGATATTAGATATTTGTCAGATGTATAGACTGTGAAGATTTTCTCCCATTCTGTGGGTTGTCTGTTTACTCTGCTGATTATTTCTTTTGTTGTGCAGAAGCTTTTTAGTTTAATTCTCATCTATTTATCTGTTTTGTTTGTTTGTTTGTTTTGCATTTGCTTTTGGGTTCTTGGTCATGAAGTCCTTGCCTAAGCCAATGTCTAGAAGGATTTTTCCAGTGTTATCTTCTAGAAATTTTATGGTTTCAGGTCTTAGATTTAAGTCTTTAATCCCTCTTGATTTGATTGTTGTATAAAGTGAGAGATGAGGATCCAGTTTCATTCTTCTACATGTGGCTTGCCAATTATGCCAGCACCATTTGTTGAATAGGGTGGCCTTTCCCCGCTTTATGTTTTTGTTTGCTTTTTCAAAGATCGGTTGATTGTAAGTGTTTGGCTTTACTGCTGGATTATCTATTCTGTTCCATTGGTCTATATGTCTGATTTTATAACAGTACCATGATGTTTTGGTGTCTATGGTCTTACATTATAGTTTGAAGTGGGTAATGTAATGCCTCCAGGTTTGTTCTTTTTGCTAGGCTGGGTTTGGCTATGCGGGCTCTTTGTTGGTTTTGTATGAATTTTAGGATTTTTTTTCCAGTTTTGTGGAGAATGATGGTGGTATTTTGATGGGAATTAGGTTGAATTTTTAGATTGCTTTTGGCAGTACAGTCATTTTCACAATATTGATTCTACCCATTCATGAGCATGGGATATATTTCCATTTGTTTGTTTGAAATAAATCATCTATGATTTATTTCAGCTGCGTTTTGTAGTTTTCCTTGTAGAGGTCTTTCACCCCCTTGGTGAAGTATATTCCTAAATATTTTATTTTTTGCAGCTGTGGTAAAAGGGGTTGAGTTCTTGATTTGATCCTCAGTTTGCTTGCTGTCAGTGTAGAGCCAGGCTACTAACTTGTGTACATTAATTTTGTATTCTGAAACTTTACTGAGTACATGTACCAGTTCTACATTTGAATAATTCTTTATGGTTTTCTATGTATACAATAATGTCCTCAGCAGAAAAAGACAGTTTGACTTCCTCTCTGCAAATTTGGATGCCCTTTACTTCTTTATCTTGTCTGATTTCTCTGGCTTGGACTTCCAGTACTATGTTGAATAGAAGTTGTAGGAGTGGGCTTCCTTGTCTTGTTCCAGTTCTCAGAAGGAATGCTTTTAGTTTTTCCCTGTTCAGTATATTGTAGGCTGTGGGTTTGTAATAGATGACTTTTATTACATTAAGGTGATGTCTCCTCTATGCCAATTTTGCTGACAGTTATAATCATAAAGGGATGGTGGATTTTGTCAAATGCTTTCTCTGCATCAATTGAGATGATCATGTGATTTTTGTTTTTAATTCTGTTTATGTGGTGTATCGTATTTATTGACTTGTGGATGTTAAGCCATCTCTGCATCTTTAGTATGAAACTCATTTGATCATGGTGGATTACTTTTTTGATATGCTGTTGGGATCAGTTACCTAGTATTTTGTTGAGGATTTTTAATTTTTATTTTTATTATGTTCATCAGGGTTATTGTTCTGTAGTTTGCTCTTTTTTTTTATTTTTTATTTTTTTTGAGATGGAGTTTTGCCTTTGCCACCCAGGCTGGAATGCAGTGGTGCGATCTCGGCTCACTGCAACCTCTGCCTCTTGGATTCAGGCGATTTTCCTGCGTCAACCTCCTGAGTAACTGGAATTACAGATGCCTGCCACCATGCCCAGCTAAATTTTGTATTTTCAATAGAGACAGCGTTTCACCATGTTGACCAGACTGGTCTCAAACTCCTGACCTCAGGTGATCCACCCGCTTCAGCCTCCCAAAGTGCTGGGATTACAGGCTTGAGTCACCACACCCGGCCTAGTTTGCTTTTTTTGTTATGTCCTTTCATGGTTTTTAGTATTAGGGTAATGCCAGCTTCACAGAATGTTTTAGGGAGGACTTCCTTCTTCTTTCTCTTTTTGAATAGTTTCAATAGGATTGATACCAATTCTTCTTTCAATGTCTCATAAAATTCAGCTGTGAATCCTCTGGCCCTGGACTTTTTTGGGGGTAACTTTTTAATTACCATTTCAATCTCACTGCTTGTTATTGGTCTGTTCAGAGTTTCTATTTCTTTCTGGTTTAATCTATGAGGTTTGTGTATTTACATCAATTTAACCATCTCCTTCAGGTTTTCTAGTTTATACGCATAAAGGTGTTCATAGCTGTCTTGAAAGTTCTTTTGTATTTCTGTGATATCAGTTGTAATATCTCCCATTTCATTTCTAGTTGAGCTTTTTTGGATCTTCTCTCTTCTTTTCTTGGTTAATCTCGGTAATGGTCTATACATTTTATTTATCTTTTCAAAGAAACAGCTTTATGTTTCATTTATCTTTTGTATTTTTATTTGTTTCAACTTTAGTTCTTCTCTGATCTTGGTTGTTTCCTTTCTTCTGTTGTGTTTGGGTTTGGTTTATTCTTGTTTCTATAACTCCTTGAGGTGAGACCTTAGATTGTCTATTTGTGCTCTTTCAGACTTTTTAATGCAGGTGTTTAAGGCTATTAACTTTCCTCTTAGCACAACCCTGGCTGTATCCCAGAGGTGTTGATAGGTTTTGTCACTATTATCATACAGTTCAAAGAATTTTTAAATTTCCCTATTGATTTTATTGTTGACTCAATAATCATTCAGGAGCAGGTTATTTAATTTCCATGTATTTGCATAGTTTAGAAGGTTTCTTTTGAAACTGATTTCCAATTTTATCTCACTGTGGTCTGAGAGAGTACTTGCTATGATTTCAATTTTCTTAAATTTGTTGAGACTTGTTTTGTGGACTGTCATATGGTCTATCTTGGAGACTGTTTTACGTGTTGATGAATATAATGTATATTCTGCAGCTGTTGAGTAGAAAGTTATGTAAATATCTGTTAAGTCCATTTGTTCTGGGGTATAGTTTAAGTCCATTGTTTATTTGTTGACTTTCTGTCTTGATTACCTGTGTAGTGCTGTCAGTGAAGTACTGAAGTCCCCAACCATTATTTTGTTGCTATCTATCTCATTTATTAGGTCTAGTAGTAATTGTTTTATTAATTTGGGAGCTCCAGTGTTAGGTGCATATGTATTTAGGATTATGATATATTTCTGTTTGACTAGTCCTTTTATTATTATATAATATCCCTCTTCGTATTTTTTAACAGCTGTTGCTTTAAGGTTTGTTTTGTCTAATATAAGAATAGCTAATCCTTCTTGCTTTTGATGTCCATTAGCATGGATTGTATTTTTTTTTTTCATCCCTTTACCTTAAGTTTATGTGATACCTTATGGGTCAGGTGAGTCTCTTGAAGACAGCTGATACTTGGTTGGTGAATTATTATCCATGTTGCTATTCTGTATCTTTTAAGTGGAGCATTTAGACCATTTATATTAAATGTTAGTATTTAGATGTGAGGTAGTATTCATCATGGTATTTGTTCTCTGAATACTTTGGTGTGTGTTTTTTTTTTTCATTGTGCGATTTTTTAGGTCCTGTGAGATTTGTGCTTTAAGGAGATTCTCTTTTGGTGTATTTCAATAATTTGTTTCAAGATTTAGAGGTCCTTTTAGCAGTTTTTGTAGTAGTGGCTTGGTAGTGGTAAATTCTCTCAGCATTTGTTTGTCTGAAAAAGACTGTACCTTTTCTTCATTTATGAAGCTTAGTTTTGCTAGATACAAAATTCTTGGCTCTTTATTATTTTGTTTGAAGAGCGTGAAGATAGGACTGCCATCCCTTCTAGCTTGTAGGGTTTCTGCTGAGAAAAATTCTGTTAATCTGATAGATTTTTCTTTATAGGTTACCTGTTGCTTTTGCCTCACAGCTCTTAAGATTCTTTCCTTCATCTTGACTTAGATAACCTGATGACTACATTCCTAGGCGATGATCTTTTTGCTATGAATTTCCCATGTGTTCTTTGAGCATCTTGTATTTGAATGTATAGATCTCTAGCAAGGCCAGCGAGGTATTATTTGATTATTCCCTCAATTATGTTGTCCAAACTTTTAGATTTATCATCTTCCTTGGGGACACCAATTATTCTTAGGTTTCATCGTTTAACATAATCCCAAACTTCTTGGAGGCTTTGTCAATTTTTAAAAAATTCCTTTTCTTTGTCTTTGTTGGATTTGGTTAATCTTAAAGCCTTGTCTTTGACCTCTGAAGTTCTTTCTTGTACTTGTTCAGTTCTATGGCTGAGACTTTCCAATGCACTTTGCATTTCCCTAAGTGTGTCCTTCATTTCCAGAAGTTGTGGTTGTTTTTTATTTATGCTATTTATTTCACTGGAGATTTTTCCATTCATTTCCTGTATCTCTCTTTTTTTAAAATTTTTATTTCTTTAAGCTGGACTTTACCTTTTGTGGTGCCTCCTTGATTGGCTAATAGTTGACCTTCTGAATTCTTTTTCTGGCAATTCAGAGATTTCATCTTGGTTTGGATCCATTGCTTCTAAGCTAGTGTGATTTTGGGGAGCTGTTAAAGAACCTTGTTTTGTCATATTAACAGAATTGTTTTTCTGGTTACTTCTCATTTGGGTAGACTAAGTCAGAGGGAAGACCTGGGACTTAACAGCTGCTGTTCAGATTCTTTTGTCCCATGGGGTGCTCCCTTGATGTGCTGATGTCCCCTTTCCCCTAGGGACGGGGCTTCCTAAAAGCTGAACTGCAATGATGTTTATTTCTTTTCTGGATCTAGCCATGCAGCAGAGCTACTAGGCTCCAGGCTGGTACTGAGGAGTGTCTGCCAAGAGTCCTGTGATGTAATTCATCTTCAGGTCTTTCAGCCATGGATACCAGCACCTGCTCCAGTGCAGGTAGCAGGGGAGCGAAGTGGAGTCTTTGAGGGTCCTTGGATGTAATTTGGTTGTGTGCTGGTTGGCCTCCAGCCAAAAGGTGGCTCTTTCAAGAGCGTAATAGCTGCGGTTGTATGGAGAGGATTCAAGCTTGCCCTAGGTTCAGGCAATGGGCGGGGCCATAGAGCTCCCAAGGGATTATGTCCTTTGTCTTTAGCTACCAGGGCAGGTAGAAAAAGATCATCAGGTGGGGAGAGGGTTAGGCATGTCTGAGTTCAGACTCTTCTTGGGCAGGGCTTGCTGAAACTGCCATGGGGGATGGAGGTGTGGTTTTCAGACACATGGAGCTGTTTCCAGGGGGATTATTGCTGCCTCTGCTGCATCACTTAGGTCAATAGTGAAGTAGGGGAAAGCCAGCAGCCACAGGCCTCACCCAGCTCCCATGCAGCCTGCAGCCGGCAAGGCCAGTCTCACTTCCACTGTGCCTTCCACCAACAACACCTAGTTTATTTCCAGGCAGCCAGTGAGCAGGGCTGAGAACTTGCTTCAAACTACAAGCCTCCCACCTGAGAAAGCAAGCTGTCTCACAGTTCCTGGGCTATCCCACGAAGCCCGCAGTGGCAATCCACCTCCTCCAAAGGGTCTGCGTATGCTCTCAGCTTTCCTGATATGTTCCTGTGGTAGTTCTTGCAGCAAAAGTTCACGATGTGAGTTTCCACAGGCTGCTCTGTGTATCCGAGTGGGAGCTGCAAGTTAGCCCTGCCTCCTATCCGCCATTTTCCCCAATAATAAAGATTTTATTTATAATACCTGAGATTCCAATATTGCTTTTATTTTGAGGAAATCAAGATGTTTTATATTTTCAGATTTCTCAAAATTGTTTGAGATTTTTAAATACTACAGTAGACAGGTAAAGAAACTTAAGTTGAGATAAGTTAATTGAGTCCTCTATTAGTAAAAACAATTAAATAATTAAATTATTTAATAATTATTTTATTATTAAATAATTATTTTAAAATCCTGTTATTAACTCAACAAAATTTTATCAAGCACCTATTATGTGCTAGGCAATTTTCTAAGTGTGGGAAAAATGGTTAAATACCTTGACAAAATTCTCTACCTTAAATGGATTGTAGATTCTAAATGAACAGAAAAAATAAATAAATAATTCATTTGATTTCATTATTTCTAGAGTTCTCTGTTTATTGACTTTCCTCCAAAAAATTAATTATTCTTTTATTTTGAGTCTTCAAAATTATTAACCAAACATGCTCAAATAAATAAGTTACACAGAAAAATTAATGGTGAAAACCATGACCCATGGAATCAATACAATTATTGATATCCACACTTTAAATTTAATAAGAGCGAATGATGTTCTTGCACTTTAGATACATTTTCTATAACCCTATTTCAATAAGAGATTGATCACTCTATAAAATTATAGCAGAAAATACAGACTTCTCCGTTAATTCAATAACATTATTTTTGTTTCACCCATATGCTCTGATTCACTTTATATCCTAGACTACATATCTTAATTATTGAGCTCAAAATAAATATTTTTCAATTGCATGAAGAGAAGTATAAGATTGAAATTATGTTTAAACTGGACAAACTTAGTACAGCATCTGGATATTCTTTTTACACATGGCTTGTAGAATATTCTATGATTAATCAAATAAGAATTCTTCCAATTTGAATTTGTATAGTGGAAATTAAACTGAAATTTAGAAGACTTAAGGTAAAACATAAAACTTGAGGAACAACTCATATTATACTGGCCTTGGCTTTTGTTCTGTTACATAAAGTCATTGGTTTAGATAATATGTAAAATGTTTTTGAGACTCAAACCCCTCAAGCTATTCTGGTGAAGTCTAAATCTAGGCATTCTGTATAGGAGTACCATAAGTTTGACAGCATAATCTTGAAATCCACAAAATAATCTCATGCTAAATTTTAAAACCAGCTTCTTTAAGAGATATACAGAAGCAGAAATCAAGGGGTTTGGAAGAAGACTTGCTTGGGTAGAGGGATTACAAAAGAATCCAGAGACAGCAGAGAACAGAACTACAGAACTACTATTGAGTTAATCTGCAACTTCAGGATTAATGAATGCCAAAGTTCTGAAATCTCATAGAAGGTCCACTGTATCTTTCTGCAGATGTTTACCAATCAAAATTTTATCTTCATTCTGAGGCAAAGCTATGATTTGTTCTGGTTCTCATTGGTTTCCAATGTCCAATATCTCACACTGTCATTGGACAGCAAGCCTGGTTATTGAAGCAGTATTTTCAAGTGAGATGTATTCAGGAGAAAGTTGTTTTGTGCTTATAATTTTAGGTATCTATTATGAAGTTGTCTTTATGATAGTTTTATTTGTCAACAGGATCTGATAATTCAAAATACACTGAAAAATATCAAAAACTAAGACCAATGAGTGGATATTCAAATCCAGATTATATGCTATATGTACAACTATGAAGTACACATAATAATCATTTTTTAAAAAGAAAAAAAATTTATTTGGAAACAAAAGATGCTGTTTAGTGCAAAATAAGTATATAAAATTTTGGACTTTTGTAAAGAAGTCATATTTTTTGTTTACTGTCAGAAAAAATTTTTACAGATTTTGGAATCGTTCAAAGAAGTATTTGGTGCATTTTGTTTGAAAACTAACTGCTTTCAAGGGTACCTAGAAACAGTCTGGGTTATGTGCACCTTTCATTGTCTTTGATCTACTTTACAACCCTGTAACTTTGTGAAAAATTGAAAATAATGTTACGTCTACAGAAAAGCAAATTAGTTGTGTCCAATCTAATACTTATTGCCCTGTGAACATGTTTGTACCTATGTACATGTTCATGTAAATATTTCTTTTCTGCCAACATACGTGTGATATTTTAATTTTCCTTTGGCCAGTTGTAATATATAATAGCATATGGATTGCCTCCATAATGAGTTAAATAATATATTTTACAGTGTTTATTGTACGTTGTTATTACTCTTTTTTTTTAGCATTTTGCCATTTTTATCTTTAGCAGTATTCAAGCATTTGTCTTTACAAAAGTCAGATCAGTTACTATAATAAACATTATTTGGTTTCTCCTTCATTTAAAAAAAAATTGAAGGTTCAGAAAAGTACTAATCACATGATGACATGTCACATATATGTCGATTTGCTTTGTGAATGTAATAGTTTACACACACATAAATACTTCATATTTCAGGTATGGCTTATATGACTTACATACATTCTACAAAATACTTTAAAAGCAATTGTGTCTGATGGACCTCAGGCAAGACACAGTTATTATTAGACACTTACTTTATCTAAAAAATCTAAAAAATCAAATCTAAAAATATTTTAGATATTTTTGCTTGTAACTTTAATAATTAAAACAATGGAGAACAGATTTTCAAAAAAATAAAGATCGTTCTCTTTGTATTTTGGGTGAGAATACGGTCTTCAATTGTTGATATGCATCCCACTGCTAGCTGCCTGACTTTCAGTTATGATGTGACATGCCTAAATAAAAATTCACTGACTTTATGCCTGAAACTAATTTACTTATATTTACTAGAAAGGCTGCTCTCAATTCCTATAGGTGTTCTTGTTCAAAATCAATATGCAAGGCATAACAGAAAAGAAGAACTCAAATTGACTTTATTAGCTTCAGTCTATCCACAAACATATAAACAAGGCAAATTCTCTTTTAAATTATTGATAACCTCCTTTAGCCTCTACTAATTCTTTTCAATGGAGAAGTAAACATTCATGTAAAAGACTATAAAAATGGTTAATGAAGTCAGAACCACTGACCTGGTAGCTACTTTCCCTATGTAAGACTAAATTATGCACAATTTATAACTGAGTTTATTGTATTTCCTTATTTCACAAATAGGCATTAAAATATGTTTTAATGGCTGGGCAAAGTGGCTCACGCCTGTAATCCCAGCACTTTGGGAGGCCAAGGTGGGCGGATCACGAGGTCAGGAGATCAAGACCATCCTGGCTAACACGGTGAAACCCCTTCTCTATTAAAAAATACATACATATATATATATTAGCTGGGTGTGGTGGCACATGCCTGTAATCTCAGCTACTCAGGAGGCTGAGACAGGAGAATCGCTTGAACTCAGGAGGCAGAGGTTGCAGTGAGCTGAGATTGCGAGATGGTGCCACTGCACTCCAGCCTGGGCGACAGACCGAGACTGTCTCAAAAAAATAAAAAAGGAAAAAATGATAATATGTTTTAACAATTTAGATTTACTAGGTAACTTTGTTATTTTGTTTTGTTTTTCTGTATTTGCATGTGGAAACAATGTATGATAATTTTTAATATCCATTATAACCTCATAAAATATTTTTATAATTAGGAGACTTTAATTCATTAGTAGTAGATATGCATTTTTGTATGTCTAATCACAGGAAAAAGTTTTTAAACAGAGTCATTCCTTACAGTGTAATAGAATAAACATGCATTTCCATTTTTTGTTCTTTACACAGAAATAATCTCTGAGCTTCAAAACTGTCAAGGAAAAATTAAAAAGTTTCACTGCTTCATATTGGCTGAAAACATGGAGATTAACTTTTGTTTCTTTGCTTCTTATGGCTTAGAGAAAGTAATACATACATGTAAAAATTAACATCTATGGTTATGTTGTACTTTGAGAAGAGATACTTTAGGAGGATTTAAAGTTAATGATATGGACGTGTAACAGAATATGAATGTCCTAATATGAAAATTTAACAAGTATATTTCTTTCTTCTCCTTGCATTGTTAAAATCGAATGCAAAATTTTCTCCATACTCCTAGGAGATTTGGAAAATTAAGGCTTCCACAATCTCTAGTTTTTCAGTTGTACGTAATAAATTTATCTATTATTGGAATTTTGTGCCAACTCTGGGGAGAAGTGAGGCAGCTAGTGACCTAGGATTAGCTAGATAAATGGTTTTGCCAAAAGACCACTGTAAGAAAAATGTAAAAACCAGAAGCTTAAAGTTTCTGTGAAAAACAGAAGACATTATCACTGACTATGAACAAAGCTATGAAATTGCCACTGACTGCCTAGCTGCCATGGATATAAACACTACATGATCTGTATCCAGGACTAAACCAATCCAGCCACCCAGTGGTATATGAAAAGGACATTCATCATTCATCAACTACCACCTCCAGTTTTCTGGGAAGAATAACTCTTATCTATACTGCAAACCTTTTCTGGTTGTAGTTTTATTTGGAGAACTACCTATATGATGACTGGGAATGTTCATAAGCCATCCTCCCATTCTCCTCTCCCTCAGAGAAAAATGATAGTCCACAAATACCAGTTGAATAAGTAGAGAAGCCACTTAGGAAAATACCCAAATAATTTTGAGATTCCCTAAATTAAAAGACAGTTATTGGTGACACCCAGTTAAAAATGGAATATATAGAATACATAAAATATATCTGTGAATATTCATAGTCTTGGTGAATTACTGTCTTCTGTTTCACAGTATCTGAAGAAACTCTATGAAAACTAAAGATAATACACAAATAAAATATATGCAAACACACTATAGTTACATTTGCTTGGTATTTGGGGGTGACTTTTAGTTCCACTATCTGAAGGTAGGAAAGAAGAACCCCTTTTCTCTTTTCACTCCATTCACACTATAACACAAAATAAAAGGCTGGGCATGGTGGCTCATGCCTGTAATCCCAGCACTTTGGGAGGCCAAGGTGGGCAGATCACCTGAGGTCAGGAGTTCAAGACCAGCCTGGCCAACGTGGACAGACCCCATCTCTACTAAAAATATAAAAATTAGCTGGATATGGATATGGTGGCAGGTGCCTGTTATCCCAGCTACTTGGGAGGCTGAGGCAGGAGAATTGCTTGAACCTGGGAGGCAGAGGTTGCAATGAGCTGAGATCGTGCCATTGCACTCCAGCCTGGGCAAAAAGAGCAAAACTCTGCCTCAAAAAAAAAAAAAAAAAAAAAAAAAAAAAAAAAAAGAAGCTCATCTAATAATCCTCCTCAGTGAAAGGAATTTTAGTCACTTATTTTCTTCTTATTTATTTCTTTTCAAGAGAACAGTAAGTAATTAGGAAAGACATTACATTAATTCAGCTACATAATCAGGGTTTTATGTCTCTAAGCTAGAAACATATTTCAACGTGTGTTTTTTTTAAACAGGTCTATTGAGATATAATCAATGTATGAAGAGCTTCACATTTTTAATGTGTACAATTTGATGTTTGGATATATGCAAATACCTATGATACCATCACTACAATCAAACATGTAGTACATCCAACACCTCCAAAAGCTTCTTTGTATTCTTCTGTTTTTTATTTCTTTGTTTTGGTGTTGAGAACTGTTAACACAAAACATATCCTCTTAAAAAATTCTGAAGTGCACAATATTGTATTTTTAAAATAGGTACTATGTTGTACAGATCTCTAGAACCTATTCATTATGGATTACTGAAGCTTTATACCTATTAAACAGCAACCTCCCAATTCATCCACTCTTCCATCTCAGACAACCACTATTGTACTCTCTGGTTCTATTAGTCTGAAAATTATTCATACTTCATATAGATGGAATAATATGTATTTGTTCTTCTATAACTGGCTAACTTCACTTAGCAGATATTTCTCCAAACAAGACGTACAAGTGGCCCACAGGTATATGAAAAGATGCTCAACTTCATTAGTAACAGGGAAATACAGATCAATAATAAAACGAGACATAATCTCAAACCTATTCAGACAGCTATTATCAATTTAAAAATAGATAAGTGTTGGCAAGGTTATGTACAAACTGGAATCTTATGTACTGTTGGTAGGAATGGAAAAAGGTGCAGCTGCTGTGGAAAACAGTATAAAGATTTCTCAAAAAATTAAAAATAGAACTACCATGTGATTCAGTAGGTCTCATTTCTTGGTATGTTTAATTGGATGGAAGTCAAAATTCCATGTTTATATCAGCATTATTCACGATAGCCAAGAAAAGAAAACAACTCAAGTGCCCATTCATGGAAGAATGGATAAATAAAAGTTGCTATATTCATACAATTGAATATTATTAAGCCTAAAACACAAACACACACACACACACATGAGAAAATCTTGCTATTGACATGGGGGAAACTGCATGGTGTTATCTTAAGTAAAATTAGCCAATATGTTTTTTGTGTTATCTGATTTATGATTTGTTTAAATAATTGTGTGCTCTTCTTTTTTTCCTTCCACAATGTATTAGGTACTCCTTTATTTTAGTAAAATTAAGATATATAATGACATATTTAAAACTACAATGTGATGTTTTATATATGTATACATTGTGGAAATGTGTACCACAATTGAGCTAATTAGCATGTATGTTACTCACATAGTTACCTTTTTTGGAGAGGGAACAGGTGAGAATACGTAAGATCTACAGTGTTAGCAAACTTCAATTGTAAAATAAATTATTGTTAACTATAGTCGCCATGCTGCACCTTAGGTCTTCAGAACATATTCATCTTATAAACGCAAATCTGTACCCTTTGACCAACTTCTCTTTTTTTTTATTATTATGCTTTAAGTTTTAGGGTACATGTGCACAATGTGCAGGTTAGTTACATATGTATACATGTTCCATGTTGGTGTGCTGCACCCATTAACTCGTCATTTAGCATTAGGTATATCTCCTAATGCTATCCCTCCCCCTTCCTCCCACCCCACAACAGTCCCCAGAGTGTGATATTCCCCTTCCTGTGTCCATGTGTTCGCATTGTTCAATTCCACCTAAGTGAGAATATGAGGTGTTTGGTTTTTTGTTCTTGTGATAGTTTACTGAGAATGATGATTTCCAATTTCATCCATGTCCCTACAAAGGACATAAACTCATCATTTTTTGTGGCTGCATAGTATTCCATGGTGTGTATGTGCCACATTTTCTTAATCCAGTCTATCATTGTTGGACATTTGGGTTGATTCCAAGTCTTTGCTATTGTGAATAGTGCTGCAGTAAACATACTTGTGCATGTGTCTTTAGAGCAGCATGATTTATAGTCCTTTGGGTATATACCCAGTAATGGGATGGCTGGGTCAAATGGTATTTCTAGTTCTAGATCCCTGAGGAATTGCCACACTGACTTCCACAATGGTTGAACTAGTTTACAGTCCCACCAATAGTGTAAAAGTGTTCCTGTTTCTCCACATCCTCTCCATCACCTGTTGTTTCCTGACTTTTTAATGATTGCCATTCTAACTGGTGTGAGATGGTATCTCATTGTGGTTTTGATTTGCATTTCTCTGATGGCCAGTGATGGTGAGCATTTTTTCATGTGTTTTTTGGCTGCATAAATGTCTTCTTTTGAGAAGTGTCTATTCATGACCTTCGCCCACTTTTTGATGGGGTTGTTTGTTTTTTTCTTGTAAATGTGTTTGAGTTCATTGTAGATTCTGGATATTATCCCCATCAAGCTACCAATGACTTTCTTCACAGAATTGGAAAAAACTACTTTAAAGTTCATACGGAACCAAAAAAGAGCCCGCATCACCAAGTCAATCCTAAGCCAAAAGAACAAACCTGGAGGCATCACACTACCTGACTTCAAACTATACTACAAGGCTACAGTAACCAAAACAGCATGGTACTGGTACCAAAACAGAGATATAGATCAATAGAACAGAACAGAGCCCTCAGAAATAACGCCACATATCTACAACTATCTGATCTTTGACAAACCTGAGAAAAACAAGCAATGGGGAAAGGATTCCCTATTTAATAAATGGTGCTGGGAAAACTGGCTAGCCATATGAAGAAAGCTGAAACTGGATCCCTTCCTTATACCTTATACAAAAATTAATTCAAGATGGATTAAAGACTTAAACGTTAGACCTAAAACCATAATAACCCTAGAAGAAAACCTAGGCATTACCATTCAGGACATAGGCATAGGCAAGGACTTCATGTCTAACACACCAAAAGCAATGGCAACAAAAGCCAAAATTGACAAATGGGATTTCATTAAACTGAAGAGCTTCTGCACAGCAAAAGAAACTACCATCAGAGTGAACAGGCAACCTACAAAATGGGAGAAAATTTTCCCAACTTCTCTTCTATTTTTTGCCCCTTGTCCCATGGGAATCAAACTCTACTCTCTATTTCTATGAGTTTGACTTTTTAAATATTCTCTATATAAGTAATATGTAGTATTTGTTTTACTGTATTACTGTACTTGATTTATTTCAATTAGCATAATGTTCTTCAGTTCATCCATGTGGTCACAGATGTCAGAATTCCTTCTTTTGTAAGGCTGAATAGTTTTCCATTTCAATTAGTATAATGTTCTTCAGTTTCATCCATGTGGTCACAGATGTCAGAATTCCTTCTTTTGTAAGGCTGAATAGTTTTCCATTTCAATTAGTATAATGTTCTTCAGTTTCATCCATGTGGTCACAGATGTCAGAATTCCTTCTTTTATAAGGCTGAATAGTTTTCCATTTTGAATACCGCATTTTCTTTATTCATCTATCAATGGACACTTGGGGTGTTTCCATATCTTGACTAATATGAAAAATGCTGCAATGAACAAGTAAGTGCAAGTATTTCTTTTAGACACTGATTGTACTTCCTTTGGATATATATGAATAAGTAGGATGGCTATATTTCCTTTGGACACACACACCCTCCCAAGATTGAACCAAGAAGAAATTGATATCCTGAACAGACCAATAATGACCAATAATGATTTCCAAAATTAAACTAGTAATAAGTAGCTTACCAACAAAAAAGAGCCCAGAATCAGATAGATTCATAGCTAAATTCTACCAGATGCACAAAGAAGAGCTGGTGCCATTCCTACTGAAACTATTCCAAAAATTAAGGAGAGGGATTTCTCCCCAACTCACTCTATGAGACCACCGTCGTCCTGATACTAAAACCTGGCAGAGACAATAAAAAAAGGAAACTGCAGGCCAATATCCTTCAGGAACATTGATTCAAAAATCATCAACAAAATACTTTCAGACTCAATCCAGCAGCACAACAAAAAGCTAATCAACCATGATCCAGTAGGCTTCATCCCCAGGTTGCAAGGTTAGTGCAACTTATGCAAATCAATAAATGTGATTCATCACATATACAGAAATAAAGACAAAAACCACATGATCATTTCAATAGATGCAGAAAAGGCTTTTGTTAAAATTCCACATTCTTTCATGTTAAAAATTCTCAATAAGTTAAGTAGTGAAGGAACATACTTCAAAATAATAAGAGCCACCTATGACAAATGCACAGGCAATATCAGACTGAATGGGTAAAAGCTGGAAGCATTTCCCTTGAAACCTGGTCCAAGACAAGGATGGCTTCTTTCACCACTCCTTTTCAACACAGTATTGGACTCCTTGGCCCAGCAATCAGAAAAGAGAAAGAAATAAAGGGCATCCACATAGGAGGAAAGGAAGTCAAACTATCCCTGTTTGCAGATGACATGATCCTATATCTGGAAAACACCATAGTATCAGCCCCAAAGCATTATATGCTAATAAACAACTTTATTAAAGTTTCAGATGCAAAATTAACATACAAAAATCACTAGCATTCCTATACACCATGATATGGTTTGGCTGTGTTCCCACCCAAAACTTATCTTGAATTGTAGTTCCCATCATCCCCATGTGTCGTGGGAGAGACTGGGTGGGAAGTAATTGAATCATGGGGGAAGTTACCTCTGTGCTGTTCTCGTGATAGTGAGTTCTCACAAGATCTGATGCTTTCATAAGGCTTTTCCCCATTTTGCTTGGCACTTCTCTTTGCTGCCTTCATGTGAAGAAGGACATGTTTGCTTCCCCTTCCTTCATGATTGTAAGTTTCCTGCGGCCATCCCAGCTCTGTGGAACTGTGAGTCGATTAATCCTCTTTCCTTTCTATATTACCAAGTCTTGGGTATTTCTTCATAGCAACTACTACACACCACCAACAGCCAAAGAAGAGCTGAATCAGGAACACAATTCCATTCACAATTGCCACAAAAAGAATAAAATGCTTAGGAACGCAGCTAACCAGGGAGGTGAAATATCTCTACAGTGGGAATTACAAAACACTGCTCAAAAAAATTATGGATGACACTAACAAATGGAAAAGCATCAGGTGCTCATGGATAGGAAGAATTAATATCATCAAAATGGCCATACTGCTCAAAGCAAATTATAGATTCAGTGGTATTCCTATTAAACTATCTAAAGCATTTTTCACAGAGCTAGAAAAAGCTATTTTAAAATTCATATAAAACCAAAAACAATCCCAAATACCCAAGGCAATCCTAAGTAAAACAAACAAATAAACACAAAGCTGAAGACATCACGTTATCTGATTCCAAACCATATTACAGGGCTATGGTAACCAAAACATCATAGTACTGCAACAAATACAGACACGTAGACCATTAGAACAGAATAGAAAGCCCAGAAATAATACTGCATACCTACAATCACCTGATCTTTGACAAAGCTGACAGAATCAAGCAATGCGAAGAGGAGTCTTGTTTCAGTCCATTTTGACACAGCTATAAAGACATACCAGGGATTGGGTAATTTATAAAGAAAAGGAGTTTAACTGACACACAGTTTTGCAGGGCTGTGGAAGGGCATATCTTACATGGAGGCAGGAAAGAGAGTGGTGATGGAAGTGGGGAGAGCCCCTTATAAAACCATCAGATCTCGTGAGAACTCACTCACTATCCTGAGAACACCATGGGGAAAACTGCTCCCATGATCCAATCCCTTCCCACCAGATCTCTCCCTTGACACTTGAGGATTACAATTTTAGATGCGAATTGGGTGGAGACACAAAGACAAACCATAGCAACTCCTTAGTCAATAAATAGTGCTGGGATAACTAGCTAGCCATATGCAGATGATTGAAACTGAACACCTTCTTTAGACCATATACAAAAATCAACTCAAGTTAAATTACAGACTTAAATGTAAAACCTAAAACAATAAAGACTCTGGAAGGCAACCAAGGCAATATCATTCTGGACATAGAAACAGGCAAAGATTTTGTGATGAAAATGACAAAAGCAATTGCAACAAAAGCAAAAAATGACGATGGGATATAATTAAAGTTAAGAGCTTCTGCACAGCAAAAGAAATTATCGACAGAATAAACAGACAACCTAGAGAATGGGGGAAAATATTTGCAAACTATGCATCTGACAAAGGTCTCATATTTATCTTCTATAAGGAACTTAAACAAATTTACAAGAGAAAAACAACCCTATTAAAAAGTGGGTAAATGATGAATAGGTAATTTTCAGAAGACATACATGTGGGCAACAAACAGATGAAGAAAACCTCAATATCACTGATTATTGGGGTAATATAAATCAAACTCACAATGAGATATCATCTCACGCCAGTCAGAATGGCTATTATTGAAAAGTCAAAGTAGATGCTAGCAAGGTTGCGGGGTAAAAAAAAATGCTTATACACTATTGGTTGTAGTATAAATTAGTTCAACCATTGTGGAAAGCAGTATGGTCATTCCTCAAAGAGCTAAAAACAGAACTACCATTTGATCCAGCAATCCCATTATGGGCTATATACCCAGAGGAATATAAATCATTCTACCATAAAGGTACAGGCACATAAGTGTTCATTGTTGCACTGTTCACATTAGCAATGACATGGAATCAACCTAAATGTTCATCAATGACAGATTGAATAAAGAAATTGTAGTACATATATATGAATGGAACACTACACAGCCATAAAAAAGAACAAGATCCTATCTTTTGCAGAAACTTGGTTGAAGCTAGAGGACATTATACTTAGCAAATTAACACAGGAACAGAAAACTACTGCATATTCTCAATTATAAGTGGGAGCTAAATGATGAGAACTCATGGCCACAAAGCAGGCAACAACAGATACTGGGGCCTACTTGAGGGCAGAAGGTGGAAAGAGGAAGAAAATCAGAAAAACAAAATAACTATAGGGTACTAGACTTAGTATCTAGGTGATGAAAAAATCTACAGTAAACCCCTGTGACGTGGGTTTACATATATAGCAAATCTGTGCATGTACCCCTGAACCTAAAAGTTTTTAAATAATGGACAAAAGATTTAATTAGACATTTCTCAAAAGAATACATACAAATACCTAACAGGTATATGAAAAGGTGTTGAACATTATTGATCAACAGTAAAGTGCAAATCAAAACTATAATGAGATATCAACTTACTCCAGTTAATATAGCTTCTATCCAAAATACAGGCAATAACAAATGCTAGCAAGGATGTGGAGAAAAGGAAATCCTTATACACCATTGGTGAGGATGTAAATTAATACAATCACTATGGAGAAAAGTTTGGTGGTTCCTGAAAAAAATAAAATTAGAGCTACCATATGATCCAGCAATCCTATTGCTGGGTATATACACAAAAGAAAGGAAATCAGTATATCAAAGAGATACCTGCACTCCTATGTTTGTTGCAGCACTACTGTTCACAACAGTGATGATTTGAAAGCAGCCTAAGTGTTTATCAACAGAATAAAGAAAATATGGTACATATACACAATGAAGCACTATTCAGCCATAAAAAAGGATGAAATCCTGTCATTTGCAACACATGGATGGAACTGGAGATTATTATGTTAAGTGAAATAAGCCAGGCACAGAAAGACAGACATCACGTGTTCTCACTTATTTATGGGATCTAAAAATCAAAGCCGTTGAACTCATTGACAGTGTAGAAGAATGGTTACCAGAGCCTAATGTAAAGGATAGTTACCAGGAGCTACAAGGAGGTGGGTGTGGTTAATGGGTACAAAAAATTAGCTGGAAATAATGAATAAGACCCATTATTTAATAGCACACAGGGTGACTATAATTAATAATGGCTTAATTGTACATTTTAAAGTAAGTAAAGGGTGTAGTTGGATTGTTTGTAACACAAAGGATAAATGTTTGAGAGAATGGATACGCTGTTCTCCATGATGTGATTCTTCTACATTGAATGCCTGTATCAAAGCCTCTCATGTACCTGATAAATATATACACTTACTATGTACTCACAAAAAATAAAAATTACAAAAAAATGATCTGAAGCGTTTCTTCAAGGAATGAACAGGAGATGAAACATGACTTTACCACTACAATCCTGAAGAAAAAGCATAATCAAAGTAATGGCAAGCCGGACACACATGTGGTCCAATTAAATAAAAACAAACAGGTCATGAGCAAAGGTCATGGCAAAAGTTTTACTGGATATTCAAGGCATTTTGCTTGTTGGCTTTCTAGGGGGTCAAAGGCAATAACATGAGCTTACTATGAAAGTGTTTTGAGAAAATCAGCCAAAGCCTTAGAAGAAAAGCACTCAGGAAACCTTTACCAGAGAGTCCTGCTCAATTCTGTCATCAAACGAGGGCAATTTTGCCAGAGTTTTGATGGGAAATCATTATATATTTAAATTACAATCCTGATTTGACTTGCTCTGGCTCTTTTTGTTTTCTCTTCTGAAAAAAAAAAACATTTTTCTTCACTTAATAATGTAAAAAAGAGCACATTGACATGGTTAAACTTCCAGGATCCTCAGTTCTTTAGGGGTGGACTAAATGGCTGATATCGTTGCCTATAAAAATGTCTTGAATTCAATGGAACTCATGTAGATAAATAGTTTGTATTTGAATTTTTAGCTTTTAATTCCATTTTCCACAAACTTTTTCCAAGTTCTCTTGTAAAAACAGAGAAAATCCATTATTATTCCTCCTGTCTCTGCAAGGCAAAACTTCCTGTTTACAAAAATTTCCCATTTACCTTCTCCTGTCACTCGTGGGGATCTAGGAGTGGAGATCAATGCTGCCATGCTACTCTTGTTACTCTTGCTGTTGATCTGAATTTATCAGAAAAAAAGAAAGAATCAAGGTGACTCATATTTCTGTAGTATTCATATATATATATATATATAGAGAGAGAGAGAGAGAGAGAGAGAGAGAGAGAGAGAGTACATAACAGCAAGTCTGGGTGACGTCATAGCATCTTCACAGTTCTTGACAAAATACTCCTGTACTTCTAACAAAAAGCTTTGTATCATAAAGACTTGTCTCTCTTACAACTAAATAAGCTCATTCCTCTCCACAAAAAGGTCAGTTTGAAATATTATTAGTTACCATATTCAGGTTTGAGTTCATGAAATCTGGGTCAAATCATTGCCTCATCTGGAACTCTTACAATTACATTAAAGATTAACAGTTTATAAACTAAATGTTAAAGTTATGTGTAGTCAAGTCACCCTTGACTAAATAAATGTTATGTGTAGTCAAGTCACCCTCTATTAAATGGGTGTAGAGGAGAAAGTTTAAACCAAATGGAGAAGATATATTAATTATAAAATCATATGATTCTAGCACAGCAAGGAATAAAAAATGACAAGATAAATATGTTGAACATTTCTTGTTTCTAAGGCTCTTTCTATGGCATTCACAGGTATTTGAAACTTTCTTTTTCTACTACTTTTTAAAGAATTCTCTTCAGCCAATATATCAGTGATATCATTACTTTACATATGAAGAGAATAAATGAAACTTTATTCTTAAGAGGTAGACTTCTCTTGTTTTTTTTTTCCTTACTTTATGAAATGATAATAGTTTTCCATTCACTTTGGTTATTGGATATGGCAACATTATCAGGCAGTAACTTGGGAGATCCTGTGGTTTTCATTTCTGTAACTCCTTGCCCCACTTGGTAAAAGAAAAATTATTTCTCTGTAGTAATCTGGAAGAAAATTTCTGGCTCAGAATGTGATCTTTTTTTGAGAAGTAATATATTGAGCCTGTGCATAAATTCCATTTGAGTGATGGTTGACAATTATTATTCATTAGTACATGAAGCAACACTCAGAGAATAGAAATGAATTGATAGTAACAGCGAGTAACACCCAATTATTGAGAGCCTCCTCAAAGTGGAGGCACTTTTGTGTATACTCACATGAGGCACAATACTATCACATTCTGGACCGATTCTAAGAGGTCCATCAATTTATCCTTGAACAATATTTTTATTAGTCAAATATACTGTTGACTGCAAGTACCTAAGATTATCCAACAATTTAATTTACTGGTATAGAAGTCAAGGGACAAGACAGCTTGAATTACAGTTTGGGATTACCTTAAAGATAATTTTTTAGTTTTAGTTCAAAACTCAAAATCTTTTGGATCAATGGAGTGCAACATCCAATTGAGACATATGTTACCTTCAAAATTTAAGGAACCCAAACAAGTCTTGTGATTTTTTAATACCATGGGGATAGATGACATAGAAACTTGCATTTTACTATGAAGAGTATGCATCTTCATTTCCAACTATATTTAATCTTCAGGGCTTGAATTCTTTTACTGGTTCCTGTATTTTTGTGAAATTACTTTCGTACTGACAGGCAGATATTTGTATTCTCAAGTCAGCTTGGTGTTATTGCTATTACTTTCTTTACATATATTTTCAGTACAATGTCCTTTAACAAACTTAGAAAATCTAAGACAATAGGAAACAAATTGTGACACAGAACAAGACAGATGTTACCATATGTCAAGATGTTTCAAATGTACTCTTCCCCTGAAAAGTCCTAACAATCAGATATCCCTTATTAATTGGAAAGGGAAGAAAGGAAGAATTTTCCACATCTGTAATTGTATACTAGGTGCACTAAGCTGGCTGACTCAGTACAGTCAGCTTTAATACAGAGAAAATATATGGAAAGGTAATTGCAATTGAAGTAACAATAGAATAAGTTTTTTATTATATAAATTTGAAGTGTACAACATGTTTGGATGTGTATATATATAGTAAAGTTATTACTATAGTCAAGCAAATTAACATATTCATCATCTCACATACTTACATTTCTTTGTGTGCTTGTATGGTAAAAGTATCCAAAATCTGCCTTTTACCAAAGTCCCATTATGCAATGCAATATTATTAAATAAAATCAACCCTCCATATCCAGGAATTTTGTATCCATGAGTTCCACATCCCTGGATTCTGCCAACCATGGATCAAAAGTATTCTAACCAAAGGATAGTGCATCTGTACCGAACATATACATACTTAAGTTTCTTGACATTATCCCTAAACAATGCAGTATAACAACTATTTATGTAGCATTGACATTGTATCAGGTGTTGTAAGTATATATCCCACATCAAAAATTTCACTTCCAGCATATATTCGAAGTAAATAAAATCAGCATTTCAAAGAGTTATCTGTATTCTCATGTTCTTTGCAACATTATTTACACTAGATATGGAAAGATATGGAAAACAATCCAAGGTAATGGAAACAACCCAAATCCTACCTAAAGAAACAAAGCCAGGTAATTAAGTTTCTCATTAACAGTGATAAAGCATGTTGATAGTATATGCTCTTGTTATATAATTAAACTGGCAATTTATCTCTATGGTCTTCCTTCCAAAAATCCAGAGCCTCAGCTGAACAATGAGCAAAAACAATGAACAATGAGAAAATTCAATTAAGAGGAATTCTACAAAATATCTGACTAGCCCTCTTCAAACTGTTAGTCCTCAAAAACAAGATAAGTCTGAGAAAATATCACAGACAATAAGAGTCTAAGGATATCTGATAGCTAAATGTCATCTAGAATCCTAGGTGGACCCCCAGAACAGAAAAAGAACATTAGATAAATCTTAAGCAATATTAATTACATAAAAGATCCCTCACTTGATCTAACATACCTTATAAGATTCTTAGGGCATTCAGTTTCATCTCTGGACTGCTCAGGAAGGATGGCTCTTCAGAGTATGAGAATCCTATTTCTAGGAATATTGGCCCAATATTATATTAAAAACAACCCTTAATAAAAGCGTCATCCACTAATCCTACCAGAACTTTCTCTAGGATAATAGAAGAAAAAGATTGCTTTAAATAGTAGAAAATCAAAAATTACATATTTAGTGTATTTTGGTTGCAAAGAACTGAAATGTAAAATAAACCGATTTTGGTAAAAAATAAATTAATCAATACAAGTAACTGAAAATTGCCAGTTGAGATTGGCTTTATCTTATGGTTTGGGCTACAGGTTCATGACGTTAGGGCTCAAGCTTCATATAACTGTCGTTGCTTCTAATATGTCTTCTGCTATTCAGGCTGTCTTCTCAAATGGTAGCAAATATGTCTTTAGACATTTGTGACAGAACATCTGAGATCCATGCACCAGCACTTCCCATAAAATTCTTCAAGTTCACCCTAATTGGAGGACTTTATTTGCATAGTCACCCTGGAGTTATTACTGTGACAATAAGGATGTGATAATCTGCTTAACTTTACACCATTCAGTACACAACCCTAGAGATAAGTTGACGACAATCCCAAACAAATATAAAAGAGAGTAAGAATTGGGTTAATTGTGCCCAAATGTAATGTTAGAGAAGTAGAATGAATACTAGAAAGTGAAAAACAAATGTATATAAAAACATTATCATTAAAACATACTCGGAGGGATGTATATAAATTCATGCATTCATGATCAATGCGTAACATAGCTTTTAAAATCATCCAAACAGATTAGAGAAAATTCATCACATAAATAGGGGATTTTGCAGACGGTGCTTCTCAGTCCTTTTCATCTGATGGCACATGCAGAAAATATGAATGTGTACACAGAAAAATGAGATAATCAGACAAGGCTGTTCTCTGTAAGAGAGACCTGGCATAGAGCCACTGGCTATTCCTGGTCACCTACAGTGTCAAAATTAGGAGGAATCAACATTACAGGCATCTCTGGAAACCAGTCACAGTCCAACTGATGTATCATGTCATAAGACACTGACCAGAAAGCTCTTGACTAGATCTTTTCCAAGGTTCTTGTAAATTTTAAAATATTAAAATTTTTGACTATTGACATCAACAGTAAAAACATCCAGGTTGATCTGGTAGCATAACGGGAAAAATACAGGATCTTTCCTCATGTTTGTAAAGTCAAGAACAGACCATGAAGAAGAATTATATCCTTTTCCAAAATAAGTCCTTTAAGGACAACAGAAGAAATGGTGTAAGAAATATGATAAATATTTGATTAAATTTGTCATTGCATCCATTTTTTCTTAATCTTGTATTCCATCGAATCCTAAGAAAGATTCTACTGAATCCTAATTCCAGTTTTATAACCCATTAAAAAATGAGCTGTGGTCCTTAGGGTAAGAAAAGAAATAATCTAGAATTCATGAAATATAGTCACAGAAGGAAACCTAACCTGCATTTGTAAAGCTTAAAGCACCCAGAAGTTTCTCAAAAACTTAAAAATATTTCTGGTCCGAGGTGGGTGGGATCACCTGAAGTCGGGAGTTGGAGACTAGCCTGACCCACATGGAGAAAACCCACCTCTACTGAAAACACAAAATTAGCCGGGTGAGGCGGTGTATGCCTGTAATCCCAGCTACTCGGGAGGCTGAGGCAGGAGAATCACTTGAACCCAGGAGGCGGTGGTTGCGGTGAGTCGAGATCGCACCATTGCACTCCAGCCTGGGCAACAAGAGCGAAACTCCACCTTAAAAAAAAAAAAAAAATATATATATATATATATACACATATATATATGTATATATATATATATATACATATATATATGTGTATATATATATATACATATATATATGTGTATATATATATATACATATATATGTGTATATATATATATACATATATATATGTGTATATATATATACACATATATATATATGTGTATATATATATATGTGTGTGTGTGTGTGTGTGTGTGTGTGTGTGTATGTGTGTGTGTGTGTGTATTTCTGGAATCTTCTGAAGAGTTTAATTTCTACTTTCCTCCAAAAGCAGAGTTTGTCATGCATCATTTAGAGGTAAAGGCTCTCTATTGTTCATATTGCTATATATGTTATACTTCTGCTGACTGAAACATTATTGACAATGATTATGATGTCATGTGTCAAGTATCAAAAAGTGGAGCATTAAAAAAAATCACCTATAACAAGGCAAGAAATAGGCCCAGTTGTGAGGGGTATTTTGAAAATTTGTTTTAGAGTCCCTTAATAGGTCTCAACATGTCTTGAAATGACTTCCTTGTACATATAAAAATACATTATAATGATACAGTGACGATCTGATGGGTGAAATTGAACTGACTAAATCTCATCTCAAAACAACTATTTTTTTTTTCTGGACAAAACGGAATTTCTGATTTTGGGATTTAATCTATAAGAACTTTCCTACCATTGAACTGAAGAATGGGGCAAGGAATAATTGCAGCACAGTACATTTTTTGATTGTTGAGTATACATAAATAAGCGTTTTAGAGGAAAACAAATCAGAAGAGATAAAAATATGGCAGCTTAGATTTTGTGTACTTGTGTTCTTGCGTGCGCTTGCATTCTTGTATAATTGAAGCACCCTTGTTTATTGCAATAATTTAGCAGAGCAAAAATGTGGACTATACAAGCAATATATTGCATATTAATGTCTCTGATTTACCCTTCGTGCTCTTTAAATTAATTTATTCAGTAAGGAAAGATACTATCAGTCAACAAAACTCATACAGACAAGATACTTTTTATACATTAGGAGGATATTAAACAGTGCCTAACTCTACCTCTGCCTCTGCTGGCTAGGTCTAGAAAGGTGAATACAGGGCTGATATGGGAGTGCAGAGCACAAGCTCATGGATCAAACTGTCTCATTTGAATTCCGGCTTTACCACTTGCCAGCCATTTGACATTGGGTAAAATACATCATCATCTCTCTATGCTTCAGTTTCTTATCCCTGAAGTGGGGATAATACTAGTACTTACCATCAGTGGATATCTGACCAGTAAGCCAATGACTTCTCACCAGTCCTTTATGGTTACTTCTTGTTCTAGATGGTCTGTGCGTCATTCAGCTGCATTACCTGATATTCTAGCAGTTGGAAAAATTTTGAATGTCGCCTAGATCTTTATCATAGATTTTTTGTGCTTAACAAATGAGTTAATTTGTATAAAACAATTGATTAAGTTTCTGGCACTTAATGATTTTTCAAACATATATAACAATCTATTACAAATCTCAAGAAATTTAGTTTCTTCTTGGATATTAACAGTTTACAGAAAAAAAAATCCTTGAATCCTATGCCATCCTTATGCTTGAGCCACAACAATTTAGTGGAAAATTTTGTATAGAGTCTACTGTTTATTTGAGAAATGGCTTGGCTTAAAGAAGTGGTAGTAATCATTATGGGAAAGAAAAAAGCTCTCAGCTTGAATATCTTGAAGGTGGCAGCTAAATGTGTATTTAGCTAAGAGTTTCTCTATTCTTTCATATCCCTATAACCTTAGTGGTAAGAAAATAACTATATATAAATAAGCCTTAACTATGTAGGGAGACATTGACTTCTGATAATTCAATGCATTTTGACTTATTGACTATGATTTGTCAAATAAGGTGCATTAATTTATAATATACCAGGAATAATTCCTTTTTAAAATTGTATTTTTATATGGCACTTACAGATCTAGGCCTCAATTACCCGAACATGTCCCTTTTGAGAAGAACCTAACTTCCTAATTTTTCCTCATAAATAAAGCATAACTATGTTATGTTAATTCTGATCTATTTTCTTGAAGAAGTTTGCCTTGGTTTTCCAATTCAAAATGAACCAATAGAGTATATTACATTGAAAAAAATGTGTATATTACAGATCACTAGATAAATGGCATGTCTCATTCTATGTTTATAATACACTAAAAATAAATGAGAAATGTTATAATTGTTTTTGTTATTGAGAATGTCATGACAAACTTAGCTCTGAGTTCCCTTTTGTTGGATTAAGCTATGTCCTGAGGGGTTCGGCTCTCCCACACTTCACTAAATAATCTTATTCTTTCCCCTTAGAGAGCAAAGATTAATCATTCAGAAACTTAATGAGCTGGAAAAACAAATACCAGTAGAATAAAGGTGCCTGAACACTTTAAATAAAATAAATTAGTTTTCATTTGAAAAGTAAATTAGTTGATTTACAAATCCCTTTTGTCTTTTTTCTTTTCCATTTGTAGTTCTCTGTGTTTTTACCATCTTCATCAAACCCTGTATCCATCCAAAGGTGAAGTCCAGTTTAACAGTTTTTGACTTTTCTTCATTTTTCATTTTAAACATATCTTCTCACCAGCAAATATTTTTACTTTTTATGTTTACCTTTCCCTAGGTTGCATTTCTTTCTAAATATTTACTGACGACTTAGCTACTAAACTACTATAATTAAATTTTGAAAAGTTGTAGAGATATTAAGATGGGTATATAGAAATCAAAGTTAAAGGGGTATTTATATAATAACCTACTGGGAAAATATAAATTTTCTCCTATTAAAAGAGTAAATAATTTTAGTTTTGACATATTGTAAAATGTTATTGCTCTGCTTATTAATATGATATATTTTTAAAAATTTGTCTTAATCTTAAAATGTTTTAAAGTATATTATCTTATTTAATTATTATGAAATTTTATATAGAAATGTATTTTTAAGAAGCCTTCAATAATGTTATCCTAATTTACAAAGAAGACTACTATACTCCATCTAGAATTTGTATATCCTTTCTCTAATCAATGCTTGAAATTTTGAACATTTAATTTATAATTATGTAACATTAATATAAATTATTATAAGGTAAGACACTTATAGAGAGAAGCGTAAAAACAATCTGTACACATACATAACGGTGTATTCTTATTTATTCAAAAGTATGGTTTTATTTTTTTAGAATGTGCTGCATCATACCACCATTTTCTTACTTTTTCTACCTAGTATCAATATATCTTTTAAATTATTGCTTAAATATGACTTCTCCACAAATCTTCTCTGATTTCTTAAATCTAAAGTATCAGTTAAAGAATTGTGATTCCATAATACTTTTACCAACCCCATCATTGATGTCATTGTTATAATTTTATTTTCTGAAATGATCTGTCTTTATTCTGCTATCAGAAAACAAAAAAAAATCCCCGAGTGTAAACAGGAGAAATGTGCTACTAAGTTACTCATCATTATCTTACTATTAACAAAATAAATCACTATCTATGTTTACAGTCATAGAAAAAAAAAAGAAACAGCCTGGAGAGAAGTTGGGACTTTGAGAATGGGGAGGAGAGAAGACGTGGTGGTGGGGGCGGGGGCAGACACAGACTCCACATCTTGCCCTGTGGGATTTGGGGTTCCCATACTGATCGGAGGGCTGTTTAGATCTTTAGAGTCAGGTGCCGATGGGATTTGATTTCCTTAGGGAACTAACTTGATGTCATTATTATATCCTCTGGCACACAGTTAAGACATTAAATTTTCTAGTTAATGCAAGGTTTTCAGTTGTCATCTAGAAAATTTATTACTCTCCTGGATCTTGTGGACCTCTGCTAATTTACCTGTGAATGCTTAGGGGACCATAGGTTATGATTTGAGGGGAAAAATAATTTATCTAGGTAATGGTTTTTTACAAATTAGGAGTATCCTTGCATTTAACAGTAAAAGTCCTGGATTTCAATTTGTGGAGTCGGTGAAACTACTGAGGAAATCTAAGCAGGACTAGAACATAATCGGTTTTTATACAGAGGGAGTCTTCTGCTAGTGCTATGGAGAACAGATTTGGAATTGGGAGTTGATACGACAACACCAGCAGCTTGATGACAAATAGATGAGAAATGATAAGTTCTAAGTAAGTGCAATTAGAATAAAGATAGAGGAAAAGTGACAAAGAAACAAATTTAGGAGAAGAAAATATTAGGAAATTGATAATCATATATGAGAAGTGAGAGAAAACAAATTTCAAGGCTGACAACTTTCTCAATAAAACTGACAAGCTAAAGAATCCCTACACATTATTGATTGTAGTTTTTTCTTATATATGAGTGGCATTGAGGGAGTTTCAGGAAAATGATTTTTCCACTTGTTTATATTATGTAATACAAAATACGATAATTTTTTCAGATTTCTTTATACTTCTGACTAATTTTAAATAAATGTTCTCCTTTATATCACTTGTAATTATTTTTTCTTGCCTTAGAAACATTGGAGTCAGGGATTAAATAAATTTATTGACTAAAAATAAGATTGGAGGATATATAGAATATGAGGCTGTTGATATTTCTAAAAAAATTATTGTCATTGTTTTCCATTCTTAAACTTAACTTCCATTGAAAAATATTGTGTCAGTTATATAGATTTGTCCATTATGTCTATGGATGAATTTCCCAATAGGCCTATAAGTGAAAGTTAAATAAAAATGAACTCTAGTATTAAATAATCATGTCTATAAGAAATGGGAAATATATTTGTTTTAAATAAGAAATATCTTTAAAAATAGAGGTATTTGAGAAACAAAGGATAGAATAAGTTATAAAATAAAAATTGTCTTAATAAATTACAGGTTGAAATTATAGGTTGCCATCTCTCTCTCTCTCTTTTTTGACAGGGTCTCAGCCTGTCACCCAACCTGGAGTGCAGTAGCACAAAGTCGTTCATCACAACTTTCTCCTTCCAGGCTCAAGCAATCCTCCTTTCTCAGCCTCCCAGATAGCTGGGACCACAAACGTGTGCCACCATGCCTGGCTAATTTCTGTAATTCTGTAGAGACGGGTCTTGCTATGTGGCTCAGGCTGGTCTCAAACTCCTGGGCTCAAGCAATTCATCTGCCTCAGCCTCCCAAAGTGCACCTGGCCGCAATCTCTCATTTTTGTAAATGTAAATGTTCTTCTTTTCTTTCAAACTTGAAACACCATTATATTAAAAAAATAGAAATTAATTTTGATATTCTCTGATTCTTTAGTACAAAAAGTCTCTCCCAACATTTTCCAATTCAATCAGTCACCAAGTCACGACACACTGGCTGATGAATAGCAGGAGAGACAAGGCAACTGCCACTGCAAGAGTTATAATTGTATTTCTAGAGACATGAGTCCACAAAGTTTATCTAAAATAAAATGGTAATAACTATCAGAAGTGAATATACATAAGTGAAAATCCTGGTGGAAAGGTAGAACAGTTGTGGTTTGATATCAAGACCATAGCAACTCCTGTGCCTAAGGACCAGCTTTCTGCCCCACAATGTTTTCTTTTATTATTTTTTCATAGCTGAGCACCTGTCATTATTTAAGACTCAACGTCAGAGTTACTTTTTTTTTGGAGAGAGTGTTCCTGAACACATTATCTAAAGTAATGCCCCACACCTGCCCCACCTTCAGGGCTTTATCTCATTTAACTCTTCATTTTCTTCTTGATATTCTTCACTGCTGGAATTGTCAATTACAGTCACTTGTGCAAGAGTTTGATGTCTGTCTCTCTTCATTGAGAAGAGACCCATGGAGACAGGAACATTCTCTGACTTTTACTGTTGTGATCTCAGGACACACAACAGGGCCTCACTTGTAAGAGGACCACAAAAAAGAGTTATAAGAAGAAGCTATAAATGGAATTTGTATTATAGAGTGTCCTTCAGGAATATTATAGGTAATCTTTCTTAGGTTGCATAAATCATGGCTAATTGATATCAGTGTGATTTTGGACATTATAATTGCACACTATATGTTATAAATTTCAGCCCTCCCAGGCAAACTATGCTCAAGGGTAGTTGTTTTTAGAAATTTGACCTTCATCTCTTAAAATCTTTGGCTCTTTATCAGTTTTCAATCCAATTTGTCAATTTTCCTTACTCTTTGACTTTACATGTTACTCATCAGCTTCTAGTGCTGAATATTATACATGGTTCTTGAAAACCTAGTTAGTACATAATATTTGTTACATACTTATTTTTGATGCCAGGTACAAAACCACATCAAATGCCCAGAAGCTAGTCAAACGATCTTCCAACTTCAAATTTAGCTTAAATAAATGAACTATGGTTTTGTTTTCTAGAACTGTCATTGGGAATTTGAGTAGTCGATCTCTGTAAATCTGTGAGAACTATGGTTAAAGGGTAGTTCAAAATCATTTGGAATAGTCGGTTCCTACTTGGCAGTTTCTGTGCCATTATATTTTTCTGTGTGTGTGTGTGTGTGTGTGCATGTGTGTGTGTGTAAGAAGATGCCAGATAGCATAGAAAAGTTACTAAAAGTACCTAAACATGATACACTTTCACCTATTACAGAGAGGAATGGAATCCTACATGTAAGGCACTTAGAGAATGAGAAAAACAAAACCTTATGAGGATAACATTTTTTATAATAGAAATCAGATGTTTTCTTGTCTCAAATAAATATTACTACTTTCATTTCATTTCTATTAAGTTGCTTTCTATGCTAAAAATTATATTCAAATAAAAACAAATATTCAATTTTTAAAATTTATTTGCAAGTTAGTGAAGATATTTATCTTGGATATTTAATAGGATTAAGTAAATAGCAAAATATTGAGTGAAGCAGTATTTGTTTTAGTTCATTAGCCTTATTGTCAGGATTTTTAGAAGACTTTTTTTTCCTTCAGATGTATTCACTGTGTTTTCTTTATTGTGGCTAATTTTGATGGTTACTGGCATGTGCTTATTAAGACGAAAGTATTGCCATACGTTTTGACTTGTGGAATGATTAGTGACTTCTTCTTGCTCTCCTATTTCATTTTATTCCTATTTCGTAAATAATGTCAAATTTTTCAGACATTACAACATATACTACAAATAATTGTTTACTGCATTTTTTTTTATTTGGTGCTTTCTATTTATCCATTTGTTGTTTCTCTGTCTCCCCAACTCTTGGGGATGTAGCAAATCTTAAAGTCTTAAGATTATTGTTCCCAGGTTAAGCAAAGGGGAAAAACAACAACAAAAACCAAAGGCCCACTAAAATTTCAATTTCAGATAAATAATGAATTCATTTTCAGTATAAATACCCATGTGGTATTCGACACATGCATGATTTTTTAAAATTATTGTCTAAATTTAAAATGTAACTCAATGTCTTGATTTTTTCCTGGCAGTCCTAAATGATATGGAAGTTGTCCAACTGTTTTAGGCCCCTCAACTCTTCAATATATCACTCCTGCCTTGTATGACCCCCCAAATCTTGACTGGTTTCTCTGTTCCTCTCAGTGGCCCTGTGCCTGGGCCCAGCTTAGATTCGCAGCTTCTGGCCAATAATCAAAACAGACCATTAGAACAGGCAGAACAGAAACTTGAAATTTCTTTCCATATAAATAAAAGTTTTTATATGGGCATAGTGACTTAACCTTCCATAAATACCAAATCCAAATGGACAGTGATACTATCTACCTATCCTTTTACATAGAGCTTTTTGTGAATGTAAATACCTGGGAAGTAAATTTGGTTGAAATTGTTTAAATTTTATAGCTACCTAAAGAACGTATCTTTTCCTAGGATGTGTTCTGCAAAAAAAAAAAAAAAAAAAAAAAGAAGAAAACTAGTGTCAACCCTGTGGTTTTAGCAAATTTAAGAAGGAAATATGTGTTGCATTTCTTATAAGCACACAATTGTATTATAAATGCATTTGGTAGGTTTGAAATTACAAATCCACATATTTGGTTAACTAATATAGGACTTTGGCTGCAGTAAAGTAAAAATCACTAGCAAAGAAAAAAAAAAAAAGAGACAGATTGCTTCTAAAGAAAGCTACAGTACACCACCCCATTCCTTCTATGGAGGTTTATTTGCCTAAATCTTCATTAATGCTTTGGCAATCTATTGCCTTTAAATAAATAATTTTCCTAATTTGTCCAGATTTTTGTTTGTTTTCAATGGGATGGTTGGGCTATTGCAATCTATTCCATATTGTTCCACATCCAGTATGATTTTGTATGAGCTATATTTTATTAACTTTTAGCTTAAAATATTTTCTTAATTTTATTATAGTTTCTTGTTTGACCCACAGGTTACTTCAAAGTATACTTTCAAAATGGTTGACATTTTAACATTTGTATGTTTAAATATTTTTATGTTATTGAGTCATAACAATTACATTTTGGTCAGATAATATTCCATAATATTTTGATGTTTGAAACTTTGCATTTTCTTCATGGCTCATTATTTGGTCTGTTTTTGTTAATGTTCCATGTGTTTAAAATGAATATTTTGCACATCATTTATGCAGTATTTTATATATCATGTGAGTCAAATATATTCAGTAAATTGTTTAAATATTCTACATAAATACTAACTTTTAGCTTTTTGTTCAGTGAACAACAAAAATCAAATTTATAATTTAGTATGCCTTTCCTTTTAATTCTGTCAAATTCAATTTAATACAAAATTGAAGCCAATGTATTAAGTGTAAACCAAATTAAATTTATTATATACTTCTCATTAATTAAACCTTTAATCAATATAAATTGGCCATCTATATAATTAAATTTTCTTGCCTTATATTTTTTGTTATACTTGAAGCTGGCTTATCAATGTTAAGTATAACAAAAATTATACTTAATTTGCCTGGAATATTATTTTTTACCTTTTTACTTGACTCTTCTTGTTTCTTAATATTGTAAATGTTTTCCTTATATTGCTAGATATGTTTAGCCAGACTGACAATCTATCTTGTAAATGAAGCATTACACACATATTGTATGTATTTTATTTATGGATATAGTTGAATGTAACACCAGTGTATTCTTTGATGTCTACAATTTGTTCTTTAACTTTTCTCCCCACTGCTAATTTGCTTTATTTTGTATTTTTTTAAACTATTCCACACATTTCCTTGTATTCAATTGGTAGGTAAACATTCTTTTAGAAGTTGTCTTACACACTAATCATCAATATTTAACCTATTAAGACCTTATTTAATTACTATCTTTCATGCCTTGTTGAATAATATAAAGATGCTAGAATACTTCATTTACTCCATAAAGACTTTTGTGCTATTATTATTTTATTTTAAAACTCTTACTTTTAAATCTCACTAAGTTTGTTATTGCTTTACTGTATTATTAATTTTGTTTACAAAGCTTTGGTTAATTTTATTTAGGTACACTTACCACTTTCTTGCTCTTTATTCTTTCTGCATCTCAGGACTTAGACTTGAGATAATCTTCTTGAATTACATGTCAATAATATCCATTAATGAGAATCTACTTGTATAAAACTATCTTAAATTTTAGGGTCTGAAAATGACAGGGCATATTATTTTCCTTGAGAACATTGAAAACATCACATCACATAATTTGGCTTTCATGGTTTCCGATGAGGTGTCAGTTTTTGGTTTGCCACTGATTGAAAATAATACCGTTTTTTTCTGGCTAATGTTAATATCACTGTTATATTTAGTATTTTCTGGTTTCACTATGATGTATTCATCTTTAGTTTCCCTTTTATTTATTCTGTTGGCATTTTGTAGTATTCTTTTTATTTTTAATCTGTGGAATCTAGGTGGGTATAATCAAGTAGCATCATTAAACACCAAATATGTAGGAATACATCTAACAAATGATGCACAAAACTTCTGAAAAATAATCTACATAGTGATATAGTATTCTAACATCTTTATATCATTCAACAAGATATAAAAGATACTAATTAAATGAAATTGTAATAGGTTAAATATTTATGATTAGTGTGTAGGACAACTTCTAAAAGCAATATTAACATTAAAATGATCCAAATACATAGCAGTATATGCCATCTATATAGACTAGAAGACTCAATATTACAAAGATGTTGTTAGTTTTTCTCAAATTGAACTATGTAATGAACATATTCCCAAAGACTTCAGGCTTTGTGATATATGAAAAATGCCAAACTGATTTAAATATTTCCATGGAATGCCATAGGACAAAAATATATAAGTTAGTTTTAAAGAAGTATGACAAACTTAGGACTTATGCTTCTACATTAAAGTTTTCTATAAAGGTAGTGTAATAAAGACAAGATGCTATTGGTCAAAAAGAAACAAATGGGCGTAAAACCTAATAGAGAATACAAAAACTAACCCACATATGGTCACTGAATTTATGAGTACAGTCCTCTAGTAAAGCAGTGAAAAAAGTGTAGTCTTTGAGTAAGTGTTGTTGAATCAGTTGGATAATGTCTTAGCCCATATGTGTTGGTAAAATGAAATACCTGAAACTTGGTAATTTATAAAGAATAAAATTTTATTTCTTTATACTTTTGGAGGCTAAGAAGTCCAAGATAAAGGCACCAGTATCTGGTGAGGGCTTTCTTGCTGCATCATCCCATGGTGGAAGATAGAAGGACAAGGGAGAGCAAGAGAATGCTGAATTTGCCCTTTTATAACTGCACCATTCCCACCTGTGAGCTGAGAGCCCTTGTGGCTCAATCATGTCTTTAGGGTCTAACTTCTTAATATTGTAACAATGGCAATTGAATTTCAACATAAGTCTTTTAGGGGACAGACATTCAGACTATAACAATAGTCAAAGTGAGGGAAAAAACAATCTGGACTCCTAACATATAAGAAATCCAGGTAGATCATAAATCTAAGTTCAAAAGTTACAATACAGCTTCTAAAAAAAAACAAAAAAGCAAAAAAAAAAAACAAAACAAACCCAGAATATCTTTTTATTCTTAGGGAAGGCAAATATTTTTTAAACATCACCCAAAATGTACTAACCACAAAAGAACCTATTGATTAATTTGACTTTAATAAAATTAATAACTTCTGTTAATCAAAAGATCCATTAAGAGATGGTATTACAGAGAAAAAGTTATTTGTAATGCCTATCTATGACAAAGGAGTACTATGAAGAATATGTAAATAACTCCTATAGAGCAATAAGAAAGTCTCAGGGAACTCTATAAAAAATGAGCAAACACTTGAACATTAATTATTTTAAGAGGATATTCTAAATTGATGAATGAGAACAATGCATATTATTCAGGTGATGGGTACCCTAAAGACCCTGGCTTGACCATTACACCGTCTATGCATGTAATGAAATTGCACTTGTACCCCATAAATTTATATAAATATATAAGTATATAAAAAGGTATTCATAACCTTTTTTTATACTTATGTATAACAAGCATTGGTGAGTTGTGAACCAATTTTATCTCTCGTATACTATTTGTAAAACTATAAACGAGTAAAATCACTTACTAAAACTTTTTGACAGTATCCACTAAGGCAGATGCCTTCCCTATGAATAAAAAAATTATATATATTATATATAGAGAGTCATATATCACATAATGACATTTTGGTCAATGATGGACTGCATATTTGACAGTCATCCCAAAAGGTTATAATATTATGTTTTTCCTGTTTCTTTTCTATGTTTAGATCTATTCAGATACACAAATACTTACTATTTGTTACCATTGCCTACAACTTACAATATTCAGTACAACAATATGCATAGAGGTTTGTAACCTAGGAACAATAGACTATACTATATAGCTTAGGTGTATAGTAGGCTATACCATCTAGGCTTGTGTAAGTCCAGTCTATGATCACTCAATGACAAAATCAGCTAATGACAAATTTCCCAGAACATATCTTCATTGTTAAGTGATGCATGACTGTATTTATATTTATAAATATGTACAAGTGCACTAAAAGAAATGAAATAGATATAAGAATTTTCATAGCAACATTATTTATTAGTTCATTCTCAATGTTCATCAACTACAGAAGGGATACAGTGGTTCCAGCTTCTCCATGGAGGATATGTTCCAATGCCTCCAGTGGATGCCTGAAACCATGGATAGTATTAAACCCTATGTATATTATGTTTTTTTCTATATGGATTTTACCTATAATAAACTTTAGTTTTTAAATTGGGCACAATAAGAACTTAACAACAATAGCTAATAATTAAAATAGAAGTATTATTACAATATACTGTAATAAATATTATGTGAATATCATCTCCGTTTTTCTCTATTTAAATACTGTAATATTTTCAGACCATGATTGGCCACACGTAACTGAGACTGCAGAATGCAAAATATCAGATAAAGTAGGTACTGCTACATATAAATTGTGGTTTGTTCATACATGAAATAGTATATAACAATAAGAAATAACAAATTATATTTACAGACAACAAGAATAAAATTCACACACATGTATTAAAGAAAAGACCCATACTCAAATGTATATCTCGTGTTAAAGCATTTTTGATAAAGTTAGAAAACAATCATGGTGAGGTAATTCAGGATGACGGTTATGTCTGGAGAGTGAAGTAACTGGGAAGGAGCATGACTGTGCACTTTTCTGTTTGTAGATTGTAATTATTTTTTAAAGGATTTTTTAAAGTAAATTAAATGCATAGAAATTACAAATGCATTAAAAAATGAGTAAAACAAATCCTTGACTCAGTAAACATTGCATCAAAATATTGCAAAACATCAGATTCTGAGTTGTTGAAAAATTAAAGACATAAAACAAGACTTGGCTTATGTCATAGTAGGAATTAGGAGGCCTTACACATTTGTGCCACTCAGCTACTTTGTTTACAAGATTTCTGACATGTCTACACATGTATGCTTTTGAGCATGCCTGAAGAAAATGCCTTCTCAGAAGCTTATTCTTAGTGTCATATCATGATGCAAAGATATAAAGTATCAAATCTGTATTCTAAAAATTACCATAAAATAAAAAGTTTATTTAACTAAAAGTTATTTTTCATCTTCATTTTCTATAATTCATTTATTTTATTGTGAAGTATTTGTTAAGAGGAAACTCTACTTATTTTCCTCATTAAATATAAACCAGGTGTGCACAATTTCACACCTTTGTAATAATGGTTGTGATTCCAGTAGAAAAAATATCAAGACTAAGACAGGAATATATGTTAGCATGCATTTTCTTCTCCGTTAAAGAACATGCTGTACTTCCTTTATTTTTAAAATAGTTACTGATCACGGGGTTACAGCATTTGAAATGGACACATCATTAGAATGGAACGTGTTCCACGTTCTTTTTCCTGAAAAGGTCAACAGGAAAGGAAAAATCTAAGAAATGGGAGTCAAGGTGTCTCCTTGCCCTATTATGGTTTCCAACTTTATGAGTTCTGAATGTCATTTATAATTTGAAAAAGTATAAGAATATAATTTTTCAAAATATTAATATTTGTTCTTGTAATAAGCATTTCAATTTTAAAGAATTTCAAGTTTATTAAAAATGAGAATCCTAGAAGTTTTAAAAATAGCAACATAAGAATAAATATCATACAATTTGATAATATGCAGGAAAAATATTAAGGTACTCCATGAATGAGAATAAAGGACATGTAAATAATCTAAAATTTTTTTATCTTTAATACATATTATTAAAATTGATTTAATTTAAAAGAATGTCTAGCAGATACAAGTATAATGAAAATGGAAACCAAAAACAGCAGGGGTTGCAATCCTAGTCTCTGATAAAACAGACTTTAAATCAACAATGATCAAAGAATAATAATTATGTTTATAGAATATGGCTAGTGCCTTCCAGAATAAGATATTTATGTACTTTATCTTTTGTTATTTTCATGGAATTGCAACTAAAGAATGCTAAGAAAGTTATATTTGTGCTCAGTTCTGAGATTACAAAGAAATTATTTCCATTACATTCTACAAAACAGAACCTCTGAAGTTAATGTAGAACTACAACACTGAAATTTTAAAAAGGCAAATCTGAACAAAACCGTAGTCATTAAAGAAACATTTATTTATGGGTTATGTAGTTAATGTTTTTTAAGATGGAAACAGTAGTGTTTGAGGTTATAATAATTCACTGAATTATTGTAACTCCAATATGTATGTAGAAGTGAAAACTACAATTTTTTGACATTTTATTGATTACGCTGAGAAGAGCTGAAACGAAATCCCATAATTATATGAGAAGTGTGATAAACTTCAAAGCTTAGAGGAAGAGACAGAGTTCATAAAGGCAATTTTCATGTGCTTGGCAGCTTTCATTTACACTTTTCCCTTCCTTTTTCATTTTTTTTAAATTTTGATATCTTGCAAAGAAATCTATAGGACCACAATGTTTTGAGTGGTTATAACTGTTGTGGAAAAAAGAGAAAAAAAGCAAAGTGAACTTAATCTAACAAATGATGCAGCTAAAAAAAGTCTAAATAATACCATGGAATGTTAAGTGAATAAAGAATTTTTGATAATTTGAATGCAGAAAAGCAGTCATATAATTAATTCAATATACAACTGTAGACATATGAATATTTCAAAAAACACGTATACCTTTGGGACCATATCATATTCTTGGGGCAGGTAGTGATTAAATTTCAGTGAAGCATCAACTATCACATCAATATGGTAAATTTGAACGTATTGATTTTGGGACTTTAGTTATCTTCAATATGTATCATTAAAATAAGTTGAATTTTAAAAGAATGTCTAACAGATATAAGTGGTTACATGCCAGTAAGTAATTACATCTTTAGAATATGATTTGTAGAGTTTGTCGTTACAGATAACCTGCTACCAGACAACATTCCAATTTCTCCACTTCCAATAACAGCAGAATTGTGATGAAGCTTCATGAAAATAGAAAATATTTTCCATAGTGATACAAATATTAATAGTATTGCATTTCTTGAAAGATCTGTGTCTACCCTGCCCTGAAAATTTCTCAGCAAGCATTTAACATATGCTACAGCCCAGAATGCCAGGCCTGCTCACGTGTTCTCTCTCTCCCTCTCTTTCTCTCTTACTCTTTTCTGACTCCCTTCTTTTTCTTCATCTTGCTATTTATTCTCTCAATTTAAAGATTTGGTTAATGGGTTATTGCTGTCTCTGTTTCTTTGCTTCCTTCAAGTTCATGTCATTGGTGGGAGTAAGGATATCTAATTTTCCACACATACACCCTTCCCAAAGAGGCATACTATGGGCATTTACACCACAGTGTTTTCTCAGTAAGATGGTAGCTGTATCCAGTTTTTTGAAAGAACATATTTCCACACTAATTTACTGCTTGGAATAGTTCATAAATTTTATGAATTAGTTTAGAAGATTTAATACTTTTATATATAAAAAATATGTTAGCTAATAACTAATCAAGGAAAATATGGGGGCAAATCTTAGCATTGCAAGCTAACTAAATAGTTCCAAACAGTTTATGGATCAACAAAATCTTTTATGAATCTGATAAAATCTATGGACATCCAATATGGACTCCACATTGCAAACCTTTGGCTAGATGAATGTCAGGGGCCTTCAAACTCTGTTGTTCTAAGTTTATCAGTTACATAAATTTCACACTGGTTAAATTATTTTTATTCTTATAGTGGCAAAACCATAATACCATTATAGTGAAAATGAAAATAAAATACAAATTAAAAAGTAGCCTCAAATTACTAAGCAATTCCTTTTTCATATTAATAGGCTTTATTTTTTAGATCAGTTCAATACTCACACAAAAACTGGGCAGATAATTCCTGTTCCACTACGGTTTCACCTATTAATATCATCTTACTTTTGTATGGCACCTTTGTTATAATTAATGACCCAATATTGATACATTGTTATTAACTACAGTCCATAGTTTACTTAGACTTCCTTTTTCAGTTTCTGGATCCTATCTAGTATATGCTACCACATTTAGTTGTTACCTCTTCTTTGGCTCATTATGGCCGTAATAATTTCTCACACTCTTACACATTTTTGTTGACCTTGAGAGTTTTTAGTTATGCTGGATCATATCTTATGTACAAGGCCTTCTATTAGAATGTGTCTGATGCTTTTCTCATTATTAGAACTGGGAATATGGGTTTAGGCAAGGAAGATAATAGAGGTAAAATGCCAATTTCATCATGTCATATATAAGGTACATACTATTAATGTGATTTACGACTGTTAATATTGACTCTGATATCTGGCTGACATAGTGGTTGTCCAGTTTCTTCACGATAAAATTATATTCTCTCCTGCCCTTTCCAGCTTGTACTCTTTGAAAGAAAGTCACTATTGCAGCCTACATTTAAGGATTGAGGGAGCTATACTCCCACCCAATTAAGATACAATATCTACATAATTTATTTGAAATTCTTTTGTACATGATATTGGTCTCTTCTTCCTTTAGTAATTTATTCAATTATTTATTTATATTAGAATGAACTCATTATATTTATTTTATACTCTGGGTTATACTATCATTGCATTCATTTTCTTGCTCAAATTATTCTAGCTTTGTCCATTGAGAGCTCTTTCAGTTGGCTCCTGTATTACTTTGATATAACCCTGTCACTATAGTGGGTTATTTTGTTGAACTACTTTTAACCAAAGAAAGACATATTTTTATGACTGTAGAATCTGGGTCTTGTTCTTGTTTAAACACACATACACGTAAAAACACAGAAAAGAATGAGGGGAGAGAGAAAGTACAAGGAGAGATTTTCATCATAATAGATAGGTTTATTTTATCCAGGGATTTAAAAGAAGTACTATCAATTTTGACTTTAAAACTTTACTCAGATAGTCAGAAATACAAACAGTGTCCAACTAAGGGATGTAAAACCAAGTCAAGTTCTATTACTATAATACATGAGATAATTTTCGAATGGCTATAGATTTTGTACTTCTATGTGTGAATGAGTACTCACAGAGATGAGATGAGAAGAGAAATTACCAATTTTAAGCTTGCAAATAATTTTATCATACATCATCTCTAAGCTTCAAAGAATTCAGGATCACTCCTTGTGCACTTAACGGTTTTGGTTCATTTTGAAAGTCTGACATAAGAGAAAAAAACATAATGTAGAAGCTTTACTTTACTTGTACATAGGTCACATCAGAATTGACTCACATAGAGTGGCTGTATTGTAATTAAATGCAATGGTTAGTTTCATTTCTCATTATAGTATAGAAAAAGTAACACTGAGATAAATGTTTTTACTCTTTTTTTGGTCACTTTTACTTCCTGGTCATTCCTATAAGATACTTAATTATTCTGGCAGTATTAATAAAAGACTTAAAAATATAGCCTTTCAAATAATGAAGAAGAATGCAGATCATTTCATTAATATCCCTTGGCAGCAAATATCAAGCCAAATGCTCACATGGATATAAAATATTCTCACATTTTTCTGAATTATATATTTCTGAGCATCAGTCATTATCAATAAAATATTTGCAGAGTGTAACTGAGTACTCAATATGTCGCTGAAATAATGTTATATTGTTTCAAAGAAGCAGCAGACATGGGCTACTTTCCTGAAAGAAACAAATATTCTTCGAATGTATTATAGAAACTTTACATATTTTTGGCTGTGTGTGTATCTATATCAATATGAAGAAAGGTCTCATTCCTGGAAAAGGTAACAAATTAAACCATTGTTTAATTTTGTTTAATTCTGCTGTATTTCCACCCTTTCAAACCCACAATTATTCTGTATTTATTGCTCTGCTATTCAGATACTGCTACCAAGTGCTAAGAATATCCAGTGGTGAAAAATTTCAAGAATTTTATCTATTCCCCCCCAAATCATCATGTCCAGAGAAGTCCAGTATTTTGGCTTTATAGTATACTATTTAGGAGCCCAAGGTTTTAAGTCAGATAAGCCTGGCTCGAGCACTTACATTGTAATCTTTTCTAAGTAATCTTATTTAACCTTTCAACACTCCAGTTTCTTTGCCTGTTAAATGGCCTCATTAGGAGTTTTATAAGGATTAAATGCAGTAATCTGTGCAAAGCACATAGTGCAATGCCAGAAACCTTCATTGTAAAACTCTCTATGGGAAGTCAACCATGTACAGAAAGTGAGTGATAGATGGTAGTTATTGTTCTTATCATCAGCATCATTATTACTCAAAACACTCTGGTCAGCTACTCACAGACAAATATAACATACAGTTCCTTGGGAAAAACATTTCTCACATTTTTTGCTTCCAACTGTATGATCGCCTTATACTACAGAGAAAATAAAAGGGTTCTTATTCAATTTTCTAGGCTGTTTTAGAAACCTAAAATCAGAGGCTGAGGTGAAGAAATGATGAATTGCCAAGTAAGACCCTCAAATTTGTAGAAGACTTTCAATACCTAACCTGAGTCACTGCAGTTTTAGAGGATTTTAGTACAGCTCAGCAGGTATAAATAGGTAGACAAAAGTAGACAAAGGAACCTCTACATAATTTTTATACATGTATTATCCCTGAAAAACTCTACAAAGATAAGCATTCGTAAGAGAAGGTATCTCATGTGCTCATATCTAAAATATTAACCTTCTGTCTGGAGCTTAATACCCAAACTGCAGAGTCAACCAGGGGAATCCCAGACTTAGCAAGATACAAGAATATTTGTTAGGTAATATACTAGGATTGAAGGCCTAAAATTAAGAATAGCTTCACAAATAGAAAGAAGGGGAAATTGTAGGTTAAGTAATCCAACATTATTAGGGTATAGTTACAGTTTAGAGATAAATGAGAGCATATAAAACATTTCATGAGGCAACAGCAATAGCTGTTTAGAATTTGACAAATCTAGTTAGATTTCCCATACCAATTTCACTTCCATTTATTAATATGTGTCTTCAGTATATTAAAAAAAGACATTTAGTAATCAGCTTTTTAGAGACACATATAAAATTAAAATTAAAAATAAATTATTTAACTAAATAAACCTTTAGGAGGAAAGCAACATGAAGAAACTGCACTTGGGGAAGAATGTTGAAAAAGGAAAAGAGAAGATAAAGTTTAGTAGCCAGGAGCCAATTTCAAAAGAACACCCAAATACCTTACTAAGTGAGTAGGTGTCTAGAGGTTAGTATGTTAAGCCTGTCCTGAAACAGCTGACCACATAAGCAAGCATGAAATAGGTAAGGTAATAGTGGACTTAAAGGCCAAGCATCTTGAAGGCAAAGATCAAAAGATTAGACTTCAGGAGAAACACAATTGGCAGCTGCTTCAGTATAATGACAAAGAAGGTCATGTTGCTTTGAAGGAAATAATTCCAGTTGCTTAGAGTTAAATAAATTGGATAGGAGAGAGGTTGAAGACAGGGCTCTACCTTGAAGGCTGTCTCATTAGCCCTGGCACAAGGTAAATGTATTCTAGATAAAGACTGTGGCAGTGTGAATAATGAGTGGACCTCAACAATGTCCCAAAGGGCAGAGTGACAGGATTGTGATGGACTGAATGACAAAGTCAAAAGAGAAAGTGAGAAATCAAACATCAGTTTACTCCTATGGCTCTCAGACCTGTTAACTTGCGGGTATAAGAAAGTTTCTCTAAAAAGTTTACGGAGCTAAAAGCTCTACTTTTGTCCAGAGGGCTATCTATCAGATCCTGGTAAACATGGAGTGCTAGAATATGAGAAGTAAAGTAACTTTAGGTAAAGTAACATTAGGTAGATGAGCTTCTGGAAATACTAATAGAAAAACAGAAGAATGTAAACATGTGAAAAAAAGACTTCTGTAAATTGTAGTATTCTAGGGATATTATACACATGAACTCATCTTCACTTTATGATAATTGAATTAACTCCTGGACTAATAGAATAGTCCTTCCCATTTGATAACCAGCTCACTGCTTGGTATATAAAAGCTGCTTAAAAATACTTGTTAATAAGGACCAGTATAACCTTTGTCTTTAATGTGAAATATTGAACAAATCACCGAGTAATTAGATTGAATAAGATGTGTTAGTCAAAGTGTGTGTGTGGCCGGGGGTGGGGTGCGTGTTACAAAAAAGAAAAGAATGAAACAGAAAATTAACTTTTAAGATTGGGTACAATTATTCTCCTAATTATCAACTTTAAAGTTTTTCTCTGTTAGGCAAGTGTGACTATTGACTAAAATATTTGTGTTTTTCCTTCTCATCCTAAAGTGAGTTAAATAAGTTAGGTGAGCTAAAATTCAATGCTTTTTCAGAATCAATACAGTTTATCTAGAACATATTGTACGTTTATTTCACAGTTTGAAAAAAATAGTTTTCATTTTTTGATTTATTTAATAGGAAAATGTAGGCATTCATGCTTCAAAAACATCGTGAGGATCAGTTAATATCAAAAAGTACAATTTTCAGATGCTTGGATTGTGAGAGGCAAGGCAATTTATATATTGTAGTAGTGTGCCTTCTTTAAGTATTTCTGATTTTTCTTTCAGTGTACCTACTGTGTTCCAAAAGAGTGAAAGAGTGATAGGACAGTTATTTTGATCTCATTTGTAAAGGCCTCTGTCCCAAGGGAATTGAAAGAGGAGTTCCTGAGAATGTTCATTCCTTTCTATCATTAAAATTATTTTTGCAAATCAACATAGGGCCAATCCCTGCAAATACATTCTATTTGATGTGAAAATTAAAATACTATGCCACCCTATTTTGCAATGTCTTGATAAAAGTGTGACTCTACTACACATAAAAAATGCATATCTTTGAAATATTTACCAATATTTCCAGTAAAGGGGAAAAATCTTCCATAGTAATTAATTTTGTTATAGGTCTATTTACCAGTTACATGAAATGATGTTAGTATGTCAAAATCTAGATCTTACTCTCACGCAACTATTTCATATAGCTCAACAAATAATCTGTTTTAAAGAAAGCTAGTTACGCAGAAAACCACCTGAAATTTGTGACTTAATTTAGGAGAGGTGAAAAAAAAATCAAAGGTCTCAACGTATCTGTCTCAGTGGCTTTCTAAAAAGAAGTTATTCCCTAAAAACTAAATTTTCCACCAGAGCACTTTGTTTCCACTGCTTCAGTTTTCAGTGGACTTTTGTATCCAATTATCTCCCCTCGTTCCTTCCACCCTAGGCATGACAATGCCTTTCCAGTGTTCTTGCTGCTGTCTTAACTGACTACATCTCTGCCAAATGGTAGTTTCTATCATTGAACCTGTCTGGATCCTGAATGAAACCGTGGTTCATACTGGAGTAGCCTCAGGAAATAGATACTTGAGACAGTTTTCAGGTACAGGATTTTACATATACCTATTTGAGATAAACACGGATAATTTTCTTGTTAGGGAGATATGTAGAGCTGGTAATATATGACAATCGTGTTATCATTTGGATTTCAAATATTATGATTTTCTAAGAAAAATCTCATAAGTATTTTTCTATAGCCATTTTTCTCCAAAATTCCAAACATCCCATTTTCCTCAAAGCATAAATCTTAATCAGTGTACCTATCACGAAGCAGGTAGTGAGAAGCTATTATTTTTGAAGAACTCTAATTCCTATTTTGATGGAGTAGGAAAGCACAAGATAAAAGCCATCCAAACAGACAGATACCCAAGTTTTAAAACTAGAGGTAGTTAAAATCCAGAAAATTATTAGGTCAAAATAGCAATATGCATAAACAGTATACTGTTGAATTTGTAAGTGTGTATTTGTGTGTGTGTGTGTGTCTGTGTGTGTATGTTTCTCTTCATGATTCCTATGGCTAGAGTTATCTTTGACAGGTTGAAAGTATACATTATTTATTTATTCTTTTAGAAAAATTGGTTTAAATGTATAACCTTCCTGATGATTAGGCATGTAGTTAAATGGGGATAAGCAAAGAACAGAGCCCAAAGGCAAGGTTTGTAGGTAAGATAAGGAGAGTTAAGCTGTTCTGCAAGATAAGCTGGCAGCAAATGAATGTGTGTTAGGAGAAGAAGGAAGAACCATGACAGCTGAACAGGAGACATGAACAAGGTTTTAACCAGTGGAATACTAGAAGGAATCCATTTCCCTTTGCTTCATGTGTTCATAATAAGAAGGAAAATGTAGGTCAAAATTAAGTTGAATAAAAGTAAAGTAAAAGTGATGTTAAAATATAGAAAAAGAGAAATCAGACTAAAGACAAAACTTAAATATTTATTTAAGTATTTGTAATTGTTATTTGTTTAAATAACATTTGTAATTTAAGTATTTGTAATTGTTATTTGTAATTGTTATTCTGTTTAAAATTATAATTAAAATCTCACTAGGGTCATAAGTTGAGAAAGAGAAAATTTTCAAAGAAAACACTAAATGCAATTGAAATATTTATATGTACTCAATGTACATATTTAAAGGTAAATGTATACATATATAAAAATGTTATATATACACGCATATGTATATGTATGTATATTTTCACATGTGTGTATGTACACATAGATATGCATATATATACATAAATATGTGTACATTTTTACATATATACACATAAATATGTTTACATATTACACACATATAAATATATGTATAACTGTACATGTATATGTATATATACGCATAGCTATGTGTACATATGTGTATGTACATACATGCATATATGTATGAAAATTTTCCACGATATATAAGACAATAAGTAAGCTAAGCACTTCTGATGAATAAATTAAATGTAAGTACAGTTGTTTAAAGAGTTTCTGACTCTAAATTCTAGTATCACTTTACAATTCTGTGTTTTGTGAGAATGCTTGAGTTTCAGATTATTTATTATCCTACCTTATGATATTAAATATAACCCAAATAAAACTGTCTTCTTGCTCTCGTGTTAAATCTAGTTTCAGCATATCTTCCATGTAAAAAAGTGCCCTCTTTCAAAAGTACTGAAAAACTATAGAAACCTTTACTGAAGTTTTGTCAATACACTAAGGAGAAGATGACACAACACATCACACATCATAACTCCTTAAAAAATATTCTTAAACATTTTCTCTACTCACCCAAGTTCCACCCATTATGGCAGCCTCTTAACTCTCTCTGATCTCCATCTTCCCTTCTCACTTAACCTTACCCATTGGCTTGCCTTTTCTGTCAGATATACTTGTTTCTTCCATGTCTTTCCCTCTATTTCTCTTTTATCTTTTCTCACATACAGAAACATGAGGTCTCTCAGTTACTCAAATTCTATTTGCCTATCCACTAGGCCGCCCAAGCAAATAGAAACATAGTAGCTGAGCAGAACAGTATCCTCCTTAGAAAATGATGTTCTGGTTTTCTATTGTATAATTAACTACCCCCAAACTTAGTGAATTGAAACAATAATTACTTAATTATACATTGTGTGGACCAATATTTCAGACAGGGTTTGGCTGGGTGATTCTTTAGTTTCATGAGTTTCCACCTGGAGGCTACACAGTGATATTCTGCTGGTGTTTAGTGTAGTCTGTAGGGTCTAGGAAGACTTTGCTTACATATACGTGGTTCCCCAGCAGCAGTGGTTGGAAGACTCAGCTGAGCTGAAATCCTCTACTTCTCAGGGCCTCTTCATTTGTTCTATCTAGCTGGGAAGTCAACTCTTTAAATGTCAACTCAGGAATTTACGGTCAAGTGTTTCTAGAGATTCAAGAGGAAGCTCAAGGCCTCTTACAACCTAACTACAAAAATCCAAAAAAAGTCACTTCTGCCTTATTCTATTGGTCAAGCAAGTCACTAAGATCAGTGCAGTTCAGGGTAAAAAGAATTGCACTCCATCATTCAACAGGAGGAGTAGCAAAACAAACAAACAAAAAACAGTTTAAATTACCACAGAACGTAAAGAAAAATGGGTGGAAATACTCACACTTTAGTATGCTGTGTCTCTTTTACACAATACACGGTCTGAACTACCTGGAGATTTATAAAGCAAGAATGATTATATAGCATGTCTCACACATCAGGGTGAATGAATTGAGGAGACTGGAAAGGGAATAAAATATTATGTTCCAAGATGAATAAAATTATTTTTATATTCTTAAAGTGAAGCAAACAATGGGTCATGACAGCATTACAAAAGTTAAAAACTGAATATTATACAGGCAACAAAAATATGAAGTTTATTTCTGTAGATTAGCACATTGTCAAATTTAAATATTATTTGAGCCCCACTTGTAATTTAAAATTTTCTAGTAACCACAATAAAGCTAGAAAAATATGGGTGAAACTAATTTAACAAATGTATTTTATTTAGCTCAATATATTTAAGAATGCTATCTAGTCAACATACAATGAATATAAAAATTAGAAACATTTTTCTGACTTGTTAGTGGGGCTATTGGTTTTTATCTTGTTCAGTTGTTTGGGTTTCTTGTAGATTCAGAATGTTAGTCCTTCGTCAGATGCATAGGTTGCAAATATTCTCTCTCATTCTGCATGCTGTACTATTACTCTGTTGATTGTTTCTTTTGCAGTGCAAAAGCTTTTTATTTAAGTCCTATTTGTCTATTTTTTGTTTAATTTTTATTTGAGGCTTCATCATAAATTATTTGCCCAGGCCAATGTCCAGAAGAGATTTTCCTGGGTTTTCTTCCAAGATATTAATAGTTTGAGGCCTTAAGTTGATTTAAGTCTTTAAATAATGTTGACTTAATTTTTGTATGTGGTGAGAACTAGGAGTCCAGTTTCATTCTTTTACATATGACTATCCAGTTTTCCTAGCACCATTCAATTTATAAGGTATCTTTTTCTTAGTGAATATTTGTATTGACTTTGTTAAAGCTCAGTTTATTGTAGGCATTTGATTTTATTTCTGAGTTCATTATTTTGTTCCATTAATCTATGTGTCTGTTTTGTACTAGAACTTACTGTTTTGGTTACCATAGCTTTGTATTATAGTTTGAAGTCAGGTAATGTGATGTCTCCAGATTTTTTCACTTTACTAAGAATTGCTTTGGCTATTTGGGCTCTTTTGGTTTTATATGAATTTTTGAATTATTTTGTAATTCTATGAAAATAATGCTAATAATTTGATGGAAGTATATTCAATCTGCAAATTTATTTTTGCAGTATATTCTTTATAATGATATTGATTCTTCCAATCCATGAGTGAGGATTGGAAGTTATCTACAATTCTAAATTATCTACACTTTAAATAATTTAAATAATCTATCTAAATTATCTACAATTTTTTTGTCAGTGTTTTGTAGTTCTCCTTGTAGAGATATTTCAAATCCTTGGTTAAACGTATGTCTAGGTATTTGGGATTTTTTAGTTTGTAGTTGTTGTAGATGGGATTGAGTTCTTTGTTTGGGTCTCAGTTTGATTATTATTGATGTATAGAAATGCTACTGATATTTGAACATTGATTTTGTATCCTGAAACCTTACTGAGGTCATTTATTGAATCTAAAAATCTTTTGGAAGAGTCTTTGAGATTTTCTAGGTATAAGATCATATCATTAGCAAACGGAAATAATTTGACTTACTCTTTTTCAATTCGAATGCCTTTTATTTCTTTATCTTGCTTGATTGCTCTGGCTAGGACTACCAGTGCTATGTTGATTACCAGTTAAGTGGGCTTCTTGTAAACAGTGTGTGGTTAGAACCTTTTTTCATCCGTTCTACCGAACTATAGCTTTTCAGTGGAGCATATAGTTGATTTGCATTCAAAGTTAATATTGATATATAAGATTGTGTTTTTGTCATAATACTAATTGTTTCCTCATTGATTAGTATTCTCAATTGTGGAACTGCTTTATAAAACATGTGAGTTTTATACTTTCATGTTTTTATGATGCTGAGTATTAACCTTCCATTTCTCAGATTTAGAACTCCTTTGAGCATTTCTTATAAGGATGGTCAAGTGTTGATGAATTTTCTTAGCATATGTTTGTGTGGGAAAAATTTTAATTATCCTTCCTTTATGAAGCCTAGTTTAGCAGAACACAAAACTCATGGCTGATAGTTTCTCTCCTTAAGAATACCGAAAATAGGACCCCCATCTTTTCTGACTTTTTAGGTTTCTGCTGAGAAGTCTGCTGTTAAAGTCTAATTTCCTTGACAGCTAATTAGACACTTTTTTCTTGCTACTTTTAGGATGTTTTTCCACATTTACTTTAGATGGTCTGATGACTATATGCCTTGGTGAAGTTTTCCTTGCTATATATCTTCCAGTAGCTTCTTGTATCTATTTGTCTAAATCTCTACCAAGACCAGGGAAGTTTTCCTAAATTATTCCCTCAAATAAGTTTTCTAACTTTTTCACCTTTTCTTCTCCCTCAGACATATCATGACTCATAGATTTGGATGCTTTATACAATCCCATATTTCTCAAAGGCTTTGTTCATTTTCAAAAATTCTTCTTTAGTTTTGCCTGAGTGAATTAATTTGAAATATCTGTCTTTAAGCTTTGAAATTCTTTCTTCTGTTTGTTCTAGTCTATGTTAAAGCTTTCAACTGTAATTTGTAATCCCTTCAATTAATTTTTATTTCCAGAATTCTGTTTGTTTGCTTTTCAAATATGTATTTGTTTAGTAAATTTTTCATTCATATCATCAATTATTTTTCTGATATATATGTGTTGGTTTTCAACTTCTCTTAGATCTCATTGAGTTCCCTTACAATCCATATTTTGATTACTTTATCTGGTATTTCAAGAACATATTTGGTGAGGATGCCTTCCCGGAGAGATAGTGTGATCCTTTGTAACTGTCATAATACCTTCTTTTTCATACTGCCAAAATGGTTACTCTGGTTCTTTCTGACTTGAAGAAGCATCACTTCCCATTTTTGAATTCACTTTCATTTGAATGAGACTTTTGTTTTTTCCCTTGAGGGTATGACTGTAATGTATGTTGAGCAAGGATGTTTGGCTTTGCTTCTGGGTACTTTCAAGGGGAGAAGTCTCTGTATGAATTCCTTGGAATCTATTCACTAAAGTTATAGATAGCTTGGGTATGGTTGTTTTCTCAAATGCTGATTGTGGTCATGGTATAGTAGACCTATGCATAGGAAGGCAGAGTCTTGAGGAAGCCCATCTCATTCCCAACCACTGTGCACTTGAGTCCGTAGATTTTGTATTGGGTTGTGCATTTTGACCTTTAGGCCAGTAGGTAGTGCTTGCAAGTAAGAGCTAGCTGCAGTGGTAACAGTGAGGTATACGTTTGATCTATTTTTTCTTGGAGAAGCTTTCTGACTCCTCAGGCCATGGGCTAGGCTCCTCAGGCCAATGAATTTCACAGCGGCCTGGGCTCCATTCTCAGCCTGAGATAGGGTAAAGCTGGGTAGAGCTGTTCCACACTGACCCACCCTCAGTCCTCCAATGGTGGGTGCAAGCACCAGCCCTGTTGGAGGTGGCAGAGGAGTGCCATAGACTCTGTACTATTTATTTGGTAAAACTCTATTTCTCTCTTACTAGCTTCTCTCTTACTATTTCTTTCTTACTAGCTTCTCTCTTAATTAGCTTCTTTGTTGTTGCATTGCAGCCAGATACTTAAGTCTTCCTTCAAATTTTTATATGTCAGACTCTCTTGTACCTTCAAGTTTTTACATTCATCTCATCAACTCTACCATCTACTGTTATACTCTGATAGCAGTGTGGTAGCTTTCTCCAAATCCAGTTGCAGTAGTTATCTACTGGCTGGGTGAGCAGGCTCAGGGTTTCCTGAATCTGTGGAGTGTTTTGGGGGATGGTAGTAGCTGCTGTCATACAATGCTTGTCTCCTCCCTGAGCACTGCGAGGTTGTGTCTGCAAATGTTGTAATGGGCTATGCAGACTGAACTACTGGCCAGCAGGTGTCACTTTCAGGAAAGAGCCAGCTGAGGTGGTGAGATTTGTGCTTAACCAGGTGAAGTGCTCCGATGTCCCTGGCAATGGGTAGGGCTAGGGAACTCCCAAGGGTATCTGTCCCATGTTCTGTCAACAAAGAGGGTGGGGAGAAAACTGGGTGGGACTGGGTCCAAAGAGCCTGTGTTCAGGCTCTCCAATGGTGAGCACAAGCTTGGACCCCAAGGGGGAATCATAGGATGGCTTCTAGGCTGCGAATGAAGTGCTCCGGGGAGGAGCGGAGCTACCTTCACTGCCGAAAGAGCCTCCACAGAGAGAGAGGGGCAGCCCAAGCTCCACACTCCAGCAGGCAATAGTGACAGCCACCCAACTCCTGTGACCTTGACCCAGTGGACTGCTGCTGGCAGCAAGCTGAAGCAGCCAGTGGAGTCCCGAGCAGCCCACACTAAGATCATAATATTGCTCAAAGTCACAAGACTCACATACTAGGGAAAACAAAAAGCAAAAAAACAAAAACAAAAACAAAAAAAACCCTGCGGCTCCCAGATCACATGTCTACTGGTCCATGTTCATAAAATGGGGGTGCCCAATTTCTTCACCCACAGCAAGAGCCCACTCTCCACACCACCTCTCAGTTCTGGCCACGGGGCTTCATCTCTGCTCGAGATTAGGCTGCAAATCTCAGTCGGAAGCCTTTCCCAACCTGTGACCGCTGCTCTAGTTGGCCGGCAGGTTTCTGTGAAGTCCTCCATGAATTAGAATCAGAAATGGCTTCCTTTTATTGGCACCAGGGTCTGACAGTGCACACAAAACATCCCCTGGAGCCTCTTCTCACAGACTCGCCTCCCCTCACCAAGTCAGATCCAGCACTGGGTAGGATTGAGGAGCTCCCATGTGGCCCAGTTCACCACGTTCCCCAGTGGGAATGTGTATCACGGAGATTGACTCTCCCCCCTTTTCATGCTCTGAAGACTTGCACTTTTCCACTGAAACCCCAGTGAAGGCTGGTGCCCGCCAGACCATTCAAAGTATCCAGAGATTCTTTTGCTTTTTCTGTTGAGACAGCGTGAATCTCTACACACTATTTTGCTCTTTCCAAGTGGATGAGGCATGCTAACAAAGCCTCCAATCCACTATCTTAAAAAAAAAAAAAAAGAAAGAAAAGGATATATAGTCTAGATCATATAATAACTAACACATAGTTGCCATGTCAGAAGCTTAGGGGCCATTTTTTATTCTGCTTCTTTTCTTTACTCGTGAAGTCTCAGTGATCTTGTTAATAATTTCCAACATCTAAGGCCTGTCTCAACTATCGCCTTTTAACTTGTCTAATATTCTAATATTCCCTTCTGCTCCCCTCCTATCTACTCTCTATAAAATAATAGAAACCAGAATGACTGAAAGGCCATGGCATTTTCTGCAGTGCATAGGTGGTAGATCTATCCATGCAGTAAGCAGAATTCTACGTTGGTCCCCAAGATTTCCACTGCCAGTGTATATGCCTTGTATAATTTTCTTCCCTTTGAGTGTGAGTGATACCTCTATCTTTCTTTTAAACATGATAAAACTATGAGATACCACTCCATGATATAACATTATACGGCAAAGGTGAGGGGATTTTGCATGTGTAATTTTTGTTTTTCATTAGTTTACTATAGGATGATAGCAGGCGGATTACCTTGGCTAGGCCTAAACTAATCAGGTGCCCTTTAAAAGACAGATACTCTCTTGCTGGCCAAGTAGATACAAGCAGCTATGTTATAAACTATAATGACGCAGTAGTCTGAGAGCTTCGGGGAGTTAATGGCCTCAGTCCTAAAACTCTGAGGGACTCAATTCTGGCAACATCTTGAATAAGCTGAGTAGAAGAGCTCTAGCCCCAGTTTCAAAGTGTGGCCAACATTCTGATTGTAGCATTGTGAGACCCTGATCAGAGAGGAACCAGCAAAGCAAAGTTTGAACTCCTGATCCATGAAATATGTGAAATAATAAATATATGATATATTGACAGGGGAAGTTATTTAAATCTTTTGTTTAAAGTATTAAGTGGGTTCACAGCAACCTCAGCATAAAATCTTTGGCACGGCCTATAAAGGTCTTCATAAAGTAAGCTTTGCCCCTCTCTGCAGCCTTCTCTCTTACTAGCTTCTCTGTTGCTGTATTGGAGCCAGATATTTAAGCCTTCTTTCAAATTTGTGTATAAGTCAGATTCTCTTGTACCTTCAACTTTTTACATTCATCTCATCAACTCTGTCATCTACTGTTATCACTCTGATAAAAGCTACAGTCATATTATTCCTGAATTCCTGGAATAACCTTCTCATTAATCTCCTTGTCCTTCCCCCTTTCCCTTTCACCATAGCCTACACCTGACAGGGCAGTTAGACTAAAACTATTAATGTGTAAGTCAGATAAAGATTCTATTCTGCTCAGAGCTTCACAAAGTCTCCTGCTTCTCTTTTGTCTTTTACTTTGGAAAAAAAAAAAAAAAAACTCTTCAAAATGGCTTCAAAGGCCATGCATAGTTTGATCCCCTATGATTTATCTAATCTCATTTCCTTCTGCTTTTCCACTAGCTCACTCAACTACAGTCTGACTCCTTTTTGCCTCTTTTTACCCTGCAGCTTCTTCCACCTGAAAACTTAGCTGTACTTTCTGCCTGAAATATTTTTCCCCCAGTTACACACATAGCTTATACCCTAACTTGCTTTTAGTCATTCTAATGGTACCTTGTCATTGTATCTTTCTTTGACCACACTATTTAATATAGCAACTCCCCCACCACTTCTTCAACTATTCTCTGCTTGGTTTTTTTCTCTGTAGTATTCGTGATGGTCTTTCGTAAACGCATAGTTGATTTTTTATACATATGTGCTGTGATGGTTAATACTGAGTGTCAACTGGATTGAAGGATGCAAAGTATTGATCCTGGGTGTGTCTGTGAGAGTGTTTCCAAAGGAGATTAATATTTGAGGCAGTGGACTGAGAAAGGCAGACCCACCCTTGATCTGAGTGGGTATAATCTAATCAGCTGCTGGTGTGGCCAGGATATAAAACAGGCAGAAAAACATGAAAAGGCTAGACTAGCTTAGCCTCCCAGCCTACATCTTCCTCCCAGGCTGGATGCTTCCTGCCCTCAAACATAGGACTTCAAGTTCTTCAGCTTTGGTACTAAGACTAGCTTCCTTGCTCCTCAGCTTGCAGATGGCCTATTGTGTAAACTTGTGATCATGTGAGTTTAACACTCCTTAATAAACTCCCCATATATAAAATATATATGGATATATATATACCCATATATATACATACATATATATATACACATATATATATACATACATATATATATACATATATATATATATACACATACATATATATATATGTATATATATATTCTATTAGTTCTGTCCTTCTAGAGGACCCTGACTAATATATCTGCTGACTAGAGTATTACTCCCATGAAGGCATGGATTCTTTTCCTCTTCATTGCTGTGTCCTCAGTGCCTAGACCAGTGGCTGATACATAGTAGAAAGTAAATAAATACTTGTAAAATTATTAGTTGTAAAAAAAAGTATGGTTTGTTATCTCCAATAAACTCTCCTCTACCTTCTATCTCCCCTACCCAACACTCAAGAAGCACATCCACTTTTATTTTTCCTAGTAAGACCATATGTATCCCCATGCTCATAGAATAAGTTATGTCTCTCCACAAAACATTTTCATAGAACCTTGTATATAGTCCAATTATAATGATACTTGTATTTAACCACTATGGCTATAAATGTGCTGTTGGTTTCAATTGCTGAATGTGCATTCCTAAATAGAGGGAAGCTGTATTATTCATTATTTTGTCTCTTGTGAGTAGTACTGTATCTGCAACACCATATGCACTGCCTGGGTATCTGTTGTAAGCAGTAAGGCATATAGCATGTAGAATACAACAGCAAATCAAATGAATCTTTCCTCTTTGCATCAATTCTCACCTTGACTCTGTTTTGCTCAGCAGAATATCAAGCATATAATTAGTACTTGATGCATATTTATTGATTAATTAATTGATTTGAAGATCTTTTGAGTGTAGTTATCTACATAAAGGTAATGAGTTTGAGACATCATCAGGTCTTGTAAAACTAAATGCATAAACATATTTAGCACTGGGAAACAAGTGGAAAGTAACTGACTGCCAGAAGTGCAACAATATTACTTAGGAATCAGTAATTAGAACTAAAGAGAAATGGCCGAATTAACCATGGAGTAATGAGGTGGAGCCATAGATTTCAACTAGAAGTGATATAAGTGGTCACCTCCATTACCAGAAACCTCTCCCTGCAATTGTCATCTGGGGAGCATAAGGTCTCCTAAATATCTAAATGCAAAAATTAAAGCTTACTCAATAAATTATCCCTTTGAAAGTAATTTTGCATGACATTAATGCTTTCCAAGGTAAATCAGACTATTTTGAGATTTAAAATGAGGTAATATGTGTGTATATGTGTATCTGCAATAAATTTGTTTGTTGAATTTTTAAATTATGAATCATAACCTTAGTATAATGTATTTTTTTCCAAAATGATTTTAAACTGCATTTTACTTTTATGTATGATTTTATAAATGAGTAAATGACTATGTTTTTTACCCAAAGGCTTGAGTAGCAATTGTCACTGCACTTAAAATAAATGTTACATCTTTACTTATAAACACTTTGCCACACACACTTCCCTTATTTGTAGAGTCATGAAGCATAGGGTTCCTGGACAAACTCAATTCCTCCATTGCTGACCTCTGTCATAAATCTTTGCATTAAAATCTCTCTTTCAGCAAAAAATAAATGTTTTGCTGTTTGCATTGTTCATTGCAGGTTTTATTCAGATTCCCTCAACATTATATAAATCTTATAACAATTTAAGTAAACTAACCCTTTAGTAGTCATTTCATAAATTGTTTAAATGATTGAATCTTTCCATTTATACTTCTACTTTTTCCATTCCTATGTTTAACCTATCCAACTAAGAAAAAACCCAAATGTTCGTAATGGCTACGTGAATACAAAAATTATAATTTATCATTTTACAATAAGTATTTTTAATATTTTACATTTCTAACTGAAGAAATTTATGGACACTTATGCTTAGTATACCTATTGCAGTGTTATAAATTGCCCAGAATATATTATGCACTTATATTTAGTTGAACACCATTTTCTAACATACTTTAATAGCTTCATATTATGGAATATAATTTATTTATTCCCGTGCTGTCATTTTTTAACAGTTCTTGGTGTGTCATTTAGTGGCATACATTCAACATAATGACAGATTATGAAAAAGGAGGACATGAGAATAAATGTTCATAGTAAGAGAAAGTATATATGGCAGATTTTTCTTCTTAATTCTCTTAAATTAAAACCTCATATTCTATGTTAAAATTTGTCCCTCTGTCATGAGGTTCTACAAATGGAAGAGTCATGAGTGAATCTGTAAGAATTTAACTTTTCCTTTCACCCTAATGACAGATATCTGAGGAAGACAGAAATGCAAGATTATGATATTGGATAATAAAACCAAACTTCTTAGAATGGAAAATAAGCAATTTAATTGTATGTTGTAATTTTTGCTACACATTCCCAATTGCACTGTCCTTTCTGCAATTCGTGAGAGCCTGAGTTTCCCCACCTAACAAGTAACTGAGTTGTTGTTTAGCAGATAATGTACAATAAACTTGAACCCCATCTCGACAACTGAGACAGGCAAATGATCAGTGTGAGGGCACTAAAAGCAAGTTTACCTAGGACTACAGAGGCCATAGATCGAGGCTGAGTGGCGTGAATCTGTCAGTATAATAACCGTGCTGTTGTTTTGGTGATTGTTATTTTTAGACAAATTAGTACCTCACTGGGGATAAAACAGTACAGCAATAGAAACATCTCCAACCTTCCACTTTGTGTAATAAAATGTTTTCATCCGTACAACTCAGGAGAAACTGATATGCATTTTGACTTTGAAATGGCTTGAGGCCCTAGGTCAAAAGAACAGTCTCAATTAAAGTTAAGTACTTTACAGGCCTCATTACTAAGGTTTAATCCTTGCTTAAAATTATGATATTGCATTACCTGAAATTATGATTTATAAATGATAGCAGTGTAAAAGTTTCACTAATTCATAATTTTAGGAAGTATAGCTCACAGAAATTTTCTCTGATATGTTTTATGAAAGGAAAAATACTCAAGCCCTTTAATTAATAACCTGCCCTGAAAACCATCTTTCTAGAAGAGAACTAAAATGACTTAAGGATAGCCAATAATAGCCTGACATCCCCTTTTATTTCAAAAGAAATCATTTGCTATTAATAATGATAAGCAGGGTTTCGGGACATTTTATAGGCGCATCATTCCTTTACCTTGTCAGTTGGTTTTATGTTGTAGAGAGAAGGGTGATGGGGTGAACCAAGCTTGCAGGCATATATAACATTATGGAAGGTGAAGAATCTATGATGCTTCATCAGACAAGACATTTCATTTTGTCATTGAGTCATAGCAAAGTCATTGCTATCTGAGGAATTATTGCAAAGTTATTATTTGCCATCCTAGGTTTTGTGAAATAATTTTACATATAAATGTTAATATCAGTTTATAATCACATAATTCAAGAAAAACTTAGATACAAATATTTAAGATATTTTGTTTCCTTTGTAAAAATCAAGTGTATACATAAATTTGAATTATGTCTGAAAAATTAGAAATATGATGATAAAATCTTTTATTGCTTGACATTTCTGCTGGTTGATGAAAATTGTTATAGCTACATTGCTGATATTCTCTCCTCTTTCTACTCCAAACTCACTCTCTCCTATGACCAATGACTATAGTCCAAACTTCTACCTTAGGAACATAACAACAAAGAATCAAGATACAGAACATTTTGGACATAGGTATTAGAATATTTACATAGCATTTCCTCTATATCTTGAGAGGCAAAGCCCCTGAACAAACATGAAATAGCAAGAGATGAATTCACCAAAATGTTATTAGTGTTAATATTATAAGGCAGCTTATTATATTTACCAATATTATAAGTAAATTTATTACATGAGATGTTCATTCATTCAAAACAATGTACTAAAGAGACATTGTTCACTTTGGTGGAAAGGAATGAACAAGGTCATTTCCATTGAGCTATCTTACTATAATATGACAGATAATGACAAAATACACATTTAAGTACTATCTTAAGCAAATACATTACAAATAGAATGAAGTGAAGTGAGGAAGAACTAAAACAGAATACTATCATAGAAAGTGAGTTGGGAGAATTAGATTGTACCCGTAGGACTATGTTCGTGGATATCCTTTCCAACATTACATTTAACCAAGATCTGAATTATTCTATTCTGTGAGAATACAATAATCACAGCAAGCACTCAGAAAAAAAGCATTTCAGGCAAATAGAACAGTAAATAGTTTTCAGCTGCCACCTTTGCCCTTAGTTGAGAGATTTCAAGATCTTGTCATACATTGGCAGCCTCTTAATACTATCAGATCTTCAGAATCTCCCTAAACACTGAAGATCTCGGCCTCTTAGACTATCTGCCCCTCAATCCTGAACCTCAAGAATGCTGAATTTCTATCATGTTGATAGTATGCTACAAATATTCAAGTTCTAGGAGCATTTAGATAAACTTAGGCACTCTACCTCCATTAGCAGCCCAGTTAAAAAACAAACAAACCAAAATACAGATCTCCAAATACTGAGAATTATTAAGAATTATTTTGCCTTGTAATATCTCCAGCAGTAGGCAGGCAACGGACTCACATTTGATATTTTCTGCTTCCTTTTATTTCAGTTCCACTTTTGTTTAATATCTGGCCTCATAATTAATATATCACAAGGAAAAAAACTAAAAAATAATAATGGGGGAATTATATAACTTTGTAAAATGTGAATTCATGTCATGAGGAATATCATGAGGAATCTTAGAATTTACTTATGACGTATGCATTACTCAGCATGGCAACTTTTATGTAAGAAAATCTGATCCTGAGAGAGGACCAGATAACGAGTCCAATTTGGGTTCAAGCTCAAGGTCCAGCAAATGCCCTTTATCAATAATATGCACCGCAAATGTCCACAAAATTCCTAAAAGAAGTGAACCAGAAATTCATCTATCTCAATGGACACAGTATTGGTAATTAGGAGGTGGGGATTGGAGGGAGGAGATTGTTGTGTAGCAATGTCCCTCTTTCAGTATGTTGATGCTTCTACCCACTAAATGTCATTGCAACTACCTACCTAGTCAAAATGGACAAACAGAAAAGTAAAATGTTTCACATATCTCCAGATGTCCATTGGGCTAATCTCATTTTAAACTGTGCTCCTAATAATATACTCTCTTGTGGGACATTAATTTGTGTTACATTAAGAAAATGTGTTCATAGGTCAAACATTGTGTTTAGCACATAATGTATCAAATAGTAAAGCAGATTTCTTTTTGTAGAAATTTTCTAAACCTTAATATGATAATGAGAACTGCAAATTTCAAAAGAATGAGGGTAAAGTGTTTATAAAATTTTATAAGCTGATTTCAATCATAAACTTTTTTTCAAGAACCATTTGTAAGAAATGGACTAAACAATCTTAAAAATTCACACAAATTACATTACATATCATATAATTGCCAATTTCATTTATTCTTTTTTGGGGAGTTTCCTGTGAAAGACTAAAAAGCCTACAGAAAAGAAAGCTCTTATGCAGAATATTTTATATACAGTGTCAAATAATCTAATGATAATATGAATATTTTTAAATCAGAAACACAACATAATATATCAGATTCTATATTAAACATTTTTCTTATGTATTCTTTTTTGATAACTGTAACAGCCCTACATGTAAACTAATTATCTTTAATCTTCTACTGGAAAAATGGAGATAAAGACAGGTGATTTGCTCTTTTAGGGTGTAGGCTAAGTTGCTGTGGAAGAAAGATCCCAAAATGCTCTAACACGATTAAAGTCTATTTTTCCTTCATTTTTCAAGCAAAACATATGTGGTTATTCAAGGGTCAGTGCATGGCTTAGATTCACAAAATCGTCCAGAGAGTCACAGTTTTCTTCAATCATATTTTTTTACAATCTCCTAATGTTTGTTTTATTTGTATGGTTGATACCAACTTACCAACACCATATCTGTATTCCAGCTCTAGGAAAAGGGATATAATGAGAGGAGGGCAAGCCTTAAAGAAAGTTACCTAAAAGTTTCTTCATGCATTACTTCTCTGTTAAAGGAATCTGAAAGAAATTAGTCTCCAGCGTGTTCTCTGCTAAAGTTTGATTAGGCATGGAAAACATTCTATCATGTAAAAGACATTCTTTTATTTAAAAAAGAGAGAGTGGGCCAGGCACAGTGGCTCACGCCTGTAATCCCAGCACTTTGGGAGGCTGAGGTGGGTGGATCACCTGAGGTCAGGAGTTTGAGACCATTCTGGCCAACATGGTGAAACTCTGTCTCTATTAAAAATATACAAATTAGCCGGGCGTGCTGGCAGGTTCCTCTAGTCCCAGCTACTTGGGAGGCTGAGACAGGAGAATCATTTGAACCTGGGAGGCAGAGGTTGCAGTGAGCTGGGATCATGCCACTGCACTCCAGCCTGTGTGACAGAGTGAGACCCTCTCTCAAAATAAATAAATAAACAAAAAAAAGGAGAGTGGATACTGGTGGTGGGATTTTTCAGTCTCTGCCAAAAAAAGAGTGTGTAATATTATGAAATACATACTTTAGATTTTGTCCACAGTTCCTGGATCACAGCTCTTATAAATTTTGTAATTTCCTAAATGACTAAAGCAATAGAAGAATCTTTTGTTCTAATATTTGGTCTCTGTCCCAGTTCCTGAGCCAGAACTCCAAATTCTGTAGAAGATAAGATTACTAGAATAATCTCTTATTCTAATATTTAGTTTTGACCCTGGTTCTTGATAAAGAATTCCTAAATCCCTTGGGATTTCCTGGGTAATAGAAGCATCTTTTGTTCTAATAAGGTGATTCTTGGTGGGTTCCTAGATAGGAGCTGGTCACCAGAAAGACAAAGCTATGATTACAATCTTAGAGCTTTCATTCTCACCCTCCATTCTTTGGAGAGGGAGAAGGGATGGAAATGAAATTAATAATCAATCATACCTACATGATGAAGACTCCATTAACATTTCTGAATTTGGGTTTGAAGAGCTTCCAGGTTGGCAAACACATCCTTATAAAAAGAGGATGATGCGCCCAATTCCACTTTATGGGAGCTCTTGGACTCAGAGCCACCTCAGACCTTGCCCTGTGTATCCCTTCATCTATCTGTTCATCTGTATTCTTTATTATATCCTTTATTAATAAACCAGTAAATGTAAGTAAAGTGTTTACCAAAGTTCTGGGATCTGCTTTAGCAAATTAACTGAACTCAAAGAGGGGGTCTTATGAACCCCAATTCATGGACAGCAGGTTAGACAAGCACATGTCACTATCTACTTGCAACTGGCATCTGAAAAATGGAGGGAAGTCTCGTGGGACTGTGTACTCAACCTATGAAGTCTGACACCATCACAGGTAAATAGTACCAGAACTGAATTGAATTATGGGACACCCAGCTGATGTCCACTTGAGAACTGACTGGTGTGTGAAGAAACAAGCTTCACGCATTTGGGGCCACAGAAGTGTTCTGCTTACTCTGTAAGAATGTTTTTTTCTCCACCTCTACAGAGGGAGAAAACAGAAAAAGAAAAAACTTATTTACACTGAAATACAGTGTCTCTCAATAAACATTCCATACTGCATAATGATAATAATTATATCAAACTTTTTTTTAACTAACTATATACCACATACTGTTGTAAATATTTGCATACATATATGAATTTATTTAATTCTCACAACAACCCTATGGTATGAGTGCTTTATATTATTGTTACCTTACAGATGACAAAATTGAAGCAAAAATTTGCAAAGACACACACTAACAAGCAGTGAACCAGAAATTCTAAAACCGGCTGTCTAACTTGAATCTGTGCTTTTCAGTGTCCTGTTCTGCTGGTTCTCCATTACTACTTTTTTAAGAATGAAGAATAGAAGGGTTCCTTATGTAATTTTATTATTTCTATATGCTTGACTATACTGTGATCCAAAGTCACAGTGGTTTTATTAGAAAAAAGCGGATAGATTTAAGTCTTTAATAAATATCTGTTTTTCTTTTTATATCATGGTAGAAATAGTAAGAAATGAGTTTTGTCTTATCTAGATCTACATGACACCACACCATATTAAACTCCAGTAGCTATTACAGTGTGCTATTTCAACATCATTTGGTTTCAAAATTCAGTGTGATTTGTCTCAGCTTAGAAAATCACCAGTCATAGCATATCTATTATTACAGACTCTTCATATTAATGATATATAAACATATCTAGGTTCTTAGATTTTTTTTTTCTTCAAAAACACTCTAAGTGGAACATAAGTACATAATAATTTGAGATATCTTCAAAGGCCCTGAATATCTGGCATGGTGCCAATAGATCTTATGTGACTCTATCTTGATGCTCACTAATTGTGCCTGAATTGTGTAGCTCTGAGAGTATCCTGTTCCTATTTCAAAGTGGAAGACGCCCATGAATGGAATAACATTGCCCTGAATAGAGAGAGTAGTAATAGAAGGGTTGGTGATACCAGTGCCTGCATCGCACAAGGAATTTTGGTAGGGCTTCATATATTGCTTATATATGAAAGTCCATCATGGAGAGTCTAACCACACAAGGATGAATGAGAATGACAGTCCTGAAGCATTTCATAAGTGCATTTGAGTCATAAAGAAGTGAATGGACCAGGCGCAGTGGCTCACGCCTGTAATCCCAGCACTTTGGGAGGCCGAGGCTGGTGGATCACGAGGTCAGGAGATCCAGACCATCCTGGCTAACACGGTGAAACCCCGTTTCTACTAAAAATACAAAAAAAAAAAATTAGCCTGGCATGCTGTCGGTCGCCTGTAGTCCCAGCTACTCAGAAGGCTGAGGCAGGAGAATGGCGTGAACCCGGGAGGCGGAGCTTGCAGTGAGCAGAGATCGGGCCACTGCACTCCAGCCTGGGAGACTGAGCAAGCCTCCGTCTCAAAAAAGAAAAATAAGAAGTGAATGGAGACTATGAGCCAATGACTTGCTTCAGTGTTGCTATCATGCACCATGACTGTGGTTCTATGCCACACAACACTCTGCTAATTTACTGAGGGACCCTATTTAGAAGAACCAGTTTGATGAAAAATGTATGTACACAGAAGTATATGATTTTTCTGATTATTTCTAATATAAATCTTCCCATATCTGTGCCCCATCCAGAGCCTGAATTAGCTAGTTAAATAAACCATTTATCACATACTGCTGACAAAACAACCGTAAAGTGGTTCTTTATTCATTACTGAGTCTCCAAAAATAAAGTGTTAGGTTTGAATTTCTAAGCCCAGAGGTGATTTTTTAAAGCTTTATTAAGCCATTAGAAGATCCAAATTACCCAGACCAATTGATCAGCTAGATATCTTTCAGTTCTAGCTGTCTTTTCCCCCCCAGTTATTTGTGCTCATAATAGCCCTAAATTGTTTTGTATTAAAATGCTGAACTTGGTTTGCATTCAAGACTGCCTGAGAAATAAAACTTCTTTCACAAATGTGGAGTAAAAATATGTCTTTACAATCTTAAATAGAATACAAATATTTTCTCCTTTTTAAGTGAGATACTCCTAAATGTGACAGCTGTAAATAGATACATGCTTTAAGTATGAATATTTTTTTCTCACACTTATAAGTTATTTCTTCCCACAGGAGTAGTGCAAGAGGGTTTTTCTATCTCTTGAATCTCATTATTTTTCCTGTCTGACCTAAAGTCCATGAGCAAATTAAAACCACACAAACTTTAGTGATTTCTTCTTTGATTTTAAGTTTAACTTTATCAGAATCCATCCCTGTAAACAATACAAAATAAACTCTATTCTCTGCTCTTCTTAATTCTCTCCACCCCACCATCATCTTCTTTCCTCCTCCCTAGTTCAATCAATATTAATTGACCCACATTCCTCTCAGGAACCAAATACGCTTTTATAATGGTCTTTTAGTGCTTTCTCCAAGAATATCATTTACAACCAAGGTTAATCTAGCATCAGCCGGATTTTCAGGCCAGCGTACTTAGGGTATCTGTGTACTTGAAACACTCTTAGAATCTTCTAACAAAGGTAATTGTTGTAAAAACATACTTTTCAAAATTGAAACAAAAAGGATGGGAAAACGTGGCAGTCAAAGGCCATTTGAAGAATGTAGTAGTTAGACACTCAAGAAAGAATATAAGAAGGAGATCATTAAGTTAGATTAAGAGCCAGTTAGAAACCCCAGGGAAATAGAACCGTAAATAACTTGGAGTCATTTTTTTTCTACCAGAAAGAAATTATTTGAACCTCTACAGACTAAAATCAACAACTGCATAGTAGCGGTTCCCTAATCAATGATAAATAGCAAGTCAAACAAAGCTAAATTTTGCTGGACAATTAAATAATCTTTGAGTGGGTCTGTTAGGCAATGTTCTAGAATGACATTCAGTAGACACACAGGCATCCTTTTGTTTGTATCTCCTTGTTTCTGGTACTTTTCCTTAACATTATACTTCCATCCTTTAATGAGAATGGGCTACTTCTCTCATAATTAAGCCTTATTAGTATAACTAACAACAACCTGGTTTAAATATATATTTTGCTTTCATTGGAGATTTTAAAAAGTAAAACTTCTAGAGTAAGTTAAATATAATTTTTTAAGACATGAGCATTGACAAGACAGAAAAGTGGTATCAGCTTCCCACAGTGAGCAGTATAATATTTATTTAGAGTTTTTGAGGATGATTACAATTTCATATAATGTTATTTTTAAATAAAGGTCACTTTTTATAACAGTTAGATTCTTTTAAAATCATTTACAGATACTTTTATATAAAGAAATATACATATTATAAAAAATACACTATACGAAATATGTTCTGATTTTTGCTCTTTAAATAAAAGTATCCAATTGTTAAGTAAAGCTGCTTCTTTAGGCACAAGGTATTTATTGAACATTTACTATGAGTAGGGTAGTAAGGAGGATGAAAAATAAATAAAGTCTCTTTGTACCAAGATTACTATCTAGATGATGCATGAAAATGCTGAGTTATAATATATTTAAGACTGTGTGTAGTACTTAAGGGAACTGAACAACGGATTATACTAGAGCACAAGAGGGAGAAGTCTGTTTTAATGATCAGGAACAGGTATAATTTGGGTCATGAAAGAACAGCGAGATTCAACATGTTGAGATAAAGCAGTGGGCAAAGACACGGTATCAGGAAGATCAAGACCAAAGCATGGAATGACAATAGGAAATTCCCCAGGAATTTCAGATATTTGACTTGAGGATATTATAATTTGCAAAGAAGACTAAGATGAATTATGTATAAAAAGCTAATATTAAGGCAGTTTTTCTTTCATCCTAAAAATTCTATGTTTCTATAGAATATGAGAATAATGTGTTTAACCACTTGGAGAGAATAATTATAAACATTTTACAAGTTCTCTGCAAAGTACAAATGAATTAGATTATCTCAATTATTTATTTTATTTTAAAAATTAAAACATTTAACTCATGAGATGGCCTGTGTTTAAGCTGTTTTAAAATATAACTTATTAATATGTTCTAGCAGTCTACAAAGAACACTGGGAGTTATAAAAAATCAAATTTGAAAGTCTATATAGTAGACACCTGGGTTAAAAGAAAATCTTAACACAAATTCAATTTAGCAGAGTTTATTAAAGAAAAGAAATAATTCATGAATTGGGTGGTATCCTGAACCAGTAAATGTTCAAGAGAGCTTCACTTAGCAATATGGGCAGACAGTATTTGTAGTTGAAAAAGGAAGTGACATATAGAAATAGCCTAATTGGTTACAGCTAGGGGTTTGCCTTATTTGAACTTACTCGAGCAGTTTGTAACCTGTGATTGGCTGAAAGCTTAGCTGCTATGATTGGGTGAGGCTTGGTTACCTTTTCATGAGCATCTGTGTGAAGAGACCACCAAACAGGCTTTGTGTGAGCAATAAAGCTTTTAATCACCTGGGTGCAGGCGGGCTGAGTCCGAAAAGAGAGTCAGTGAAGGGAGATAGGGGTGGGGCCATTTTATAGGATTTGGGTAGGTAAAGGAAAATTACAGTCAAAGGGGTTCTTCTCTGGAGGGCAGGAGTGGGGGTCACAAGGTGCTCAGTAGGGGAGGTTTTGAGCCACATGACCCAGGAGAAGGAATGTCACAAGATAATGTCATCATGGCAGGAACAGGCCATTTTCATTTCCTTTGTGGTGGAATGTCATCAGTTAAGGCAGGAACCGGACCATCTGGATGTGTACGTGCAGGTCACAGGGAATATGATGGCTTAGCTTGGGCTCAGAGGCCTGACATTCCTGTCTTCTTATATTAATAAGAAAAATAAAATGAAATAGTGGTAAAGTGTTGGGGCAGCGAAAATTTTTGGGGGTGGTATAGAGAGATAATGGGCGATGTTTCTCAGGGCTGCTTCGAGCGGAATTAGGGGCGGCGTGGGAACCTAGAGTGGGAGAGATTAAGCTGAAGGAAGATTTTGTGGTAAGGGGTGATATTGTGGGACTGTTAGAAGAAACATTTGTCATTTAGAATTATTGGTGATGGCCTGGATATGGTTTTGTATGAATTGAAAAACTGAATGGAATAAGAGAAGGAGAAAAACAGGTATTAAAAGTCTAAGAATTGGGAGGACCCAGGACATCTAATTAGAGAGTGCCTAAGGACATTCAGCATAGTCCTGCCAGCCACTCTTAAGAGTGGCAGTTTGGGGATAGCACCAGGAGATATCAGCTGTGATGGCTTGGAGAAACAGTGTAAACCGGCAATGTAAACAAGAGCAGGGCATGTATGAGTAGTTGAGAATGGTGAATAGGAGTATGACTAGACAGAAGATAGTAGGGATGACAAGTTTTTTGGGGCACAGTCCAAGTTGGTCTGGTGTCTGGAATGAGACTGGGGCTTAATAAAAAGGAGCATCCATACAGGAGCTCAAACGGGCTGTACCCTGTAGCATTCCAAGGACAGGCCTGAATTCTGAGAAGGGAAAGTGGTAAAAGTATTGTCCAGTCCTTTTGAAGTTGGTGGCTGAGCTTGGTGAGGTGTGTTTTTAAAAGACCATTAGTCCGTTCTACCTTTCCTGAAGACTGAGGACCCTAAGGGATATAAAGATTTCACTGAATACCAAGAGCCTGAAAAAATGCTTGGCTGATTTGACTAATAAAGGCCGGTCTGCTATCGGACTGTGTAGAGGTGGGAAGCCCAAACTGAGGAATTATGTCTGACAGAAGGGAAGAAATGACTGTGGTGGCCTTCTTGACCCTGTAGGAAAGGCCTCTACCCATCCAGTGAAAGTGTCTACCCAGACTAAGAGGTATTTTAGTTTTCTGACTCAGGGCATGTGAGTAAAGTCAATTTGCCAGTCCTGGGCAGGGGCAAATCCCCTAGCTTGATGTGTAGGAAAGGGAGGAGGCTGGAACAATCCCTGAGGGGTAGTAGAATAGCAAATAGAACACTGAGAAGTGATTTCCTTGAGGATAGATTTCCATGATGGAAAGGAAATGAGAGGTTCTAAGAGACGGGCTAGCGGCTCGTAACCTACATGGAAGAGGTTATGAAATGACGACAGAATAGAATGGGCCTGTGAGGCTGGAAGGAGATATTTTCCTTGGTCTAAGAACCATTTGCCTTGTGTGACAAGAGATTGATAGGTGGAAGTTTCAGCAGGGGAGTAGGTGGGAGTGACTGATGTGAAGGAGAAAAACTGGCCGTGAGGGACAGAAGTTGGAAAGCTAGCTGCTTGTCTAGCCACCTTATCAGCATAAGCATTGCCTAGAGCAATGGGATCTGATGCCTTTTGATGGCCTTTGCAGTGAATGAGTCCAGCTTCCTTTGGAAGTAAAGAGGCCTTGAGCAGAGTTTTTATTAAAGAGGCATTAATGATGGAGTACCCTTGTGTAGTGAGGAAACTTCTTTCAGCCTATGTAACAGCATGGTGGTGCAGAATATGAAAGGCATATTTAGAGTCAGTATAAATATTGACGCACAGTCCTTTTGCAAGAGTGAGGGCTTGAGTTAAGGCAACTAATTCGGCTTGCTGAGAGATAGTGGAGGGGGGCAGAGCAGTGGTAGCCTCAATGATAGATGTGGAAGATACTATAGCATAGCCTGCCTTTGCTGGTGAGTGGCGATTAGGCCTGGTGGAACTGCGATCAATAAACTAAATGTGATCAGGGTGAGGAACAGGAAAGAAGGAAATATGGGGAAATGGGGTGAATGTCAGGTGGATCAGAGAGATACAGTCATAAGGGTCAGGTGTGTTATCCAGAATAATGTGGGAGGCCAGACTGAAGTCCGTGCCAGAAACAATGGTAATTATGGGAGACTTAACGAAGAGTGAGTACAGCTGAAGGAGCCAGGGAGCAGAAAGTTTGTGTGTCAGGTGTGAGGAAGAAAATAGATTTTGGAAGTTATGAGAACTGTAGAGAGTGAGTTGAGTATAGTTTGTGACTTTAAGGGCCTCTAAAGTATTAGGGCGGCAGCAGCCGCTGCACGGAGACATGATGGCCAGCCTAAAACAGTAGGGTCAAGTTGTTTGGACAAAAGGGCTACAGGACGTGATCCCGGTCCTTGTGTAAGAATTCCGACTGCACAGCCCTGCACTTCGGCTGTGGGTAATGAAAGGGGTTGGGATGAGTCAGGGAGAGCTAGATTGGGGGCAGTCTCTAAAGCTGTCTTCAAGGAACAGAAAGAGGAGTGGGGAAAGGATTTAGGATCTATGGGGTCAGCTAGGTTTCTTTTTGTGAGTTTATATAATGGTTTTGTTAAGATGGCAAAACCAGGTATCTAAAGTTGAAAGTATCTAACCATGCCTAGGAAGGAAAGGAGTTGTTGTTTTGTAGGAGGTGTTGGGGTTTGAGAGATCAGCTGAACATGATCAGCAGGGAGAGCACGTGTGTTTTTATGAGAATTATGCCAAGATAGGTAACAGATGAGGAAGAAATTTGGGCTTGACTGAAGTAATGGGGGCTGTCTGTGAAGCTTTGTGGTAGTACAGCCCAGGTAATTTGCTGAACCTGATGGGTGTCAGGGTCAGTCCAAGTGAAAGCGAAGAGAGGCTGGGATGAAGGGTGCAAAGAAATAGTAAAGAAAGCATGTTTGAGATCTAGAACAGAATAATGGGTTGTAGAGGCAGGTATTGAGGATAGGAGAGTATATGGGTTTGGCACCATGGGGTGGGTAGGCAAAACAATTTGGTTGATAAGGCCCAGAACCTGAACTAACCTGTAAGGCTTGTCTGGTTCTAGGCCAGGTAAAATGGGGGAATTGTAAGGAGAGTTTATAGGCTTTAAAAGGCCATGCTGTAGCAGGCGAGTGATAACAGGCTTTAATCCTTTTAAAGCGTGCTGTGGGATGGGATATTGGCATTAAGCGGGGTAAGGGTGATTAGGTTTTAATGGGTTGGTAAGGGATGCATGATTGGTCACTAAGGAGGGAGTAGAGGTGTCTTACACTTGTGGGTTAAGATGGGGAGACAAAGGGGAGGATGTGAAGGAGGCTTTGAACTGGGGGAAAAGGCAGCAATCAGGTGTGGCTGTAGCCCAGGAATAGTCAGGGAAGCAGATAATTTAGTGAAAATATCTCGGCCTAATAAGGGAACTGGGCAGGTGGGGATAATTAAAAAACAGTGCTTAAAAGACTATTAAGTTGGCACCAGAGTTGGGGAGTTTTAAGAGGTTTAGAAGCCTGGCCATCAATTCCCACAACAGTTATGGAGGCAAGGGAAACAGGCCCTTGAAAAGAAGGTAATGTGGAGTGGGTAGCCTCCGTATTGATTAAGAAGGGGATGGACTTACCTTCCACTGTGAGAGTTACCCAAAGCTCGGCATCCGTGATGGTCTAGGGGTTTCTGAGGCAATCGGGCAGCGTCAGTCTTCAGCCGCTAAGCCGAGAAGATCTTGGAGGGAGTCAGTCAGAGAGCCTTGGGCCAGAGTTCCAGGGGCTCTGGGAGTGGCTGCCAGGTGAGTTGAACAGTCCGATTTTCAGTGGGGTCCCACACAGATGGGACGTGGCTTAGGAGGAATCCTGGGCTGTGGGCATTCCTTGGCCTGGTGGCCAGATTTCTGGTGCTTGTAGCAAGCTCCTAGCGGGAGGAGGTTCTGGAGGAATGCCTGGCTGCTGCAGTTCAGGCGTTTGGAAGTTCTTGTGTGCTGGAGATATGGCTGGGGTTTGTCTCACAGTGGAGGCAAGGAATTGCAACTCAGAAATATGTTGCTACTTGGCTGCCTCTACTCTATTATTGTACACCTTGAAGATGAGGTTAATTAAGTCCTGTTGTGGGGTTTGAGGGCCGGAATTTAATTTTTGGAGTTTTATTTAATGTCGGGAGCAGATTGGGTAATAAAATATATATTGAGAATAAGACGGCCTTTTGACCTTTTAGGGTCTAGGGCTGTAAAGCATCTCAGGGTTGCTGCCAAACGAGCCATGAACTGGGCTGGGTTTTTATATTTGATGAAAAAGAGCCTAAACACTCTCTGATTTGGGATAAAGAAAAAGGAGCATTAACTTTGACTATGCCTTTAGCTCTAGCCAACTTTTTAAGAGGAAATTTCTGGGCAGGTGGGGGAAGGCTACTTATGGAACGAAACTGTAAGCCGACCCAGTGTGAGGAGGGGAGGTGATAAAAGGATTACAGGGTGGAGGAGCAGAGGCTGAGGAAGAATTGGGACCTAGCTCAGCCTGGCGAGGAGGGGAGAGGTCAGATGGGTCTGTAGAAAAGGAAGATTAGAAAGACTCAGTGATGCTTGGGGTTGGGACTGAGGGGACAGGTGGGAGGGAAAGAAGGAAGATTTGGGACAAGTTGCATTGGGAACAGAGACTAGGGAGGGACTGATGTGTAAAAGAATGCCTGGAGATCAGGCACCTCAGACCATTTGCCCATTTTACGACAAGAATTATTTAGATCTTGTAGGATGGAAAAAATGACAGTGCCGTTTTCTGGCTATTTGGAACCGCTGTCGAGTTTGTATTGGGGTCAAGCGGCATTGTAGAAGAAAATAAGGCATTTAGGTTTTAGGTCAGGTGTGAGTTGAAGAGGTTTTAGGTTTTTAAGAACATAGGCTAAGGGAGAAGAAGGGGGAATGGAGGGTGGAAGGTTGCCCATAGTGAAGGAGGCAAGCCCAGAGAAAAGAGAGAGTAGAGACATGGAGGGAAGGGATTTGGGGGTTCTTACCCTCCAGAAAAGCAGGAAAGTGGTCGGGGCACGGAAATGGGTTGGGGTGCAGAGATAAGAGGTCAGGGCATGGAAATAAGGGATCGGGGTGCAGAGATAAGGGGTAGGGGCACAGAAAGGATCGGGGAGTTCTTGCCCCCCGGAAAAGCAGCGAAGGGGTAGAGACAGGGAGAGAAGGGGTCAGGGTTCTTGCCCCTTCCCCAGAAAAGTGGGACTTGCCTCTAAGGGTGAAGGACCAAGGCAGGTGTCCCTGTGTGGTCAGACACCTCTGAAACGTGGGTGAATAATCAGAGGTGTCCCTGCAATGATTAAACACCAAGGGAAGGCTGCCTTCCCGAGTCCGTGACCAGTGCCGGAGTTTTGGGTCTACGGATAAAACATGTCTTCTTTGTCTCTACCAGAAAATGAAAGGAATTGAAATTAAGAGAAGGGAGAGATTGAAGGGTGGCACCAAGATTGAAAGGAGAAAGTGGTTGAGGGATAGTGAGAGGTTGGAGAAGAGAGTAAGAAGAGGCTGCTTACCCGATTTAAAATTGGTGAGATGTTCCTTGGGCTGGTGGGTCTGAGGACCCACGGTCGTAGGTGGATCTTTTTCGTGAAGCAAAGAGCAGGAGGACAGGGGATTGATCTCCCAAGGGAGGTCCCCCAATCCAAGTCACGGCACCAAATTTCATGCACATCCATGTGAAGAGACCACCAAACAGACTTGTGTGAGCAATAAAGCTTTTAATCACCTGGGTGCAGGCAGGCTGAGTCCGAAAAGAGAGTCAGTGGAGGGAGATAGGGGTGGGGCTGTTTTATAGGATTTGGGTAGGTAAAGGAAAATTAGTCAAAGGGGTTGTTCTCTGGTGGGCAGGAGTGGGGGTCACATGGTGCTCAGTAGGGGAGCTTTTGAGCCAGGATGAGCCAGGAGAGGGAATTTCACAAGATAATGTCATCAGTTAAGGCAGGAACAGGCCATTTTCATTTCTTTTGTGGTGGAATGTCATCAATTAAGGCAGGCACTGGCCGTCTGGATGTGTATGTGCACGTCACAGGGGATATGATAGTTTAGCTTGGGCTCAGAGGCCTGACGTACGTGTTACAAGAATATTCTCTCAAGTTGGTTTGCAGTTTGTTTACATATAAAGTTAGATTACAGGCCACAACTTATAGAGGCAGCTTGAGCCAAATTTAACTTAATTTAACACCTAGGAGCCACTGATGATTTTCTATTGAAGAGCATGACACAGTCACCTAATACATAAGGGTAAATTGCTCTGGTCACAACAGAATGGATTGGAATAAAGAGAGAAAAAAGTTGGTGAAACAAAAGTTCTTAGAGGTAAAGTCATGAAAAAGAAGCAATTCTGTTCAATTTGAGGAGAAAGAACTTGACATAGAACAAAAGAAGAACACGAGGTTGACATTAATTTAGAATTGCTATCCATTATGAATTGCTCACTTACTCTGAATCAAAACAGCCACAATTTACCTATAGTATAATTTAACCCTTCACCTCTTATTTTGATAACGTGTGAACTGTTTTTGTCACTATGGATTGACTGACTACTGCTGTGTACTTAGATGTAGCATTATTTAAATTAATAATAATCAAGATATTAAACTAGAACTCTGATGGAGGCAGATACCCAAATGTAAAATGAATACAGCAGAAAAGATACCCCTTTTTGTTTAATAAATTTGAAGATGCAGAATAGTGAAATAATAGAGAGCAGCAACTCTCTATTTGACTATGACAAGTCACGAAACATATCTAACACATATTCTAGACTCACTATTTACTAGCAATAATGAGTGACCAGTGATTGTATAAACTATTTATTACTTTAATTTGTTCATATTTAAATGAGAGGCACATAGTATGGAAATATGTAAGTGAAATAATGCTTATTAGATATGCATTGAGAGGATTATTAAAATGTTCTATAATGTATTATATCTATTGAAGATATATTTATTTATTCTTACCTCTGGCAGTTAATATGAGGTGCAGTGCTTAATAATTACATATGGGGCCAGGTGCGGTGGCTCATGCCTGTAATCCCAGCACTTTGGGAGGCCAAGGCGGGCGGATCACGAGGTCAGGAGATCGAGACCATCCTGGCTAACACAGTGAAACCCCTTCTCTACTAAAGATACAGAAAAATTAGCCGGGCGTGTTGGCAGGTGCCTGTAATCCCACCTACTCGGGAGACTGAGGCAGGAGAATGACATGAACCCAGGAGGCAGAGCTTGCAGTGAGCCGAGATTGCGCCATTGCACTCCAGCCTGGGCGACAGAGCGAGACTCTGTTTAAAAAAAAAAATTACATATCGGAATGTTCTAATTGTATGTAAAAATGATTGTGACCTTACAAAATTAAAATATAATCTACAAGTACCAAGATGTAAGAAATAATATTACATAATAATATCAGTAGTAACATTTCTTAATTTATGATAGTGGAGTTCAACTGGAGACAAATCCCCTGCCTTCTGGCCAAGGGATATTTGCAATGCCTGGGACATTTAGGTTGTTATAATGGTGGAATGGCCAGGAGGCTACTAGCAACTAGTATATCGAAGCTAGTGATGCTGAAAAATATCTTACCATGCAAAGGACAATGCTCCAGCTCCACAACAAAGAATTACCTTGCACAAAATATAAATAGTGCCAAGGTTGAGAAACCCTAACTTATAGTAAAGGTTCAAACTTTAAGCTGTAAAAAGCAAATTTACTTAATGCACTTACACATAGTTATATCTTGATGGATAACAAATAGATTGTAAAGATTAAATAACATTCTATATGCATAAAAATTTGTCTTAATTCACTTGAAGCTCTTTTTTTATATATGCATAAGAATATGGTGACTGAAAATGTCCAGTCTCTGTTTATAGGAAAGTTAAAATGCAGTAAAACACTCTCCTACTTGTTTTCTGAGTATATTTAAATACTTAAATACTATGATTTTAAAATGAAAATTTCTCTATATTTACCAACGGAAAGAATTTTATTAACCAATCATTAGTATAAAAATAAAATTACTATCTAAAGACAAAGAAAATACAAAACTATAATAGAAAGGGTACTGCTTTGTAAGATAGTAAGGCTCAATTTTCATCAATTTGAAATCATGATAATGTAGAACCCAGAATTCTGAAAACTTTAGATCAGAATTTTCTTAGTGCTTATAGATCTATCCCTAATTTTCTTTTCCTTAAAGGGAATTTCAGATCTGGCATGCAGTTTCATCTCTATTCATGTAAATTTCATACTTTCCATCCACACATTTTCCATCTTTTAGAAACCAGTTATAGGAAAGTATAGAAGAAATTTAATTTACTGTTACCAGGCCAATGATAAGCAATAATAGACAACAAAATGAGTGCAGCAAGATAGATAGATCTGTAACCAACAGAGATTTGTTAGATTATTTCTGGGTTAGTGTCAATCATGCAAAACATTATAGCTTTTAGTTAGGAGTTTCAAGAAATGTTTTGAAGTATGTATCCAGCAATTTTTTGATAGTGACTGCTATAGTGTGGCTCCGTGTCCCCACTGAAATCTCACCTCGAATTGTGATGATCCCCACATGTTAAGGGTGGGATCAAGGGGAGATAATGCAATCATGGGGGCAGTTTCCCTCATACTGTTCTCATGATAGTGAGTGAGTTCTCAGTAGATCTGATGGTTTTATAAAGGATTTCCCCTTTACTCTGCCCTCATTCTCTCTCCTGCCACCCTGTGAAGAAGTGTCTTCCACCATGATTGTCAATTTCCTGAGGCCTTCCCAGCCATGCAGAATTGTGAGTCAATTAACCCTCTTCTCTTTGTAAATTACCCAGTCTCGGGTATTTCTTAATAGCAGTGTGAGACTGGACTAATACACTGATCATAAAAGATAATATCACATAATTATAGCAGATAACAGAGCCGGCAGATATTTTCAGGGCGGAATTCAATTAAAAATGAACCAGTTCTTGAAGGATTCTATAGAATAAAGTAGAATGCAAAGTAATAAACTCTTCATTCAACGTAGTATGGAAAAACAGTTGAAGACAATAGGCAAACAATAAAAATGGAAGACTGGTAATGAAGATCTATGAGATAAGCATCCAAAATTTAGTAATACTTCAAGCTACCAGAAACATCCTTTCCATTTTGGGACACAATAATTAATGGGAAATGCTAAGAACTTAGAAAGGCTTTGAGGAACAATCACGAAGACTACAATATAAAACACCGTTCACAGATAAAAATATTAGTATGCTCCTAATTAAAGAGTGAAGAGTGCAATAAAATATAACAATAATATGGGTAAAAACTTACTTTTACACAATTCTCATGGTAATGTGAATTGATACAGCCATCTGTGAAAATAATCTGGCAGCACCTATTAAAATTTAAAAAGTATATCTTATAACTTGTTGACTAAGCCATAATAGTGACAGTTCCATGCACATGTACCCTAAAACTTAAAGTATAATAATAATAAAAAAATTATCTAATGTTAAACATTAAAAAAAGTGACAGTTCCAAAGATAAATATGTGAGTAGATGTGATATGCATATTTAATTAATTAATATCAATAAAAATTATATTACAAAGGTTGTAATTTAACCAGAATATTTGTACAAATGCATTGCCCAAGGAAGACCTCTTAGAGAAGGTAAATTTTTAATATTTCACAGTTTATAAACCTCAGAAATTTGTTTCTATCTCACTATAATGTCAGTTGGAATAATCATGGTGAAATAATACCAATTTTTCTCAAATTTGTTAGCCATGTCTTTATAAGAAATCTAAGGTTTTACATTACTGTTAATATTTCAATATAATTCAGAAAAAAAGTCTAAAAATAGAGGTATCCCCAACTATTATTTAGATAGGCACTGAGGTGAGAATACTTCTGTTGGTATCACAACAAAAATTTTCTAACACTACAGTAACCTACTTTTGTAGACTACTTGATCACAACAACTCATTCAACAAATTAGTTCTCTAAATATTTTTTAAGCTAGCTAAGGTGTACAAAATATTAATCTATGGGCTAAAGATCAGTTACGCTTTTTTTTCTTTTTCTTTTCTTTTCTTTTTTTTTTTCTTTCTGTGGAGAACAGGTTCTCACTATATTGCCCAGGCAGGTCTCAAACTCCTGGGCTGAGCTATCCTCCCGCCTCTGCCTCCCTAAGTGCTGGGATTGCAGGCACAAACCACCACACCCCATGAAGGATCAGTATTAAAAATCTCTATCTCTGTGGAGTTTACAATTATAGTAAGAAAAGTACCCAGCCTGTCACTGATGGGCATTTCAGTTGAGGCCAATGTTTTAGCTATTGTAAATAGTGCTGCCATGAACGTTCACATGCCTGAGTCTTTATGGTAGAATGATTTATATTCCTCTGGGTATATACCAAGGAATGGGATTGCTGCATCAAATGATAGTTCTGCTTTTAGCTCCTTGAGGAATTGCCATACTGTTTTCCACAACAGTTGAACTAATTTACACTCACACAAATAGTCTATAACTGTTTCCTTTTCTCCACAACCTTGACAGCATCTGTGATTTTTTGACTTTTTAATAGTAGCTATCCCAACTGGTGTGAGATGGTATTTCATTGTGGCTTTGATTTGCCTTTCTCTAATGTTAGTGATATTGAGCTTTTATTCATGTTCTTGTTGGCTAGATGTATGTCTTTTTTTTTTAAGTGACCAGGTTAATATGAGACCTTTGTCAGATGCATAGTTTGAAAATATTTTCTCCTATCCTGTAGGTTGTCTGTTCACTCTGTTGATAGTGTCTTTTGCTGTGCAGAAGCTTTTTAGTTTAATTAGATCCCATCAATGGTATATGGGATAAAGAAAGTGTGATACATATATAATATGGAATACTACACAGCCATAAAAAGAATGAGATCATATCTTTTGCAGGAACGTAGATGGAGCTGGAGGCCATTATCCTTAGCAAACTAACCCAGGAACAGAAAACCAAATACCGCATGATCTCACTTATAGTTGGGTACTGGATACTGAGCTTAATTCCTGGGTGATGAAATAATCTGTATATCAAATCCCCATGACATAAGTATACCTATGTAACAAACCTTAACATGTACAACCAAACCTAAAATAAAAGTTAAAAATAAATAAAGAAATTCAAGACCCTGAAAAATTAGTACAAATTTAAACATATATATATATAATTATCTTAAATTATGATAAGGGGTATGGTGATAAAAAAAATAAAGGAAACAGCAACAGTGAGTTCAGGGGCATTGGTAGTAGTGGGTGGGAAATTTCAAATAATATGTTTAAAGAAGGATTTGCAGAAACATTGACATTTTAGCAGATACCTGAAAAAGGTTGTGATAGTGTAAAAAAAAAATACCACCCAACCCCAACCCCCCACCCCCAAAGATACCCATGTCCTGATCCCTAAAAACTATTAATATTACCTTTTATGGAAGAAAGAAAAAAGGAAAAAAAGAAAGAAGGAAGGAGGGAAGGAAGGAAAGAAGGAAGGAAGGGAGGGAGGGAAAGAGAGAGAGAGAGAAAGCAAGAAAGCAAGCAAGAAAGAAAGAAAGGAAGAAGAAAGAAAGGGAAGGTGGGAAAGAGAGTGATCACACATATAGATGTGATTAAATGAAGGATCTTGAGATGGAGAGATTATCCTGGACTAGCCAATTGGGCCCTAAATGTTAAATGCAATTGTGGATGTTTTTTAGAAAGGAAACAAAAGTGATTGTATTCATAAACAAAAGAGGGGAAAGTAATATAACCGCAGATGCAGAGGCTGGATAATGCAACTACAAGCCAAAGAATGCCAGTAGCCACCAGTAGCTGGAAGAAGCCAAGAATGAATTCTCCCCTCGAAACTCCAGAGGGAGTGCAATCTTGTTGACACTTTGATTTTGGCTTGATATTACTGGTTTGAGACTTCTGGCCTCCAGAACTGTGAGAAAATAAATTTGTATTTTCAATCCACTAAGTTTGTTGTAATTTGTTGGAGCAGCCATTGGAACTAGTACAGGGGATGAGGATGCAAATTATGCAGAGCTGAGGACACAAGCTATTTGGTGGGTAAATATCTGGAGTGAGTTAACTTTTGGATATGTTAAGTTTGAGAAGTCTAGTAGACATCCAAGTGGGGAGATGTCAAGGAGACAGTTAAGTGCTCAGGGGAGAGTCCTGGGCTGTCTAGATAAATGTGGAAATTATTGGCATGTAGATTGTAATTAAGCCATGAGACCAGATGAGGGAGGTATTCAGAAACAAAGAAAAGGTAAAATGATTGAGCTCTGGACTCCCCCAGGATTAGGGATTAGGGATATGAGAAGGAGCCAGAAAAGGAGCCTAAGAAAGGAGTGGTCTTAATGCAAAGAGGAAAATCAGACAAGTTCAATTCCCTGGGAGTCAGTGAAGAAAAAGTTTCAAGGAAGATGGCATAGTCAACTGTGGTCAACTCTATCAAAAGCTAGAATAAGATGAGAACTATGGGATTTATTGTCTTTTAGTCACAAGGTAATTGATATTTTTTTAAGAATAGCTTCAGTGGAAGTGTGGGAACAAATATCTGATTGAACTGGGTTCAAGAGAAAATGGAAGAAAAGAAATAGAAGATCATAAATATAGCCAACAAATTGAGATAATGTCATTAAAAATTACATGGAGGAAGTCCTCTTTTAGTTTCCACATTTAATCTAATCTACACATAAAATAAGCTAACAATAACCACATATAGTAAAATAAAATTGGTCATGAAAATATTTCTCCAGAATGTCTTTAACCAAAGCGACATATGATGGAAATTCATTATGCTTTAGCCATAGTGTTTTCTACATTTCCCATAGAATTAAAATATAAAGTAGTCAGTTGGTATCGATATAGTGAAGTAATTCTTAGTAATGTCACAGTACAGATCATACTTTGTCTTCACAGAAACGTGTGGATATTATAGCTTAAATGTATACTATAAATATTTACATTTATCAAACTTAATGGTTTCTATTCTGTCTTCTTTATGTCATATTTGTAATAAATATTCAGGTAAAAGTCAGAAAATTATAAACCTAATAAAAGTAGAAATCGTATTTACCTTACCATAACATCCCTATTGTGCTATTGTGCAGAACAGTGGCTGTGAACGTGGTAAGTGTTCAATTAGCACTTACTGAATGAAAAAAAAGTTGCCAGTGTAAGACGTTTCGGCCGGGCGCGGTGGCTCACGCCTGTAATCCCAGCACTTTGGGAGGCCGAGGCGGGCGGATCACGAGGTCAGGAGATCGAGACCATCCTGGCTAACACGGTGAAACCCCGTCTCTACTAAAAATACAAAAAATTAGCCGGGCGTGGTAGCGGGCGCCTGTAGTCCCAGCTACTCGGGAGGCTGAGGCAGGAGAATGGCGTGAACCGGGAGGCGGAGCTTGCAGTGAGCCGAGATCGCGCCACTGCACTCCAGCCTGGGCGACAGAGCAAGACTCCGTCTCAAAAAAAAAAAAAAAAAAAAAAAAAAGTTCAGAAGGGGATACCATTCATAAGAAAGAGAAGAGCCCTGAGGAAAGAAGAATAAACATGAAAAAGTCCTAATGTCAACAAATATTGACATGTTCAAAGAACTGAAAAAAGACTACTCTTTTAAAAATATTAAATGTGGACACCAATGGAAATGGCATGAATTTGGAGAGTTCACTCAAGTCTCTGATTCATGATGGGCTTGCTATGTACTAGGTGCTGGGTGTAAACCATGACTTGTATGACCAAGACAGCTCTCATGGATCTTACACTCTGATAAACGTGGTTAGATAACACTTAACTAATGAACAGAAAGTTCTACACTGTGCATTAAGTGACAAAAAGGAGAGAGGATACATAGGTGACATTTGTTAGAAAACGTGATGTGGAAGAGAACTGAAAATCTGAAATTGGTTTGAAAAGAATAAGGGAGTAATACCTAATTTATCTTTCCAAAAATAATCAGCTGCTGCACTGCACATATAAAGAAGATGTTTATTCTTCCAGGTTTTGATTTTTCCAAGATAGTAGGATGGAGACAGAAGGGGGAAGGGAATTGATCATGTTCCAATGAATATAATTGAGTCTATTTCAATAAATAATAATAATAATGCATTATGTTATTCTGGTTGGACAAATAAAAATCCAGAAAGAGGCTTTGGATAATTAGAATTTGGTGGTTTCAATGCATTAAAAGGCATTGTGTTACATTCGTAGGTTACTAGAATACACAAGTTCAGAGAATCAATCACCCTGGCAGGAGAGCAGGGTTTTAAAATTTTTAGACTCCACAGTTTCTAGTGAATAAATCCAACATTAACTATGTAAGTAAATAGGAGAGATGAATTAAAATAGTCATTAAAATAGAAGAAGGGAGGAAGCCAGAAGCTAAGATATTCATCTGAAAAGTGAAGTCAACAAAACTGTCAACATTAAGGGATAGGATCACATTAATGAGAAAGATAATCAGAAGGTTAATTGCTTTACATCGTAACACTCAAATTTGCTTACATTTATCATACTCTTTAAATTTGAGACCATTTAGTAAAAGCTGGTAGCAAACATTAGGTGATATTTATGATTACAGTAAGAAACTAATTAGAGGTTGTAAGTAAATGTGTGATTACTAATAATATCATATGTAATCATTTAATTGCTATTTAATGTTTATGCAAGTGCAATAGTTGTATTGAAATTAAAAAATATTGAGAGCACGCTTACCCTTTCCCCTAGCTGTTGTAAGAACTTGATAAGAATTAGCTAAATTAATAAACAAAACACATTTAAATCAACAAATTTCAAGAGGTATTTTCTATAACTTCAAACTGTCTTTCTTAATTTGGAAGAACTATATGTCTCTTAGGGGAGAGGTTAACTTGAGACATCCTTTGAGAGTGTAATGAATGATAACAAGTAGGCTATAACTTATTAATCATGGCTTCATCCAATGACATCCTATCCTAGTTTAAAGGAGGAAAGTCCATTCTTATAGAACAAAATCTATTGAGTGGTAGGTATTTACTTGTTTGTAAACACTATTCATCATGAAATTTCTCTCCCTTCAAAGAAGACAGAGTTGAAAAGCGTATTCCCACATTTCATATTCCCAAAAGGACACTAAATGAAGTCTTTCTTTTTTCCCCATCATATATTAAGCACTAAGTCACTGAGATTCCAGAGGAACACACAGATAATAACTTCTCCCTTTCGAAGAAGTAATAGTGAGAACAATGCATTAGAAGTCGAGTTTAATTTCAAGTGTTAGTACCTTTACTTGCTACACTACCTTCAGTTATATACTTAAGCCACTAAATCTTAGTTTCTTTTACTTTTTGATAGTAATAACAATATTCTATCATCTTACTCACAAGGAAACTAAAATGAATTAAAATTAAATATCATGTATAGAGAAATAAGCACATGAGCTAGCATATTATAAAAGCTCAGTAAGTTGTAGCTATTGTTTTTATTGGTAATAACAAAACTTCCTTGTGAGATTGATATTGTTATGCAAATGCTTTTAATTAGTATTCCATATTACAGGATTGGAGAACAAGTCTAACTCAAGAGTTTTATATTTTGGTTTAGGGAATAGAATTAATCTCTATGTTATATTGTTTTGAGAGGGCCCCCAGAAAGCCCATTTTTTATTTTTAAGAAGACTATATCTTTCAAATAATACAGATGTTGCTCTACTTTATCAAAATTTCAATTCAGAACCTTTCCTATGGTGGTTGAAACTGAATAACTGAATTGAAACTGTGAGTTTTGTTTTATCTGTACAAAGAAAAAAGAGATCATTACCCAATGTCCTGATTGTATCCTTTGATACTTCCTTTTCAGCTGTTAGGTGATAAGCATGCCAAATTTTACAAGTCAGAAATAAAGTGATGGTTAGACAAGAATATATAGGTGGGTTTTGGGTTTTTTTCATGTGTATTTTTATTTTTACTTTTTGTATTTATCAAGAAATATGTGGAAAACAGAGAAATATTTGTAAGGTCTGGCTTAAACAATTTTATTGTTTTGCACATTGTATTCAGACCAAATCTTGTTTAAAAATTATTCTAGTTTTAAAAGGAAAAATATTATACTTAAGGCTGCATGGCAATATAATAATACTTCAATATACAATGTAGCCAACCTAAGTAACCCAAGAAACTGAAACACAAAAATGAGAAAACCTGCCTACAGATAGGCGGTTACTTAATTACAAATTTATATTGTAGAACACAAAATAAAGAAAAATTAAGAAGAAAGAAAGGAAGGAAGGGAGGAAGGAAGGGGCATAGAGAGGAGACAGAGGGAGAAAAGGAGAAAGACAGGAAAAAGAGGGAGAGAGGGAAGAAAATGCATGTAATCAGGCTTCCTGCCAGGTAAACTGAACACAGGGAAGTGACTAATGTTTTTAGAATAAGATTCTGAAATGCTGAAAATATATATTGAATAGTATGAACTAATTTGGTGTATGATGAACATTTTTATCTTTAAGGATGTTAAATAAAATGTATGAGATGTCATTGTTTTGTACTAAGCTGCTGCACTAGGCCCCAACAGACCAGATCAAACCAGAATAGAGTCACTCATGCTCAATGCCATGTAATCAAACTGAACTTTAAAACAGGCTAGTTTTCCCCAAAAACAGATTCACAGCAACCAATCATAAGGGGCCCAGTCAACCTGAGCCAGCATGATAAGAATATCTTTGCATTCACCCATACAAAGAAAGTAACTTCGAAAAAAATAAGGTAAATATTTTAATAGATTTTTTAAAAAGTAAAATAAATGTAAAAAAACAGGATGAACAAAATATCAAATAAATACATTATCAATATTATTAATTTTTCCTTTTGCCTTAGGCTCAAGTATGGCTCAACCTCAAAATTACTTATTGCATTATTCCAAGCTCTGGCTAAAATAAGCTTCATTAGAAGGATATTAGGTGGTTCACAGAATTGTCAGGAATTAAAAAAACAAGTCTCAGGAAATTGATAAGAAATAAAATTATAGGCTGCCAATAAATCAATCTATATGATTATTGTACTTTTTTTCATTGGATACTTAATTACCAAACTCTGAAATGAATATTTTTAAAATTGTCCTGCATCTTTGTATCACTCCTCTGGATTCATGGTCTTGGAAGATCAGGGCCCAGGACAGATGCTTACGTTTTAGTTGTCAGGGATTAGATAGAAATAAGTCTTACTCCTGAAGTCACCCAGTGGAAATTTCATTGAAATAACAAAAATATTTAGGTATTCAATAGTAATAAAAAGGTCTCTGTCTACTACATTCATTATTATCTGGGACTCCGGAATATATCAAAAGTGAAAGCCCATCATTGCCAGTTGTTCAAATGGAAATACAAAAAAATACAGAAACAAACAAATTAAAAATAAAAAGGGTATTATAAAAGCAAAATTAGCCTTTAAACTTGTCATGTAGATTTCCAAATTCGGTAATAACACCAATAATTTCAACTATAACCTAAAAAAAAGAATTTAATAGGAAACAAAAATATTCCTGAGTCATAGACTGTTTTTAGGGGGTGTTGAAAATTAGAATCATTCCTGTAGTGCTCAAACTTTTGCTTCTGTAGATGTGGAAAGGTGTGATACCTTTCATCACCTGTCGTAATGATTACAGCTGACACTCCTTCAACGGAAGACAGGTGAACAACAGAAATGCTTATTAATTTTATTTAATTAAAATTTTATGTGACAGGGAGCCTTCAGAAATGAAGCATGAAAGACCAAGGAAAAACTATCTATTTTTCTGCTTAGGTTTGTTGAAGAATAAACAGCCATGTAGAAATGTGATCAGACAAAAGGGCATAATCTAATGGTAACAGACTGAGGGCTGCCCCCCTCAGACAAGCTGGGCAAAGCTTGTCTGTTCTGATTCTTCTTGGCCTCTCTGTGTAGCATTCCTCTCCGGGATGGGGCAAGTATGGGGCAGGGCCCCAATGGGAATGAGTGCCTTCAAGAAAGAAGGAGGAAGAGAGAAAGTGACTTTCCTAGGTTTGATGGCTTGCTTTGGAGGACAAAGAAGGGTGGGCGATAAGAAGTCAGGAGAAGTTCAGAAAGGCCTTCCTTCTGAGGCCTTTCCAATCTCCTCTAGTTCAAAGTACTCAGCATCACCATGTGCCATACTTTGGACTATCATCCTCTGAGTCCCAACACTTATTAGGAAAAACAGACAAATGAAAACAGATAGACTTAAAGGGCTGTAGATGAGAAATTCAAAGGAAAATACTATACTTTCCAACTATTATAGGTATACTAAATAAGTCATTCTGGAACATGTGTGCATATAAAGCAGATCATTAAAAAGCAACCACTTAATAGTGCACAAACAGGTCAGAAATCATGTTCCCCAAAACAAATATACGAGACAAAATTTTACCCAAATAATCATTTCAAGGCTCTGAGTATTGCTGAAATAATCAGTAAGTTGAGAAGTGTTTATTCATGGAAAAGCAATTAAAACTTTTTGGGATAAAAGCTGAGTCTGTAGCCTTCTTGCTTAGGCTGCTGCTTTTTATCCAAACCCAATTTTTTCTGTTGTTTCATCACCCTGCTATGAAAACCAGCAGTGCCACTGCCAGAAGGACAAACTCGATTCAGGGTTGAAGGTGAAAATTCATGATTGGTAGCATTGTCAGTAAAAGTAATAAATATCACAGGAAATCATGGAGAAAGCCGGAAGCTCTGTTATCCTAAAGTAGCTGTCCACATTGGTGTGCAGAGTGAAATCGGCCAAAATTTTAATGGGGAGATCTGGAAATGAGAGAACCCAAGAAACTCCAGCAATATAAGTGGCCCACACATCTCTGGCTAGGAAATTGCTTTCATGCACAGGGAGACCTGGTAGGGTCCCGTGGAAAGGAAAAGTCAAGGCATACTTGAATCCTGGGTGAACTGTTAATGGCTTTTCAGTCCACAAACAGAGCTATCAGCAGAGTATGAAAACTTTAGAGGCTCAGCTCAAAGTATTTGAGTACAACCTCTCCCCAAATCACTGGCTGAACAGTAAACAATGCAAGCACATGGGACACTCTTTAGGTTGCTAAGCTAAAAAAATAAAAATAATATATATAAATCTGAGCGGAAACATCAGTGGCTACAACAGAGGAACCAGATGCCTGAGATTAACACAAGGCAAGTTAAAAAAAAATTCTGAATTTGGTATATTATAACTCATCCCATCTAAAATATTCAGGTTTCAACAGAAAAAATGTCAGGAAATGCATACAATCATCAAACAAACAAAAAACCCACAGGAAGTTTTATCACATAGAAAAAAAATAGTTAATATAGACTAATTCTGAGTCCAGATATTGGACGTAGCAAACAAGAACTTCAAATAAGTTATTATTACTATATTCAAAAAATTACAAGAGCTTTTTAAACAATTAAAATATGATGACACAATACATAAAGAATTTCAGCACATTAAATTTAAAGGAAGTCTAGAGATGAAAAATACAACAAATAAAAAACCCACTAGATAGGCTCAAAGGCAGACTTCAGAGGGCAGAATAAAGAATAGGTGAATTGTAGGAAGAACAATATAAATTATCCTATTAGAATAACAGATAGAAAAAAAAAACAAAAAGAGCCTCAGAGACCCGTGGAACAACATCAGACATGCCAATGTATGTATAATGGGAAGCTGTATGAATTTACTAAAAATCATTGAGCTGTGCATATATAATAGGCATATTTTTGTGGTATGTAAACTTCACCTTCACAAGGGTTTTATTTTTTTGGCTTCAATTATTTTTCTTGTTGCTTCTATTAATGACATTTATATTATAGGTTGGTACAGAATTCATCGTGGTTTTTGCCATTACTTTTAATTGTTTTTAATTACTTTTAATGGCAAAAACTGAAATGAATTTCACACCAACCTAGGATTAATTAATTTAATTTTCTATATGTATTGCCTATTTTATACTAAAGAAATATGTAAAGACAATGTTGAAAAAATATACATGATATTCACATAATTGGTAGGGTCTGAGTTAAATATTATCCAGAATGGCATTGGCCAGGATAATTTCTTTACCAGAAAGAATAAATATAAGTTCCTTAACTGTAATATAAACTTGAATTTTCTGTTTCAGTAAATTTCTTTATATTGGCATATGATTATAGAACTTCTGTAACCTTGGCTTTACATATAACTTTTCCCCAAAATAAAACTTTATTTTTTAAGCAAATATTTTTTTCAGATGAACATCAAAAGTGAGTCCCACAACCATTTCCAGTTCTCTAGTCTCAGCCACCTGCATTTCCATCCTGCTTCATTGTAACATCTTTCAAATTAATATCTCACCATCTGCTCTTGTGCCACTCTTCTATGTTTGCTTTAAAAATACAAAATCATCTTACTTGATGATTGATCATCTTACTTCTGATTTTAAACCCTTGAATGACACCTCAGTGCTTTTCAGGTAAAGGCAAAATCCTTTCCATGTTCTGTAGGGCCGTGCCTAGTTTTCCAGTCAATGCCACAACATTCGTATTTTTTTTTATTACACTTTAAGTTCTAAGGTACATGTGCACAATGTGCAGGTTTGTTACATATGTATACATGCACCACGTTGGTGTGTTGCACCCATTAACTTGTCATTTACATTAGGTATATCTCCTAATGCTATCCCTCCCCGCTCCCCCCAGCCCATGACAGGCCCTGGTGTGTGATGTTCCCCTTCCTGTGTCCATGTGTTCTCATTGTTCAATTCCCACCTACGAGTGAGAACATGCAGTGTTTGGTTTTTTGTCCTCGTGATAGTTTGGTGAGAATGATGGTTTCCACATTCATCCATGTCCGTACAAAGGACATGAACTCATCCTTTTTTATAGCTGCATAGTATTTCATGATGTATATGTGCCACATTTTCTTAATCCAGTCTATCATTGATGGACATTTGGGTTGGTTCCAAGTCTTTGCTATTGTGAATAGTACCGCAATAAAAATATGTGTGCGTGTATCTTTATAGCAGCATGATTTATAATCCTTTGGATATATACCCAGTAATGGGATGGCTGGGTCAAATGGTATTTCTAGTTCTAGATCCTTGAGGAATAGCCACACTGTCTTCCACAATGGTTGAACTAGTTTACAGTCCCACCAACAGTGTAAAAGTGTTCCTATTTCTCCAGATCCTCTCCAGCACCTGTTATTTCCTGACTTCTTAATGATCGCCATTCTAACTGGTGTGAGATGGTATCTCATTGTGGTTTTGATTTGCATTTCTCTGATGGCCAGTGATGATGAGCAATTTTTCATGTGTCTTTTGGCTGCATAAATGTCTTCTTTTGAGAAGCATCTGTTCATATCCTTTGCCCACTTTTTGTTGGGGTTGTTTTTTTCTTGCAAATTTGTTTCAGTTCTTTGTAGATTCTGGATATTAGCCCTTTGTCAGATGAGTAGGTTGTGAAAATTTTCTCCCATTCTGTAGGTTGCCTATTCACTCTGATGGTAGTTTCTTTTGCTGTGCAGAAGTTCTTTAGTTTAATGAGATCCCATTTGCCAATTTTGGCTTTTGTGCCATTGCTTTTGGTGTTTTAGACATGAAGTCCTTGCCAATGACTATGTCCTGACTGGTATTGCCTAGGTTTTCTTCTAGGGTTTTTATGGTTTTAGGTCTAATATGTGAGTCTTTAATCCATCTTGAATTAATTTTTTATAAGGTGTAAGGAAGGGATCCAGTTTCAGCTTTCTACATATGGCTAGCCAGTTTTCCCAGCACCATTTATTAAATAGGGAATCCTTTCCCCATTGCTTGTTTTTGTCAGGTTTGTCAACGATCAGATTGTTGCAGATGTATGGTATTATTTCTGAGGGCTCTGTTCTGTTCCAATGGTCTATATATCTCTTTTGGTACCAGTACCATGCTATTTTGGTTACTGTAGCCTTGTATAGTTTGGAGTCAGGTAGCATAATGCCTCCAGCTGTGTTCTTTTGCCTTAGGATTGTCTTGGCAATGCAGGCCCATTTTTGGGTACATATGATCTTTAAAGTAGTTTTTTCCAATTCTGTGAAGAAAGTCATTGGTAGCTTGATGGGGATGGCACTGAATCTATAAATTACCTTGGGCAGTATGGTTATTTTCATGATATTGATTCTTCATATTCATGAGCATGGAATGTTTTTCCATTTGTTTGTGTCATCTTTTATTTCTTTGAGCAGTGGTTTGTAGTTCTCCTTGAAGAGGTCCTTCACATCCCTTGTAGTTTGGATTCCTAGGTATTTTATTCTCTTTGAAGCAATTGTGAATGGGAGTTCACTCATGATTTGGTTCTCTGTTTGTCTGTTATTGGTGTATAAGAATGCTTGTGATTTTTGCACATTGATTTTATATCCTGAGACTTTGCTGAAGTTGCTTATCAGCTTAAGGAGATTTTGGGCTGAGACCATGGGGTTTTCTAGATATACAATCATGTCATCTGCAAACAGGGACAATTTGACTTCCTCTTTTCCTAATTGAATACCCTTTATTTCCTTCTCCTGCCTGATTGCCCTGGCCAGAACTTCCAACACTATGTTGAATAGGAGTGGTGAGAGAGGGCATCCCTGTGTTGTGCCCGTTTTCAAAGGGAATGCTTCCAGTTTTTGCCCATTCAGTGTGATATTGGCTGTGGGTTTGTCATAAATAGCTCTTATTATTTTGAGATACTTCCCAACAATACCTAGTTTATTGAGAGTTTTTAGCATGAAGGGCTGTTGAATTTTGTCAAAGGTCTTTTCTTCATCTATTGAGATAATCATGTGGTTTTTGTCATTGGTTCTGTTTATATGCTGGATTACATTTATTGATTTGCATATGTTGAACCAGCCTTGCATCCCAGGGATGAAGCCCACTTGATAATGGTGGATAAGCTTTTTGATGTGCTGCTGGATTCGGTTTGCCAGTATTTTATTCAGGATTTTTGCATCGATGTTCATCAGGAATGTTGGTCTAAAATTCTTTTTTTGTGTGTGTGTGTCTGTGTCAGGCTTTGGTATCAGGATGATGCTGCCCTCCTAAAATGAGTTAGGGAGGATTCCCTCTTTTTCTGTTGATTGGAATGGTACCAGCTCCTCCTTGTACCTCTGGTAGAATTCAGCTGTGAATCCGTCTGGTCCTGGACTTTTTTTGGTTAGTAGGCTATTAATTATTGCCTCTATTTCAGAGTCTGTTATTGGTCTATTCAGGGATTCAACTTCTTCCTGATTTAGTCTTGGGAGGGTGTATGCGTCCAGGAATTTATCCATTTCTTCTTGATTTTCTAGATTGCCTAGAGGTGTTTATAGTATTCTCTGATGGTAGTTTGTATTTCTGTGGGATCAGTGGTGATATCCCCTTTATCATTTTTTATTGCATCTATTTGATTCTCATCTCTTTTCTTCTTTATTAGTTTTTCTAGCAGTCTATCAATTTTGTTGATCTTTTCAAAAAACCAGCTCCTAGGTTCATTGATTTTTTGAAAGGTTTTTTGTGTCTCTATCTCCTTCAGTTCTGCTCTGATCTTAGTTATTTCTTGCCTTCTGCTAGCTTTTGAATGTATTTGCTCTTGTTTCTCTAGGTCTTTTAATTGTGATGTTAGGGTGTCAATTTTAGATCTTTCCTGCTTTCTCTTGTGGGCATTTAGTGCTATAAATTTCCCTCTACACGCTGCTTTAAATGTGTCCTAGAGATTCTAGTATGTTGTGTCTTTGTTCTCATTCGTCAAAGAACATCTTTATTTCTGCCTTCATTTCGTTTTGTACCTAGTAGTCACTCAGGAGCAGGTTGTTCAGTTTCCATGTAGTTGAGTGGTTTTGAGTGAATTTCTTAATCCTGAGTTCTAGTTTGATTGCACTGTGGTCTGAGAGACAGTTTGTTATAATTTCTGTTCTTTTACATTTGCTGAGGAGTGCTTTACTTCCAACTATGTGGTAAATTTTGGAATAAGTGTGATGTGGTGGTCAGAAGAATGTATATTCTGTTGATTTGGGGTGGAGAGTTCTGTGGATGTCTATTAGGTCTGCTTGGTGCAGAGCTGAGTTCAATTCCTGGATATCCTTGTTAACTTTCTGTCTCGTTGATCTGTCTAATGTTGACAGTGGGGTGCTAAAGTCTCCCATTATTATTGTGTGGGAGTCGAAGTCTCTTTGTAGGTCCCTAATGACTTGCTTTATGAATCTGGGTGCTCCTGTATTGGGTGCATATATGTTTAGGATAGTTAACTCTTCTTGTTGAATTGATTCCTTTACCATTATGTAATGGCCTTCTTTGTCTCTTTTGATCTTTGTTGATTTAAAGTCTGTTTTATCAGAGACTAGGATTGCAACCCCTGCCTTTTTTTGATTTCCATTTGCTTGGTAGATCTTCTTCCATCCCTTTATTTTGAGCCTATTTGTGTCTCTGCACATGAGATGGGTTTCCTGAATACAGCACACTGATGGGTCTTCACTCTTTATCCAATTTGCCAGTCTGTGTCTTTTAATTGGAGCATTTAGCCCATTTACATTTAAGGTTAATATTGTTATGTGTGAATTTGATCCATAATATTGTTATATGTGAATTTGTTATGTGTGAATTATGATGTTAGCTGGTTATTTTGCTCGTTAGTTGATGCTGTTTCTTCCTATCCTCGATGGTCTTTACAATTTGGCATTTTTTTACAGTGGCTGGTACTGGTTATTCCTTTCCATGTTTAGTGCCTCCTTCAGGAGCTTTTGTAGGGCAGGCCTGGTGGTGACATTCGTATTCTTGTTCAAACTCTTCTCACTGAAGCCTTTCTGCAATTCTTGAAATTATACCACAGGGCCTTTGCACCATCCTTTTTCTGCCCAGCACACTTTACACTACGATTTGCCCTTAGTTAATGCCTACTCACACCTCAGGTCTCACCACAAATAACCACAATTTGTAAATTAGTTAATGATATTTTTGCTTCATGAGATAAAATAGCTAATTAAAAGCAACTTTTAAAAGACTACAGTTGTGTTATAATACTAGTTACTATGATTTGCTTAGCATTTTAATTAGGTGAGTCCTCTAAGTCCACAGCTCTTAGGTTCTCTGGGTTTATCTCTCAACATAACAAGATAGCTTTCACAACTTAGCATCGCATCTTTTTACAAGTCCAAAAGTTGGGGGAAAGAGCAGGGGCCACTAGGCAAAAAAAATTAGCTTCCTTTATAGTGGAGACTAAAATATTTATTTATAAAATGCCTAGTACATAACTCCTTTTACCTCATTCAATAGAATTCAACAAATGAATAAATTAAAATGCAAATGAGGTAATGAATTAATTTCTGGTAAAGAAGAATATGTGTCATTATCAAATTAGGTATTTTGTCACCCAGAACAAGTTCAAGTTCTCCTAGGAAAGAAGGAAGAAATAGTTATGGGTTGGCAAATAACCCTGTCTGCCATCATTTATCAGCATACATCTGTTTTCATAATAATTCTGTATGTCTTCCTCATGAGACTCTAAGCATTGTGAGGTCAGAAACTGGGGATGAGTTGCTCACTATTATTTCCTTAGTGAAAACAAAATGAAACATAAGTGTTTTTCTAAATATAGTCATTGTGAAAATTCAAACTCCACACAGGAATGTCAATAGATACGGAAAAAAAATATGCTTAACTCACTCAGTTGTTCTTTACTGAGTGTGCCCCCAGATGGGATAGTTGTGAATGTCAGAAGACATTTTTGATGATCACACTGGAGGAAGAGATGCTACTAGCATCCAGTGGATAGGAGAACAGGAATGCTTCCAAACATACTGCAATTCACAGGCAGCCCCTGCTCAAAGAATTGCCTCATCCAAACTTACATGACATCTGATCTATGCCAACAATATCAAGGTTAAGAAACCCTAGCTTAAAGTCATTGCACTTATTTGAAATGTTCTAGAAAAATTAAAAAACAGCTTCAGCAATCACTTTTGAATTTTTACCTTCACACTATTTCCCTCCCCATATCGTTCTGTCCTAAAGAAAAATATATAAAATATATGTTGTGTGCAAAAAGACAAAGAGTATATACTATGTCATTACTCCTGATTGAGGTTGGAAAGTTCAGGACCAACACCTCCAATATGGATCAGTCAGGTATTTAGGCAAGAGATATTTCATGAGCTGGCAAACACTTTCTCTTATCTTCTTGCTGGATTTTAGGAACTCATGTTCAAGACAAATTGAGCACATGTTCTATCTGTAGAACGTATGCTCGAGTCATATTTTCTATCTAAAGAGGTATAAAATAAGTTTAATAGAAAGAACACAATTAAGAATAGTACTTTTGTGTCCTGCAAACCATTAATTTATAAATTATAGTTAATGTTTGTTCATCATCATATTTATCAGTAACAATGAACAAGAATATACCATTTCCAGGCAAGGAATCTTAAGATGGAGGGTCCCATAAGACTAGAAGGCTTGCCAGCCTATGGAATATTTCTTAAATGGTAATTTCAGGCATCCTAAATTGGCTTTCCTGATTATATTTGTTAGCTATAGCTGCCTTAACAAACGATCACAGTGGGGTGGTTTAAAACAAGACAAATGTATTCTTTGACTATTCTGTAGGTCAGAAGCCTGAAATCAAGATTATCAGCAGAACTGCACTGCCCCCAGAGGCTCCAGGGGATAATCCTTCTTTGTTTTGTCCAGCTTCTGGTGCCTGTCAGCATTCTTTTCCTTGGTTTTTGGCTCCATGAGTCCAATTTCTGCTTCTGTCTTTTCACCACCTTCTCCTCCGTGTGTCAGTTCTCTGTATGTGTCTCTTATAAGGATACTTACTGGAGTTAGAGCCTAGCCTGAGGATCCGGGATGAACTTATCTCAACATGCTTAACTTAATTACATCTGTAAATACCCTTTTTCCAAAAAGGAGACATTCATAGCTTCCAGATATCTTCTGCAGAGTCATTTTTCACTTCACCACGTTGTTCATCGATGGTTGAATATTTTGCTTTCACTTTAAATATTAATTTCTAAAAGATTCTATACTTCAGTCACTTCACCTTAGCAAAGGTAATACAGATTTATAATATGGCTCATATTTATAAGTCTCCGTTATTGGTTGCATTGCTGTGGGGATATTTTTCCTTCTGTCATGCAGCTGGCAAAAATCATTCATTTTTTATCAATGTCAACTGCATTATTTGTTTGTTTGTTTGCTTGTGTTGAGACAGAGTCTCTCTTGCTCTGTTGCCCAGGCTGGAGTGCAGTGGCACATCTTGGCTCACTGCAGCCTCCGCCTCCGGGATCAAGCGATTCTCCTGCCTCAGCCTCCTGAGTAGCTGGAATTACAGGAGCATGCCACCATGCCCAGCTAATTTTTGTATTTTTAGTAGAGACAGGGTTTTGTCATGTTGGCCAGGCTTGCCTCAAACTCCTGACCTCAAGCAACCCATCCTCCTCGAGCTTCCGCAGTGTATTATTTGTTTATAATGACAATATTACACAGAGTATAAAAATCTAATCTAGATCACAATTTTCCGACGTTGAAACCTACTGTGTAGCCATACCCACCATAGCAGGTGGGCTATTCCATAAATGTTCTCTGATATTGCAATTCATCTTATTGTTAAAAATGTAAATACTTTTGGAAAATATTTCCAAATATGTTTCCCCTAGGTCTCTCAAAACATGTAAAATATTAAGGTGATGTAAAACCTGGTTTCATTTTGTAATTGTCCAAAAGAAAGAAAGTAAATTTTTCCTCATATTCTAAAATATATGTTTCATGCACGTCCATGTGAAGAGACCACCAAACAGGCTTTGTGTGAGCAACATAGCTGTTTATTTCACCGGGGTGCAGGCGGGCTGAGTCCGAAAAGAGAGTCAGAGAAGGGAGATAGGGGTGGGGCTGTTTTATAGGATTTGGGTAGGTAAAGGAAAATTACAGTCAAAGGGGGGTTGTTCTCTGGTGGGCAGAGTGGGGGTCACAAGGTGCTCAGTAGGGGAGCTTTTGAGCCAGGATGAGCCAGGAGAAGGAATTTCACAAGACCATGTCATCAGTTAAGGCAGGAACAGGCCATTTTCACTTCTTTTGTGGTGGAATGTCATCAGTTAAGGCAGGAACCGGCCATCTGGATGTGTACATGCAGGCCACAGGGGATATGATGGTTTAGCTTGGGCTCAGAGGCCTGACAATATGAAGCACTGGGAGCACTTCTAATTAATTAATCTTATTGCAAGACACAATATAAATACAAAAAAAATAAAATATTTTATACTTGCACTTACTTTTTTTTGAAAACAAACTTTACTTTTGTAAACTTTAATAAACATAAAAATAAACAAATGCACATACACATACAATCCTTAGCCTACAGATTTTTCAGGGGCGAGTAACAGGAAAGGTTAATTTGAATTGCATATACAAGACAGCACCTATAAAAGCCAAAAATAGTTTGTTCTGGTTTGTTAGCTTCCAAGCAGATATTTTTACAAAAAAAGGGTACATTTTTAAATAACCGTGAAGAAGTTATGTGCAAAAATTCTGTTCATGTATAACAGAATTTGTGCTAATACCTCCTACACACTACTTTTAAAACACACCCCTCTCTGGTTTAGAGATTGTTGTCAAAAAAGAGACTGTGACTTGAAAAGAAATGGATATTTACAGAAAAAAAACCTTGTTACCAGCAAAAAACCTTAATACAACTGATAATTTAAAATAATAAATAGAAAGATAAATACGTACATATATATGGGTATATGTACAAATATGTTTATATAAGATATATATATATCTTATAGATTGCCTTAAAAAATAAACAAAAACCTAAAAGTAAATGAAGATCCCAGACTTAAAGAAATGTTAAAAATATATTATTTACAATACAATTTTCTGTTTAGAGATCCTGTTTTTCTAAATGCCTTTACGATATTATATTGGAAAGAAGTCTGATTTATAGTATTTAAGAATGCTGGCACAATAACCTGAATACTAGTGTGTGATCAAGGAAAAGAAACTATATAGGTTACTATATGCCTAGGCATTTCTCTTTACAAAAGAATAATGATGTCAGGAACAGTATTTTTGTTGAAGAGCCTCTGGTCAAAAGCAAAGGACATTTGATAGCTAAATCTAAGGAGGAGGCAGGAAGTGAATGAAGACAAACACAAGGAAATAAGTATTTGATTGTGGCTGAAAGACTGGAGCACATAAAACCATGCAGATTAGCAAACCAAAGGTGCCAGCTTTCCTTCTGAGCTGTAATTTCCTGAGAACAAATAGGCATTAACTGGGTACCCTCAATTCACAATGCCTACTAATTGCCAATGATAAAAATAAGCCTCCTGCTTCTAATCCCCAAACCTCCCACTTTGTTTCTGTGAATACCATTTGTGAATTTGCTCCTTCTATTTCTCCTATGATAAAGCATGCCTCGAAGTAGCATAACTGTTTTGTATGCTTCTATATTTAAAATTAGACAGATCTAATCAAAACAAGGAATGAATGCCTTAAAAAAAACTTTCATAAGTGTAAAGATTTATTAACATTTTAACTTGTTGACCAGTCATTTAAAATTATGCACCCATAGAGACTTTTATAAAAAAAAGTCTATAATTAAACACCTAAGAAGATACCAGTATATGCTGTATCAATGCTTAATATTTTGCAAAACAAAGATATCTCATAGTTTTCATTGGGATTTGAAAATAACTGATTTCGAAAGAGGAATTAAATATCCATATGAAGCTGTCCCATTATGTTTTAGGATTATGTGTTTCCTACTTGTTAATATTAAAGAATATAATTTATCTGAGTTAAACAACATACTTGTTTATGGTAACAAAATCTGAAGCTAAATAAAAGTAACAAAAATGGCAATTTTTAAATCCTTAATAAGTAGTTGCTACTGTTAAGAATATTTTTACAATCAAGGCTTTGTAAAGACAGCAAAGTCTATACTCTCATTTAGTGATGAGGGAGACCAGAATATGCCACCCCAAAATATGCTTCTTTGGCATGAGGATTGTTTTGAGCTGAAATAAATTCAGGAGTAGCATATGCAGGAAGGCTCTTGGCACTCAATCTATTTGCTTAACAGCAGGTCATAGATTAACAATGACAAAAAGTATCACCCCTACCTTGCACCAAGGAAGAGAAAGGATGATCTCTGAAGACACGTTTAAACCTTTATCAGCCTAGAGACCACATCAGTGGAATCTACTTAATGAGATTTGCTAACTTATCTGCCATTTGTTTGCGTTCTCCCAGTTTGCCACCCCTAGAGACTTAAAGCTCTTTTTTTGGGGGGGGTCTTGTCTTTGTCAGTTGTCACTGTAAACTGAAATGTAAAGCCACCTCTCTGAGAATTACTCATTCCCTGGTTATTTTCCATGTAGACTATATGAACCATATGTATTAATAATATTCTGTTTGTTCTTCTCTTGTTAATCTGTCTTTTGTTCCAGGGGTCCATTGTAAGAATTTTTGAGGGTTGAGGAAAAAATTATCTTTCCTCTCCTACAGGGAAAACTTGCACTTTTTTCGTACTTTTCTTTTTTATTCTCTCATAACTGACATATTCCTTTTTGGCCTCTGATAAATATCCTGCAATATCTTATTGGTTTCTTTTCCAAATTGCCATATAATTGTTGAACGCTGGCTCACCAAACATCATCAAATATCCTGTCGTTAAGATAAAGTTGAGCTAATTGCTTATAAGGGTAAAGGAGAACACCACTTCTGGGAAGCTTTGGCAGTGTCTGGAAGGGAAAAAGACAAGGTCTGAATTTACTGAGAGGTGGAAGCTTGGCTTAAGGAGGATCTCTCAATGTGAAGAGAAGGGTGGACTTGATTGGGCAGTCAGTGCAGTCAACTATGATCAACAACGGGATCAGTGAAAACTGCAAGATGAGTATTTTGAGGTGAGAGATTCAAAAGATTTTAGGGCATGACCTGTCTGATTATGCATTTGTCAACTTAATAAAGACAAAGTTCATAAATTTGGAAAGGAGAGCTTTATTTCTCATGTAGAGTTGCAGCCTGCATGGTGGCTATTGTGATAGGCTGGGAAGCATAACCTCTGGGTGGAAGCCAGAAACAGGCACTTCAGGCATGGAAAGATAAGATGGGAATTGATGCTGAATGGCGTGGCTGAGTATAAGCATTCAATAAGCTATAAGAGGAGTCATAATTTTTAGTGAAAGGAGAAACATGAAGATGTGCAATTGAGCTCCATCCTCTTTCCATGGGTCAAATAGCAGCTTTAGCATGATCCAAAGGTAGAATTTTCAACCCTGTGAAGTCAAAAGGTGAAGCAGAGGACATGAAGGTACTCAGTGCCCATCGTCCATAGTCTGGCCAGAACCACTCCATAGTCAGTGGTCCCTTATCAGGACGGAATGCTAGTCAGTTGTGTCAAAACTGCAAAATCAAAGGGGAAGCATCAGTGGTGGAGTGAGTCTTTCCACGGGGCTGGTTTCTATTTAACGCTTAGGAAAGAAAGCCTAATGGTGGTTGGTGAGGTAGAGGGTATAATGAAGCATGTCAGGAGCTCACTTTTCTAGGTTTTTCTGAGGTCTCCTTGGCCAAGAGGGAGTCCATTCAGTTGGGTGGGGGGCGTAGAGTTTTATTTTATTTCTAAGTTTCCACTGAAGAGTGGATGGAGCATTCTTTAAGTTCCTGTAATGAACAATTACAGAAATTATTATTATATTTATACATGCTTTTTGACTTGTTTCTTCTGTTTTTGTTTTTCTAATATTTAATGTTTATTTTTATTTTAATAATTTTGGGGGTACAGGTGGTTTATAGTTACATGGATAAATTCTTTAGTGGTGATTTCTGCTATTTTAGTATACCTGCCTCCTCAGTAGTGTACCTTGTACCAAGTAGGTAGTCTTTTATCCCTCACTCCCCTTTCACGCTTCCACCGAGTCCCCAAAGTTCATTATATTATTCTTATGCCTTTGCATCCTCATAGCTTAGCTCCTACTTATAAGTGAGAACATATATTTGGTTTTCTCAATCCTGAGTTACTTCACTAAGAATGATGTCCTCCAGCTCAATCCAAGTTGCTAAAAAAGTCATTTTTTGTTCCTTTTGTGGCTCAGTAGTATTTCACGGTGTATACAGACCATATTTTCACTATCCACTTGTTGGTTTATGGGCATTTCAATATGAAATACATGGTTCCATATCTTTGCAGTTGCATATTGTGCTGCTATAAACATGTGTGTGCATGTGTCTTTTTCATATAATGATTTATTTTCCTTTGGGTAGATACCCAGTAGTGGGATTGCCGGATTGAATGATAGTTCTACTTTTAGTTTGCTAAGGAATCTCCATACTGTTTTCCATAGTGGTTGTACCTAATTTACATTTCCATCAGCAGTGTAGATGTGTTCCCTTTTCACCATATCCAGGCCAACATCTATTGTTCTTTGACTTTTAGTTATGGCCATTCTTGCAGCAGTAAGATGATATCTCATTTTGGTTTTAATTTGCATTTCCCTGGTGATTAATGACGTTAAGCATTTTTTCATGTTTGTTGGCTGTTTGTATATCTTCTTTTGAGAAATGTCTATTAATGTTCTTTGCCCACTTTGATGAGATTATTTTGTTTTTTCTTTCTGATTTTAGTTCCTTGCAGATTCTCAATATTAGTGCTTTGATATCTTTGATCAAAAGGCCCCAGTGACAACTATTCTACTTTTTTCTTCTGTGAATTCAACATTTTTCCTATTTCTATGAGTTCAATTTTTTTAGATTCCACATAAAAATGAAATCATGTGATATTTATCTTTCTGTGCCTGGCTGATTTCATTCAGCATAATGCCTTCCAGTTTTATTCATATTGTCAAAAATGACAGAATTTCCTTCTATTTTATGGCTAAATAGTATTCTACTGTGTATATATACACCACATTTTTTAATCCATTCATCTGTTGATGGACACTTAGCTTAACTTCAGGTTTTGGCTATTATGAATAGTGCTGCAACAAGTAATGGAATGCAGATATCTCTTCAAGACATTGATTCCATTTTCTTCTTTTTTTTCTTTTAAGGTAGGGTCTGACCCCAACACCAAGGCTAGAGTGCAGTAACATGATCACAGATCACTGCAGCCTTGACTTCCCTGGCTCAGATGATTCTCCCACCTCAGCCTCCTCAGTAGCTGGGACTACAGGCATGCACCACCTCTATTGGCTGATTTTTTGTAGAGACAGGTTTTTGCCATGTTGCCCAAGCTGGGATTGAACTCCTGGGCTCAAAAGATCCACTGACCTCAGCCTCCCAAATTGCTGGTATTACAGGTGTGAGTCACAATGCCTGGCCACTGATTCCATTTTCTTTGGATACATACGCAGCAGTGGAATTACTGAATCCTATGGTATTTCTCTTTTTTAGTGTTTTGAGGAAACTCCATGCTGTTTTCTATAATGGCTGTACTAATTTACATTTCCACCAGTAGTGTACAAGGGCTCCTTTTGCACCACAACCTCACCAACACTTGTTATTTTTCAGCTTTTTAAATAAAAGCTGTTCTAGCAGGTGCGAGATGAACTCTCATTGTGGTTTTAATGTGCATTTCCTAGATGGTTAATTATATTCATTTTTTTTTTATAAATTTGTAGGCCATTTGTATTTTTTCTTTGAAAATGTGTATTCAGGTCCTTTGCTCATTTTAAAAATTGGGTTATTTGTTTTCTTGCTATTGAGTTGTTCAAGTTCCTTATCTATTTGCTTATTAACCCCTTATCAGATGTATGGTTTGCAAATATTTTCTTCCATTCAAATCAATTTCTCCCAATCAATTGCATTCTATTGATTGCAGTCTTTTAAATAAATGGGATTAGAAAAACTGAATACACATATGCAGAAGAATGAAATTAGTTCCTTATCTCATACCAAATACAAATACAAACTCAAAATGGATTAAAGACAATATAAGATCTGCAACAATAAAACTACTGAAAGAAAACATAGAAATAAAATCTTCATGACATTATCTGGCAATGATTTTTTGGATATAACCCTAAAAGCAGAGGCAACTAAAAGCAACAATAGACAAGTGGATTACATCAATATAAAAAGCTTCCCCAAAGCAAAAGCAACAATCAATAGAGTGAATATGTAATCTATAACATTATTTTTGCAATTTGTTTTATTTTGTTTTATTTCAGTAACATTTTTGTTTGTTGTATTAGTTCCTTCTCACACTGCTAATAAAGACATACCAGAGACTGACTAGTTTATAAAGGAAAGAGGTTTAATTGACTTACAGTTCAGCATGGCTGGGGAGGCCTCAGGAAACTTACAATCATGGCAGGAGAGGAAGCAAACAGACCCTTCTTCACATGGCAGCAGCAAGGGGAAGTGCCAAGCAAAAGGGGGAAAAGCCCCTTATGAAACCATCAGATTTCATGAGAACTCACTTAATGATCACAAGAACAGCATAAGAGTAACTGTCCCCATGATCCAATTACCTTCCACCAGGTCCCTCCCATAACACGTGGTGATTATGGAAACTATGGAAACTATGAGATGAGATGTTGGTGGCAACATAGCCAAACCAAATCATTTGTTTTCTTGTTTTGTAGTTATTCTGACATTTTAACCCTACAAACAAATAAGCAATGAACTATTTTATCATTGTTCTTGTATGTTTGTATGTGTATGCCTGTTTGTTTTTTATATAGTGTATCATTGTTATATAAAATGTATGTATACAGGAGTATTTTGGATAGGTTTAGAAGATGTGGCTTTTAAATTTTAGTAGGTTTTACTAGATTATTTTCCCAGAAAACTCTACAACTTTTTTTTTTTTTTTTTTTTTTGAGATGAAGTCTCGCTCTGTTGCCCAGGCTGGAATGGAGGGGCATCATCTTGGCTCACTGCAACCTCTGTGTCCCAGGTTCAAGTGATTCTCCTGCCTCAGCCTCCCAAGTAGCTGGGACTACAGGTGTGCACCCCCACGTCCAGCTAACTTTTGTATTTTTAGTGGAGATGGGGTTTCACCATGTTGGTCAGGCTGGTCTTGAACTCCTGACTTTGTGATCCACCCACCTTAGCCTCCTAAAGGGCTGGGATTACAGGTGTGAGCCACCGTGCCCAGCCCCAACTTTTTATTACCATCAGTAGTTTGTGAAAATAATTTTTTACCCACATTAATGTTAATACTGTATTTTTATTATTGAAACAACAATAACAGCAACAAACTGAAATCACCTTACTGGTGGTGATATGGTTTGGATCTATGTTCCCACCCGAATTGTAATCCCCAGTGTTGGAGGTAGGGCCTGGTTGGAGGTGCCTGGATCATGGGGGCGGAATTCTCGTGAAGGGGTTAGCACCATCTCTTTGGTGCTGTTTTCATGATAGCGAATGAGTGAGTTATCATGAGATCTGGTTGCTTAAAAGTGTGTAGCACCTCCCCTTCCTCTTCCTACTACTCTAGTCATGGTAAGATGTGCCTGCCTCCCCTTTGCCTTCTGTATGATTGTAAGTTTTCCGAGGCCTCCCCAGAAGCTTTTTAGAATCAATATTCAAGTCAATTTGTTAGGCTCTTTCAATTTCAAATCAATTAGTGATGATAGAAAAAGGTACTTCAATTTCATGCTTTACACAGACCAGAAATCCTTGGGCCCTTTGTTGTTTCTTGGTGGTAAGCTTTTTTACCCCCCAAAGTCTCTCCAGGTACTAGAGTTACAATCTCCCAACCCTAGGGACCAGGGATAATTTAGTCCCATAGTGCTGTTGCCTGTTTTGTTGTCCAAGTATCTTCAAAACCACATGCTTCACTTCCCTGAAGAGGATTGTAAAGATTACAGTACTTCCATCAGTTAATTCTCTAATGTCAATAAATTACACTGCACATCTCTTCTGAGTTTCCTTTGGCTATTAATTTAAACTGTTATACTAACAAAATTTAAAACTGCACACAAAAAATTTCCAAGTCATAAACTAACATGCTAATAGCTATGACCCATCAAAGATCTATTTAAATGTTTATTATAAACTATGTAGAGTTCAGTAAACACAAATTATCAGAGAAAAGAGGAAGAAAATACACCCTTGTATAAATAATATAATCTACTCTCAGTAATTTTAGATCTTTAATTTGGTCCTGCATCATATATTCTTTCTTTCCAGTTTGAATCAATTGTAAATCTTACAGTACTTCACCATTAAATTGCCTACTGTCATTCAATTATATATCAATAAATTACATATATGGATACATAATATATACACATATATACCTGTATCCACTTATATGTATATTAAACCATACATTATTTTATACTGATATCTGCAACTCAAACTCATTCCCTTGTGAGTCATTCCAGCTTTCTCCCCTCTTTGTTGTGACCTCCCACTCCAACAGTGAAAATATGCTTTTTACCATATGAATTCGTTTACCTCCATTCCACTATATATATGTATAGTGGTATCAGAGGTCACATAGACTTTCTCTAATGGTTTGTACTTCTGGATATTTTGAAGTTTTGCAGCTAGCATTTAGGTTAAAATACATATTGAGTTATTTTTGTTTAAGGTGTAAGTTATGTCTTAGTAGGGCTTTCTTTTTTTTTTTTTTTTCACAGTCATTCAATTCTTCCAGCATCATTTGTTGAAAAGAAAGGGCTACGCTTTCATTATTGAATAGTTTTTTTTTTTTTTTGCAATTTTTGTTAAAAGCGAGTTGAGTATACCTCAGTAAGTTTATTTCTAGGTTTCTATTTTTGCCTTTGCTCAATATATTTATTCCTTTGCAATCCTATACTGTCTTGATTACCATAACTTTATTAAGTCTTGAAATCAGGAAGTACACATTATCCAACTTTGTTCTTTAGTTTGTGATGGCCACTATAGGTTATGCCATCCTATACAAATTTTCAAACCATTTAATTGATATCTATAAAATACCTTGCTGAGAATTTATTTGGGATTTTATCAAATCAATCAATAAATTTGGGAATAATTGACAGTAGCATAATATTGAGTCTTCCAATCCATGAACATAGAATATATTTCCATTTATTTGTTTCTTTGATTTTTAATTAGTTTTCTTAGTTTTCTACATATATATCATGTAGATATTTTGTTAGTTTTATACCTAAGCATGGGGAGGGGTAATTATTCACAAAAGTATTGCCATTTTAATCCTTATATCCTGCAACCATTCTATATTTGCTATTAGTTGCAAAAGCTTTTTGTTTTTTGTTGGTAATTTTTGTGTTTTTGTCTACAGAGGCAATTAATGCAACTGAGAATAAAAACATTTTAATTTCTTCCTTTGTAATTGGAATGCCTTGTATTTTTTTTTATTGTTACATTGCCATAGCACATAATTCAAGTGTAATGTTAAATGGGAGTGGTAAGAAGAGATATCATTGCTTTATTCTTGATTTTAGGATAAAAGCATCAAGTTTCCCATCATTAAGTATGAATATAGGTTTTTATAGATCATTGTTTTCAAGATAGGAAATATTTGTATCTGTAGTAGTTTCCTAGGGATGCTATTATAAATTACAACAAACTGAGTGGCTTTACATGGCAGAAATGTAGTCTCTCAAGTTCTGGAGGCTAGAAGTTCAAAGTCAAGGGTCAATAGGGCCATGCTTCCTCTGAAGGCTCTAGGAAAGATTCTTTCTTTACCTCTTACTGGCTTCTGGTGATTCCTTATCAGTCTTGTTCAACATCGTACTCTAAAGGTGGTCTAGGTATCTTGCTAGAGGTACACCACTATGGTACTATGTAATTATCCAAAAGGGAAGCTGGGACAGGTGCTGGCCAATATGGGCTGCTGTCCTTCACACACTGTAAGAGATCACTACTGGAAAAGCTGCCTGGGCTGCTTGAACACGACATTTGCAAAAGCACACACACTTTAGGAAATGGAGGCTGGAGAAGTTGCGTACACTGTAGCCACTTGGCACTGAAGAAGCTCTGTGTGGTTCAAGATCACGTGCTGGGCAGACATAAGCACTGAAGGAGCTAGATGCTACAGGGGTACTAGAGAAGCTGATAAAACACACCAGAACCAAGAAGAACCCTCTTGTTTCTGCAACATCTTTTCTGTACCTTTTACAAATAAAGCATAACACCATGCAAACTAGAAACATAAAGAAAGAAATAAAAGAATCAGCTGAATTTTCATAGAGCAGGCAGTGAGGGTGAATTTGCAGAATAGAAGGAATTTTTTATGATTTAATATTGTCTTTTTTTTTTTTTTTAAACATTATCTCACTGTGTTACGCAGGCTAGGGTGAAGTGGCACAGTCCTAGCTCACTGCAGCCTCAAACTCCTAGGCTCAAGGATTTTCCTGCCTTGGCCTTCCAAAGTGCTGGGATTACAGGTGTGAACCACTGCATCTGGCCCATTTATCTTAAAAATAAAATGAAGTACAAAGTTATCTAGTTAACTCTCATTTTCTTTTTCTTCTGTTTTTAAAAGTAATGTGGTCTTGTAATAGCAGCATGAAAAAACAGAATAAGAACACTCTCTCTTCTTTCCTTTTTACTTTCCCTCTCTCAGAGTAAGTGAGAAAAATATGCATAGTGTACAGCTTCATAATTCATTTTCATTCTGTTTCTATCTTCCAATGCAATAATATAATATTTAGGTCTTGGCTTTTTAGTTTATTATATGCAACCAGAAATAAAATTATATCATAATATAGTAGTTGTATAATTTTAAAATGTGCTACTAAGTTTATATAGCCTGAGTCTATTAAATATATAGTACCTGAAACTTGGAATTTATTTAAAGTAGAAACATGGTTTTTAATAATTGCATATTATAATCTCTTCACCAAACCTGTGGCAAGTCAGATTTACTACCTGTATTCAAAAATATAGATATTCAGTAGGTTCAAGTAAGGGGCATGAAGTGCATTTTGTTTATCCAGCTTTAGTAGTATTTTATTTTTATTCTTTTATTTTATCTATAGACTTTGATTTTTTTCTATAGTGGTAGCTACCCATCATAATGATTTTTCAGATAACAAGAGTTCAGCTAATGTCTTCGTAGACTTTAAGTCCAATTAATTCTGTATTAAAATAAGAACTTTGAATGTGAAAATGGGTAATAGTGATGCTAGAACAAGGCTCTGCCCACAGCTTCCATCTGTTAAACTAATTGTGTTTATATAAAATAATAGAATCACAGAACATTAGTCCTGGAAGGAGACATTTATATTATTTAAAATAATCATCTTTCTTATGGCTGAAGAAATGGAAACCTAGGGTATTTTCTCAGAGTGAAAAAGTGCTGGGATTTGGAGTGGGGAATTGAGCAGTTCTACTTGTTTTGACATAGAACTAAAATTAAAAAGAAATTGTAATATATACAAAGTCCCAACTGTCAGTGGCTTAAAAAAATACCACTTTATTTTGGATCACGTGAAATCCAATACAGATGTTTCTGTTTGGGGGCCAGCTTTCATGTCAATATTCATATATTCTCCTTTGATCTTGTGGCCTGGTTATTCCCTAGAGCTCAGAAGTCATTTGCTCAATCTTATGATCATCTCAGACAGATAGAGTAAGAAACCATGTAGAATGAACATGTATTTGACATTACTAAAGGCTCTATAAGCATTAGTATTTTTCTGTATAATATTTAATTACACATGAGTTTGTATGTTATATATATATAAATATATATTACATTATATAAGTATATATGTGTATTTGTTCCTACATACCTAGCTATCTGTAGTACTAGTGGTTAACACTAAACTAATATTATTTATTTTGATGGCAAAAATAAGTTTTGGTACAGATTGGCTGTGGTCAACACATACTGAAAGCTATATAATCTTGAAAACTATGTATTATGCTTACAGGTGCTCACATGACTAAAACGAAAGTGGTCCTCTTCAATTACAAATTTCTACTATGTTAGGTTGCTGTAGCATCCAATTAATCACTGTTTGACGAACTGGTGAAGTATGTAACATTAAAACTGACTTGAAAATAAAACCTTAAGACACTAACACAACAATCTTATATATATATCCTGATCTGCCTCATATCATTAATTACTTTTTTACTTTTTGTTTTTATATTTGTAAACTGAAATAGGATAGATTTTTATCTAACATTACAAAATAACAAGGTAATTTTTGTTAACAAATGATAAAATTTATTATGATAAAATCACAGTAAGACCAAATAGGACCAACATGGACTAATACTTAAAATTGTACAAAATACATTGGAAGACACCATCAGGTATAACCTCAGAGTTATTAATTAAAGTTCATTTACTATTCTCATTTTAAAGCTGAAGAAGGGGAGATTCAGAGAGCCAGAGACTTCTCTCTGGTTCAGTTAGTATTTAAGCAGTGAAATGGGAACACATAAGTAAATTATTTTACTCTAAATCCTGTGCACTTAGATTTTTGTCATGCTGATAAAAGCTTGGCCTCCTAAAATTCACTTTAGTGTCTAAGTTGAAGATTAAAAAGATAATTTCAACCCACTTTTATTTTTCAGAGAAAGAACATGAAACTCAAAGATGTAAGGTGGTATGAGCAAGCCTCAAAGAAGGTTCCTAACATACAGTATTCCAGTAAATTCACCCACTCAATTTTAAACTTGATGCTAACACTAACCTAAATCCTAAACTTGATCGTTACCCAAATATTTAGCTAAAATTAAATCTGTACACAAGATTTCTTAAAAATTATTCTCTAAAAGAGCCAGTAGTTTTTCAGCATGAAATCAATTCAAGGGACAGTTGTAAAATTTTTTGTCAGAGAAAATAATCACATTACTAATAAAAACTGACTCAGCACTTAAGATTGCTACAGGGTTTTCAAAATAGGAGGAAAAATAATATAAATATACTAGTATTTTGAAATAAAATATCCAGATAACATGAGAAAATACTTGTAATTTTGTTTACCCAGATTTCAGACAAGTAAGAAGTACATAACAAGTAGTATACGACACTATCTTAGCAAAAAAAAATTCAGCATATAGTAATTTATCAAATAGCTCTAATGTTTAAGTAATATCACCTAAAACTAGCCATAATCAACTTTGTCTTTTTGTGAAAACTTGAACTGGGGAGAGAACTGTCTTTATATCTAAAAACATTTGTATTAAAAGATTTAGGTCCTAACAACAAATACAGAATTTGAGGAAAGTACCTCTTTTAAAACTTTAAAAATATCACAGGTTTTGAAGCGATTTCTTTATAGCTCTCATTTTTATCCAATTGTGAAATAATAGTTCTTGGTTTTTATTTCAGTGCAAAAAGAGAGTAGCCCATGATATTGTCATTCAATAACGAATGCGTTGAGACTCAATGCAAAAATGCATTAATAGAAATTTGATCTTAATCCAAGTTGTGGTTGTCATTTTTTTCCAAGTTTTGTAATTATTTTAGGCACTAAAGTCAACTGATTACCTTTTCACTGAGTAAAGACTCATTTTGTAATTGGGATTAAGACTCAGCCTTTTTAATACTGACACCAATATTTCCTGTAATGCTACTTAACTATATTTAAGTATTAATATCACCCTTGTCAATAATTTTAATTCTTATTCCATTTTAGTGCAGAAGGTTATAGCAAAAAGGAAACCAGTTTCACAAATCTATCTAGATTCTTTCACTTAGCCATACATAGTTCAAATCTAACTGTAGCCACAAAAATTGAAAACAATATAAAGAGTTATTAAAGGTTTGAAATGAAATATTACTTCTATCATCTTGGTTTATTTTCTAATATTTAGCTCGGTTGAAAGAAATAAAGAGACTTCCCTATTCTCTTAGTTCACCTAAAGGGAATCTCTTTGTGCCAAAACTGAACAGCGTTAGATGAAACCATGCGGAGAAAGTGGATGGATTAGGGCTGAGTCAGCGGACTCCTCTCCCTGCTATTAGAATTCTGTTCTGGTCCTATGCCTTTCAACTTCTTAATCTAATTACGGCTCTCAGGCACTAACTCCTTCCCCTGCAATTTTAAAGATGGAGACCACATATATAATTGATAGCATAACAACAAATGCAGGCCTCACAAACAGGTCCATCAGATGAAAAGACACTCCTGAAATTCAGTCAGGAAGTAGTTTACTGCAGTTAAGATCCTGATTGGTTTGGGCCAAGGATACTTCTCTTCTTCTCCTTGTTGGTGAGATTCTGAGAACCCCCAGACCGGTTAGGATTCTAGTATTTACAGCTAAAATGTAATCAATTTAAATTATGAGACAAGAAATCAGAAGTCAGAGGGATGAAAGTTCTCTGAGTTATTCAGTGAGAGCTAAGAGTTATATTCAGAAGACAATTATGGGTATAACTAAACATAGTATTATAAAACTTTGCAAGCTTTAAATATGTGGGTTTTTTTAATTAAATGATAAACAGCTAATGAAAGTATGTCAAAATCATGAGCTTAGAAACGTTTGTGTCATTTTAACTAGTAACAAAAGATTCATACATTGTATTAGTCCATTCTCACGCTGCTATAAAGAAATACCCGAGACTGGATAATTTATAAAGAAAAGAAGTTTAATTGACTCAAAATATATGGAATTTGGACAAACAAAAATGCTTTTCAAAATATTATTTAATATCTTTTAGAAATTAAAGAAATGATATTTGTGTGCTGCACCTGGAAAAAGTTGTAATAACTCTTAAAGGGATAGCATTTTCTTAATTGAAATAGAAAAACAATCAAAACACTGTGTAACATTAAAATGACTCCAAAAGTAACCAATATTTTAATATTGCACAATTATTTTATGTTTTTGTATGTGAATACATAATACTATTCTTTTAGTAAAGGTTCATTAAAATGCTACATATTTAGTACTTCTGTCACATTATAAAATAGAGCTATCTGGCTAGAAAAAGTTAAAGACAATAGCCTCTCTGCTTTCTTCAGATGACTTCATTTTTACTGTTGTAGTCTAAGAAGAAGATTATCTATACTGTTCTAACATTCTAGAATGCATTTATTACTTCCCAAATGTATAATATAATGTTGATATTTACTAGAAATGAAGATACAGGGGAATATTCCGAGTAATTAGAAAAACAATTGTTTGGTCAGTGAAAAAGCCATTAGGAAAGAGAAAATATCAATTTTTTTTTTTTTTTTTTTTTTTTACTTTTCTGTTTTTCAGAGATGGGGACGTACAATATTCCCTAGGCTGGCTTCAAGCCCCTGGGCTCAAGCCTTTCAAGCCTCCCAAGTAGCTGGGACTACAGATGAGTGCCACTCTGCCAAGCTAAGGAATATTTTCTTAATACCACCTTGTATAATTTAATTCCACAGTTATGCAAACATATACTAAACTTGCTTCCCCAAAAATCAGTAAAATGAAGAGAACCTAAGATTAATTACAGGAGCAGTGACCATTAGTCTTAAAGAAGTTAGATAGCACATGACAATGGTCAGGTGTGCCAAATGCAGAAATGCAGGTATGGAGATTTCTGGGAGTCTAACTGATTACATTAGGATTACATTAGCATTTATCTTACTAGATAGCGGCAGTAGTCTTTAGGGACATCCATGTATTTTCAGATAAAGCATATAACATACAGAACAGAGGTCAAAGCTTACTCAGTTGCAAAGCCATCAAGGGTGGAAAACAAGGACAAAGTGAGTTCATGAAATAGGCCTGATTGGATTGGGCCAAGGATAGATATCCTTTTCTTTTCTTACCCTCTAGCTTCTGTTACTCGGCAGGATCTTAATACACTGGTTTCTTCCAGTTGGCTCAATGCAGCAAGTGAACTCACAGTGTAAGGGGTTAATAGTGAGTGTGAATAAGGAAACACTGAGGCAGAAATGAACTCATTGCATATCTGATCATATGCAAGTACCAATGCAGAGATGATCAAAGTTGTCATAACACTAAAAATATTTCCTAGGGACTGGACTATGTATTAAATAAATCCCTTCTCAATCATGTCTCCTCCCTTTTAATGATGAAATCTACCTTTGCTTTCCAAATAACTTGTATTGCTCCATTCTCTCATTGATTTGAAGAAACTGCAGAAATGTGCAGTGGAGAAAGTATACTAATAAAAAATAGCTGCACAGTGAAACTGCAAATATCTGAAAAGGATTGGGAATATCTTGAAATTTATTCAGATGACGTCAGAGACAAATTATACCTCACCTAGATGTTTTGACTCATGAAGATCTGGTGATGAAATCAGATAAGAATTGAAGTTAAGATCAGTGAATACAAATGAGGATACCTTTTCAAAAGAAGATGGTTTGACTATCAAAAAATTAAGGGAATTCACTGGTAAAATGGTTGAAATAGTTTTTAACACTGATCAACTTGATAGCCAGCTATAAAAATTATAAAAAGTAAAATTTATTCCTTTTTATTGTACCATCACATATTTTGTCAAAGAAATACTATCATCAAAAATCTATTCTTAATATATTTTTGTGTTAAAGATTAAGTGACTAGTAATTTTTGACTATATTCTTTAAAAAGATGTCTTAATTCATAATTGTGTTATTTTAAATATGAAGTCCCAATAATTAAAAAATGTTTCCATCTGTTTATTTTTTCACCTTGTTTGTTCCTCTGTGGAACTGTCTTGTTCTTTTGAGTCACTCTGGATTCCCTATGTGGCCTTTTATTCTGATACCAATTACAGAACAATAAGGAACCTTTGTATCTCACTTTTTATTCATTTTTAAAATGTTCACAAGGCTGGCCTTGGTGGCTCAGGCCTGTAATCCCAGCACTTTGGGAGGCCGAGGAGGGCGGATCACGAGGTCAGGAGTTCGCAACCAGTCTAACCAATATGGTGAAACCCCGTCTCTAGTAAAAATCACACAAAAATTAACCGGGCGTGGTGGTGTGCCTCTGAAGTCCCAGCTACTCGGGAGGCTGAGGCAGGAGAATCTCTTGAGCCCAGGAGGTGGAGGTTGCAGTGAGCCAAGGTTGCACCACTGCACTCCAGTCTTGGTGACAGACTGAGACTCCATCTCAAAAAAAAAAAAAAAATTCACTAGGTAAGGACATAATTACATTTGATGTAGGTTTGCTTATGTTTATTTAATTGGAGCCTGGGAACTTTTATATATATATAAATGTATTTATAAATGTTTATAAATGTTTTATATATATATATATATATATGTATTTATCTTTTTGACCTTTCTTTTTCTTCTTGACTAATGTCATCTACCAGCTCGTTAGAAATGTAGAATATCGAGAGCTACTCCACATCTATTAACTCAGATTCTCCATTTTAACAACATCCCCAAATGATTCATGTGTGCACTCAGGTATAAAACTCTAGACCAATAGCTCTCAGCCTGGCTTGCACACAAGGCAAATCTGAATTCTTGTTAAGTAGCTAGGCATCAGTATTTTTTATATGCTCCTCAGGTGATTCTAATCTATAACCAGGGTGCAACCCACTGTAGACAAACTCCAGGAGGGCAAGACCATGTCTTTGTTAATTTTATGACTTTTTCTTAAGGGCCCAATAAACTCTCTTGGCAAAATAATTGGGTCTTTGTCAGACCCAGAATGGCATTTCCTATGCTCCTAGGATATTTGGTTTGATATTACATGAATTACTAGTGGTTAACTGAGTTTTGGGATTTCAATTCTGACATGCCTTCCTCAGTTACGTTCTAAGGAAAATGCTGTTATGGAAACATAAACCCCAGTGACCATGAATAAAGCATGCTGACCTTGAGTTAGAGCTGACAGTGGCCTTTTCTTTATGAAAATAATAGCTTTTGTCACTCACCTTATGAGGTGAAATCAAAAAAATAAATAACCAAGAATTCTGCAAATACAAAATTTTTTTATGTAAGAACAAAACTACCACCTCATCAATATTGTTTCATAGAACAAAGTATATATTCACAGATAATAGAAACTAAGATCTACAGAACTATACGTATGCAAGGACCCAAAACCGAGTTTTTCTTTGTCCTTAATTTGTACACATTTCTCTTCCTTTAGAATACTTTCAATATACACAATAAATGTCACATGTGGTTCTTTGCTTCCTTTCTCTGTAACCTTTCTCACTAAGGTAAATAAAATATCAATTTTAATGTAAGTCAACATAAAATATTAATATTTCAGATTTAAAAAAATCACTTATAGAAATGCATTAGTTATAATTCACTTAAGTATTATTGGGATGACGTCTTCAGCATAAAACTAGTTAGCTCTAAATTGTCACTGGGCTATGTAATATACAAATTAATTCATATCATCTTTATATTATACAGCTAGCAATTTCTAAGTATTTGTACATATAGATATCATGGACTTGTAACAAACTCCTTGTAAAAATATCTGTTGTAATTTTTCCCACAAGTTTCACCTCTTTAAAAATTCAGAAAATAGCTAATATAGTAATATCTAGGGCTGCCACACTGACATGATTTATGCTTTGCAATCATAAAATATTGTATCTAGTCAACTGAATTTTAAGCAGTTGAATACTAGTCAGAAAATTTTATCCCACTTAGGAATAAGTTCACAGTGACAGAATATATTTCCCTGGTGAGTCCAGACATTGTCAGTGACGAAAGGCTTTTAGTTGCTCCCAGTCTGGGCTTGAATCTCTAAAGAAAAAGGCACTTACTAAAACTATTATCTGTGTCACTTAAGATATATGGCTCTGACTAGCAGTACTTTCTCTATTTTTCACTTCAAGTGTGAACAAATAAGAGCTATTCCTCTCCCAGAAAATCTGGGAATATTTCTTCAAGTGGGAAAAGCTGAAAGACAGAAAGAGGATCAAGGATCTCTCCATTTTTGTTGGGAGGAGGTCATTTCTTTTGGTTTGATTTTCAAATATTGCTCTCATTTTTGCCACTCAAACATAAGCCAAATTTTTCTTTCCATACTGTGTTAATTTTATTTAAAAATCTTGAAATTTACTGGAGATCAGAAAATAAACATTTGTGTTTCTTTCTGGATTAACACTTTTTCTACCAGTTTATGGAAGAAAACTGGTCTTCCATTGAGTAGACCCAAAATGCCTTAAACAAAATGGATATTTATAAACAAACCTCTTAAGGCTACAAATTCATCCTTTTGGTTTGTTTCTTTGAGAAGCTCTGGAGAGTTTTGTGATTTACTAGCTAGGGGGTAATTTATTTATTGCTGACAGCTAGACTCTGAACAAGCAACCAGCACAAATAACAATGTGGAATGGCACTAAATAAAGATTACCAGGATATTATGTCTTTCCCCATGATATTTAGGGGTCAACTAGTGAGAAACTGATTTGAATTAATATTTTGTATCAGATTATCACACTTGGGACACCAAGTCTTCAGAGTATTCTAAAAGACTGTTATATCATTTGAATTTCAAAAAAGAAAAAGAAAAAACATAACACTAGACTGGTTAGTTCTAAAGCTCTGATAACTGCAGGAGGTAAATGACTCTCTTGGAAGACTGAGAAATATGAAGAATATTGACACAATTAGAGCACAGTACAGGTTTACCTACAAAAGTCTATGTATTAATAAATACAGCTAATGGTATTAGAATGAGAAGAAATAGAAAAATACTATTAAAACATTATTCTTTACTGCCTTGTCCATAACCCAGGCACAGTTTAAACAGTACACTGCCTTTGCACTTCTGTGATCAGTTTCTAATATAAAACTCACCTCCTGTATGACAAGGTCAAAACTTGCTTGCAGGATGACCCTGAAGTTTTCTGGACCAGAAGCCCTAAATCAAGATATCTGTTGTGTGGACACATCAAACAAGATAATATATTTTATAAAAATGAAAGACATCAAAATAAAAACACCATTTGTTATTTTTTAACTTTGTGTTGTTTGTTTACATAGTCAAGACTTTTTTCAAATATTGTGTGTGATGGCCTTTATTTTTCTCAAATGGCTATCAAGCAAAAGAAGATCCACTCTATTGTTTTTTTCTTGTTAATTTCTTAATAAAATACATAACTTATTATGTAAAATATATGAATTTGATTAAATCAACTCAGTTTCTTCGTAATGATATCAATCACCATTTTTGTTTGTATCTGATATTGCTGTTTCCCCATAAGACACTTTACATTTAGTGTCACAGGCTTACAAACAAGTAAGTAGGAAATACACAAAATCAAATTCTAGTTTTATATACAAAGGTGCAGTTAAACAAATCTGATTTTATTTCCAGTTTTTCCTGTATACATTGTGTGAGCTTAAAATTACTCAACCTCAATGATCTTTATTCACCTCACATGTAAAGTATAGATTATTAGAGTTCTCCATTTGATAGCTTTTTATTTTGATTTTGATACATTACATAATTTATATGAAGGACTAAATAGAGGTGTATTAGTTCATTTTCGTGGTGCTATAAAGAAATACTTGAGACTGGGTAATTTAGAAAGAAATGCGGTTTAACTGACTCACAGTTCAGCATAGCTGGGGAGACCTCAGAAACTTAAAATCATAGCAAAGGGGAAGTAAACATGTCCTTCTTCACATGACAGCAGGAGAGAGAAGTGCAGAGTGAAAGGGAGGAAAGCCCCTCATAAAACCATTAGATCTCCTGAGAACTCACTCACTATCATGTGAACAGCATGGGGGACCCACACCCATGATCTAATCACTTCTCATGATGTCCTTCTCCGGACACGTGGAGATTACAATTTGGATTACAATTCAAGATGACATTTGGGTGGGAACGTAGAGCCAGACCACATCAATAGGGCCTTATCTGTAGAAGGTTAGTAATCTCTTAACTACTAAAAGTATTATTACTGGCACTATAGCTACTACTATCATTAATATTAATTTTGGTATCGCTGTTTAGTGTTGAATAAGTACTTGCTTTATGCATGGATTACATGCATTTTTTGGATATTCACAATGTTTTTTTATTTTATTATTATACTTTAAGTTTTAGGGTACATGTGCACAATGTGCAGGTTTGTTACATATGTATACATGTGCCATATTGGTGTGCTGCATGCATTAACTCTTCATTTAGCATTAGGTATATCTCCTAATGCTATCCCTCCCCCCTCCCCCCACCCCACTACAGGCCCCGGAGTGTAATGTTCCCCTTCCTGTGTCCATGTGTTCTCATTGTTCAATTCCCACCTATGAGTGAGAACATGCGGTGTTTGGTTTTTTGTCCTTGTGATAGTTTGCTGAGAATGATGGTTTCCAGTTTCATCCATGTCCCTACAAAGGACATGAACTCTTCATTTTTTATGGCTGTATAGTATTCCATAGTGTGTATGTGCCACATTTTCTTAATCCAGTCTATCATTGTTGGACATTTGGATTGGTTCCAAGTCTTTGCGATGGTGAATAGTGCCGCAATAAACATACGTGTGCATGTGTCTTTATAGCAGCATGATTTATAATACTTTGGGTATATACCCAGTAATGGGATGGCTGGGTCAAATGGTATTTCTTGTTCTAGATTCCTGAGGAATTGCCACACCGACTTCCACAATGGTTGAACTAGTTTACAGTCCCAACAACAGTGTAAAAATGTTCCTGTTGCTCCACATCCTCTCCAGCACCTGTTGTTTCCTGACTTTTTAATGATTGCCATTCTAACTGGTGTGAGATGGTATCTCATTGTGATTTTGATTTGCATTTCTCTGATGGCCAGTGATGATGAGCATTTTTTTCATGTGTTTTTTGGCTGCACAAATGTCTTCTTTTGAGAAGTGTCTGTTCATATCCTTCGCCCACTTTTTGATGGGGTTGTTTGTTTTTTCCTTGTAAATGTGTTTGAGTTCATTGTAGATTCTGGATATTAGCCCTTTGTCAGATGACTAGGTTGTGAAAATTTTCTCCCATTTTGTAGATTGTCTGTTCACTCTGATGATAGTTTCTTTTGCTGTGTAGAAGCTCTTTAGTTTAATGAGATCCCATTTGTCAATTTTGGCTTTTGTTGCCATTGCTTTTGGTGTTTTAGACATGAAGTCCTTGCCCATGCCTATGTCCTGAATGGTATTACCCAGGTGTTCTTCTAGGGTTTTGTATGGTATTAGGTCTAACATGTAAGTCTTTAATCCATCTTGAATTAATTTTTGTATAAGGTGTAAGGAAGGGATCCAGTTTCAGCTTTCTACATATGGCTAGCCAGTTTTCCCAGCACCATTTATTAAATAGGGAATCCTTTCCCCATTGCTTGTTTTTGTCAGGTTTGTCAAAGATCAGATGGATGTAGATATGTGGCATTATTTCTGAGGGCTCTGTTCTGTTCCATTGATCTATATCTCTGTTTTGGTACCAGTACCATGCTATTTTGGTGACTGTAGCCTTGTAGTATAGTTTGAAGTCAGGTAGCGTGATGCATCTGGCTTTGTTCTTTTGGCTTAGAATTGACTTGGAAATGCTGGCTCTTTTTTGGTTCCATATGAACTTTAAAGTAGTTTTTTCCAATCCTGTGAAGAATGTCATTGGTAGCTTGATGGGGATGGCATTGAATCTATAAATTACCTTGGGCAGTATCACCATTTTCACAATATTGATTCTTCCTACCCATGAGCATGGAATGTTCTTCCATTTGTTTGTATCCTCTTTTATTTCATTGAGCAGTGGTTTGTAATTCTCCTTGAAGAGGTCCTTCTCATCCCTTGTAAGTTGTATTCCTAGGTATTGTATTCTCTTTGAAGCAATGTGAATGGGAGTTCACTCATGATTTCGCTGTTTGTCTATTATTGGTGTATAAGAATGCTTGTGATTTTTCTACATTGATTTTTGTATCCTGAGACTTTGCTGAAGTTGCTTATCAGCTTAAGGAGATTTTGGTCTGAGATGATGGGGTTTTCTAGATATACAATCATGTCATCTGCAAACAGGGACAATTTGACTTCCTCTTTTCCTAATTGAATATCCTTTATTTCCTTCTCCTGCCTGATTGCCCTGGCCAGAACTTCCAACACTATGTTGAATAGGAGTGGTGAGAGAGGGCATCCCTGTCTTGTGCCAGTTTTCAAAGGGAATGCTTCCCGTTTTTGCCCATTCAGTGTGATATTGGCTGTGGGTTTGTCATAGATAGCTCTTATTATTTTGAGATTCATCCCACCAATACCTAATTTATTGAGAGTTTTTTTTTTTTTTTTTATTATACTCTAAGTTTTAGGGTACATGTGCACATTGTGCAGGTTAGTTACATATGTATACATGTGCCATGCTGGTACGCTGCACCCACTAACGTGTCATCTAGCATTAGGTATATCTCCCAATGCTATCCCTCCCCCTCCCCCGACCCCACCACAGTCCCCAGAGTGTGATATTCCCCTTCCTGTGTCCAAGTGATCTCATTGTTCAATTCCCACCTATGAGTGAGAATATGCGGTGTTTGGCTTTTTGTTCTTGCGATAGTTTACTGAGAATGATGGTTTCCAATTTCATCCATGTCCCTACAAAGGACATGAACTCATCATTTTTTATGGCTGCTTAGTATTCCATGGTGTATATGTGCCACATTTTCTTAATCCAGTCTATCATTGTTGGACATTTGGGTTGGTTCCAAGTCTTTGCTATTGTGAATAGTGCCGCAATAAACATACGTGTGCATGTGTCTTTATAGCAGCATGATTTATAGTCCTTTGGGTATATACCCAGTAATGGGATGGCTGGGTCAAATGGTATTTCTAGTTCTAGATCCCTGAGGAATCGCCACACTGACTTCCACAATGGTTGAACTAGTTTACAGTCCCACCAACAGTGTAAAAGTGTTCCTATTTCTCCACATCCTCTCCAGCACCTGTTGTTTCCTGACTTTTTAATGATTGCCATTCTAACTGGTGTGAGATGATATCTATTGTGAGTTTTTAGCAAGAAGTGTTGTTCAATTTTGTCAAAGGCCTTTTCTGCATCTGTTGAGATAATCATGTGGTTTTTGTCTTTGGTTCTGTTTATATGCTGGATTACATTTATTGCTTTGCATATGTTGAACCAGCCTTGCATCCCAGGGATGAAGCCCACTTGATCATGGTGGATCAGATTTTTGATGTGTTGCTGGATTCGGTTTGCCAGTATTTTATTAAGGATTTTTGCATGGATGTTCATCAGGGATATTGGTCTAAAATTCTCTTTTTTGGTTGTGTCTCTGCCAAGCTTTGGTATCAGGATGATGCTGGCCTCCTAAAATGAGTTAGGGAGGATTCCCTCTTTTTCTATTGATTGGAATAGTTTCAGAAGGAAGGGTACCAGCTCCTCCTTGTACCTCTGGTGGAATTTGGCTGTGAATCCATCCAGTCTTGGACTTTTTTTGGTTGGTAAGCTATTGATTATTGCCACAATTTCAGAGCCTGTTATTGGTCTATTCAGAGATTCAACTTCTTCCTTGTTTAGTCTTGGGAGGGTGTATGTGTGGTGGAATTTATCCATTTCTTCTAGATTTTCTAGTTTATTAGCGTAGAGGTGTTTGTAGTATTCTCTGATGGTAGTTTGTATTTCTGTGGGATCGGTGGTGATACCCCCTTTATCATTTTTTATTGCGTCTATTTGATTCTTCTCTCTTTTCTTCTTTATTAGTCTTGCTAGTGGTCTATCAATTTTGTTGATCTTTTCAGAAAACCAGCTCCTGGATTCATTAGTTTTTTGAAGGGTTTTTTGTGTCTCTAATTCCTTCAGTTCTGCTCTGATTTTAGTTATTTCTTGCCTTCTGCTAGCTTTTGAATGTGTTTGCTCTGGCTTCTCTAGTTATTTTAATTGTGATGTTATGGTGTCAAGTTTAGATATTTCCTGCTTTCTCATGTGGGCATTTAGTGCTATAAATTTCCCTCTACACACTGCTTTGAATGTGTCCCACAGATTCTGGTATGTTGTGTGTTTGTTCTCGTTGGTTTCAAAGAACATCTTTTTTTCTGCCTTCATTTTGTTATGTACCCAGTAGTCATTCAGGAGCAGGTTGTTCAGTTTCCATGTAGTTGAGTGGTTTTGAGTGAGTTTCTTAATCCTGAGTTCTAGTTTGATTGCACTGTGGTCTGAGAGACAGTTTGTTATAATTTCTGTTCTTTTACATTTGCTGAGGAGAGCTTTACTTCCAACTATGTGGTCAATTTTGGAATAGGTGTGGTGTGGTGATGAAAAAAATGTATATTCTGTTGATTTGGGGTGGAGAGTTCTGTAGATGTCTATTAGGTCTGCTTGGTCCACATCTGAGTTCAATTCCTGGATATCCTTTTTAACTTTCTGTCTCATTGATCTGTCTAATGTTGACAGTGGGGTGTTAAAGTCTCCCATTATTATTGTGTGGGAGTCTAAGTCTCTTTGTAGGTTACTCAGGACTTGCTTTATGAATCTGTGTGCTCCTGTATTGGGTGCATATATATTTAGGATGTTAGCTCTTCTTGTTGAATTGATCCCTTTACCATTATGTAATGGCCTTCTTTGTCTCTTTTGATCTTTGTTGGTTTGAAGTCTGTTTTATCAGAGACTAGGATTGCAACCCCTGCCTTTTTTTGTTTTCCATTTGCTTGGTAGATATTCCTCCATCCCTTTATTTTGAGCCTATGTGTGTCTCTGCACGTGAGATGGTTTCCTGAATACAGCACACTGATGGGTCTTGACTCTTTATCCAATTTGCCAGTCTGTGTCTTTTAATTGGAGCATTTAGCCCTTTTACATTTAAAGTTAATATTGTTATGTGTGTATTTGGTCCTGTCATTATGATGTTAGCTGGTTATTTTGCTCATTAGTTGATGCAGTTTCTTCCTAGCCTTGATGGTGTTTACAATTTGGCATGTTTTTGCAGTGGCTGGTACTGGTTGTTCCTTTCCATGTTTAGTGCTTCCTTCAGGAGCTCTTTTAGGGCAAGCCTGGTGGTGACAAAATCTCTCAGCATTTGCTTGTCTGTAAAGGATTTTATTTCTCCTTCACTTATGAAGCTTATTTTGGCTGGATATGAAATTCTGGGTTGAAAATTCTTTTCTTTAAGAATGTTGAATATTGGCCCCCACTCTCTTCTGGCTTGTAGAGTTTCTGCTGAGAGATCCGCTGTTAGTCTGATGGGCTTCCCTTTGTGGGTAACCCGACCTTTCTCTCTGTGTTGTTTTTTTTTTTTTTCTAATTTTTTATTTGAGATTATTGCTCTGTCGCCCAGGCTGGAGTACAGTGGCATGATCTTGGCCCACTGCTACCTCTGCCTTCTGAGTTCAAGTTATTCTCCTGCCTCAGCCTCCCAAGTAGCTGAGATTAGAGGTGCCTGGCACCTTGCCCAACTAATTTTTGTATTTTTAGTAGAGATGGGGTTTCACCATGTTGGCCAGGTTGGTCTCAAACTCCTGACCTCAAGTGGTCTGACCATCTTGGCCCCAAATTGCTGTGATTAGAGCGTGAGCCCCCATGACCAGCCCACAATGCTCTTTGATGTGGGTACATTGCCTACAAATATATTGTGTGTTGGAGACTAGGGAGTTGTTTAGAGTTGGGGACCGATGATAGTCATGTAGCATTTTTGGTCAACACAATGAATGCAGTAATTAAGTCATTGCCATTATAATTGAATTATGAATACATCAAATATAAAACAATATAATGAAATAAAAAGTTTGACAGCCTTTTTATAAATAAAGAATTACAGTTCTTAAGAATATATTAGAAAGTATTTACCAATCATCTGATACAAATCCCAGGCTTTGTTGACCCAGATATAGCATATAGTAACAAATATCTGAGAATCTATTTTTGGGTAACTCTTTCTTGAGAAGTCTTTACTTAGTTTTGGCATTAAAAAGGCCATTATTTTCCAGTGGAGGATATACATAGTAGAATATTTGGTGTGTACAGAACAGTATAAATAAGAAAATAAATGTGTTTATAGTTTCTAACAGAAAACACTCATATTTTGGTCATATACCTTTCTTATGTTTTTCTCATATGCATGTAAATTCATATTTTTATGTTATATATAAAATTATATTTTATATTTGGTAAAATGCCTTTTAATTCTATATCACAAATATTTTTACCATATTATTAAATATTATCTATGACATAATTTTATGGCCACATACAGCCCAATTGTATAAATTATGTCCTTTCATATTAAACTTACAACTTATTGTTGGTCATGTAGTTTTTTAAGCCCCCCCACAAGCACACTGTTTAAAAATGCCTCTAAAATTTTAAAGTCACATAAAAAATTTTAAATGAAAAAATTTTAAACTCTTTAAAAATTTACTCTAAGAATATTAGTTAAATATATTTAAAGATGGACTGGACGTTCAATGAACAAAGTTGGACATTATTGGACTTCCATCTTTAAATGTATTTTAAGCAGTTTTCTTTGATTAAAATTCTGGAGGTGGCATTACAGAACCAATGAACATGAATATGTTGAATTTTGTTTAAATTAGAGGCAAATTATTCTACAAAATATGTTTACGTTTAAATTGAACTGTTTTGGTTCTAATTACTTAGCTTTAGGCAGCTTCTGAACGATAACAACAAATTGGACAAGATACTGTATCTCTTTGTTATCCTAAGTATATTTTGATACATAAAGAATATATGTGTATACATAAATATCTGTATATATACACATATATAAATGTATATTTATACAATAATATGTAAATATGTATATATGTATACTTAAATATGTATATATACATATTTATGTATATATGTATACTTAAATATGTATATATACATATTTATGTATATATGTATACATAAATATGTATATATACATATTTATGTATATATGTATACATAAATATGTATATATACATATTTATGTATATATACAAATATATAAAAATGTATGTATATATACATATTTATGTATATATTCTCCTTCTAAGATGTATATTATTTTTTCTTCCCTCTATCTTTTTCTTCTTATTTTTCCTTTTCTAGTTCTTTACACTTTCACTTTCATAATATTTTATAATATTTTTTGAATATATACAATATTTACAAGTCTTTAGAAGGCATACAATAAATAATACCTCCTTTCAAACTGCTACTTATCCGATATGTTAAAATAAATAAAAGTATACATATATTACAGGTAGAAAGTGATTATTTCCTTAAAAGAGGATGCATCCTTCCACTTACCCATCTTAAAAACATTTGTTTTATTTTCAGTAATGGTTCCAGATAGAGTAATAGTTTAAGTGAAAACCTTATCAAATATCCAATAGCTGTATAGAGTGATACTGGGTTCTTAACATGTCACTCCCATCAAAACATAGACAGGCTGTGTTTGGTGAACACTCTTATTCCTCACCTTGGTGGTCATCTTTAGTGACTGCCATTTTTACAAGAACTCTATTCTGGTTTCAGTCAGAAATTCAGACTTCATTAAAATCAGTGAGAAAGGATCATTGATTCAGGCCTATTTTCGACGGAGAATGTTACCAAATATAATTCTCTGGAGAGTAACAAAAGTATACAGAAAACTTCTCTGAAACACTGTGTGCATTCAGGAAACATAGTATAAGAATTAGTATAGCTTAGCCCAACACTTCACAATTAAAGTAATTATCATAGTATTTAGAGTACTCAAATGTTTGAATTAATTTACATTTGTGCTTTGAGTTAATTATTTTGTAGCCTAACAAAAAGCTTAACTATTTAAGTGATTTGTACTCAATCTTCCCAAATGTCTAAATCATACTTGGCAGTAATTCAAGCACTGAGGACAGAAGAATTAATACTGTTACGAGGTTAACATATGTAATTATTACGTCAAACTTCTAAGGTAAATATTTCTTACCAGTTGAGAAATGAACTTCTGCAAAATGAAGTGTTTTCTCACAGTTTATGCAGTTATTAAATGTGAGAGAAGTTGGACAAAGTCAATCACATGATTGAGGCCAAAGTCACTATGAGGAGGGACAAAAAAAGGACTTAATACAGGGAAGCTTGAATCACTGAGCAACAGCACAGTAAAAGTCTGGTATAACTTTTATTTTCTTGAATTCAGTATTAATAAATTCATAGAACTCCTTATTTAGAGGTTTTTAAACACTTTACCAAAACATGTTTTTAATCTATTACAACAGTCACAGAAATGTTCATAAGAATTGACTAGTTCCTATGGCTGGAAATATGGAAACACAAAACTTTTCAGATGTTCTTGACTCATATTTATTTATTTATTTATATTAATCACACACTCTTCGTATTCTAAAAAGCACTATGGCAGCTGATAAAACAGATAGGCATATTTTCTATGCTTATGAATATCAAAAGGATATCAAATAAGAAAAATAACTCTAAAATATATTTGTGATAAAATTCTAATTTTAAAAGTTATTTACATATAGTTAAACAGCAAAAAAGAAACATGATTAATAGCTTGTGAGATACTTTTAGTGGCTTCAGATTTCTAAAAACAGAAAATAGATAAATAAATGAGTAAAGTCTTATAGACTTCCCCTTAAATTAATTTTGTTTTAGAGGTTAACATATGTAATTATTATGCTTTCTGTTTTAATCTTGTAAAGTTTGTAGAACTATAAGATTATTTGAACAATGGAGGCATTTATTTTGCAGTATAACCAATACAGTTCATCAAAATTTCTCATAATCAATGCCTAATAAATACTTGGGGCATACAATTGAATGTGTTAAATGTTCCCCCCAAAATGTCTTGACTTTTAGTGTGGTTCTTTTGATCTCTTTCATTTCATCATAAGATTAAAATAAAAGAAGCTTCTTTTAAGAATCATTGATCATGTACTTGATCTCATTTCCATGGCCAGTGCAACCTGGCAGTCATGACACATAATACCAAGTTACATATTCCTCTGTATCAAGGACCCAGAGAGAGATTTTCGAAAAAGGGTCAACATGGAATACTCAAAGTAGAGGTATGGATTTTAAATGAAGCCACAGGTCCAAGCCATAGCAGCAAGATAAAAATTATTTCCACATGTTGAGCTGAGAGCTTAAACAAATAAAAAAGCGAGGCTGGAAATTGGGCAATTTTGAAAATGATTGAGAAATAGAGAGTGAAATAAATTGAAAACATCATTATTAGAATTGCATAACTTTATGTTTAAAATGCTTAGGGCAATATTTTTCACATGGCAAGCACCACCTGTGATTTAAACAAAATAATATTCATGGTTCAGGCCACATTTGACAAAAAATATGCAAATGGGCTGGGTGTCAAAAATGACCTTATGAGTGGTTTGATTCATCTCACAGGGAGGGGTAAACATGTCATTTTAAAGAAGTCAAGCAGGATTGAACATCAGCGTCTGTTTTACATAAATACACTTTTCTATCCATATGTTCACATAAGGTCTCATTAATTATAACTCTTTGAGGCCAGACATGGTGGCTCATGCCTTTAATCCCAGCACTTTGGGATGCCAAGGCAGGTGGATCACCTTAGGTCAAGAATTGGAGACTAGCCTGGCCAACATGGTGAAATCTCGTCTCTGCTAAAAATACAAAAAATTAGCTGGGCGTGGTGGTGTACGCCTGTAGTCCCAGGTACTTGGGGGGCTGAGGCAGGAGAATTGCTTGAACCCAGGAAGCAGAAGTGCAGAGAGCAGAGATCATGCCAGTGCACTTCAGCCTGGGCAACAGAGCAAGACTCTCTTTATATATTTGTCTGCATCCCCATTGTTTTATAAGCTGGTTGCATCTTCAGTCTTTATGTCATCAGACTCCTGCCTGATTGCTTTGAACTTCTGATAATCTATTTGATCACAGTGTCTGTTATTTCTGTTCATTTGTTTTGGTCTACTTTGTTTCTGGTCTATTGCTTGCTTTGTCCTAGCTCTAATAATTCTCTGATTGCTGGTTCTTCTTTTGCCATCAACATTTTGATTGCTTAGCTCCATCTCTTTACTTTTCCTCTGACTTCTGGCTTCTTTCATCCACTACTCACTTTCAACTGTTTGCCTATTCTATTTTATTTACTTATTTATTGAAACAGGGTCTTGCTTCTTCACCCAGGCTAGAGTGCAGTGGAGAGATCATGGCTCATTGCATCCTTGAACTCCTGGGCTCAAGCACTCCTCTTGCCTCAGCCTCCCAAGTTGCTAGGATTACAGGCCCCCACCAATACCTGACTATTTTTTTTTTTTTTCTTTTTGTAGAGACAGGAGCTTGCTATATTGCCCAAGCTGGTCTCAAAGTCTTGGACTCAAGCAGTCTTCTCGCTTCAGCCTCCCAAAGTGTTGGGATTATAAGTGTGAGCTGCCACACTCAGCCTAATTATTCACTTTTTTCCTTTTTTTATCCATAATTTGTAAATACCAACTTATTCTATGCATAACCACATTTTTTATAGTTGATATATAAATATGATGCATTGCTCGCATACTTCTTAGTGTTATTTTGTACATACTTTAAAGAGATTTTGAGATAGGGGATGACTAAGAAGAGGAAGAAAAAAGAGTGCATAAAGCATCAAGTAAGGACACTTCCAAACAGTAAGAAAAAAATTTAAGATATTTTATGGGAGATAACTTTTCTAAAACACCATCTCTATGCCTTGGAAAAAATACAACTTAAAAAGTAGAAAAAGCATAAGTAAGAGTAGTCATAGTTTGGTGACATCCTTTAAAGTGCCTAGAGAAGAAAAAGCTGAAATAAGTACAATCTAAGCAGCTGCTTACTTGAAAAAGCATATTGGAGATAAGGAATGTTATAACAACTTTATTACTGTGGCTTTTTTCCTAGTTCTGCACATCTAGGGAAGCTAAATGTTACTGACTTTACACGTTGTGTGTAGACCCAAACACCATGACAGCCAAAGCACTGGCTAATAAGAGGATTAGAAGCACCAGGACAGGCATCCCACTGACAGAGGGTTGGGATGTCACTGTTACAGGTCACTAGAAGACCTCTGTCTTTTACCTCACCCTCCCCCACCCACTCTCACTTGTGATAAAATGCTTTATTCTGTAATTCTATATAGAAGCTGTCCACGTACAGAAAACTTTCATAGAAGTTATCATCTACTAACTTTAGATACAAAATACATATTTCACATTTGATCCTGGAATATGTCCACACTATTTCTTTACATTATTTACAAAAGGAAAGAAAAGCATAGGATTCACTTTCACAATAGGTCAACAATGCTATTTCATATGATGAAGAGAATACTGTGTTACTTTGGATGCAATAGAAATTATAAAAAATTGATTGAGTATAATTGGAGATATGCGAATAAAATAATTATCTTCATATTTTGTTCCCATAAAAACAAATTTTCTGAATGAGGGCCAGGGGATAAAACTTTCTCTCTCAAGTAACTTGTTAACTTAAACTACAGGTAGCAGATGTAGGGAAAATGGCAGTAGTGGCATCATTTTTGAGACTTCCAGAATCCTAACATAAAATCAGAAAGAGAAACAAAACAAAAACACAAAACAAACACAAATTTCTGGAGATATTTAAAACAGAACTAAGTGACAGTGAATCAAATGAACTCCAAAATGAAAGCTTATTGTCAGAGAGGCACCCATAGCAGAAAGATAGGCATTTGTTGGTTTTAAAGCATGGCAGATGGATTTGAGTACTGCAGCAGCAACTGGGAGAGTTTCCCCCACTCAGTTAGGGAGCAAATGTGAAGGTACTCCGGTAATTTGGACAGGACTGGAACAACTTAACAACCAAAAATCACTTAAGCTGAGCTGCCAGAGTTCCTTCTAGGATGGAACAAAACATAGAAGAGAAATGTCTATGAGTGGAATCAAAATTAAAAAAGATAGGAGAAACAGAGACAAAGAAAGGCTATAGAGCCTCCAGCAAATTCTAGAGAGTAAGCTGCCATACTTTTAAATACCACATGAAACCACAGAAGAGGAAGCTCTCTAAAGTTTGAAAATTACCCTGAGCTATGCCTCTTTCTAAAAGTTCAGAAACTTTTGCATGAAAAATGATCAACTGAAAGTCATGAAGGCCAAATTCCATGTAAGTCGCTAAAAAAAGAGAATAAGATGCAAAACAACATCCTCACAGAAAATGTAACTATGTCATAAAGACATGTTCAAAAATCAGATTATACCTGTAATGTCCTAAGTGCTTGAAAATAAAACAGCACATTACATGCATTAAGAAAATCATATAATGTGAAATAGTAACATTAAATATTTTTTAAAACTCAGATAAAATGAGGGAACACAGGAGATTTTTAGAAATAAAATAATTTTATAAATGAAAGCTGAACTAGAAGAAACAGAAGTGAATAAATGCAACAATAAAATGCCTATGCCTTAAGGTAAATAGAAGATAGAAAGGATATATATATATATATATATATTTATTTGTGTGTATGTGTATATATATATATGTGCATTATATATATACATATGTGTATTATGCATGTATATATATACACACACACATAAAAAATCAAAAAGGCAGAGATAAAAATAAATCAAGAGAAAGTAAAAATGTTGTATATAGACAACAGGAGATCTTAAAGAGGAGATCCAAAACAAGAACCAAATTAATACTTAAAATTACTTTAAAACAACTTTTAAAAAGCTTTCCTGAAATACTAAAGATTTGAAACTACTATATTGAAAGAGCACACTTGGTACCCAAAAATAAAAATTTAGAATGAATAACAAGATATATTCTAGCAAAATGCCTAGATATTAAAGGAAAAGAAAAAAGTATTTGTGTCTCTAGATAAAAAGAATATATGCAATATAAAGAAAAAGGCTGAGACACAATGACCAACACATGGCAATGAGCATTTGTGACTTTGACTCAAAATATTATTTCACATGAAATGCAGTCAGGATTTCTTGGAGGAACAATTCTCACATGTAGAAGATAAATCTGGAACTCTGATATACTACATAGCAAGTCACTAGATCCCAGTGTTTGTTTCAGGCTCCAACATTGCCACAGAGCCCACTGGACAGTGAAGTATCTGGCTATGCATCTTTCTTTATTAGAAGTATTCATTGTCACATTCCTCCCAAATTTCAAAAGCACCTGATAGCTGTCACATTTCTAATCATCTAGTCACTAAATGGCCATTTTAGTATATTTTCCTTCCTTCTTAGTGCTGCTTTTTCTTATGCATGTATATATTCTGAATATATCATATATATCATTTTCCATTTGTATATCATAAAACTATTACATTATTCTTTTTTAAATTTATTATTATTATTTTACTTTAAGTTTTAGGATACATGTGCACAATGTGCAGGTTAGTTACATATGTATACATGTGCCATGTTGGTGTGCTGCACCCATTAACTCATCATTTATTATTAGGTATATCTCTTAATGCTATCCCTCCTCCCTCCCCCCACCCCACAACAGTCCCTGGTGTGTGATGTTCCCCTTCCTGTGTCCATGTGTTCTCATTGTTCAATTCCCACCTATGAGTGAGAACATGCGGTGTTTGGTTTTTTGTCCTTGTGATAGTTTGCTGAGAATGATGGTTTCCAGTTTCATCCATGTCCCTACAAAGGACATGAACTCATCATTTTTATGGCTGCATAGTATTCCATGGTATATATGTGCCACATTTTCTTAATCCAGTCTATCGTTGTTGGACATTTAGGTTGGTTCCAAGTCTTTGCTATTGTGAATAGTGCCACTATAAACATATGTGTGCATGTGTCTTTATAGTAGCATGATTTATAATCCTTTGGGTATATACCCAGTAATGGAATGGCTGGGTCAAATGGTATTTCTAGTTCTAGATCCCTGAGGAATTGCCACACCGACTTCCACAATGGTTGAACTAGTTTGCAGTCCCACCAACAGTGTAAAAGTGTTCCTATTTCTCCACATCCTCTCCAGCACCTGTTGTTTCCTGACTTTTTAATGATTGCCATTCTAACTGGTGTGAGATGGTATCTCATTGTGGTTTTGATTTGCATTTCTCTGATGGCCAGTGATGGTGAGCATTTTTTCATGTGTTTTTTGGCTGCATAAATGTCTTCTTTTGAGAAGTGTCTGTTCATATCCTTTGCCCACTTTTTGATGGGGTTGTTTGTTTTTTTCTTGTAAATGTGTTTGAGTTCATTGTAGATTCTGGATATTAGCCCTTTGTCAGATGAGTAGGTTGCAAAAATTTTCTCCCATTATGTAGGTTGCTTGTTGACTCTGATGGTAGTTTCTTTTGCTGTGCAGAGCTCTTTAGTTTAATTAGATCCCATTTGTCAATTTTGGCTTTTCTTGCCATTGCTTTTGGTGTTTTAGACATGAAGTCCTTGCCCGTGCCTATGTCCTGAATGGTATTGCCTAGGGTTTCTTCTAGGGTTTTTATGGTTTTAGGTCTAACATTTAAGTCTTTAATCCATCTTGAATTAATTTTTGTATAAGGTGTAAGGAAGGGATCCAGTTTCAGCTTTCTACATATGGCTAGCCAGTTTTCCCAGCACCATAAGAATATTACATTATTCTTAACTGTCCTTTGAATATAAAGATTTTGAATTATCACATTGAATCACATTAGACATCCCTGCATTTTCTAACTAACCTACTATACTCTACTTGCAAATTGTCCTATTAGAAATCAATCTTAGAAGAGTATCGTTGTCTCTTTGTTGTCTACATAATGGATTTTACCATGTGTTTCAAAAGGATTATGCTATTTTCCTATCAAACAATTATTACATGATAATATCACTGTTATTTGAGTTGCCTATTCCACCAGTAAATAAGACTGATTAAAATCAAAGATAATGTTGGTGATAATATCTTTAAAATATTCTTCAAGATCCAATGTTATTCCAAGCATCTATCAGTGAACACAAGCCACTTTAAACAGAATCCTCCAATATGCAATAAGGTTAGAGAGAAAAAAAGAAAGAGAGGAGGACAGGGATGGATGTCAGAAAGACAAAAATGTGGATGGGTGGGGGAGGAAAAGAAAAATGTGCTGAAAATAGAAATAGGTGAAAGGGATAAACAAGGACAAACAGAAACAGTTAGAGATTAGAGAGTGAGCCCAAGTGGAGATAGGTCCAAGTTATATAGGAAAATAATAATTCCTAACTTAGATATCACTCATTCCTTGCAGCCATGCAAAGCTAACCATACTTACTACCCTTCAATAAGCAAACAGTGAACACTCATTTCATTCCACCAACAGAAAGAGGAATTATACCTCCATTATTTAGCAAAGACACATAGATAAGAAGTGGTGTTCTTGCCCAAGAACAACTACTCTAACTAAACTGAAGGAGACTTCCCCAAATGTGGAAAAGTTTAATTCTATAATCTACTAATAAATTTATTAATTAAAACTTGTCTCAGCAATTATATTTTTTGGTTTCAGAATGACTTTTAAATGTTTAAAAAAATATTGAGGTCTATAAAGAGATGTTCATGTGGGCTATATCTGTTAATATTTTTCATGTTAGAAATAAAAATTGAGCAATTAAAATATTCACTTGTAAAATCATTATAAGATAATAAAACCATTGCATGCTAACATAAACTTATAATATACAATTCCCAAATAAAACACTTTAGTGAGCAGAATGGCATTGTATTACACACATTCAAATCTCTGTAATGCCTGGTTTAATAGAAGACAGTCTATTTCTCATATTTGCTTCTACATTCAGTCTGTAACAATACATTGTTTTGGTTGAGGTAAGTTAAGAAAATTCAGTCTCACATGGATAGTTAATTAGATATGTGATAATTGTGGAAATGTGATAACATATTACAGCAAAAGTCAACAAATCGTACTTTCTTAATATTTAGTTGCAATGTGAAATCTAAAATAATCAGTGCGTTCATTTTGCCTTGTAAAATCCATTGAACTGTTTGCTGTTTGAATAGGCCTTTTACTCATACATAAATTTTACAAAATCAAGCATAGATTATTTGGGACATATTGGTTCATTGAGTTTGGCAAATATTCCAAATGTTTGACATATCTCATTACTCAAAAACAAAAAGCCATATTTTTAATATAATATCTGATCTCAATAGTAAAGTATATTAGTCCTGATGCTTTGAAGCCCCTGGTGGGTGATACAAGTTTTTCAGAATTTTTATTTTCACTTGAAGGTTCAAATTTTATCCTTGACAAAAATACTTTCAGCCTGTAATCCCAGCATTTTGGGAGGCCAACACAGGCAGATAACTTAAGCCCAGAGCTCAAGACCAGCCTGGGCAATATGGCAAACCCCTGTCTATACAAAGAATTTTTAAAAATTATTGAGGCATGGTGGCACATGCATGTAGTCCCAGTTATTTGGGAGGCTGAGGTACAAAGATTACCTGAGGCTGGGAACATGAGGCTGCAGCGAGCCAAGCCATAATTGTGCCTCTGCATTACAGCCTGAGGGACAGAGCGAGACTCTATCTCAAAACAACCACCACCACCACCATCAACATAACAACAAAAACCTTTCCATTGTTTTCATTTAAATTATAGGCTCTTTATTCATTGTTGGGAAAATGTGTATCAAATTCTTTTGTCTGGATAACCATATTAGTTAACTTTTGGCCAGAGGCATTTGAAAGTAGAAAACAGACAGATGTAGACATTTGTATGACCTATACGACAATTTGTTAGTTGCTTACCTTATGTTCCCTTCCTTTTCCTAGTCTTTCAAGACTTTTTCCCCATCCCTTACTGAATATATGAGGTTTTACAAAGAAATTCTAATTTGGTATTTGGCAAGCCTGATCCTTCTGAAATAAGGAAAATTAAATAACACAGAGCATAGCAAAGCGATCTTATCACTAAGTAAACTGAAAATAAATATTTGATCCAATCCTATATTTTTTAAAGAAAGGAACATCTCCAAATGCGTGGAACAGGATTTCAAAATGTTGAAAGGGAAATGTCAAAATATTTTAATAAGTGGGAGATCAAAAGCTGGTTTTGAGAGATGAGGAATAGAATTCTGGAACATAAAGATAGATCAGTAATGTATAATATTCAAAGAGCATGTAAAAAGACTGTGCAGATCACCAAAGAACTTCGTAGGTAATAATTTTAAATTTCAGGTACTGTATATTTATAACCATAGCAAGATCAAATTTTGTTAGTATAAAAATAATTTCAAAAATCACTTTTGTGAGTAAATTAACGTCTTTATTTTTAAATTAAACTTTTGGCTTTGAGATAATTATAGATTAATATGTAGTTGTGTGAATTAATACACATAGATTCCTTTTACTGTCTGCCATGCTTCTTTCAATAATAACTTACAAAACTGCAGTATAATATCACAATCAGGATATTGACATTGACACAATCTACTAATCTTGTTCCTATTTCTTAAATTTTATTTGTATTCATTTGTGTGTCTCTGTGTGTATTTATTTCTTGGCAATTTTATCATATATGTAGATTTGCATATCTATTACTATGGTCAAGATACTGAACTGTTCCCTCGCCAAAAAGATCTTTTGTTACTCTTTTATAACCACACATACTTTCTGCCAGCCACATACCACCACTCTTGTCTTTACCTCTGTGTGATGGTAAATTTTGTGTGTCAGCATGGCTAAGTCATGGTGCTCATATATGTGGGCAAACATTATTTTGCGTGTTTCTGTAAAGGTGAATGAGATTAACATTTAACTTGGTGGATTTTGAGTCAAGCAAATTGTCCCTCATTTTGTGGATGGCCCTCTTCTAATTAGCTGAAAGTCCAAATAGAGAAAAATGCATTGACCCCCACCTTGAGCAACAGGGAATTTTGCCAGCAGTCTTTGAACTTGAAGACTTCAACTATAGTGTTGGCTTTTTCCAGGTCTCCAGCCTGCCCACCCTGCAGATTTTGGACATGGCAGCTCCATAATCATGTAAGTCAATATCTAAAAATAAAACATATATAAAGGGACTTCACAAAGTTCAGGGAAAAATGTAATTAAAAGATAAAAGTAAAACGTATAAACTTTATTTTTCAACACAAGCTTCATCAAGTTCAAAAGATTTTTATAAGTGACAATACTAGCCTTTTAGCTCATTTCTAAAGAACAGAGGGTCCTAAGAATTTAACCATGTAAATACAATCTCTTTTTACATTAATAACTGAAGAAAAATTAGTGTCCGTTACAGATTTTTTAATATTATGATCCAAAAAAAAAAAAATGTCAGAAGAAGCCAAATCGGGACTATAAAGTGAATGCCTAAGGATTTCCCTTTGAAACTCTCACAAAATGGTCCTTGTTTGATGGGAGGAATGAGCAGGAGCATTGTCATAGTGGAGAAGAACTCCCTGGTGAACTTTCTCAGGTGTTATCTGCTAAAGCTTTTTTCTAACTTTCTCAAAACACACTCATAACAAGCATGTTATTATTATTTGGCTCTCCAGAAACTGAACAAGCAAAATGCCTTCAGCATCTGAAAAAATGGTGGTCATGACCTTTGCTCATGACACTTCTGTTTTTGGTTTGACTGGAGCACTTCCCCTTTTTGGTGGCCATTGCTTTGTGCTTTGTCTTCAGGATTGTACTGGTAAAAGCATGTTCCATCTCCTGTTACAATTCTTCAAAAAAAAAAAAAAAATGCATCAGGATCTTGATCATACTTGCTTTAAATGTTCATTAGTAGTTCTGTTCCTGTCTGCACCTGATATGGATACAATGATTTCGGCACCCATCTAGTGGAAAGTTTGCTCAACTCTAATTTTTCAGTCAGAATTGTGCAGGCTGAAGCAATTGAGAGATCAGTGGTGGTGACTATTGTTTCTGCTGTTACTTGTCGGTCCTCTTCTATTAGAGCACAAACAAGACGATTTGTTTTCTCTGCAAATTGATGTAGGTGTCTCCCACTGTGGGTTTTATTTTCAGCATTTTATTGTCCCATTTTAAAATGGGTTATTTGTAAGCTGCTTATTTGCAGCATTGTCCCCATACCACACTATTTTTTTCATTTCCATAGATTTTTGGGGAACAGGTGGTATTTGGCTACATGAGTAAGTTATTTAGTGGTGATTTGTGAGATTTTGGTGCATCCATCACTCAAACAGTATACACTGAACCCAGCTTGTAGTCTTTATCCCTCACCCTCGTCACACCCTTTTCCCCTGAGTCTCCAAATTCCATTGTGTCATTCTTATGCCTTTGCATCATCATAGCTTATCTCCCACTTATGAATGAGAATATGTAATGTGTGATTTTCCATTCCTGAGTTATTTCACTTAGAATAATAGTTTCCAATTCCATAGACGTTGCTGCAAATGTCATTAACTCATTCCTTTTTATGGCTGAGTAGTAGTAGTCCACCATACATATATATATATATACATATATATGTATATATATGTATGTATATACACAAGTATGTACATACATGTATGAGTATATACATGTATGAGTATATATACATGTATGTGTGTATATATGTATATACATGTATGTGTGCATATACATGTATGTGTGTATAACATGTATGTGTATATACATGTATGTGTGTATATGTGTATATACATGTATGTGCATATACACATGTATGTGCATATACACATGTATGTGCATATACACATGTATGTGCATATACACATGCATGTGCATATACACGTGTATGTGCATATATACGTGTATGTGCATATACGCATGTATGTGCATATGCACGTGTGTATGTATATATACATGCATGTGTATATACACATGTGTATGTATATATACGTGTGTATATACGTGTGTATATACATGTATGTGTATATACATGTGTGTATATATACATGTATGTGTACATGCACATGTGTGTATATATACATGTATGTGTACATACACACACACACAGTATCTTTATCCATTCATTGATTGATGGACATTAGGGTTGGTTCCACATTTTTGCAATTGCAAATTGTGGTGCTGTAAACATGCATGTGCAAGCATCTTTTTTGTATAATGATTTCTTTTCCTCTGGGTAGATACCCAGCAATGGGATTGCTGGATCAAATGGTAGTTCTACTTTTAGTTCTTTAAGTAATCTCCACACAGTTTTCCACAGTGGCTGTCCTAGTTTACATTCCCACTAGCAATGTAGAAGTGTGCCCTCTTTTCTGCATCCACACCAACATCTATTATTTTTGATATTTTAATTATGGACATTCTTGCAGAAGTAAGATGGTATCACATTGTGGTTTTGATTTACATTTCTCTGATCATTAATAATGTTGAGCATTATTCATATGTCTCTTGGCCATTTGTATATTTTCTTTTGAGAATTGCCTGTTCATGTCCTTAGCCCACTTTTTGATGGCATTATTTTTTTCTTACTGATTTGCTTGAGTTCATTGTAGATTCTGGATATTAGTCCTGTGTCAGTTGTATACATTATGAAGATTTTCTCCCACTTGGTTGATTGGTTGTTTACTCTGCCAAATGTTCCTTTTGTCATGCAAAAGCTCTTTAGTTTAATTAAGTTCCAGCTACTTATCTTTGTTTTTATTGCATTTGCTTTTGGGTTCTTGGTCGTGAAATCCTTGCCTAAGCCAATGTCTAGAAGAGTTTTTCCAATGTTATCTTCTAGAATTTTTATAGTTTCAAGTCTGAGATTTAAGTCCTTGATGTGTCTTGCCAATTATCCCAGCACCATTTGTTGAATAGGGTGTCCTTTCCCCACTTTATGGTTTTGTTTGCTTTATTGAAGATCCGTTGGCTGTAAAGATTTAGGTTTATTTCTGGATTCTGGATGCTGTTCCATTGGTCTATGTGCCTATTTTTATATCAGTACCATTCTGTTTTGGTGACTATGGTCTTATAGTATAGTTTGAAATCAGGTAATGTGATGCCTCCATATTTGTTATTTTTGCTACTCTTGCTTTGGCTATGTGGGCTATTTTTTGGTTCCATATGAATTGTAGGGTTGTTTTTTCTAATTCTGTGAAGAATGATGGTGGTATTTTGATGGGAATTGCATTGACTTTGTAGATGGCTTTTGGCAGTATGGTCATTTTCACAATATTGATTCTACCCATACATGAGCATGGGATGTGTTTCCATTTGTTTGTGCTGTTTATGTTTTGTAGTTTTCCTTGTAAATTTCTTTCATCTCCTTGGTTAAGTATATTTCTAAGCATTGTATTTTTTTGCAGCTATTGTAAAAGGACTTAAGTTCTTGATTTGATTCTCAGCTTTGCCATTGGTGTATAATGGAGCTACTGATTTGTGTATATTAATTTTGTACCCTAAAATTTGTTGAAGTCATTTATCAGTTTTAGGAGCTTTTTGGAAGAGTCTTTAGATTTTTCTATGTATACCATTATATCATCAGCAAACAGTAACAGTTTGACTTCCTCTTTACTGATCTAGATGTCGTTTGTTTCTTCCTCTTCTCTGATTGCTTTGACTAGGACTTCCAGTACTATATTGTATAGAAGTGGTGAGAATGGGCATCCTTCTCTTGTCCCAGTTCTCAGAGGAAATGCTTTCAACTTTTCCCCATTCAACATTATATTGGCTGTGGGTTTGTCATAGAAGGCTTTTATTACAATGAGATGTGTCCCTTGTATGCTGATTTTGCTGTGGATTTTAATCATAAAGGGAGGCTGATTTTTTCAAATGCTTTTTCTGAGTCTATTAAGATGATCATGTGATATTTTTGTTTATAATTCTGTTTATGTAATGTATCACATTTATTGACTTGCATATGTTAAACCATCCCTGCATCCATAGTATGAAACCCACTTGATCATGGTGTATTATCTTTTTGATATGTTGTTGGATTCAGTTAACTAGTATATTGTTAAGGATTTTTACATCTATGTTCATCAGGGATATTGGTCTGTAGTTTTATTTTTTGGGTTATGTTCTTTCCTGGTTTTGGTTTTAGAGTGATACGGCCTTCATAGAATAATTTAGGGTGGGTTCCCTCTTTCTTTATCTTGTGGAATAGTGTCAATAACATTGGTACCAATTCCTCTTTGAATGTCTGGTTGAACTCAGCTGTGAATCTGTCTGGTCCTGGACTTTTTTGGTGTTGGTAATTTTTAAATTACCATTTCAATTTTGCTGCTTGTTTTTGGTCTGTTCATGGTGTCTAATTCTTTCTGATTTATGCTAGGAGGCTATATTTTTCCAGGAATATATCCATCACCTCTAAGTTTTCTAGTTTATGTGTGTAAAGGTGTTTATGGTAGCCTTGATTTTTTTTTTTATTTCTATGTTTTTGGTTGTGATATCTCCCTCTTTTTTTCTCCTCTGATTGAGCTTATTTGGTTGTTCTCTTATTTTCTTGGTTAATTTTGCTAATGGTTTATCAATTTTATTTATCTTTCAAAGAACCAGCTTTTTGTTTCACTTATCTTTTGTATTGTTTTGTTTCAATTTTATTGAGTTTTGCTTGGATCTTGGTTATTTCCTTTCTTCTGCCGGGTTTGGGTGTGGTTTGTTCTTGTTTCTCTTGTTGCTTCAGAGTGTGATCTTAGGTTGTCTATTTGTTCTCTTTCAGACTTTTGATGTAGGCATTTATGGCTGTGAACTTTCCTGAGAGCATCACCTTTGCTGTATCCCAGAGCTTTTGATAGGTTGTGTCACTATCATTGTTCACTTCAAATAACTTTTTAATTTCAATCTTGATTTTATTGTTGACCCAATGACCATTCAGGAGCAGGTTATTTAATTTCCATGTATTTGCATGGTTTTGAAGGTTCCTTTTAAAGCTGATTTCCAGTTTTATTCCACTGTGGTCTGATAGAGTACTTGATATAATTTCAGTTTTCTTATATTTATTGAGACTCGTTCTGTGGCTGATGCTATGGTCCATCTTGTAGAAAGTTCCATGCACTGATGAATAGAATGTATATTCTATGGTTGTTGGGTAGAATGTTCTGTAAATATCTGTTAAGTCTAGTTGTTCCAGGGTACAGTTTAAATCCATTGTTTCTTTTGACTCTCTGTCTTGACCTTGAGAGGTGACAACATGCTAGCAGCCCTCTCTCGCTCTCGGCACCTCTTTGGCCTTGGTGTCCACTTTGGCCACGCTCCAGAAGCCCTTCAGCCCACCAATACGCTGTGGGGGCCCCTCTCTGGGGCTGGCCAAGGCAGGAGCTAGCTCCCTTTGCTCGCAGGGAGGTGTGGAGGGAGAGGCGCAGGCAGGAGCCAGGGCTGCGCACGGTGCTCGTGGGCCTGCATGGCTTCCAGGTGGGCATGGGCTCAGCAGGCCCCACATTCCATGTGGCTGGCCAGTGCCTGATGGGCTTGATCAGAGGCTGGGTCCCGTGCGTGGACCGCCATTCCCTCTTCATGGGGTCAGTGGCCATGATGGCGGGTCTCCATCTCTTTCGTCTCTTTCTCGCTTCCCCTCTTTTCCTCTTGGTTGTCTGGGATGAGCTCCCTCGGGGCTGTCAGAATGCCCAGGCTAGGTGATGCAAAGTCCCACAGTGAGTGCCAGTGAGAGGTGAAGCCGGCTGGGCTTCTGGGACAGGTAGGGTTTGGAGAACTTTAATGTCTGGCTAAAGGATTGTAAATGCACCAATCAGCACTCTGCATCTAACTAAAGGTTTGTAAATGCACCAATCAGTGCTCTGTATCTAGCTAACTGGGTGGAGACTTGGAGAACTTTTGTGTCTGGTTAAAGGACTGTAAATGCACCAATCAACACTCTGCCAAAATGGACCAAACAGCTCTCTGTAAAATGGACCAATCAGCCCTCTGTACAATGGACCAATCAGCAAGACATGGGTGGAGCCAGATAAGGGACTAAAAGCATGCCACCCTAGCCAGCGGCAGCAACATGCTCGGGTCCCCTTCCACTCTGTGTGGAAGCTTTGTTCTTTTGCTCTTTGCAATAAATCTTGCTGCTGCTCACTCTTTGGGACTGCACCACCTTTATGACCTGTAACACTCACCGTGAAGGTCTGCAGCTTCACTCTTGAAGCCAGTGAGACCACGAACCCACCGGGAAGAATGAACAACTCCAGATGCGCTGCCTTTAAGAGCTATAACACTCACCACAAAGGTCTGCAGCTTCACTCCTGAAGTCAGCAAGACCACAAACCCACCAGAAGGAAGAAACTCCGGACACGTCCAAACATCAGAAGGAACGAACTCTGGACACACCATCTTTAAGAACTGTAACACTCACTGCGAGGGTCTGCAGCTTCATTCTTGAAGTTAGTGAGACCAAGAACCCACCAATTCCAGACACAACCTATCTAGTGCTGTCAGTGGAGTATTGAAGTCCCTCACTATTAGTGTGTTGCTATCTATCTCATTTCTTAGGTCTAGTAGTAATTGTTCTATAAATTTGGGTGCTCCAGTGTTAGGTGCATATATCTTTAGAATTGTGATATTTTCCTGTTGGACAAGGTCTTTTATCATTATATAATGTCCCTTTTTGTCAGTTCTAACTGCTATTGCTTTAAAGTTTGTTTTGTCTGATATAAGAATAGCTACTTCTGCTGGCTTTGGGTGTTCGCATGGAATGTCTTTTTCCACCCCTTTACATTAAGTTTATGTGCATCCTTTATGTGTTACTTAAGTCTCTTGAAGGCAGCAGATACTTGGTTGGTGAATTATTATCTATTCTGCAATTCTGTGTCTTCTTAGTGGAGCATTTAGGCCATTTACATTCAAGATTAGTATTGAGGTGTTAGGTACTATTCCATTCATAATGGAATTTGTTGACAGTATAAAGTGTTTTTTTTTTGACTGTATTTTTATTTTATAAGTTCTGTGAGATTTTTGCTTTACAGAGGCTCTATTTTGTTGTGTTTTCAGGATTTGTTTGAAGATTTAGAGCCCCCTTTAGCAATTCTTGTAGTGCTGGCTTGGTAGTGGCAAATTCTCTCAGCATTTATTTGTGTGAAAAAGGCTGTTATCTTTTCTTTGCTTATGAAGCTTAGTTTCACTGGATACAAAATTCTTGGCTGATAATTGTTTTGTTTAAGGAGGCTGAAGATAGGGCCTCAATCCCTTCTAGTTTATAGGTTTCTGCCAAGAATTCTGCTGTTAATCTAATAGATCTGTCTTTATAGGTTACCCTGTCCTTTTGTCTAACAGCTCTTAAGATTCTTTTCTTCATCTTGATTTTAGATAACCTGATGACAGTATGCCTAGGTGATGATCTTTTTGCAGTGAATTTCCCAGGTGTTCTTCAAGCTTCTTGTATTTGGATGCCTAAGTCTCCAGCAAGGATGGGGAAGTTTTCCTTGATTATTCCCCCAAATATGTTTTCCAAACTTTTAGATTTCTCTTCTTATTTAGGAATGCCAATTATTCTCAGGTTTGGTTGCTTAGCATAATCCCATACTTCTTGTTGGCTTTGTTCTTTTTTTAATTCTTTTTTCTTTGTTTTTGTTGGATTGGGCTAATTCAAAAACCTTGCCTTTGAGCTCTGAAGTTCTTTTTTCTGCTTGTTTTATTCTATTGTTGAGAGTTTCTAGAACATTTTGCATTTATCTAAGTGTGTCCTTCATTTCCTGAAGTTGTGATTGTTTTTTATTCATGCCATCTATTTCACTGAAGATTTCTTCCCTCATTTCTTGTATCATTTTTTAATTTCCTTAAATTGGATTTTATTTTTCCCTGGTTCCTCCTTGATTAGCTTAATAACTGATTTTCTGAATTGCTTTTCATATAAATCTATAGTAAACATTACCATTGAGTAGAGTGATTCCTGTTCATTTGTTTTTCAAGATTGTTTTAGATATTCTGGAACTTGGGCCTTTCCGTAAAAATTTTAGAATAAGATTGTCTATGGTCTATGTCTACAAAAAACCTCTCTGACATTTGGATAGAAATTGATCAATTAGAAAAAAATGAAAACTATAATGTTAAGCCTTTCAATTCATGGACACCATGTATCTTTCTATTTATTTAAATCTTTTGATTTTTTTAAATTTTGTAATATTAATTTACAAATCTTGAACATGTCTTGCTAAGATTATAACTAAGTATCTCATTTTCTCTGGAGCAATTTTAAATGATGTAATTTTAAATTTAATTTTCTAGAGTATGAAAATTTGATTTATTTGTGTTCACCTTTTATTCTGTGATCATACTGAACTCACTTATTAGTTCAGAGAGGTTACTAAACATTTTTTTGAATTGTCTATGTTTGTCATCATGTCAGTGAAGATAAGGGTGATTATATTTCTTTCCAATCAGTATACCTCCTTCCTTCCTTCCTTTCTTCCTTCCTTCCTTCCTCCTTCCTTCTTTTTTTTACTTTTTACAGTATCTAAAACTTTCAGTACTATGTCATATAAGAGTGACAAGGGCATACACACTTGCCATAGGATGGATCTTAAAAAACAGTGTTTTATTTTTCAGTGTTAACTATGATATTAGCTATATTTTATTTAAGATGACCTTTAGCAAATTGATATAGATCTCTTTTATTACTAACATACTGAGATTTTTAATCATAAATTGGTATTATATTGTGTCAAATGCTTTTTTTGTGCCATTTGATATGATTATGTAATTTTCCTTCTTTAGCTTGTTCATGTAGTGGATTACATCAAATGATTTTGGAATTTTGTACCAGCCTTGCATACTTAGAGTCACACTTGGTCATGATGCATATTTCTTTTTTACATTGTTGGGTTGATTTGCTAATTTTTTGTTGAGAATTATGGCAACTGAATTTGCAAGAGATATTGGCTTATAGTTGTCTTAATCTCCTAGGACTGCCATAACAAATTACCCTAAACTGGGTGACATAAAATAGCAGAAATTTATTCTTTCACAGTTCTGGAGACAAGAAGTTCAAAATCAAGGTGTTGATAGGGACATGCTCCCTCTAATAGCTCTAGGGGAATTCTGTGAACTAAATCATGTGCCCTGAACATTCACATGTTGGAGTCCTAATCCCAATTTTATGGTGTTTTGAGATGATCCCTTTGGGACATAATTAACTTTAGATGAGATCATAAGGGTGGGGGCCCCCTGCTAATTTTTTTTTTATTTTAGTCCAGGAGGACCCATTCCAGATTTCTGAATTCCAAAATTGTAAAATAATACATTTATGTTGTTTTAATCCACAATATTTGTGGCAATTTGTTACAGTAGCAATAAAAAATTAATACAGTAACTTAAGAATTTGAGGAAGAGGATATTTATATTACAGTGTTCATCTTTCTTTCCTAAAGTTCCAGACCTTCTTTTCTTATTTTTTTTTTTCTGTTTGGAGAGTTCTCTTTAGCCATTTCTTATGGGTACATCTACTGGTGACAAAGTTTTAGTTTTCCTACATCTCAGAATGTCTTTATTTCATTTTCATATCTAAAGTTTAGTTTCACCATATATAAAATTGGCAGTTTACGATTCGGTTTTTACAGCATTTGAAAAATGTGTCATTTCCTTCTGGCCTACATATTTTGAGATTAAAAAATAGGCTGTCATTCAAATGGATGTTCACTTACAGATAATCTCTGGCTGCTTTTAAATTTTTTTTCTTAAGTTTTCAGAAATTTAATTATGATATATCTTGGCATATATTTTTTAGGCTTATCCTGTTTAGGATTCATTCACCTTATTCAATTTGTAGTTTTATGTCTTTTGTCAAATTTTTGAAAATTTTAGCCATTATGTCTTGTAATACTTTTTCAACTCATATAACTCTTTCTCCTCCCTTTCTGATATTCCAATAATAGGACCTTTAGATATTTTTTATCATCCCCCAGATGCCTGAGGCATTGTTCTTTTTTTTTCTACTTTTATTTTGTTTGTTGTTCAGATAAAGCAATTTTTTTCTTTTATTATCAGATTCACTAATTTTATTTTCTGTCTCCACTATAGTATTGGTCCCATCTAATGGCTATTTAGAATTCTGTAATTTCCATTCAATTCTTTTAAATAATTTTTATATCTTTGCTAACATTTTCAATTTTTTCATTTATTTCAAGAATATTTGTAATTACTTGTTGAAGGAATTGTATGATGGCTGCCCTAGAAGAGTTTTTAAATAGTTCCAACATCTGATTCAGCTTGCTATTGGCATCAGTTGGCTGTTTTTTCTCATATAAGGCATGACTTTTCTGGGACTTGCTATGATATGTGTCTTTCTATTAAATTTGGAGCATTTCAAATGTTATATTAGAAAAGTGTTAATTATATTTAAATATTATATTTTAGCAGGTACTTGCTCTGTTTAGGTTTAAGTTGTAGGTTCTGACTTTTGTGATCTGTATTTCTAATGATGACTTCATTTTCTGAGCACTTGCAGTGCTAGTCTGGCTTGCTTTTTCCTGGCTCTGTTTGAGCTCCTTCTGGATTCCTAATGATGCTTCTTTCAGTAATGGAAGTCACTTCATTTGATGTTCTGGTCACTTGATATAGGATGGGTTTTGACAGGCCTGTAGAAGGGACAGCATTTCCCTGGGTTTGTTTTGAGGTCACCTGGTCCTGGTGGGCTCTCAACTATGTCACTATTGTACCGCCAGTGGACAGAAGCATCTACCTGGGCTAATTTATGTCTGTGTGTGGAAGGCCAGGAGATGAGGAATATAAATGATTCTCTGCCATTTTATGAAAGGTCAGGAGACCTCAAATCTAAATCATCCTTATGTCATTGTGTGGACGGCTATGAAATACTTGGCCTGGGTTTTCTTTTGCCACTCCTGGAAAGCCAGGAGCCACTGGGACCACACAACTTTCTGTTGTTGGATGAAAGATTTAAAAATGCCTTTCCTGGAACATATTTTGTCATTCATTGAAGGGCCAGAAGACACTGCATGGTTGACACTTCTAGTGTGAGTAAAGAGGCTGCTGCTTTCAGTGGAGATAGAGCATAGGATAGTGGGCCTGTCCCAATTCTGCTGTTGCCTCTGCTGCTGGCAGGTCAGGCCCACTGCTCTCAGCAGGCGTGGGATGTAACATGGTCTGCTGGTACTGCTGCTATAGCCAGATCACATCTACTTCTGCTACTAGGCAAGGGTCATTTTACTACATTCCTGGCAAACTTTCTGTCTCCCAGTCCTCTGGCAAAAACAAAACAAACAAAATGAAAAACGTTTTTCTTCTTCTCCTGTCTTCTTCTCCTTCTCCTTCTCCTTCTCCTTCTCCACCTTCTCCTTCTCCTTCTCCTTCTCCTTCTCCTTCTCCTTCTTCTTCTTCTTCTTCCTTCTTTCTTCTTCGTTCTCTTTTCTTCTTCCTCCTTCTTCCTTCTTCTTCCTTCTTCTTCTCTTCTTCTCTTCTTCTTTCTTCTTCTTTCTTCTTCTTTCTTCTTCTTCTCCTTCTCCTCCTCCTTCTTCTTCTTTCTTCTTTCTCCTTTCTTCTTTCTCTTCTTCTTTCTTCTTTCTCTTTTTCTTCTTTCTCTTCTTTCTTCTTTCTCTTCTTTCTTCTTTCTCTTCTTCTTTCTTTCTCTTCTTCCTCTTCTTCTTCTCCTTCTCCTCCTCCTCCTTCTTCTTTCTTTTTTCTCCTTTCTTCTTTCTCTTTTTCTTTCTTCTTTCTCTTCTTCTTCTTTCTCTTCTTCTTTCTCTTCTTCTTCTTTCTCTTCTTCTTTCTTCTTTCTCTTCTTCTTTCTTCTTTCTCTTCTTCTTTCTTCGTTCTCTTCTTCTCCTTCTCCTTCTTGTTCTTCTCCTTCCTCTTCCTCCTCCTCTTTCTCCTCCTCCTCTTCTTTTTTCTTTCTTCTTCTGTCTATGCCTATTGGCACTTCTAAGTTGCAGAGTTTGGAAAAGCTCAATCTGGTATATGTGGGAAATTTAAAAAATTCCAGGAAAATTTATTTCAGTGTCATGATTTAAGTCCTCAAAGACCAGTCAGCTCACACTTTTTTCACCTTTCACAGTCCTAGATAATATCTGTCGAGTTTTTTCTAGGGTATTTTCTGTATTCAGAAGCATAAGGAAAAGAGAACCTATGTCATCTTATATCAGAACAAAAAAAACCTGAATATTCATTTTATATTTAATATTTTATATTTCATCATATATATACACACACACATACTCTATCTTATATGTGATGGTTTGAATATGTTCCTCAAAGTCTATGTGTTGGAAACTTAATCCTCGATGCAGTAGTGTTGAGAGGTGAGATCTTTAAAGGGTGATTACATCATGAAACCTCTGCCCTGATGAGTGGTTTAACACCATTATCATAGGCGTGAGTTATCTCAAGAGTGGGTCCTGATAGAAGAATAAGTTTGAACTGTTTCCATTCTCTCTCTCATGGATGTGCCTTTGCCCTTCTGCCTTTCCACTATGGATGACTCAACAAGAGGCCCCTTGACAGCTGCTGGCACCTTGATATTGGACTTCTTGGCCTCTGGATCTGTGAGAAATTTTATTTTCTTTATAAATAATCCAGTTTGGGGTAGTCTGTGAAAGAAACAGAAAACAGGCTAAGACACTACTGCATATATTTAATATTAATATTGTAATTTAAATAATCACAAATATGTGTTTTTGATACAGTATTCTGCATAATGTTGAAAGAACACTAAATATGTCCCATATTTTAAGTAAATTTAGTTAAATAATAACAAAAAAGGAAGATTCTTAACACTTGCAGTTTGCCCGTAAGAAAATTGAGAAACATATACTAAGCTACTTTCCCAAGTTTATATGATGGCTAGTTCATATAGCTGGATAAACTTAGACCAACACATAGTCTATCCAGTACATTGTTTAACCTATTGTTTCAATATTTTGGAAACAAGAATATGCTGAAATTTCCTAGAATTAATAAAATCTATTCCAGTTTTTTATTTCTTAATCAAACTTAGTAGTTGAGTTTTGCCAAGACCAGCTCGGTCATGGAGACTAAACCAGTGTCGCTAGAGGAATTAAAGACACACACACAGAAATATAGAGTATCGAGTGAGAAATCAGGAGACTCACAGCCTTCAGAGTTGAGAGCCCCAAACAGAGTTAGACCCACATATTTATTGACAGCAAGCCAGTGATAAGCATTATTTCTATAGATTGTAGATTAACTAAAAGTATTCCTTATGGGAAACAAAGAGATGGGCCAAAACAAAGGGATGGGCTCTGGTTAGTTATTTGCAGCAGGAACATGTCCTTAAGGCACAGATCGCTCATGCTATTGTTTGTGGTTTAGGAACACTTTTAAGAGGTTTTCTACCCTGGCTGGGCCGGGTGTTCCTTGCCCTCATTCCAGTAAACCCACAACCTTCAGCGTGGGCATCATGGCCATCATGAACATGTCACAGTGCTGCAGAGATTTTGTTTATGGCCAGTTTTGGGGCCAGTTTATGGCCATATTTGGGGGCCTGTTCCCAACAGAGTTTGTTGTTGTTGCTTGTTGGTTTATTTTCCAAAACCTGGGAAAAGAAAGTTCTAGGTCTAGCATCAGATGGTACTTGCTGGTCAAAACATTTTAAAAAATGTTTTGATTTCTTATTTAGAGATCTTAACACTATTTTTGAAGATAAAAATAGTGCCAGAAGTAGACCAATCCAAATTTTTATGGATGTGCACCCTGGCCAGATTGATAGGATTGATGTCAACTCTAACTGTAAAGTAAATAATTTGTTCCAAGAATACAGATTGAAATTTTTTTAATATTCCAAAATTTAAGGAAATGTGCTTAATTCAACAGAACTGTTATAAAAATAAGGACCTTTTAAAATTTTTGAAATACTAAGAAATAATTACAATTATTTGTGAAAATTTCTACACTTCAGAATATTTATATGTTGAAAGAGAAATATTCTAGCTTTTGAGAAAGCTGCTGTTAACACATAGTAAATTATTTAGTTCCATGCTAGACAGATTCTCAAAATATTAGTTCTCAGTGTCTTAAATCTGTGCCTATAATGAGGTCACAGGTGACTATACCAATGCTTGTGCAATCTTCATATAGTTAGCTATCTCTAACTGCATATCTTTGTCATTCATTTGTACTGTTTCTCCCTCGGAGTTGACCTGATGTAGAGAGACATCATAATCCACCTCAGTAAGACATTGAACAATCAGTGGCCAGAGGACATTAAAATTAGAGTCAAATGGAATATTTGCTGCTTTAGTTATAATTGCCTAATCAGTGAGAGATGTACTAGAATAATTATCCTTTAATTCTCTAAGTTGGAAGTAAGAAGAGCCCATAGGATCCTCCCACAACCTTCTTTCTAACAGCCCCCACCTGCTAAAACCACATGAAAACCAACTAAACCAAACCAATCCCAAATAACCCTAACAAGCAAAAATTTCAATATATAATTATAATCATATAATTTTGCTTAAATGTCATTAGTGATTCTGCATAGAATATTACAAATACCTCACAAATCTCAATCTGTCTGTGTTTCCCCACATTTATAAAGCATCACACATCCTGTTGGGTACAGAATATAGATTTTCTAGGGGGCATGTCAAAAGTTAAAGCAGCAGAAAAACATTTTTTAACAACTGACTTCACTTATCAAACTGCAGAACCTGAAAAAGGTCTCTGGCACCTGAAATCATTTAATGTTTTTATGTCAGTGATAAAAATCACTTCAGGTGTTGCTGCAGCAACAACTTTGAAAGCAATAGAGTTCTGATGTTGAGAAGATCCATCAAAAATAAATCAAACCTTGTTTCACTGGTGCCAAAGGAAGTGTGTGTAATGGAAAGTTATTAAGACCAAATCCATGTGCAGGCTTTGGCCCCAGCACAGGGCCCTCTTGCCTGAGTATTCCCCAATCAATCACTGCCCTTCTCTTTGTTTCTTCTTGATATTGTCTGGAGACGTATGGGCTGTAGATTACAAAAGGTAAGTGCTTTAAGGCTCTGGGATCCTTTCCTAGAGTACCATTTTGCCATCACATTACATAAACACAAACACACAGAAAAAGACGAATGAGAGAGGGAAAGTTGCTGCAAATAGTTTCATAGAATCTATAAGCCAGGAATGTTTAACATCTACTAATTTACTAAAATATTTAATGTAAGTAATCTTATTTAATATTCACAAAATCCTAGGTATGACCCTGAAGAAATGTTTTCTTTATCTCAATTTGCATACTAAATATCAAAGCTCATAGAAGTTACGTGTTTTACAAAATGAACGAAACTAACCAATGATGAAATTAGTTTAATATGCATTCTTCAATATCATCTTATGTATTCCTTCCATTAAACTTTTCTACCTTTAAAGCTAAGTTTAAAAAAAAAACTGTGCGTGTGTATTTCTAAAATAGAAATAATTTCTATATAAAAGTAATCTTCTTTTCTGAAAAGTGTTAACATTCATTTTTAAAAGTACAATATTATTTAAAATTAAGCATACTCTGTAATAACTTTTGAAAACCATAAAAACAAAGTAAAAAAGAATATCTGCTGAGAAATATACAAAATTAAAATGGAGCTCAAGTTAACATGATCGAATTGTCACTAAATTCTAATCATCATTGCTCACAATGTGACTATGTAGCTGATTGCTAATAGGACAAGTTCACTTTGGTTGCATATGCCTAAATCCATGTTTGACTGTGTGATACCTCAATTTCCACCTTTTGTCTCTCTTTGGAATACATGAAACCAGTATTTCTATGTTATGCTGTGGTGTGCCATCAGCGAGCCTTTGGTTTATGTTTGTGAATCTGCCTCTTTTCCTTTTGTATTGTCTCCTGATAAGTTATTCATCAACTACCGTCAATGTAGCTTTCTACGATCAACTTCCACCAGCTCTCCAGTTTAGAGTATCTTCTAGGTAGCGGTCCTAACTGCTGACTTTACATTCAAATAACCTAAAGAATTTTAAATAGCAATCATACTCAAGTCCCATCTTCAAAGATTCTTATTTACTTGGTCACAAGTGGGACCTGGGCATAAGTTTCTTTTAAATAGTTCCCTGAAAATTCTATTGTAAAGTCAGAATTAAGAATAATTGTTCTAGTTAATCAGGAAAAAATGTTTTTAAAATAAAATATGTCATAGAAAGTTTTAAATATCTATCTTTTCTCATGTTATTCGTTTTCTGACTTGTGCATATCCATTCTTAGAGGCCAACTTACATATCCTGAAATATTCAGGTCAAATAACCATACCCTGAGACACCTTTCTACAACAACGTAGACTGCATTGATTACTCTCTTTACTTTTCTCGTGGCACTTAAAACTAACCAAATAATAAAGCATATATTGTAATGTTTTAAGCCCTTCTGTATATATCTGTAATCCAGTAAGCCTGTGACTATAAACTTGGGCCATGTAAGGGGCCATAATTCCAATAACATGTATTAGACATTTGCCAGGGATTTTTCTGAATGAATGAAAAAAGAAGAAAATTTAAAAAGTCATAAATCAATAAATATTTTAAAATATTACATATTTTAATCCAGTGTTGTTCTCAGGCTCTACCTGGGTGTACAGAGTCATTTGCATCTACATTGAATTTACATTGATAAAGCAGTAGCTACTTTATCATTGCTTCTGTATATCCTTATTGTTCATTATCGCTTCTCATTAGATCAGCTTTACACAGGCTCTGCCTATATTCTTTAGTATTTTATTTAGTACTGCATACAAGAGAACTAAATTTGTTAAACTAGCAAATAATTTTACTTTATCAAACTGAAGCTTTTTTGATATAAAAGTATTTGTCTTCAGTGGTATCTATTTTTACATATTACATATGTTTCACTAATTTGCATTTCTTTGCATTCTGTATCATTGAGGTGCCAAGAAGCCCAGACAGTAGGTAAGAGTTTTTTCCTGTGTTACAGTCTTCTCAAATTACCCCTGCTACTAAAAGAGGAAAAGGGCCTTCATACAGAGTTCAGAGGCTAGTGCCCAGCCTTATGAAGAATACACAATAGCAAATTCTCTCAATGTCACCTCATCACTGAATTTTTAAAATCAATCTATTTAAAATAGCACTCTCCTACCCTAGTACTCCCTAACCACATTTTCTGTTTTATTTTTTTCTGTAGTTCTCATTATCACCTATATTACTTGGCTAGGTCTACCTTAACTAAATACTACCAATTGCGTGTCTCAAAGCAACAGAAATGTATTCTTTCACAGTTCTGGAGGCAAGAATTTTAAATCAAGGTGTCAGAAAGCCCATGCTTTCCCACTCAAGAATCTGGAAAAGAATCCTTCCTCGCTTCTTCTGGCTTCTGGCGGCTCCATTCAATCCTTGGTCTTCTCTGGCCTGTAAGATGCACCACTCCAAATCTCCCTCCATCTTCAGGTGCTCCTCTGTATGTCTTCTTCCTTACTCATAAGGACACATCCCATTGGACTTAGGTCCCCCCGCCAGTCCAGTATTACTTATCTTTACTTGATTGCATCAGTCAAGTCCCTATTTCCAAATAAGGTCACATCCTGATGTTTTAGATGGACAAGAATTTGTGGGAGATAGTATTCAAACTATTACACTACCTGATGTACAAAGTGTGTTGTGTATTTACTTACTTGCTGTCTTACCACACTAGAATACATTCATGAGGACAGGGACTTTATTTTTCTTCTTCATTCATGATAATGTTCCTAGATCCTACAGTGGTATTCAGTAAATTATTGTTTTCAAATAAAAGAAAACATTGTAATCCTGTAGTCCAAGTATTATTTAGGAATGATATTCCTTTTGTGAATCAATATTATAAACCATAAATCAGAATTGATACCCATAGGACCAAGTATGTCAGTATAAGACTTTAAATTATCAGCATTTTTCCGATTACACTGTGTTATACAGATTGCCCATGCTCAGGAATGATTATCTTAGTTGCTAAATATGATCGTTTACAGAATCTTGACCTTAAATCTTATTATATCAATATTTCCCTTGTTTGAGACACTCTTTCTCTTTTCTTTTTTTGTATTCTCAAAAATCTCTCATCTCTTATCATTTCCTAGGACCAGCCAGGGTCAGGACATTGATCTAAAGAATAAAAGAGAAGTTGAACTTTATCCATAAAATAGGCCAAGTAAATTTCTACACTTCTAAGTCACAGAGGACAATATTGAGACACAGGTTATTGTCTCTCTTCTTATACTCCCAATTTGAAAAACTGATTCTAAGTATAGGAAAATTCTCTATTCTCATCTCTATGACTTTCATTTTAATCAATGTGGTTACCAGCACAGTGGAGCATCTGGAGTAATACATGAATATTTCAAAAGGATAAATGAATAAAATAGACTTTTAAAACAAGGCAGTATTTAAAACCATTTATTTAACAAAAGAGAAATGATTTTAAGGTCCATATAAAGTGGAATGGTTTCATACTTTTAATTTTTTCTTGTCCCACCACCAATTCAATTAGTTTAACATCCAACTCACAACAATGTATAACATCAAATGAGAAAAATATCAAATTGGATATTGAAGCAGATTTACACTAAACATATTGCAAATATTGAACAATTCCTTCAAATAACCAACAGGAAACTTAATATTTAAAAATGTGGCATACAATATACATATTTAAATATATTATAGAATTATTAAGAAAAGTAGACTATGAAAATATTTCATATGATATTGTTTCTAATCTATGCTAAAGACCACATTGAAAGTCTCAAAAATTTCCTTGTCAGTAAGGAGTATTTTAGGTTTTGTATGGAATACAAATGGACCAATTATCTATATGTATGGAATTTCTCAGATAAATCAGTAAAATATTTGCCACCAGATTTCTCAGAGCAGCTTAGCTAGGTGGTTGTGGCTCAAGATTTCTCAAGAGATTGCAGTAAAGCTGTTGGCCAGGACTTCGGTCAAACAAATGAATGCTCAACTGGGGCTCAACAAATGCTACAACTCTGCTTCCCATCTCACTCAGACTGCTGTTGGCAGAACTTTCTTCCCCTTTGGCTATTGGGTAGAGACATCAGTTCCTTGACTTGTGGACCTCTTCCTAGCCAGTCCTGAATGTCCTTATGACAGCGCAGCTGGCTTCCTCCAGAGCAAGTCTGAGATAGAGAAAAAGCAAGTGCATCTAAGTGTCTTTTATAGTCTAACCTCAGTAGTAACATATCATTTCTTTTGCCATATACTGTTGAACACACAGACCACCCTGGTACAATATGGAGGCTGGAAATATACAAGTGTGTGCACACCATGAGTTGGGAATCTTTCAGGGCATCTTAGAGGCTGGCCATCATACACATTAATCTACATTTTGGGCAGAACAGTTATATATTGCGCAGGAATATCCTGTGTATTCAAGGATGTTACCATTTCTGGGGGTTGGGCATGGCGGCTCATGTCTGTAATCCAAGCACTTTGGGAGGCCACAGTGTGTGAATCACTAGAGGTCAGGAGTTTGAGACCAACCTGACCAACATGGTGAAACCCCATCTCTACTAAAAATACAAAAATCAGCCGGTCGTGGTGGTGTACACCTGTAATCCCAGCTACTGGGGAGGCTGAGGCATGATAATCACTTGAACTCAGGAGACAGATGTTGCAATGAGCTGAGATTGTGTCACTGCACTGCAGCCTGTGTTACAAAGTTAAACTCTGTCTCAAAAAAAAAAAAGTATGTTACCATTTCTATCCTCTCCATCTCTGTGTTCTTCCCCATGAAATTGAATGACAGTCATTGAGGAAATAAGAAATTCCCTCTGACATTTCCAAAATCTTTTCAGTAGAAAGCAATATGTGAAATAGGAGATTCTGTTTGTTTTCAGATGCTGCTTTTTTAAAGAGGAGTCTCTGTGAACCTATTAGAAATGCAAGAGAAGTTTATGTGAATTAGTCAGCAGATCCTTATTTAGAGGCAAGTCAGCCAGCCTGAGCTCCCCACCCCATGTCAAGGTGCATCAGAGTGTTCAGAAAGGTGATTCATTGTGACAGCAGGAATGTCTAATGATGTGCATAGCTCATTGAATTTTTAATAGAATATCCTATACATGAATCACTGTAAGATATACTCCTATATAACAATGTCTGTGTCTATTTTCCCATTGTTCTTCATCAAACAACATTAGTGTTGAGTCCCTCGATTCCACCTACTGTAACAAAGCTGTGATTATCAAATCAATAAGTCCTTAGCCTGTTCAGATTCTATTTACAAAAGTCTTTACCACAGTGGTGTCTACAGACTTCAAATTATTTTTTCTTTTTAAAACAAATAAAAGTTCAGGGATTAAATTTGTTTTTCTCTGTCACAATAATGAAACAATAAATCATTTATTTCAAATTTATTTTACAAGTAACATATTCATATTCCTTATCATATGCTTGCATGTCAAATGCCAAAGAGCACAATTTTTCATTCACTCACTCATTTGTTCATTTATCCAGAATTGAATACCTTTATTCAATAAATATATTTATTCAATATTCTGACTACTTCAGAAACCCCTGTTAAATACCGACTAGGTTACCAAGATTAATCTCATCTGGATTCTTCCCCCCAAAAGATCTGTACTCTCATAAAGAATGTTCATGTGTCATAATTACAAGGGAATTCATTATAGTCTTAATCAAAGGCTAGCTCAGGTAAAATGTAGGCAAAAATCATTCTCAGATCTATATTACCATAAAAGTCCCAATAGACATACAACATAAATTTCTTTAGAGTTTTAAATATTCAGGTATTTGAAATGAAGAAACAAATTATTTATTAATATTGAATGCATAAGAACTACTAGACCAAAGTTAATGTCCTCTTATCAGGAGTTTTTCTTTATGGCACCAGGTTGACTTAAAGTTATGTTATTTGAAATGGACAATTTCATGCCTTCTTAGGTAACACCAATGCAGTGCAGTGCTAGAACCAGTATATGTGGCTTAAAATACCTAATTGCTGGTTTTAAAATCTCTCAAAATTGGTTGCCGCTGCATTTATAGCTTGAAATATTCCCACTGTGGTGGGAATATTTACTTCATGAAAATGCAGAAATACTACAAACCAGAGATTTTTAAAAATTCCCTTTAGAGAGCTTGTTGTTAGACATTTACCAGCACACTACTGAAGCAGTTTCTAGTCTTAAATTTGTGACCAAATGAGATAGGGCCATTCTAGTAGCACACTCAATATCATGTCATTTTCTTGAGTTTCATGGCAAGACTATTACCCTCGTCAACCAAAAGGATAATAATTTTCAGTCCAAAGGAACAAAGCATTCCAACGTCATTCAGAATATATATTTGGGATATATTACACTCCAGAAAATCAATCCAAGTATTCAAGAAAGAAAATTATCAATAAAAGTGTCTCATTTGTCTTCAGTGTGATAAATACTTCAGATCAGTGAAAATAAAAAATACAAAAGAGAAAAAAATTCGTGGATGAATATTTGGATAGATCAAATTTTACCACTTCTCTTTTAGGTAGAGAGTAATGGTTATTATTGCTGCTGCAAATTGGCCTCAAAATATTAGAGAACAAGGAGCTATCATCATAAAGCATGTAGTTTTAGTATTGTTTCATTAAAATAATAAGTTACTGGGCCCTCGACAGAACCTGTATGTCTTCTGTTAGGTAGTTATAAAATGTAAGTTTATGAATGTACACTTATTCAAAACTACCTTTATTTCTCTGAGCAATCAATATCACTATTTTCTTCATATATTTTGAAAATAAAGCAAGGAAAGGAAATGTTTGCCAAAAACTGTATTACTATGATTTTAAGACTTTGATTATGAATACACCTGGGTCAGAAAATTTCAGTTCATGGTTCCCAGAGTGAAAATAGCTCTGGCAGGCTACATATAGTATATATAAAAAGACATACACGTTAGAGTATATATGCAGTGCCAAAATGCTCCACCTGTGCACAGGGGCAGAGTTACTGTTGCTGGGGGAGATATAACCTTCTAATGTACTTACTTCCATGTCTCTCAAAATTTTACTGTACTGAAGACTTTTGTTCTTATAGTTAATATATTTTAATATTGGAAATTTCAAGTACAATATAGAAATACTGAATCAAATAAGCTTTTTAATAAAATTTTAACCCCTAAACTTACAAATGGATGACCACAGACAAAATAGATACCTGGAAAATCAGGGTATTGAACATGAACAACACTTCCCACTCCTAAAGCATGTGGGACTTTATTTTATATGAAAGAAACTACATACAAAATGTTTATCTGTATCCGGAACCTAATTAACAATCTTGAAGTCTCTATTCCAATTAATGACAGAGTTATTCAATCTATCACTGTCATTTTGAATTTACCATAGTTTTAAAAGAATGACCTAAAGACTATGGAGATGCAATTGCTACTAACTATAGTGCTGGCATTTACATGCCATATTGTTGTCTTACAAATGTTGTTATACCCAATCATATCTTTCATATTATCACACTGCGTTAAAATATTTCTTTATGTGGTTGTCACTTCCCAATAGTTTTTAGGTCCCTTTAAATTAAATAATATTTATAGTTCACTTTTACTTATTGAGCCCCTAACATCACCTGATACATCACATTTATAAGCATTTTGATGAAATGTATAAAATCAGTTATGTAATTTGGGATTTATAGGTTTTTAAAAACCTACAAATTTTTGAATTCCATATTTATAATCAGTATTTGTGCACTGTAATTATTCATTTTCCTCAGTAGCAGTTCTTGTGAGATAACTCAGTGTCTCTTTATGAACCACAACAACAAAAAAACAAGGTCTGTAGGACTTCCCTTGGTCAATATGAGTTTGTAGTTGGGGGAAGAAGAAATACTTGAGTTTAGTGTCCTTTTTTAGCCCTTCATGTACTAGCAGCACTCATTACTTCCCCATAGAAACCTAAAGAGTTGGCCATGGGAAAGAATAAGGAAACAAGTAGTAGAGTGAGAAGGGAAAGAATGTTTTATATGTATATATATATATGAAAACAATGAGAGAATGTAGGAAGCAAGAAGCAAGAAGGGTCAGAGAGAAAGAAAAAACATGCAGGATGCCAAAGCTCTGTCAACTCGCTGACCTTAATGCCTACTTTTAAATTATCATTACTTAATCCAGATAAATGTTCCATTTCTTTCCATCTGGAAATGTTATCATGAGTTTGTATGGAAAAAATATAGCTACAGAAGAGTACACACATGCACATGCACGCACGCACACACACACTCACATATTATTAGTGTATTCTCACACTGGTATAAATAAATACGTGAGACTGGGTAATTTACTAAGAAAAGAGGTTTAATTGGCTCATGATTCTGTAGTCTGTACAGGAAGTATGACAGGATCTGCTTCTGGAGAGGCCTCAGGAAACATAATCATGGCAAAAGATGAAGAGAAAGCAGGCATGTCTTACATGGCAGGAGCAGGAGGAAGAGAGAGAGTTGGGATGTGCCACAAGCTTTTAAACGACCAGATCTCATGAGCACTCTACTATGAGAACAGCACTAGGAGAAACTGCCACCATGATTCGATCACCTCCCACCAGGCCCTCCCTTCAGCATTGGGGATTAATAGTTCAACATGAGATTTGCAGGGGATACAGATCCAAACCATATCATATGCCCTCTACCTTTCCATTCCACAGCACATGTTATTAATTGGATGAATGTCAATCCTATCTATAGATTTGGAAGTCAGAAAAACAAAATAACTAAGATATGTCTTTTATTGAATATAATAAATTAGTAAACAAGAAAATGGGTTTCAAAAATCTTTAGGGATTTCTTCTTTTATGAGGTTCTATCGACAGATAATCACTTCACTCACACATGCACATGCATGCACACACACACACAAATTCCATGTAAATAAATTTTACTGAACAATGAATAGAATTACAGTAGCCATAGGTTAACATAAAGCTAGTTTGTAATTATGTCATTATATTTCAACATAATCTATTACTATCTACTTTCCTTCACTAAAGTAAAAATTTCTAGATGGTCTCATTGTCCTATTTTTTCAATGTTTTGATCAGCACAAATCCCATATTTAAATATTTGGTCTTTTGACAAGATAATATTCCCTTTTCAGTTTGTTCTAAAACCTTAGATGTAGGTTCTTATAGATGAAGTAGTGACTTTAGAGTGATTACACATTGAGATTGAAAAGAACTTTCATCTCCTCTGAGGCATTGGTGAAGTGCATGGGTTCTGAAATCAGACAGTTTAGTATTCCCTGTCTACAGTTACCCAGTCACATAGATAACTATAGACGAATTATTTAACCTTTCTGCCTTTAGTTTCCTCTTTGTAAATTGAGAATTATAATATTACTTATCTCTATGGTTGTAAAGGTGAACTATTTAGATTAGTTCCTCACGCATAATAATGAGTCTAAAATATTGCTTTTATCTTTTTTAGTGTTATCTAGTACAGAAGCATCAAATTGTTGAGAACATAAAGCCAAGAAATAATGAATAATGAGTAATTTCTGAAAGATTATAGAATTTATTAGTGGCACAACTAGTACTAGAAACTAGACAATATATTATCCAGAACTTGGAAAAATAAAAAAAAGAAAGGAGAAAGATAGGAAAGATGTGTACCCATTTTGTTGTTGGTGGTGGTGGTTTCTCATAAGCATGATTTAATCTCATGATTTGAAAATATTTTGTATATACAGGTAGTATTATTGACCTTGATGCATACAGCAATACTAACAATGCTATATATATATATATATATATATATATATATATATATATATATATATATATAAAATCTATACCTGAGACTTGTAAACTGCAAAAATTGGTTTGGGTGAAGATTAAAAATATAGAATCTCTCAGGGGCATTGGTGGCTTTTATACATATTTTTTTCCCAAGGTAAATTAGGCAACAATGGTCCCTTCTTTGTGTTGGTCAAAATCATCCAAAAATGTTTCTCAAAATCTCTAAGAAACTTATATGATTGGAAAAATCTATTTTCAAAGTTAAAGACATGCTTAATAATGCACTGTTTAAATCTATATCAGTAATGGTCATTTTTGAATAAAAGTGTTAAGATCACTGACTCAAATGACTTGAAAATAGATAACAACCAAGTAAATAAAATTATTACTAGAAGGACACCTGGGACCTTATTCCATTATATTCTAGCCACATACATGTTGAATGCATGATAACAGGTCCAAACATAGCAGACATTCCCAGGTCAATTTCCAGTGGAGGAAAGCCTCCTCATAGTGCCTACTTAAGCAAGTATAGCATTATGTAATGTAAAAATATCAGACTATTTGATAGGAATTTTCTAAAACAGAATACACACGTACACAAGCACATGCACATGTGTGTGTGTATGTACAGATCTTCATATATGTATATGTGTATTTATATGTATATGTGTGTGGATATATATGCACATATATACACTTATACATACAGAAGGACGGCTACTCAGATGACCTTGCTTGATCCATTTTCTCCCCCTTGTGCTTGTAGTTCTTAGATACAAAAATGCAACATCCTAAGTTAAAGAGAAAGTGCTGGCAAAACCTGAGCTATGTCTTCATCACTCCTAGAACAGGATATTCTGCAACACTTGAACTTAGTGATTCAAGAATCACCCAAGTGATCCAAGAAACACCTTAGTGATTCAAGAAAAACCCATCCAAGCACCCTAAAACTACTCTGTGCTGAAGTTAGAGCCATGCCGTTTCAAAAACATTTAAAAATCGGTCTGATAGGTTTTTCCTTTATAAAACAAACAAATAAACAAAAAACAATTGCAGAGCCTGTATAATGTAAAGGAGATCTTATTGGAAAATAGGAGAAATGACTTTGGTATACCTTGAGTTTATCGTAGATAAAGACCATAAGCACTTTTAAATCCAGTTGAAGTGCAGTGAAAAAAAGTCATTTATATCTGATAGTTATGAAAGGTGTGGAACTCAGGGTGACGTTCTTTACAAATTCATCACCCATGGTGCAAAACGAAGCATGCACAGACATGCCTTCATAAGCCCTGGGCAGCCTAAGGCACTGGCTCACTTCAGATCCCAGGGGTTATGGTCTGCAAGTTTGTTCCCCCTCAAAATTCATATGTTAATACTTAATCCCAATGTAATAGTATTAAGAAGTGGGGACTTTGGCAGGTGATAGATGATTTTATAGGAATTTTCTAAAACAGAGTACACACATACACATAGATGGAATTAGCGCCCTTATAAAAAGGGCCAGAGGGAGCTTGTTTACCTTTTTCACTATGTGAAGACACACAGAAAAGTCACCATCTTTGAAACAGAGAGTGAGCGCTCACAGGATGTTACATCTTCTGCTATCTTCATCTTGGACTTCCTACCATCCAGAACTGTGAACCATAAATTTCTATCATTTATAAGTTACCCAGGCTAAGATATTTTATTATAGCAGCTCACATGAACTAAGGTGCTTCTATTTATTGCCACCCATTTGTGAGTAATATATATGCTTTGCATGACTTGTGTGGGTGTTATGTCTCCCTTGTAGATGTATTGGGTCTTCTTTGTACCCCACAACTGTTCTCATGATGTTGGGACTGCTAGGGCATCTGGGTCTACTATAACCCTGACCAGCCTTAAGAACTTTTGTAATACACCTACACATTCTCTTAAAAATATAAAGGAAGTGGGAAATCCTTTTTTCAAATTTTATGTTCATTTTTACAAAGGTTTGCATGTTTGGCAAAGCTTAAAACAGACGACGCCTTCAATTTTCTATGTCAACAGATAGGAATAGTCATCTAGACAATTCAAAGAGTGTTTAGATTTTTTTCTAGTCAGTTTATTTATATAATTATATATTTGCTTATGCTAATATTAGTTGGAATTGCGACTGCCTGGATAAATATTGTCTAGGAGACAGGAAACAGCTGGAATATATTTGAAATAAGGCATGAATTAAAACTTCACCAGTTTTAACTCTCAGCACAGATGATCCAAAGTCAGCAACACTTATTTACTTTCTGGTGTGTGTATGGCTTCTTCTGTGGCCAAATACCTTTAAGGGTTTCCAGTGTTTGGAAGAGAAGTCATTTATTTATTCATTCAACACTCATTTATTGAAATACTTCAGTCATTGGCTTAAGGGATGCACAGATAAATAAGGTACTGATGTTATGAAGATTACATAACATTTTAGAAGAACATATAAGAAAATAAATTATAATACAACAAGCAAGGGTTATAAAGTGACAAGAAACAAGTTGGTTTACAGTTTAGATATTGGATTAATTGATGAGATATGGTTGAAAACATGCTTCACAAAGTTAATTTTAAACTAAAGCTTAAATAATAGCTTCCCAACATCAAAGGAGGAAATAAAATATGCAAGTAGTTACGGTAATCAAAGGAATGTCTTCATTTAGCAAAATTTGGGAAGTGTGGAAAGAATGAGGAATAGGTGAATGATAGGAAAACTGAGATGGAGAGAAACATGGAGTCAGACTCGGGAGACAGCATATGCTACCAGTGAATTTAGTCAGACCTTAATTAACTGGTAGCATAGGAAAAAGTGTTTAAAGTAATCAGTATTTGAAATTCAGCACCAATTTTTTTTTGTTTTTCCAAAGTTTAGTAAAACTCTTAATTGCAGTCCTCAGCTCAGCTCTAGATGTTTAGTTTATACTGATCTTCTATTTGGTACAGCAATTTTAAGGGAATATTTAGAAATGTGACTGTTGTTCATTTAGGATGCTAAAGAAAGGAGGAGAATGAAGAGAGAAACATACGTGAGTGCTGAAAATAAAGTTAGTAAGTGGTAGGTAATCAGACCCTCATCCCCACAGAGAGTTTTGCTGAGCCCAGTGTACTCTTCTGCATGTGCTGTAGGTTACCTTTCTAAGGAAAGTATTCCACCTCATGTTTCTCTCCAATTTCATCAGACAAGAGCAACTACAACCCTACCATTGGTCTATAAACAGATGTCTTAACACCAAACCATTCTGTCAAGTTTATGGGTAAGACAGTTGCTAAGCACCTGTAGAACTTGAGGTCAATGGGAAGTTAGAGTCAGGCACAATACTTCTTGTTAGAGGGAAAACAAACAAACAAAAACAAACAAAACCAGAAAACACCAATTTACTGGGAAGCTAAGGTTAAATGAAACTTATCCTGCTGGTAAAGCAGAATTCCTAGTCCCAAGAAGCTCTTTATTACAAAAAGTCAAAGTGAGATTCCAGACCCAGTGCAATGGCTCATACCCGTAATCCCAGCATTTTCAGAGCCTGAGGAGGGAGGACCACTTGAGGCCAGGAGTTTGAGATCAACCTGGGCCACATAGCAAGACCACATATCTGCTAAAAAAATAAAAAATAGCCAAGTGTAGTGTCATGTGCCTATAGTCCTAGCTACTCAGGAGGCTGAGGCAGGAGGATCTCTTGAGCCTAGGAGCTTGAGGTTATAGTGAGCAATGCTCACACTACTACAATGCAGCCTGGGTGATAGAGTGAGACTCCTCTCAAAAAAATAAATGAATGAATAATTTAAAAGAATTTTTAAAAAGTTGAAGTGAGATTTCAAGTTTATTTTCTTTTTTTTTTAAATTTTATTACACTTTAAGTTTTAGGGTACATGTGCACAATGTGCAGGTTAGTTACATGTGTATATATGTGCCATGCTGGTGTGCTGCACCCATTAACTCGTCATTTAGCATTAAGTATATTTCCTAATGCTATCCCTCCCCCTTCCCCCCACCCCACAACAGTCCCCAGAGTGTGATGTTCCCCTTCCTGTGTCCATGTGTTCTCATTGTTCAATTCCCACCTATGAGTGAGAACATGCGGTGTTTGGTTTTTTGTCCTTGCAATAGTTTACTAAGAATGATGATTTCCAATTTCATCCATGTCCCTACAAAGGACATGAACTCATCATTTTTATGGCTGCATAGTATTCCATGGTGTATATGTGCCACATTTTCTTAATCCAGTCTATCATTGTTGGACATTTGGGTTGGTTCCAAGTCTTTGCTATTGTGAATAGTGCCTCAATAAAAATACGTGTGCATGTGTTTTTATAGCAGCATGATTTATAGTCCTTTGGGTATATACCCAGTAATGGGATGGCTGGGTCAAATGGTATTTCTAGTTCTAGATCCCTGAGGAATCACCACACTGACTTCCCCAATGGTTGAACTAGTTTACACTCCCACCAACAGTGTAAAGTTTATTTTCAGTCTCCTTATATCACAGTGCATTCCCTGATGCTCAATGCTTGTCAAATGTGTTCAGTTTATCTGGGGAATTATCCTGTCCCTATAAGAAACAGAAAAGAGAGTGATTACTGACAGTGATTTATTTGCACCTCATTATTTCTAGGGGTTCAGATAGGGTGTCAAATATGTCTATATCTAATCAATAGATATTTTTTTGGCCTTTCTCAGGGGGAGAGGCAGACATTTTGTGTCTTTAGAATATAAGTGACCTTCTTGAGATGTCTATTTTCATAGAGGAATGTTCCTAATTTGGTCTTTTGACTTACCCTTATGAATCCATAGGTCTTGCTGTCCCCTCATGACTACAGTTACAAAGGACATTGAATAATATTCCACAGGCTGCCATATGGATGAATGGGTGGTTGATTAATTAACCAGTGCACCATGTAGGGGCTTTAAAAAATCAGGTACATGTGAAATGTCACAATGTCTGGGAAGAAAATAAATCTCCATCTACTAATGTCTTCTTGGCTGCAAAAATTATAAGAGGCTTAGTTCTTTATTTTTCTTCATGTAACTGAGTGAGGCCTAATGTGAGGTAGGAAGGAGAGGTTCACTGGGGCTTTGATTCAGAACAAAGTACCATACTGGTTAATCTGGAGAGAGAAGACATGCCTTCCACACTCATAAAATGGATGTGAAGATAATGGCTAAATTCAAAAGGCAGTATTGCCATGGAGGCTACAGTCTGGTTTAATAGAAAAGCTACATTTTTCATATAGTTTTTCATGGATATTAATAAACCAAATTTCTTTGAACTTTGTCAGCAATAACAGCGATGGAAAGCTGATGCACTAATACAAAACACAGATGGGCATGAGAGAACATCCAGAAAGAGAATTCCCAGGTTGTGACAAATAAGCATAGATGATGGTTACAAAGAAGTAGAACAACTATTTGGGAAAAATATATTTAGATACACAAGGGACATATAGCACCGGGAAGATGATGAGTGGAGATTATGTTCTCCTGGGGAGAGATATATAATTTCCCTTAGAGGTTAGTTCCCCATGGTTGCCAGTACCTAAGGTGCTGAGCAGCTGTATTTCCCCAGCAAATCCAGTATGCAATTGATACACCAAATCCAGGCCACTGGATAATACAATAATAGTCTGTTTATTTCTTCACTGACATAAGTATTTCCTCCTTACAAATATGAGAGAAAAAGATAGAGTCCCTTCCCTGAAAGGCAAACCCAGAACAGATGCCCAACAGAACCCCTTGGCTTCTGTGTAAGAATAATGAGAATTTAAAAGACTTGAATCTTTATAGTTTACTTGGTGATTCTTTATATTTTTTCCAGTTAAGACTATTCTCAATCCATATTATATGCACCCAGTGAAGAATTCATCTACAGGAACCCACAATGATAATCCCCTTTCTTCTGAAATAGCTCAGGGCTCTTGTTCTTTCTTAGTTATATCTGCAGCTAATTTGAAGCTGATTCGAAGGCATATGAAAAGTTTCATACTTTATTCACCTCCAGGACACCTAAAATAGTGATGAATACTTTTAAGTGCACATACACAAAAAGTATTTGTTGAATAGCTGATAACTGGTTAAGACAAGATATCCTTGCAGTATTACAAAATGCGTGCTAGTACCAATGCAGTGAATTTAGATAACATATATATTTTAAAATTATATTTCATTTAAAATTATAGATGTCCTTACCTTACCAGAACCTTCACAATTTTAATAATATACCAATATAGCAATTTGTGGATCATTCATTAGCATTTAATATTTTTGGGAGAAAAAGAGTAGCTAAACAGATAAGATAATATCAAGCATAGCTACTAAAATAACTTCAGAATTAGTATGGCCAATGACTAACTCACAAACTAGTGACACTTATCTCAGTCCCCAGGGAAGAACTAATTCAATTGTAAGTGCACTCTTGAACATTTAGTCTTATTTGATTTGCTTTTTATATTACCTCTACAGGTTTTAAAAAATTACTAAACAAAAGATTTTAGAAATTAACTGGAAAAAATGACTTCTCTTTTACTAATCTCTACTGCTGTATAAATCTCACTGTTTTAATGCTATAATATATTCATGCAATAAGAGAATAAAGTTGTAGTTTATTCTAACATACCTTTTTTCAGTACCCCCAAACAGTAGCCCTACCCAAGCTTCATTAAATTAAAAGGATGGATTTTTTTTATATTTACCTGCTATATACAAAAGAAAAAATATGTTGACTATAAAGTAAGTATCTGTTTCCGTTGGTATTCCATTTTGCTTTTTCTGTTGGTATTCCATTTTGACTGAACTTTATTGAAGTACCATTTACAAACAATTAAAATGCACACATTTTAGTATACACTTTGATGAGTTAACACAGGAGGTCCCCAACCCCTGGGCCACAGACCTGTTCCGGTCCATGTCCTGTTAATAACCGGTTTGCATAGCAGGAGGTGAGCGGTGGTCCAGCAGGCACTACTGCTGAGCTCTGCCTCCTGTCAGATCAGTGGTGGCATTAGATTCTCATAGATGTACAAACCCTATTTTGAACTGGACATGCAAGGAATCTAGGTTGCGTGCTTTTTATGAAAATCTAATACCTGATTATCTGAGGTGGAACAGTTTCATCCCAAAACCGTCCTCCCTTCCCCACCATCTGTGGAAAAATTATCTTCCAGGAAACTGATCCCTGGTGCCAAAAAGGTTGAGAACTGCGGAGTTCTGAATAAATCTAGTAGCTTTTAAAGCTAAATTCTAAATTACATAAATTCAAGAACAATTTTTGCCTATATATTTGTGACATTTATTTAAATATGTAACTGTTTATCAATGTAACTAAAAATCAGATATCATGTACAATATTGGAAAATCCACAGGGAACATATGTATTTATTTTGCATACTGTGACTAATCTAATTTTTCATTAGGAATAAAGTTCATTTTTCTTCCATTACTGAAAATTTCTTAGTTTCTTTTGGTGTGTCATATTTTCCCAATTTTTCATAATCATTATGTCCTTACATTTTTTTCTCCAACTTTTATTTTAGGATTGGGGGTACCTGTATGGGTTTTTATATTGGTAACTTGTGTGCCACAGGAGTTTTGTGTACAGATTAGTTTGTCACCTAGTAATAAGGGTAGTACCTAACAGGCAGTTTTTCAATCCTCATCCTTCTCTTACCCTCCATCCTCGAGTAGGTCCCAGTGTATGTTGTTTTCTTCTTTGCATCCTTGTGTACTCAATGTTTAGCTCCCACTTACAAGTGAAAACCCTAAAGATTCTACACACACACACACACACACAGACACACCACAAACACAAATTTGGTAAAATAGCAGGATACAAAATCAACAGGCAAAAACCAATGGGTTTCTATACACTAACCATAAACAACACAAAAACTAAATTAAGAAAGTAATTCCATTTACAATAGTATCAAAAGATATTTAAGAACTAACTTCATCAAAGAGGTAAAAGACATGTGAAATGAAAATTACCAAACATTGCTGAAAGAAACTGAAGAATGTACAAATAAATAAAAAACTCATCATATCTAAATTCATTTTAAGGTATGTCCTAGGTTATTCTTATTTCTACACTGAATATTATTAATTTCATTGTATTTCTAGCTGAAATTATACGTAGTTTTGTAAATATCATATGCAAGATTTTTGTAAATTATTTCATGGCAAGAATTTTGTTATCTACATCATTATTTTCATTTTAGTATCATTACAGGCCTATCATGTAATTCAATGGAAAGTGAATAAGTGTTTCTTTTCAAACTTTATTGATCATAGCATTGATAAGTAATATCACTGCAGGGTTTTAGCTAGTGGAATTGAGAAGAGAAATAGAAAGGTCATTTCTTCTATAGGTTGTCCACACATACATCTTTTCAAAAGAATTTTATGCCACCTGGTGAAAAGGATTTCACTATAACATTGCATAAGCATAATAAGAAGTATTTGATGATTTTTTAAAATTATTTTTATGGTAGATGGCTGCAGGTTTAGAGAAACCAGGGTTCCCAAGACTACCTTCATTTTTGACACCAATTGCAAGTTCAGGGGTACTACAAAACCCAAGGTTCAATAATTTGCTAGAAGGACTCACAGAACTATTATACTCACAGTTTATTTAAGGTAAAAGACACATATTAAAATTGGCCAAGGGCAGGGATGTATGGGGCAAAGTTCAAAAAAGTTCCAAATGTGGAGCTTCCAGCGTCATGAACATTTCTTATATTCCTGGCATCAATATGTGACAGTATGCACAGAGGATTTTCAACCAGGAAATTGCATCCAAGTCTCCATGTCCAGAGTCTTTCCTGAGGGTCAATCATGTAAACCTGGTTGGCTGGCCACCTGGCTGACTTCAGTCTCTAATACCTTTGGAAGTTAAGCTTGTACCATGAGACCTAAAGCCCCAACTACAAATCACATTGTTATTATCTGACTGGCTTAAGGCTCCCTATAAATGAAGACATTTGCTCAGAGCATAGAGATTGCCTCCCCAGAGACAAGGGCAAAGGCCAGAACTCTCTTTGGCTGATGTTAAATTCTTTATTACATAGAGCACATAATCATAATAGAGCTTTGTTTTTAGTGCTCATTGGACATTACTTTTGTTGCCACATAATATGATATTGTGCCACACAAGCTGATGGTAAAGCAGATTTATTTTTTCTTGTATACACAGTAAAAATTTGATTATTGTACATTGGTTATTTGAAGGTTTAAGAACATTTTTTTTTTGAATTAAGAATACCTTATACTGCCAAAGAAATAGTGGTTGAAGAAGTAAGAATCAATTCATCGAAGTTATAATGGCAATAGGTTATAAACCTCAAATAAAAGAAGGTAGAGGGAATCTTTCAATTGGGTGTTAACAGGATCTAGCCAACTTATTTTTTAATATTCTCTAAAGGGGAAAATGCTAAAAATTATTTCTGGCACTTATTTCAATATTTAACTATGCTCAATTGATATTCTCTATTTTTAAGTACAGCAGCTACCTGTAAAGAATATTATTCCCATTCAAACTTTAAGGAGAAACTAACAAATTTCTTATTAAGGGCTATATAATACTAAATGATATTATCATACATCCCTCAAACTCCTTGAAATCAATTTAAAATTCCCAACTTTTAACTCTTCCTGTTCAAGATAGATAATTTATAGCAAACTTGTAGCTTGAAAAATCTATTGTTTCATTGTTTCTCAAAGCAAATATTCTTGTTCAAAAAATAAGTGGCTTTGATCTGTAACAGCGAAAAGATGTTTTAAATCACTACATGTCTTTTGTCTAATTATTAGCATTTTGGATTTAACTTGCTAATTTCCTAGAGGAAATTTAATTAATACAGGAGGTAATCTGTAATAAGTAATATGGCTAAAATTAGATTACATTAATTTTATCTTATGCTGTTCTAAGGCACTAACTAAATTCACATCTAAACTCAGTTTTTATAACAAATTACTTTTTATTTTCTGTTACTCTTGTGGAAACCTTTGTACTCTCACTTTTCAACACATTTCTCTGTCCTAATGTTATTAGTTTTGGACAGCCTGAACTACTGAAAATATCTGTTAGTGTGCATAGCCATGTATACTGTATTACTCACCATTAAAAATATTTTAATGTTCTTGTGCAGTTATAAGGTAACTGTATACTAAGTGTAGAAGCATGTGGATTCACATTTCTATCATAGACATTTTGTGAACCTAATTAATTTGGGAATCTATTAGCTTTACCCTAGGGTAATTAATTATGCAAACAAGAAGGTACACAGAAACACTGGTATCACTATGAGTCTTAAGTTGCAGACTTATCTGGACACATATATTAAGCTCCTTTTTTCTAAATATGATCAACCATTTAGAGAAACGTAAGGTTTAGGCTGAGTCTATATGGAAACTATAGGAGGTTTTAGATGAAGAATTAATAGGCACATAATCAGTGAAAATGCCTTCCAGACATTCTTTCAGTGAGATTTCTATAATGCACACTGGTAAAGCAAATTCTGAAGCAGTTCAAACATAGCCAGGCACAAGGAATCATGTCAGTCATCTCCAAATATATAAGGAATGTTTCTCTCATTAATTTGTGTTCCAAAGAAAAGAATGGAAGATTAACAAGGGGCCTAATTCCTTGTTCATGATTGAGGATGTTTCCGTTGTATCTGGGAGTAACTTCTTATATAATAGATGAGTGTAAACTAGAGCTCAGTGGTTTGAATTTGAAACTCATTCCTGATTTTTAACTTTGTAATATTGGTACATGCATGTGTTAGGCTGTTTTTGAGTTGCTAAAAATGAACACCTGAAACTGGATGATTTATATAGAAGAAAGTTTTAATTCATTCTTCAGGCTGTACAGGAAGTGTTGTGCCAGCATCTGATTCTAGTGAGAGCCTCAAGAAGCTTACAGTCATGGCAGAAAGCAAAGGGGGAGCAGGTACGTCACATGACGATAGCAGGAGCAAGAGAGAGAGAAGGAGTTGCTGCACTCTTAAGCCACCAGATTTCACCTGTACTCACAGTGAGGACACACCATTACCATGGGGAGGGCACCACACCATTAATGAGGGAGCTGCCCTCATGACCCAAACACCTCTCACCTCCAACATTGGGGATTACATTTCAACATATTTGGAGGGAAAAATATTCAAACCATATTAATATCTTAATCTGCTCAGGCTGCTATAACAAAATATCATAAACTACATAGTTTATAAATACTAGATATTATTTCTTACAGTTTTGGAGACTGGGAATTCCAAGACTAAGACACATTTGTCTTCTCAGTGTAATATCACATGGTAGAAGTGGCTACCTAGCTCTCTGCAATCTCTTTTATAAGGGCACAAATCTCAATCATGAGGGCCATGCCATTTTGTTCTGAAGCACAAAACTTTAAAACATAGCAGTACGCTGTTTAACAGATCCAGGTTTCAGGTCCATAACATATAAAATTTGAATAATTATAGTAACATGCCGTATAGATAGTTGTGGTAAAATTTAAGCCAGTTAAAGCATGCAATGCTATTGCAACAATGCCTGAAAAAGAGTAACATGGAAAATGTCCAATGGTCTTCAGCTGTTGTTGTTGCTACTGGGATTCATCTCTATGTGGTTTTGATCTAAATTAGTGTTTCCTAAATAATATAGAGATAATGAAACTCAAAGATGTGATCAGACTTATTAACTTCCAACCTTGGCAAGAAAGTAAAGTCATGTCTGGTTTTATTGCACTTTATTGAGCTTTGGAGATTTTTAACATTTACTACAAATTGAAGGTTTGTGGAAGCACTGCCTGGAGCCAGTCTATTGACACAACTTTCCAACAGCATGTGCTCACTTTGTGTCTCAGTGCCACACTTTGGTAATTCTTACAATATTGCAAACATTTTTCATTACTGCTATACCTGTTATAGTGACCTGTAATCACTAATCATAGACATTAATTTATTATTATTATTATTATTATTATTATATTTTAAGTTTTAGGGTACATGTGCACAATGTGCAGGTTAGTTACATAGTATACATGTGCCATGCTGGTGTGCTGCACCCATTAACTCGTCATTTAGCATTAGGTATATCTCCTAATGCTATCCCTTCCCCCTCCCCCCACCCCACAACAGTCCCCAGAGTGTGATGTTCCCCTTCCTGTGTCCATGTGTTCTCATTGTTCAATTCCCACCTATGAGTGAGAACATGTGGTGTTTGGATTTTTGTCCTTGTGATAGTTTACTGAGAACGATGATTTCCAATTTCATCCATGTCCCTACAAAGGACATGAACTCATCATTTTTTATGGCTGCATAGTATTCCATGGTTTTATATGTGCCACATTTTCTTAATCCAGTCTATCATTGTTGGACATTTGGGTTGGTTCCAAGTCTTTGCTGTTGTAAATAGTGCCTCAATAAACATACGTGTGCATGTGTCTTTATAGCAGCATGATTTATAGTCCTTTGGGTATATACCCAGTAATGGGATGGTAGGTGGGAATCCTCCCTAACTCATTTTATGAGGCCAGCATCATCCTGATACCAAAGCCGGGCAGAGACACAACCAAAAAAGAGAATTTTAGACCAATGTCCTTGATGAACATTGATGCAAAAATCCTCAATAAAATACTGGCAAACCGAATCCAGCAGCACATCAAAAAGCTTATCCACCATGATCAAGTGGGCTTCATCCCTGGGATGCAAGGCTGGTTCAATATATGCAAATCAATAAATGTAATCCAGCATATAAACAGAACCAAAGACAAAAACCACATCATTATCTCAATAGATGTAGAAAAGGCCTTTGACAAAATTCAACAACCCTTCATGCTAAAAACTCTCAATAAATTAGGTATTGATGGGATGTATCTCAAAATAATAAGAGCTATCTATGACAAACCCACAGCCAATATCATACTGAATGGGCAAAAACTGGAAGCATTCCCTTTGAAAACTGGCACAAGACAGGGATGCCCTCTCTCACCACTCCTATTCAACATAGTGTTGGAAGTTCTGGCCAGGGCAATTAGGCAGGAGAAAGAAATAAAGAGTATTCAATTAGGAAAAGAGGAAGTCAAATTGTCCCTGTTTGCAGATGACATGATTGTATATCTAGAAAACCCCATTGTCTCAGCCCAAAATCTCAAGCTGATAAGCAACTTCAGCAAAGTCTCAGGATACAAAATCAATGTACAGACATTAATATTTTAACTGTTTTGAGGCACCATGAAACATGCCCATATAAGACAGTAAATTTAATCAATAAATGTTGTGTGTGTTCTAACTGCTCCACAACAAGCCATGACCCCATCTCTTTCACATACTTTGGTTTTCCCCTTTCCCTGAGACACAGCAATATTGAAATTAGGCCAGTTATTAACCCTTCAATGGCCTCTACCTGGTGAAGTAAAAGAAGGAGTCACACATCTCTCACTTTAAATCAAAAGCTAGAAATTATTAAGCTTAATGAGAAAGACATGTCAAAATCCTAGAAAGGCTGAAAGCAATATCTCTTGCACCAATCAGCCAACTGGTGAATGCAAAATTCTTGAAAGAAATTAAAAGTGCTACTTCAGTGAACGCACAAATGATAAGAAAGAAAAAACAGGCTTATTGCTGAGATCAAGGAAGTTTTAGGGGTCTGAATAGAAGATCAAACCAGCCACAACATCCCCTTAAGCCAAAGCCTAACTCAGAACAAGGCCCTAACTCTTTCCAATTCTAGAGGACTGGGAGAGGTGAAGAAGTTGAAGAAAAGTTTGAAGGCAGCTGGAGTTGGTTCATGAGGTTTAAGAAAAGAAGCCGTCTCCATAACTTAAAAGTGCAAGGTGAAGCAGCACATACTGATGTGGAAGCTATAGCAAGTTATTCAGAATATTTAGCTAAAATGGTTACAATAAAAAACAGACTTTTAATGTAGATGAAACAGCCTTCTATTGGAAGAAAATACGATCTAGAATTCTCAAATAAAGAGGAAAAGTCAATACCTGGTTTTATAGCTTCAAAAGACAGGCTGGCTCTCTTGTTAGGAACCAATGCAGCTAGTGACTTTAAGTTGAAGCCAGTATTCATTTACCATTCCAGAAATGCTAAGGCCCCTAAGAATGATGCTAAATCCACTCTGTCTGTGCTTTATAAATGGAAAAACAAAGCCTAGATGAAAGCACATCTGTTTACGGAATGGTTTAGTGAATATTTTAAGCCTACTGTTGAGACCTACCTGCTGAGAATAAAGAAAAAAGATTCCTTTCAAAAGAGTACTGCTTATTGACAATGTATCTGGTTACTGAAGAACAGTGATGGAGATTTACAAGGAGATTAATGTTGTTTTCATTCCTGCTAACAGAATATTTATTCTCCAGCCCATGAATCAAGGAGTAATTTCTTACTTTCAAGTCTTATTATTTAAGAAATACATTTTAAAAACTGTAGTTGCCAGAGATAGTGATTCCTCTCAATGGATGTGGGCAAAGTAAATCAAAAACCACATGGAAGGAATTCCCATTGTAGATTCCATTAAGAACATTCGTATTTCATGAGAGGAGATAAAAATATCAACATTAACAGGAGTTTGGAAGAAGTTTATTTCAACTCTCATGGATGACTTTGAGGGATTCCAGACCTCAGTGGAGGAAGTAAGATTAGAAGGTGATGGGAGTAGGAAGGAAACAAATTAGAAGTAGTCTAAAGCTAAAGATGTGACAAGGTTGCTACAATCTCATGATTAAACCTTAATGAATGAGGAGTTGCTTCTAACAATGAGCAAAGAAAATAGTTTCTTGACATGGAAACTACTCATAATAAAAATGCTATGAACATTGTTGAAATGAAAACAAAAGACTTAGAACATTACAAAAACTTAGTTTATAAAGCAGTGATAGAGTTTGAGAGGATTGATTCCAATGTTTGAAAGAAGTTCTGTTGTGGGTAAAATGCTGTGGGTAAAATAAAAAAGATGGCTGTAGGTGTGTTGCATTATACCTGGGCTCTCTATTCTGTTTCATTGGTCTATGTGTCTGCTTTTGTACCAGTACTAAGAGGTTTTGGTTATTGTAGCCTTGTGGTATAGTTTGAAGTCAAGTAATGTGATGCCTCCAGCTTTGTTATTTGATGTTATTTTGATGCTTAGGATTGCCTTGGCTATTCAGGCTTTTTTTTGGTTCCACATGAGTTTTAAAATAGTTTATTTTTTAATTCTGTGAAGAATGTTACTAGTATTTGGATAGGAATAGCATTGAATCTATCAAATGCCTTCCAGCTATTCCTATCAAACTATCAGTCATTTTAACAATATTGATTCTTCCTATCTATAAGCATGGGATGTTTTTCCATGCTCACCTATTCATCAGCATTAAATGTTTTTCCATGCTCATGGATAGGAAGAATCAATATTGATTTGTTATCAATCAGCTTTAAAATGTTTACATCATCTCTGATTTCTTTGAACAGTGTTTTGTAATTCTCATTATAGAGATCTTTCACCTTCCAGGTCAGTTATATTCCTATGGATTTTATTCTTTTTGTGACTATTGTGAATGTGATTGTATTCTTGATTTGGCTCTCAGCTTGGATGTTGTTGGCATATAAGCATGCTACTAACTTTTTTACAGTAATTTTGTTTCCTGAAATCTTACAAAATTTCTATATCAGATCAAGGAGCTTTTGGGCAGAGACTATGGGGTTTTCTTGGTATAGAGTCATATTGTCTGCAGACAAGGATATTTAAAGTTCCCCTCTTCCTATTTCTGTGCTTTTTATTTCTTCCTCTTGCCTGATTGCTCTGGCTAGGACTCCCAGTACTATATTGAACAGCAGTAGTGAGAGAGGGCATCCTTTTCTTATTCTGATTTTCAAGGGGAATGTTTCCAGCTTTTGCCCATTCAGTATGAGGTTTAGTGTGGGCTTTCCTAGATGGTTCTTATTATTTTGAAGTATATTCTTTTAATGCCTAGTTTTTTGAGAGTTTTTAACATAAAGGGATGTTGAATTTTATCAAAAGCCTTTTCTGTATCTGTTGAGACAATCATGTCATTTTTATTTTTTGTTCTGTTTGTGATGAATCACATTTATTGATTTGCATATGTTGATCCAACCTTGCATGCCAGAAATACAGCCTAATTGATTGTGGTGGATTCACTTTTTGATGTGCTAAATTCAGTTTGCGAGTATTTCGTTGAGGATTTTGGCATCGTGTTCATCAAGGATATTGGCCTGACATTTTCTTTTTTTGTGGTGTCTGTGGCAGATTTTGGAATCAAAATGAAGCTGGTCTCATAGAATTAGTTAGTGTGGAGTCCCTCCTCTTTTTTTTTTTTTTTTTTTTTTTTTTGTGGGGGGATAGTTTCGGTAGAAATGGCGCACTCTCTTCTTTATACATCTGGTAGAATTGTAGTCCCTGGGGTTTTTTTTGTTTGTTTGTTTGTATTTCTGTGGAGTCAGTGGTAATGTCCCCTTTGTCATTTCTGATTATGTTTATTTGGTTCTTCTCTTTGACAAAGTTGACACAAATAAGAAATAGGGAAGAACTTCTTAATAAATGATGCGGGAATAACTGGATAGCTATATGCAGAGTATTAAAACTGGGCCCTTTCCTTACACCATGTACAAAAATCAACAAAAGTTGGATTGAAGTCTTAATTGTAAAACCTAAAACTATAAAATCCTTGGAAGATAGCTTTGGAAATACCACTCTGGAAACAGAAACTGGCAAAGTTCATTATAATGATGAAGGCACCAAAAGCAATTGTAACAAAAGCAAAAATTCACAATAGGACCTAATTAAACTAAAGAGCTTCTGCACAGAAGAAGAAACTATCAACAGTGTAAACAGAAAACCTACACAATGGGAGAAAATACTTGCATATTGTAAATCTGACAAAGGTCTGATAACTGGAATCTAAAAGGAACTTAAATTTACAAGCAAAAAACAACAAAAATACTTTAAAGAGTGGGCAATGGACATCAATAGACACCATTCAAAAGACACACACACAGGCAGGGAGCATACGAAAAAATGCTCAACATGAGTAATCATTAGATAAATGCAAACAAAAACCACAATAAGATTCCCTGTCACACCAGTCAGAATGGCTATTATTAAAGTCAAAAAATAATAGATACTGGCAAGGTTGTGGATAGAAGGGAACACTAACATACTGATGTTGGGGATGTAAATTACGTTCAGCCATTGTTAAAATCTGTTTCACAATTTCTGAAAGAACTTAAAACAGAATTACCACTTGATCTGGCAATCTCATTATTGGGTATATACCCAAAGGAATATAAATGGTTCTACCATAAAGACACATGCACTTGTGTGTTCAATGTAGTACTATTCACATTAGCAAAGACTTGGAATCAACCTAAATGGCCATCCATAGTAGACTTGATAAAGTAAATGTGGTACATTTATACCATGGAATACTATGCAACCATGAAAAAGAATGAAAGGATGCCCTTTGCAGCAACATGGATAGAGCTGAAAGCCATTATCCTAAGCAAACTCACACAGGAGAAGAAAACCAAATACCACGTGTTCTCACTTATAAGTGGGAACTAAATATCGATTACATATGGTTACAAAGAAGGAAACAAAGGACACCAAGGACCTACTTGAAAGTGAAGAGGGGGAGGAGGGTGATGCTTGAAAAGCTACCTATTGGTTACAGTGCTTATTACCTGGGTGATGAAATAATCTGTACACTAAACCCCCACGATATGCAATTTACCTATATAACAAACCTGAACGTGTACCTCTGAACCTAAAATAAAAGTTTTTTAAATGTTATCAAATAACGTCATATGTTGCAGAGAAATCTTGTATGACAAGATAAGTCAATCAATGTGACAACCTTCAGTGTTGTCAGATTTTAAGAAATTGCCATAGCCACCCCAACCTTCAGCAATCATCCCCCTGATAGTCAACACACATCAACATCTAGGCAAGATACTCCACCAGCAAAATGTTTATGACTTGTTGAATGCTCAAATGATTCTTAGCATTTTTTAACAATAAAGTATTTTAATTAATGAGTGTGCATTGTTTTTGGAGACATTGCTATTGCATACTTTATAAACTATAGTATAGTGTAATATAACTTTTCACACACAGGGAAACCAATGAATTTGTGTGACTTGCTTTTTGCAATATTAGTTTTATTGCCGTGGTCCGGACCCACAGTATTTCTGAGGTTTGCCTGTCTACCATACTGTAGAGATTGAACCGCTTTTCAAAAGTGTTAAGACTATTTTATCCCTAATATCCTCCATTTCTGGTTTGCTTTCCATTCTCATACATTATTATGACACTAAATTACAAATAGTTTTATCGAAGTCCAAAACTCTAGTTTACAAGCAAATAAATAAAGAAGAAAAAAATGATTACTTCCTATTCCCATGCTTTGTATGATCCAGGTCAAATTATTTAGGCTTCCTTAGTCTTATTTTTAAAAGTCATATATAAATAATGCTTCCTCTCTTGTAAATTCCTGTCTTGTCTCTTTGTAGGTCACTCAGGACTTGCTTTATGAATCTGGGTGCTCCTGTGTTGGGTGCATATATATTTAGGATATTCAGCTCTTCTTGTTGAATTGACCCCTTTAGCATTATGTAATGGCCTTCTTTGTCTCTTTTGATCTTTGTTGGTTTAAAGTCTGTTTTATCAGAGACTAGGATTGCAACCGCTGCCTTTTTTTGTTTTCCATTTGCTTGGTAGGTCTTCCTCTATCCTTTTATTTTGAGCCTATATTTGTCTCTGCACGTGAGATGGGTTTTCTGAATACAGCACACTGATGGGTCTTGACTCTTTATCCAATTTGCCAGTCTGTGTCTTTCAATTGGAGCATTTAGTCCATTTACATTTAAAGTTAATATTGTTATGTGTGAATTTGATCCCTCAAGTGGGTCCCTGACCCCTGACCCCCGAGCAGCCTAACTGGGAGGCACTGCCCAGTAGGGGCAGACTGACACCTCACACGGCCGGGTACTCCTCTGAGACAAAACGTCCAGAGGAATGATCAGACAGCAGCATTCACGGTTCACAAAAATCCACTGTTCTGCAGCCACCACTGCTGATACCCAGGCAAATAGGGTCTGGAGTGGACCTCTAGCAAACTCCAACAGACCTGCAGCTGAGAGTCCTGTCTGTTAGAAGGAAAACTAACAAACAGAAAGGACATCCACACCAAAAACCCATCTGTACATCACCGTCATCAAAGACCAAAAGTAGATAAAACCACAAAGATGGGGAGAAAACAGAGCAGAAAACCTGGAAACTCTAAAAAGCAGAGCTCCTCTCCTCCTCCAAAGGAATGCAGTTCCTCACCAGCAACGGAGCAAAGCTGGACGGAGAATGACTTTGATGAGCTGAGAGAAGAAGGCTTCAGATGATCAAACTACTCCGAGCTACAGGAGGAAATTCAAACCAAAGGCAAAGAAGTTAAAAACTTTGAAAAAAATTTAGACGAATGTATAACTAGAATAACCAATACAGAGGAATGCTTAAAGGAGCTGATGGAGCTGAAAGCCAAGGCTCGAGAACTACATGAAGAATGCAGAAGCCTCAGGAGCTGATGCGATCAACTGGAAGAAAGGGTATCCGTGATGGAAGATGAAATGAATGAAATGAAGCGAGAAGGGAAGTTTAGAGAAAAAAGAATAAAAAGAAACGAACAAAGCCTCCAAGAAATATGGGACTATATGAAAAGTCCAAATCTACATCTGATTGGTGTACCTGAAAGTGACGGGGAGAATGGAACCAAGTTGGAAAACACTCTGCAGGATATTATCCAGGAGAACTTCCCCAATCTAGCAAGGCAGGCCAACATTCAGATTCAGGAAATATAGAGAATGCCACAAAGATACTCCTCGAGAAGAGCAACTCCAAGATACATAATTGTCAGATTCACTAAAGTTGAAATGAAGGAAAAAATGTTAAGGGCAGCCAGAGAGAAAGGTTGGGTTACCCAGAAAGGGAAGCCCATCAGACTAACAGCTGATCTCTCAGCAGAAACTCTACAAGCCAGAAGAGAGTGGGGGCCAATATTCAACATTCTTAAAGAAAAGAATTTTCAACCCAGAATTTCGTATCCAGCCAAACTAAGCTTCATAAGTGAAGGAGAAATAAAATACTTTACAGACAAGCAAATGCTGAGAGATTTTGTCACCACCAGGTCTGCCCTAAAGGAGCTCCTGAATGAAGCACTAAACATGGAAAGGAACAACCGGTACCAGCCACTGCAAAATCATGCCAAATTGTAAAGACCATCGAAGCTAGGAAGAAATGGCATCAACTAATGAGAGGGCACTTATTTAGTCCATTACTTCCATGAAGAGATTGTATTATGCCATTTGCCTGGAAGAGCCTCATTGTAAGACCTGGAAATCTCATGTGGAATGGCAGAAAATACTTAAAACTGAGACTCAATATTGAGTCTAGTCTCATCTAAACCTATTAAAATTTGAGTTTAGGCTCATTAGAATCTTCTAGGCTGGTATTGCCAACAAAGCAATTGGTCCTTTATAATTATTAGGTCCTTTAGGAAAATACATTTTCGATAGGCAGAATAGATATATAGACCACCACTTATCACCCCAGGCTTTGTTAAGAACAATTGTAAATCTTAACAATTATTTTTCACTAATGAAATGAGAAAATGTGTATGGATCGACTAAACATATTGTATAGCATTGTGATTATCTCATGAAAAAAGGCATAATAATATCTTACATCTGATTGCCTACACCCTAGTTTGGAGTCTGAAGAGTTTCTGGTCAGAGCTGATTATTAGAGGATTATGTTTCATTAGATCCTAACTGGAAAAATAAATAGTTATATCTTAGCACCAGAATAGTCCTCTACTGAGCCTTTTACAAAAAAAAAAAAAAAGTGATTTGGAAGCTCAGAAGGGCAGAAATCAGGGACATCATCAAATCCACAGAACATGACTCTTTTTGTTCCTGGTTAACATACTGCCTATCAAATAATATATGGAGTGACAGCTATGGTTGTCTTCTCCTAAAACCTCATTACCAGATAACAGTGAAGTATTAACACATATTATGCTTTAAGTGAAATCTAAGATTTGTGTGTATCAAAATTTTTGACACTATATATTGAAGATAACCTTTCAATATTATTTGTGATATCATTATGTACACATGGAATTTTATAGATACACTATGTCTCAACCTTTTACAATTATTATTATTTTGATAATTAAATTATCACAATCTGACTACTGTCAGATTGACCTTTCAATGTAGTTCTTGAGTTTCTTGACACAACCAGATTAAAATTCCTTGCTGTCGGCTAAAATAAGATGTGCCAGTATTACCCTGTATATTTCCTCCCCCAAACATGAAATTGACCATTGCTTCAAGTAGAAAGCCATGGTTCCTTTGAGTGGAAAATGATAATCTGAACCACAAGAGCATTATGTTAGGTTTATCCTGGTAAAATGACATCTCTGTAGTTGATTGTATTGTACAGAGCTAAAATTAATTCACATTATTTTAAAATCATTAACAAACACTGGTCTTTTCAATTTTGTTTCAAAATGACAGCACTCCTTCTTCATTTCTTTGATTTTATACTGTATCTTTTGTTCTTTCTATGTGGAAATCCTGATTATTAATAATATCAATATAATTTCTAATTTATTTTATTCAGTGATCTGAAGTTAATTTTGAATAAGACCAGTATCATTATTAACAATATCATATTAATAACGTACTTATAAAACGGCAACATTCTGTCACAAAATGAATTCTTTTAAGGATATGTAATCAAGACAGCATTTTCTTAATTTTGCTCAGTGCATTTGTATATCACAGTATATAGTTTCTTTCATCATTTGCTTTATTTTCAGTTTGACAGTGCGGAGTGCCAAAAAAGTGAGTTTTAGATTTTGAAAAGAAGGTTATTTTCAGAGATTATTATTTGTGGAGGCAGTTTGAAGCTTCATAAAAATATTTGGGGCATATGTAGAGTGAGTGCTCCCAGTACAATTTGATATGGTAGGAAAATTGAAACAACTTAATATCCAAGGTCCTAGGCAAGAGTTTTATTTTAATCACTTGATAATAGCCAATTCATAACAGCATAAGGATATTTAAAAATTCACAGAACTGTTCTAAAATTAATTTTTCTATTTGGGGATTCCTGCCCCAGCAGGGCAGTATAATTTTGAATTTGCTTTCATGTATTTTATTATTTATTTATTTATGTATTTATTTATATTTTTAGAGACACAATCTCACTCTGTTCCCAGGCTGGAGTGCAGTGGCATAATCATAGTTCACTGCAGCGTCAAACCCGTAGGCTCAAGAATCCTACTGCCTCAGCCTCCCAAGTAGCATGTGCCAACATACCTGGCTAATTAAAAAAAAAAAAATCGTAGAGGTGGCATTTAACTATGTTGCATAGGCTAGTGTGAAGTTCTGGTCTCAAGCAGTCTTCCCACCTTGGCCTTCCAAATTGCTGGATTACAGATGTGAGCCACCACACCTGGCCACGTTTATGTATTTTAGATGCTTATCTCTACAATTTATTATGGGGATTTTTTCCCCTACTCAGAATACAGAAGAAATGAACCTTTTTGTTCCTAAAGATTGGTATTCTTAAAACTTCCTTTTCTGGGAGCAACTTTTCTGTTGCCTGATTTATAGCATAAGGTATAAAACCTTGTTTCTAATTCTTCCATTACTATTACATTACCAGCTCTTTTTCTCAACAGTTTATATCAGATTATCATCTATGGCATCAATTTGAGGGTTACATTTCTGATTTAAAAATTTCTCTAACCTTCCAAATGTATAAATCCACCCAGATTTGCTCAAACTAATCTGCCCTAAACCTCAACAACTTCATCACTGTAAAACTCTGGTTTCCCTCTCTGTAGCCTCACCACCTGTCTCATGTTCCTTCAGCTGGCCTAATCTCTACTATGTCTGCCACAGTCTGAGTTAAGCCAGTGGCTCCTCCTCGTGTGTGTAGGATTTGACTTACCTGGCAGTTGCTTGAAGGGGACAGGTATCAAACCAGGAAATTCAAGGGATCCAATGCTATGTGCTATGAGTTTAGGTAAGAAAGAAACCTCTGGCAGATAAATTTTTCTCACTTTATTTTTCCTACCACCCATCTGTCCCAAGTGGGGCAATTCCACACAGCCTCCTTCAGAAAATACTGGGACTTAACAACTTGTTTTCTTATAACCGTGTGACTAGCTTAGTAAGACACAACAATGTATTTGTGTTTCCTCCTTCCTTGCCTCACTTTACTGATTCTTTCTGCCTTAATATTTATTTGTGATAAAGTCTTAGCATGTAAATTTGCCCTAAAACAGGCTAAAGCAGGATTCCTTTCTGGCATCTACAAATTTATATATTATAAAATTATATTTACCTATAATAATTATGATTAGTGAAGACTGGTTTTCACCAGATCTGGTGTCGCATTGCTGTGAACGAAAGCTGATTTTGAGGGCAAGTTTGTGAGAAGTGGGCTCTTTTAGCAACCTGTCCCATAGATGCTGCAATGCCTAGCTGGTAGTATTTAGGCTAGATTCATCTTAAATGTAGTCATGGAGCCATAAGCAAATATAGAAGTCAATGTCCTAGGGCTTTTTATGGATAAAAGCTAGACAAATAAAGATGTTGCGTGTTATCTATTGAAATTGGCAGTTAAACCCCTAGAGCTGAGTTCCAAAGAAAACCAAAACAACAATAACAGAGAGGCAAAGGCCCTGAGGGGTTAATAATTTTAGAAACAAGAATTAGTGGCACAACTAAATTGAAGATTTTCTGATTGAATTTTGGTGCCAGTGACCCTAACAAGTTTTGGGGCATTCCCAGTATTTGCTTGGTGAGTGGTTTAGCTTCATTCATACGAGAAGAAACAAAACAGGTTTGTTGAAAGAGTTTCTGTTTTACTTGAAAATACTTTTACTAACTACAATAAAAACACAAATATGATTACATTTTCAGTTTGTCTAAACTAATGTTGATCCCAGCCAATGGCAAGTGGTGTAGGAGTATCTAAAACTCATTGATTTGATACTACAGAGACAGAGCAAGTATTGATTGACTGAATGTCCCTTTGCAAGGTGTTATTTTGCCATTAGGTAAACTAGATGTGATTGAATACATTAATCAAATACGCATTTCAATGTTTTTAGATTTTCGGCATCCTACCACATTACAACATAGAAGTATAACATATTGAGAGGTCTACAGTTAATTGAAGAGCCACAGAATTGAGCAGAGTCATTGCAACTAAAATGGGAGAACTTGAGAAAACTGAGAACGCATTACCTGCAACAGTAACAATGATAGCATCATTACTTAATGATATAAATATTTTATTGTATTTACAGCTAGTTCATTTCCCGTGTCAATCAGGTCTTTGTTCATCATTGTTTTCCCTTCTTTTCTCAGCAGTAAATGGAAGTTATTCTTATTTTCTAATGAAAACATTTGGGGAGAGGGGACATAACTTAGATTACTATTCTCAGCATCTCCTCTCCTACCTCAAAATATGTATGGAAGCATTCTTTCCAAAAAAGGCATTTTTCTTTTTAAGAGGATTTTTGGTTCTTCCCTACATTATGTCATTGACTTTTTCTACAGTCTTGGAGTGTAGCTGTTATTATGCTCTTTATTACAAGAGGAAACAAAATAAAATAGTGTGAAGTAATGTTTTGCAAGTCTCCATAGCTGAATAAAAGATACAATTGAAACCATATAAAGCACTTCTAATATTTCCCATTATCCTGAATTTCTTGTCTTCATATAGTATTCTTCATTTTAAAATAATCTTCCTTTTTATAAAGAACAAAAATACTAAATATGTGTTTGATATAATATAAAAATTATAACTACCATTATCAAACACTGTTGTATGTCAAATACTGTGTAATCCATTTTCCATCTATTACCTCAATCAATTTTGGCAACAACTGCTTAGTATATATTTTTATTATTATTCCCCTTTGACTTGTGCATTTATCCTCTATTTAGAAGAATCTGAGCCTTACAGAGATGGAATAATATGCTTGAGATTGTACCCTAGTACACTGCCAAACTAGGATAGTTCAAACCCCCGTCTGCAAGCAAACCTGCAATCCTAATCACAATACCATATTGCCACAGTTTCACCTTTGTTGACTGACATAAAAATTTGGATTGCTTTGCAAAGTCCTGAATAGCAAGAAAGACTCTTACATTTGTTTTTACACTTCACTTACTAACACGGTAGGTTTATGATGAATATTCATTTACTTAAAGAATAAATGAATTTGTTTAAAAATGTTTCAAACATCTAAATGTTCTCATATATTTAAACCATGGCATTGCATAAAATATCATCTGTTTTCCCTTTAGAATTTAAAAATTAAAGATAAAATAGAGCCTTTAAAAAGTGTATTGTTCCTCATTTTGTTTTCATGTGCTTTTTTCTACCTGGGGATTGTAAAATATAGAAACTCGCCCTTTCTCTTTTCTGAAATTCTGAATCAGAAGAAGCATAAACTATTACTTACTCTTTATAAAAGGAAATAATGAATTCTTGATCAAAAATATGAAGTAATGCATCTCTGCCAGCCAACATGTATCTCTAGTCACTCGTAAAATATCAAAATAATCATTAAAGTATAACAATTTGAGTTTGAACATTTTACGTATTTTACCAAATTTGATATTTTCTAAAATCAAGTGAGGTAGGCAAGGCCAACATATATTTTATTAACTTTGTACATAGAAAAGTTGAAGATTAGAGAATTCGCAATGGTTTCCTTACCCACGATTCAAATGTAGCATCCTTTTTTGCTTTTTCTCCTTCTTCTCTTCAAATTCATCCTCATCCTTCTTTTCTTTTTTATTAGTGATACTAGACTAGTAATTTATATTGCTGTCATGCTAGACAGCACTAATAACTGATTATATTTGGCATATAAAATATAGCTTCCTTTTTTCTTTGTATTGAACCATAAGCACTACCTTCAATCTTTTCAAATTTGTTAAGACTAGTTTTGTGAATTAATATATGATTTATTTTAAAGAATGTTTCATGTGAGCTTGAGAACAAAGTGTATTGTGCTGCTGGTGGGTAGGATGTTCTGTATATGTCTGTTAGACCATTTGGCCTATAATACTGTTAAAGTCCACAATTTTCTTATTGATTTTCCATCCAGGTGATCTGTCTATTGTTGAAAGTGTAGTGAAGTACCCTCCTCTTACTGAATTGCAGTCTGTCTCACCCATCTGATCTAATAAGATTTGCTTTATATATTTAGGTGCTCCAGTGTTGGATGCATATATATTTAAAATTTTTACAACTTCTTAATGAATTTGACCTCTTTCTCATAATGACTTTCTTTGTTTCTTTTTATAGTTTTACATTTAAAGTCTATTTTGTTTAAATATCTACCCCTGTTATCTTTTGGTCACCATTTGCCTAAAGTATCTTTCTCCGTCCCTTCACTCCCAATCTATGTGTGTCCTTAAGGTTAAAGTGTGTCTCTTGTAGGCACCGTATGTTGGATCTTTTAAAAATCCATTCAGCCACTCTGTGTCTTTTGATTGGAGAATTTAATCCATTTACATGTAAATTAATTATTGATAGGTAAGGATTTGCTAGTAATATTTTGTTACTTTTACAAACTGATCTGTAGTTATATTGTTCTTCTATTCCAATTTTGCTATCTTTTTAATGTGTTGCATTTTATAGTTGTATGCTTTAATTATTTCTCTTTATCTTTTGTTTATTTACTAGGTTTTCATAACATAGGAGTGGTTTATATGAGTGAAAACTCACATATATATATACATGAACACATATATACACATAGGGAAATAGTGTACATTATAGTGTAATTCTCCTGTGTGTGCATGAAATGTGCCACTGTCTCAGTATAGATGCAAGTTTTAAATAGTTCAGACTAAGGAAGTAAACAAGTGGGGCCTCATGTGTCCTCTTTTGATTGAGCTTTGCATCATTCAGTGTTGCTTTAAACTGCCTCATATACTCTTTTCTCAGTACTTTTCTGCCAGTTTTGCAGCAATATAAATTTCCAGATGACAAAATCTGTTAGATGCTATAAAAACCAAACAAAGCAATGGTACTGAGGCTGGGTGAAATGAACATTTTTCTTTGAAACTGAGCACACAGAGTGACTTCTAATAATTCACCATGGACAGCATGAGCTCAGCTATACTGAAATGGTTCAAGAAGCTGGGAAATAATGTCTCTTAGTTTTAGCTGTCAAAGTATAATCAAATCACCCCAAGCTCACTTTATTTAATACTTTTTGAAAGTTTGTGGAGGCAACGTTCAGTAATAAGGCTTGACCAACATAACATAAAATTCTACATTCTGCTTTCAAAATATTGACCTTTTTTGCCTTAAGAAAAAATGTAGTGGTGGTTCTATAATTAAACTCTAAATAGGACAAATTAAATGACCTGCTTTGTGGTGCCCCAGAAGCTTGTAAGGTCTTGCACATGTTTCTCTGCTCCAAGCTGCTTCAGAGAATAAACTTCAGGTAGCACAGCTGGACTTCCTCTCTCAGGATCCATCATGCTCCTGATCCAACATCTTTCAAGAATTTGCAGGGGCACTTGCAAGAATATTTATAGCTATATTCATCCCCACATGCACCATACCCTAATTATATGTGATCAGATTTCTCTTCTGTGAAAATAAGATTGGAAGGACCATGGTTATATGTGCAGTAATTCCCTCTTATCTGCATCTGCATATACACATATGAGATATATATATATAAATTAAGAACACTTTTTTGTATACATACATACCTATGACAGAGTTTAAATTATAACTTATAAATTAGGCATGGTAAGATATTAACAACAATGATAATAAATAGAACAATTTATTATACAATTGTAACAATATGTCAGAACAATTATAACAATATGTCAGCATCACTAATCTTGCATTTTGAGGCCATTATGAAGTAAAGTAAGGGTTACTGAAGCACAGGCAGTTCAATACCACATCAGTCAATCTGATAACCCAGGTCGTTACTAAGTGACTATAGGTAGGTAGCATATGCAGTGTGGATACACTAGGCAAAGGGAGGATTTATGTCTAGGGCGGGATGGAGTGGGTGACATGAGATTTCATCATGTTGCTCAGAATGATGCATAATTTAAAACTGAAGAAATGTTGATATCTGAAATATCTCATTTAATATTTGTGAAGCACAGTTGACCATGATTAACTGAAACACCAAAAGGTGAGACCGTGGATAAGGAGGACTATTGTATAATGCTCAAAATGTGCATATTTAGAAAAACTGATTTATTTATGATAAAGTATATTTAATATATTAAAAATAAAAATGACTAACAGATCAAATTGGATCATTTTCTGTTTTTGCTCAACCTTTTTGCCAAATCTTTTTTGTCTGAAATATGCTGACTCCACTCTTTTTGGAGTAAAAATGTCCCTGTTATTTTCTTTGATCAACTAAATTTTTACTTTCTCTAAAAATGTTATTGACCTTGCCTTGAAGTACAGAGGTTGAATTTGCCTGAGTGTACCATGGCAATTTATTACTGGCAAAAATTATAATTAAATTCATATTTTTTTCTTTGGGCTTCTAATTAAATTAACACTAATTAAAGAAGTTATACTGCACTTGTTAAATTAAGACAATTCAGATTACAGTGATGACAATCAGCATTTTAAACTCAGTAGCAATGGCGACTTAAAATAGTAACCTTCAGTATTAAGCATCCCATATTCCTGTGTGTTAGGAGGAGGCTATTCTTGGAGATAGCAATAAAATAATTTTTAAAGGGGCATCTATTTTTAATAGTACGATGCTGAATACTGACAAACCTCATTTTATTGCACTTTATTGTACTTTACAATTATTGTTTTTTACATATTGAAGATTTGTAGAAACTGCTTCGATCAAGTCTATTAGTACTATTTTCCCAAAAGCATGGGCTTATTATATACCTTCATGTCAGCATGCTTTAGCAATACAATATTTTTAGTTAAGATGTATACATTTTTTAGACATGTTATTGCAAATTTAAAAGACTATAACATAATTTTTACATGCACTGGAAAACCAAAAATTTTGTGTAATTTGCTTTTTATTGTAGTGGTCTAGAACAGAACCTTCAACATCCCTGAGGTGTTTCTGTGTTTCTTAGACATAAAAGAATGTCTAAGAAGCATCAGAAATATTCTGTTGGCTACATAGGTTATGAGTTCTTATTGACTATTAGTTTTCCAGATGGAACACAGCCCTGAATGCCAAAGTTCTGCACTTTGAGTATTTAGAAATAATTATTAGAAATAATAGGATTTAAAATCTATTATGCATTTTCCCCAACTAATCTTATGCATAATTCACTTCAAAAAATATGTGCCCTTATTTTATCTACAAAAGACTATTAGTAGGAATCAAAATTATATCATAAAAATATTTCAAGGAAACACCCAATTATTATAATTTTTGTTAGTAGAAATTCAATTCAAAATCTGCAAAAGGGCTTTACTTGTAGATTTTTAATAAAATTAAATGCTATTTTAAGAGCTTACAATATATTTATCTATAAATATATACATATATTTATATTAAATATTTACATATGTCCAATAAAATTAAATATATATAATGTAGATATAATATATAGTATTTTATATTTATATATTTCCAAGAAAATTAAATATATGTAATATATATTTTTATTCATCTATATTCCCCCAAAAATAAAGTATATATAAATATAAAAATATTACTTATGTATTTCCAATAAAATTAAAATAAATTTTTGAATATATGATTTTAAATATTCTCTATATTAAAAAGTATGCTTTCAAAAGTTTTTAGAAATAACATTTTATTTGAAATATTTTCTGTAAACAAAAATAGAGTAATATCTTTGAAACAACAATGCTTTTAATAGTTTTGCATGAGATAATTAAACTCAATTTAGCATAAAAGTTTTTGTATTCATTTTGTATATTATTACAAAATATTACAAAATATTGAAAGCATTCTAGTACATTTTAAAAATTATGCTTTTAAAAATAAATAAATAAATTAATTAATTAATTAAATAAATCATGGGAATATGGCCATGGACATTGTGTCTGGAGACCTAAGTTCTGTTTCCACTCTTCAGTAATGAGTCAGCAAGCCTTTTGCAACTAGTGTATGGAAAAAGATGACAGAAAAAAGGTGGAGAAAAAATATTTTTAAATTTATACATTAAGTCCTCAACAGAACCCCAAACTGACCCAACATCACTCCTATGCTTGAACCAACTAGAATTAACTGTGAAAAGTTTGAGGAATGAGCTATAGTGTGTAATACTGACCAGGTTTTACATTGGCTTCTGGGTAGCATGCAAGCATGGAAGACAAGAATAGCACAACAAAGACCAAAAATTAAATTGGCCTTTGAATCATAGCCCAAAAATGTGGGACAGAACATGTTCTCTGAAACCTAACAGATTTTTTTCCTGTGAAAATAGCAGATTTAAAGAGAACACGATTTTCATAATACCTATAATTTTCAGCATATAATTAGTAATTATATATTACACCAAGAACCAGAAAAATCTTAACTCATATGAGAAATGACAATTATCAGATGCCAAGACTGGTACAAAACAGATGTTAGAATATCCAACATGACTTTTAAGGCAGCTGTTATAAACATGCTCCCAATAACAATATAAAAAAAAAACCCTTAAACAAGTTAAAAAGAATAGGAAGTCTCAAAAAACATAGAAGAAGTAAAAAAGAAACAAATGGAAATTTCAAAACTAAAAAATATAATAATAGAAATAAAAGAAAACACTGGAAGGACTCAGTAACAACATGTAGATGACAGAGGAAAAATAAGCAGTGGACTTGAAGATAAATCAATAGAAATGATCCAATTGAAGCAAAAGAAAAATATATATTTTAAAAAATAAACTCAGACCCAGATACCAGTGGGACATTAAAAATTATTTATTTTTCATTTCATTGGCATCTTAGATGAAGAGACAGAGTGTGGAAAAAGCATTTAGAGAAATAATAGCTGAAAACTTCCCAAATTTAGCAAGAGCCATAAGCTTACAGATTGAAGAAGCTGAGCACCTCTAAAAGAATAAATTTGAAGAAATACGCACTATGATAATCACATTTTTTAAAATGAAATGGGAAAAATAATTATTGAAAGCAGCCAGAGAGAATATATTATCTATGAAAAAAATTATTAAAATGACAGCTGATTTCTGGTCAAAAATTATGGAGAAAAGAAAAAAGTAGCACATTGTTTAAGTGCTGCAAGAAATGTGTAGTCAAAATTCTGTAGCCAGTGAAAATATTCTTCAGGAATAAAGGTTAATATAAAGACATTCTCAGGTAAAAGAAAATTAAGAAAATTTGTCACTAGCATACATGCCTTAAGTAAACTGGTAAAGAAAATTCTTCCAACAGAGAGAAAAAGCTAAAAAGTAGAAACTATAAAAATCAGAAATGAAAAAAGAGGAAAAAAGAATAAATACATGAGTAAATATGATACACTATTCTCCTTTAGAATTTTTAAAAATAGATTTCACCAAAAATTAAAATATATTTTAATTTTTAAAAATATTTTTTCACCAAAAAAATATTAACTGTGTTTAATGTTGTTCTCAGTGTTTGTAAAGGAAAGATTTAATACAATTCAATACAATTATACTATAAAAGGGTGAGGGCAAAAGGACCTAAGTGGTAATAAAATTTCTATATTCCACTTAAACCAGCAACATGTTGATACTGACAGACTAGAATAAGTAATGTATGTTGAAATCCCAAGAGGATACAATAAAAACAAACAAAATAAATGTACTCAAAATCACTACAGAAAAATCAAAGCAAACTTAAAAAAAATGTTCAAGTAACTCTAGAAAGGCAGAAGAGAGAAGAAAATAGAAAAAAAAAAGAGGAGAGAGCAAATAAAATGGAAGGCCTACATTCTAATATATCAATAATCACATTAAACATAATTAAACATAGAATATCATTTAAAATTTTCCAAAGGTAAAAAGAAATAAAAAGAAAAAATCTCTAAAAATGAATACAAAGGTATCATAAACATCAAATTCACATTAACTACAAATGTCTAAATACACCAAGGAAAATATAAGAATTTAAATATTAGATAAAATAAAACATGGCCCAATTATATTCTGTTTAAAAGAAACTTATTTTAAAATAAATAAATAGATAAGTTACAAGTGAAAAGAAGGGAAATATAAACTATGCAAACACTAATTCAAGAAAGCTAAAGTGGCTATATCAACATCAAATAAACAAAACTTTAGTGCTAGGGAAATTAAAATTACGAGAAAAATAGAGGGTAATTACATGATGATAAAAACCGCAATTCATCAATTTATGAAGAAGACATACAAATTCTAAATGCATATCAACCAAAAAGGGGCAAAAATGGACAGAACTAAAAGAATAAATAAATAAATGCACAATGCTAGTTACAAATTTCAACACCTGAATAAGTTTCCCATTGCTGTTGTAACAAATTACCACAAATTTAGTAGCTTGCATAAGATAAATTTATTATCTTACAGTTTTGGAAGTCAGAAATCTAAAATTGGTTGATAAGGCTGTGTTCCTTTAAAACATTTTAGTGGAAAATTCAGTTTATTTTCTTTTCCATCATTTAGGGATGACCTGTATTGCTTGGCTTATAGTGGTCTCTTCCTTGTATCACTCCAACCTCGGCTTACATCATGAAATCTCCTTTTTCTGTCTCTTCCCCTCTTTCCTCCCTCTTTTTTTTTTTTTTTATTTAAGTGTTATGGTACATGTGCACAATGTGCAGGTTAGTTACATATGCATGCATGTGCCATGCTGGTGTGCTGCACCCATTAACTCATCATTTAGCATTAGGTATATCTCCTAATGCTATCCCTCCCCCATCCCCCCACCCCACAACAGTCCCCAGAGTGTGATGTTCCCCTTCCTGTGTCCATGTGTTCTCATTGTTCAATTCCCATCTATGAGTGAGAACATGCGGTGTTTGGTTTTTGGTCCTTGCAATAGTTTACTGAGAATGATGATTTCCAATTTCATCCATGTCCCTACAAAGGACATGAACTCATCATTTTTTATGGCTGCATAGTATTCCATGGTGTATATGTGCCACATTGTCTTAATCCAGTCTATCATTGTTGGACATTTGGGTTGGTTTACTCCCATTTTTAAGGATCATTGTTAATATATTGAGCCTAGCCATACAATCCAAAATAGTCTCCTTATTTGAGGATTGTTAACTTAGTGTGTCAAGACATTTTGCCATGTAAGAACAAATATTTACAGACTTCTGAGATTAAGACATGAATATCTTATAGTGGCCATATCCAGCTTACCAAATATTTATTCCTCATTCATTGATAGATCCATTAAACTGCAAATTATCAAAAATATAGAACAACTAAATAACACAACCAACTAGTAAAATCTACTGGATATTTATAAAACACTGTATACAACAACAACAACAGAATACACATTCCTTATAAGCTCACATAGAACATTTAACAAAATTGCCAGTATCCTGTTTTATAAAAAAATTTAATATATTCCTGGTGGAGCCAAGATGGCTGAATAGGAACAGCTCCAGTCTACGGCTCCCAGAGTGAGCAATGCAGAAGACGGGTGATTTCTGCATTTCCAACTGAGGTACCAGGTTCATCTCACTGGGCAGTGCCGGACAGTGGGTGCAGGACAGTGGGTGCAGCACACCGTGCATGAGCCGAAGCAGGGAGAGGCATTGCCTCACCCGGGAAGCACAAGGGGTCAGGGAATTCCCTTTCCTAGTCAAAGAAAGGGGTGACAGACGGCACAGACATCTACAGAACTCCCCACCCCAAAACAACAGAATATACATTCTTTTCAGTATCACACCACACCTATTCCAAAATTGACCACATAGTTGGAAGTAAAGCACTCCTCAGCAAATCTAAAAGAACAGAAATCATAACAAACTGTCTCTCAGACCACAGTGCAATCAAACGAGAACTCAGGATTAAGAAACTCACTCAAAACCACTCAACTACATGGAAACTGAACAACCTGCTCCTGATTGACTGTGTACATAATGAAATGAAGGCAGAAATAAAGACGTTCTTTGAAACCAATGAGAACAAAGACACAACATACCAGAATCTCTGGGACACATTCAAAGCAGTGTGTAGAGGGAAATTTATAGCCCTAAATGCCCACAGGAGAAAGCAGGAAAGATCTAAAATTCACACCCTAACATCACAATTAAAAGAACTAGAGAAGCAAGAGGAAACACATTCAAAAGCTAGCAGAAGGCAAGAAATAACTAAGATCAGAGCAGAACTGAAGGAAATAGAGACGTAAAAAACCCTTCAAACAATGAATGAATCCAGGAGCTGGTTTTTTGAAAAGATCAACAAAACTGATAGACAGCTAGCAAGACTAATAAAGAAGAAAAGAGAGAAGAATCAAATAGACGCAATAAAAAATGATAAAGGGGATATCACCACCAATCGCACAGAAATACAAACTACCATCAGAGAATACTATAAACACCTCTATGCAAATAAACTAGAATATCTAGAAGAAATGGATACATTCTTCGACACATACACTCTCCCAAGACTAAACCAGGAAGAAGTTGAATCTCTGAATAGACCAAAAACAGGCTTCGAAATTGAGGCAATAATTAATAGCTTACCAACCAAAAAAAGTCCAGGACCAGATGGATTCACAGCCGAATTCTACCGCAGGTACAAGGAGGAGCTGGTACCATTCCTTCTGAAACTATTCCAATCAATAGAAAAAGAGGGAATCCTCCCTAACTCATTTTATGAGGCCAGCATCATTCTGATACCAAAGCCTGGCAGAGACACAACCAAAAAAGAGAATTTTAGACCAATATCCTTGATGAACATTGATGCAAAAATCCTCAATAAACTACTGGCAAACCGAATCCAGCAGCACATCAAAAAGCTTATCCACCATGATCAAGTGGGCTTCATCCCTGGGATGCAAGTCTGGTTCAACATATGCAAATCAATAAACGTAATCCAGCATGTAAACAGAACGAAAGACAAAAACCACATGATTATCTCAATAGATGCAGAAAAGGCCTTTGACAAAATTCAACAGCCCTTCATGCTAAAAACTCTCAATAAATTATGTATTGATGGGATGTATCTCAAAATAATAAGAGCTATCTATGACAAACCCACAGCCAATTTCATACTGAATGGACAAAAATTGGAAACATTCCCTTTGAAAACTGGCACAAGACAGGGATGCCCTCTCTCACCACTCCTATTCAACATAGTGTTGGAAGTTCTGGCCAGGGCAATCAGGCAGGAGAAGGAAATAAAGGGCATTCAATTAGGAAAAGAGGAAGTCAAATTGTCCCTGTTTGTAGATGACATGATCCTATATCTAGAAAACCCCATTGTCTCAGCCCAAAATCTCCTTAAGCTGATAAGCAACTTCAGCAAAGTCTCAGGATACAAAATCAATGTACAAAAATCACAAGCATTCTTATACACCAATAACAGACAGAGAACCAAATCATGAGTGAACTCCCATTCACAATTGCTTCAAAGAGAATAAAATACCTAGGAATCCAACTGACAAGGGATGTGAAGGACCTCTTCAAGGAGAACTACAAACCACTGCTCAATGAAATACAAGATGATACAAACAAATGGAAGAACACTCCATGCTCATAGGTAGGAAGAATATATCATGAAAATGTCCATGCTGCCCAAGGTAATTTATGGATTCAGTGCCATCCCCATCAAACTACCAATGACCTTCTTCACAGAATTGGAAAAAACTACTTTCAAGTTCATATGGAACCAAAAAAGAGCCCGCATTGCCAAGTCAATCCTAAGCCAAAAGAACAAAACTGGAGGTATCACACTACCTGACTTCAAAGTATACTACAAGACTACAGTAACCAAAACAGCATGGTACTGGTACCAAAACAGAGATATAGACCAATGGAACAGAACAGAGCCCTCAGAAATAATGCCAAATATCTACAACTATCTGATCTTTGACAAAACTGACAAAAACAAGAAATGGGGAAAAGATTCCCTATTTAATAAATGGTGCTGGGAAAACTGGCTAGCCATATGTAGAAAGCTGAAACTGGATCCCTTCCTTACACCTTATACAAAAATTAATTCAAGATGGATTAAAGAATTTAATGGTAGACCTAAAAGCATAAAAACCCTGGAAGAAAACCTAGGCAATACCATTCAGGACATAGGCATGGGCAAGGACTTCATGTCTGAAACACCAAAAGCAATGGCAACAAAAGCCAAAATGGACAAATGGGATCTAATTAAACTAAAGAGCTTCTGCACAGCAAAAGAAACTACCTTCAGAGTAAACAGGCAACCCACAGAATGAGAGAAAATTTTTGCAACCTACTCATCTGACAAAGAGCTAATATCCAGAATCTACAATGAACTCAAACACATTTACAAGAAAAAAACAAACAACCCCATCAAAAAGTGGGTGAAGAATATGAACAGAAACTTCTCAAAAGAAGACATTTATGCAGCCAAAAAACACATGAAAAAATGCTCACCATCACTGGCCATCAGAGAAATGCAAATCAAAACCACAATGAGATACCATCTCACACCAGTTAGAATGGTGATCATTAAAAAGTCAGGAAACAACAGGTGCTGGAGAGGATGTGGAGAAACAGGAATACTTTTACACTGTTGTTGGGACTGTAAACTAGTTCAACCATTGTGGAAGTTGGTATGGCGATTCCTCAGGGATCTAGAACTAGAAATACCATTTGACCCAGCCATCCCATTACTGGGTATATACCCAAAGGACTATAAATCATGCTGCTATAAAGACACATGCACACGTATAATTATTGCAGCACTATTCACAATAGCAAAGACTTGGAACTAAGCCAAATGTCCAACAATGATAGACTGGATTAAGAAAATGTGGCACATATACACCATGGAATACTATGCAGCCATAAAAAAGGATGAGTTTGTGTCCTTTGTAGGGACATGGATGAAGCTGGAAACCATCATTCTTAGCAAACTATCACAAGGACAAAAAACCAAACACCACATGTTCTCACTCATAGGTGGGAACTGAAGAATGAGAACACATGGACACAGTAAGAGGAACATCACACACCAGGGACTGTTGTGGGGTGGGGGGAGTGGGGAGGGATAGCATTAGGAGATATACCTAATGCTAAATGACCAGTTAATGGGTGCAGCACACCAACATGGCACATGTATACATATGTAACTAACCTGTACATTGTGCACATGTACCATAAAGCTTAAAGTATAATAATAATAATAAAAAATTTAATATATTCCTAAGAATTGAAATCATATGAATCATGTATTTTCACCAATAAAAATAGAATCAATCTATAAAATCGGTAACAGACCAATAATACCAAAGACCTGAAAATTAAACATCACATTTGAAAACAATCTGTAAGTTAAAAAGGAAATATCACAGAAAATTAAAATATATATTTAGCTGAGTTAAATACAAATTAAAAATATCTGCCAATTGTAGCTAAAGCAGTGCTTTGAGAAAAAATGATAGAGATAGATGCTTTTATTGAAAAATAAAACGTACTCAAATTAATGATCTAATTTCTCAATATAACAAACCACTAAAGGAGAAGCAAACTAAACCCAGAATGAGCAGAAGTAAAAGGAAAAAAGAATAGTAACTATTAGAACAGAACTCAATAAAATTGAAAACAGAAAAATAACAAAGTTAATTAAACAAAAAGAGTCTCTTTGAAAAGACCAATAAAATCAGTAAAAGACCAACAAAATCAAAGCTTTAGAAAATGGAAGGATAAAAAAGAAAAAAGACCAAATCACCATTATCCAAAATGAAAGAATGGTAGCTTATAGCACCCACAGTCATTTAAAAGACACGAGGAACCCTAATGCACATATTTTCAGCATTTAGATAAAATAAAGCAATTATTTGTAGACCACAAACTACCAAACATTAATAATAAGTAGATAATACAAATAGTTTCATAGCAATTAATGGAATTAAATTTCCAGTAAAACTCTTCTAAAACAATCCTCTGTCCCAGATGATTTAACTGTTAAACTATCCAAAATATTTAAAAATAAATAATACCAATTCTGTATGATCATTTCCAGAAAATAGAAGATAAGGAAATACTTCTAGACTGTTTTATAGGGCCAACATTATACACATTCTAAAATACATAAACACAATTAAAAACATAAAAAACTTCACACAAATCTTTTGTAAGCACAAGGATACTCAAATATTAGCAATTCACTATTATATACAGTGTTTTACATAATATGTATATATGTGTGCATATATATAAATATATATTTTATATATGTGTGTGTGTGTATATATATATAGAGAGAGAGAGAGAGAGGGAAAAATTATACACTACATCCAAGAGATTTTATTCCATGAATGCCAGGTGGTTAAATATTAAAAAATCAACTAATATATCATATTGACAAGCCAAAGATAAAACACCACATGATCCCATCAATTGAAACAAAAATGTATTTGGCAAAATTCAACATCCAGTCATAACAAAAACTACAAGCAAACTAAAAATTTAAGATGATAAAAATTATCTACAATAAATCTATGGTAGTTTTCATACTTAGTGGTAAAACACTGCTTTTCTCTTATACTAGGGAACAAAGCAAGGACACTGGCCCACAATTTTCATTCGAAAAAAGTGTGGGTGTCTCAGCTAGTACATTAAAGCAAGAAAATTATACAAAGGACATAGATTGCAAAGGAAAAATAAAAATTTCTGTTTGCAAGTGGCATTAGAATCTGTGTAGAAAATCAGAAGGAATCTACAAGAAACTCCCTAAATCTAATAAATGAGTGAAGCTAATGTGTGAGATATAGATCCTTACACAAAAAAAATCATATTTATACATGCTAGCAATTAACATTGGAAACTAAAATTAAACATAGAATGTAATTTAAAATTTCCCAAGGTGAAAAGAAATAAAAAGAAAAAAAATTTGTAAAATTGAATACCAGGGTGTCATAAACATCAAATTTTACATACATCAATAGGACATTAAACATATATTAGAGCAACTTTAAAAAGCAAATTTAAATTTTTATATGAAATTATTTCTGGAAATAAAACCCATTGAAAAATATTTTATCACAAAGATAAATCTAGGCCCAGATAGCTTTAGCCAGTAACTCTTCCAAATATATACAGAAGATATAACACCAGTTTTTTACAAACTCTTCCAGAAAATAGAAAAAGAGGAAACACTTATGAGGCTATTAGCCCATGGTAAATTTGATTTCAAAACCTGAAAAGAATATTCTAAAAAGGAAAAAAAAAAACAGATAATTCTTTCAAAAAGGTAGATGAAAATACTCAAGAAATATTAGCAAATGAGTATCCTTCAAATATAAAAAAAAAAAAATCATGAATAAGTGGGCTTTACTCCAGATAGGCAAGAATAGATTAGCATTAGAAAATCAATGCAATTTGCATATAAATAATATAAAGAAAAAATATGATTATTTGATCAATGCTGATAAGTATTTCAAAAAACGCAATGGTAAATCATTAAAAAATTATAAGAAAACTCAAAATAAAAGGGAACTTATTTTGCAGATAAAGAACATGTGCAAAAAAACACAACAATTATAATACTAATTGGGAAGACATTGACAATTTTACCCTTGAATCAGGAATAAGAGAAAAATATCTGCTATCACAATTTCTATTCAACATTGTAGTAGAGGTTCTAGCTAGTTCAACAAACAAGCAAAATAAGTAAGGTATAAGTTTTATAAGAAAAGAAATAAAACTAATAATTCAGAGATAACTATGATTTTAGAAAATGCAAAAGTATATATAGACAAACTGTCAGAATTAATAAATATGTGATTTAAACAATCTGCGTTCATGTTCAATATAAGAAAGTTAATTTTATTGCTATCTGGCAACAAAAACACTCATAAAAGCAAATTGTAAAATTATTTTATTTAAGTTTAAAAGAAACAAATATTACAAATCTAATGAAATATGTATTAAGGCCTCTACAAAGAAAACTACAAAACATTTTGGAATGTAAGCAGGATTTCTAATTTCTAAATAAATGGAGAGATATACAATGATTATTAACCAATGACTTAAAATTGAAATAAAAATCATTTCTCCCCAAAATGATCTCTAGGCTCAAAGCAATTTCACATAAAATCATTAAAGTTGGGTTTCTGACTAGTTTTTATTAAAACTCACTTGGAAACTCACAAATAACAAGGAACATTTTGATGGAAAAGAAGAAAATTACTGGATTTATGCTACTAGTTATCAAAGAACCTGATATAATATTAATTCATACATTTTGCTATTGTCATTATGACATTTAAACTGATCAATAAAACAAAATGAAGAATGTGGAAACAGTACAACACATACAAATTCAGCACCAGAGCAGGCCCACTCTTCAAAAGATTTAGGTATTGAATAACCTAAAGTCTTAGAGGATAAGAGGCATACTGCTGTTTTTTATAAATGAACAAGTCCCAAGAACAAGAAAAGAAGAATAGAACTAAACTGAAAACACCCATTTTTTTAAAACTTTATGCATAAATTATTCTACTGCCAAGAGATGCCTTGAGAAAACTGTCAGAGGAGAATAACATCACCAATATTATTTAATGTTTAATATTAATAAAATGTCCATATTACACAATGTAATCTACAGATACAATGCAATTCCTACCAAAATTCCAGGCATTTTTTATAGAAGTAGAAAAATAGAAAAATATAGAAATAGAAAAAGTAATTTTAAAATTCATATGAAACCACACAAGACATCAAATAGCCAAGGCAATCACAAGCAAAGAGAACAAAATTGAAGATATCACACTACCAGTTTTCAAAATCTATAGTAGTCAAAACATTATAATGCTGGCATAGTAATCAAAACAAAGCTATAGTAATCAAAGCATCATAATACTGGCATAAAAACAACATGTATTCCGATGGAACAGAATAAAGATCCCAGAAATAAATCCACACATTTAAGGTCAATTAGTCTTTGACAAACATGCCAATAACACATAATGGTGACAGGATAGTGTCTTCAATAAATGGATCTAGGAAAACTTAATATCTACATGCAGAAAAATAAAATTCCACCCTAATCTCACATCATACATAAAAATCAAGTCAAAAATGGATGGAAGACTTAAATATATAAGTCCTGAAGCTGCAAAAGTACTAACAAAATTACAAAGTAAGTTCTTGACATTGGTCTGGACATTGATTTTTTTTTTAAATTTTAATTTAGATATGACTCCCAAATCACAGAAAGCAAAAGCAAAAGATAGAAAATAGAATTGCATCAAAATAAAAAGCTTCTACACAGCAAAGAAAACAACAGAGTGAAGAGAGAACATATAGAATGGGAAAAAAATATTTGGGATTAATACTTAAAAAATATATAAGGAACTTATATAACTCAATGGCAAAGAAAGAAATGAACACAACTAAAAATGGGCAAAGTACCTGAACAGACCTTTCTCAAAAGAAGACATATAAATTGGCTTGGTGTGGTGGCTCAGGGCTGTAATCCCAGCGTTTTGGGAGGCCAAGGTGGGTGTTTCACGAGGTCAGGAGTTCGAGACCATCCTGGCTAACACGGTGAAACCCCATCTCTACTAAAAGTACAAAAATTAGCTGGGCGTGGTGTCGCATGCCTGTAATCCCAGCTACTCAGGAGGCTGAGGCAGGAGAATCACTTGAACCCGGGAAGCAGAGGTTGCAGTGAGCCGAGATCGTGTCACTGCATTCCAGCCTGGTCGACAGAACAAGACACCATCTCAAAAAAAAAAAAAAAAGGACATATTAATGTCCCCAGGGTTATGAGATCTGGCTCAACATCAGTAATCAATGCAGATCAAAACCACTTTGGGAGATCCCTTCAGCTGGTGTGAGGATATGGAAAAAAAACAAAAAACAAAAAAAACCAACCCTTGCATAACTGTTGGTGGGAATGTAAATTAGGACAGCTACTATGAAAAACAGTAATGAGGTTCCTCAAAAAATCGAAAATAAAACTACCATGTGATCCAACATACACATGGGAAATGACGTCAGCATGTCAGAGATATGCCTGACTCCCATGATTATTACAACTTCATTCACAAAAGCCAAGATATGGAACCAACCTACGAGTGTGTCAGTGGATGAACTGATTTAAAAAAAAATTGGTATGTATATTCAGTGGAATATTATTCAGCCTTAAAAAATAAGGAAATTCTGCCATTTGCAACAATGTAAGTGAACCTAGAAAACATTATGCTAAGTAAAATAACCCAGACACAGAAAGACAAATACTGCATGATCACACTTATATGTATAATCTAAAAAAGTTAAAATCATAGAAGAAGAAAGTAGAATGGTGGTTGCTAGGGGCTTGAGGGTAAGTGGGGAGACTTTGCTCAGAGTACGAAGTTTCAGTTAGGCAGGATGAATAAATTCTGTAGATCTATTGTATGGTAACTATAGTTAATGACACTGTATTGTATACTTAAAAATTGTTAGCAAAGTAGATTTTAATGCTTTCACAACACACATACAAACACAGATACACGCAAAGGATAAGCATGTGAGGTGATGGATATGTTAATTAGTTTGATTGTGGTAATTATTCCACAAAGTGTATACATATATCAAAATATCACATTGTATGCCATAATTACAATTTGTGTTTGTCAATCATACCTCAGTAAAGCTGGAAAAATTAATGTAAAATACATTTTTAAAAAAGGAAGATAAAAGAGAAGTCCAGAGTGAGGATCACATTATTCTTTGTTTATAAGAAAAAATTAGCATAAATCAGAAAATGTTTATTGTTAAATTAAATTCAATGAAAGCAAGATTTTTTATGCATCTTAGTAATAAATATGCATCATATGTATAATGATCAGAGAAAATAATAAAAAAATTGTTCTTGATGTGACATTGTTTTTAAATCTTATTTATGCAAAAATATTTAAAGATTACATTTTCTTATTCTCATATTAACACCTAGCACATTAACACCTTGGCACAAATCAGATATTTGGTAAAGAAAATGAGTATTAAATGGATTTGAGTGAATGAATATTAAAAAGGTTTATTACAAAGACATGGACGTTTCTTAGACTCTCATTTCAAGTTGCTCTATACATTCTACATATTTATCTTTTAAGAGTAGTTGTTTTACACTTCTCATATCACCCCAAAAAGCAATTACAAAATTTGTGGAAATAAGTTCATATTTGCAGGACTTCCTTAGCAATCCCTCATCAAGTATTAAAAAATTTAAAAACTAGTGAGTAGTGTATGCAAGTGATATTCAATTACATTAAAGAATAATCATCTAGGTCCCATTTAAACTAATTTGAAAGTGGCAGAAGAGGTAAGAAGACACGAGGTAAGTTGAAGGGAGAAAAAAATGTAGAAATGCAAAAGCAAAAACAGAATCATTTCAAACCACGTTTATCTTTAAGTCTTTGTTTTACTTAAAAATTTGAATTTTAGATATATTTTTCTAATTATGCAGTTTGGGAATTATAGTAGTTGTGAGTTTCTGCATAACTGAATTTCATTTTATTTAGAAAATTATAATTAATGACAAGTTTAATTGGATCTCACATCCAATTTTTTCCACTCGTAATATATTTCACTAACAATTATAGCATTCAATCTCAACAGAGTTACCAGGACCTTTCTGTAACTTTTGTTGTTTTGTACTTAGCTACTTTTCCTGGTTCATTCAAAGCAATTTTAAAGTGGTTTTTATGTGAGATACACTAGGCTATTTTCAGGGACACAAAACAAATGTTTTTGTTACCTGAAAAATAATAAATGATTTTATGGAGGAAACAGAAGCAAAATTACTAAATATTCAAACATTCACACTCTTTTTTGAACACTTATTTGTATTAACGTTCTCATGGAAATAAAACATTTATAAATAAATTAACATTATTTCAATTATTACAACATGTACTAATTAATTGATATATATTTCCCATTCTAAAGCATGAGTTGCACAAAGCAAAGATCATATTTTATTATTCTTATGCCCTGTGCATAGCAGAATATGGTTCATAAAAATGTTCAGAAAGCGCTTACTGTATCTACTGGCAAATGGCTACGCTATTAATGGCATTAACACATAGAGAAGAAAGTATAAAGGATGAAAGGAAGCAATATGATGATCAGTTTAACTTTTGATATTTTTATTTAAAATTTGATTTTTGTTTAATATAAATAGCATTAAAGAAAGAGAAATACAAATAAAGGTTAGTGAGGTTGAAAATAAATAATTGAAAAAATAGAAAACATTATATGATATGAGTCAATATGGAACTTTATTTCTTTGTTATTTTTAATTTTTGTGGGTACATAGTAGGTGTGTATATTTACAGAGTACATGAGCTACTTGGAAATAGTCTGGCAATGTATAGCAATCACATCATGGAAGATGGGATATCTATTCTCTCAAGAATTTATCCTATCTATGAGTTACAAATAATCCAATTGTACTATGTCTGTTATTTTTAAATCTATAGTTAATTATTATTGACTATAGTCATTCTGTTGTGCTAGGCCTTATTCATTTCCCACAACAATCCACTACCCTTCCCAGCCTCTGATAGACTTCATTCTACTCCATCTACAGAAGTTCAGTTATTTTGATTTTTAGATCCCACCATAAGCTAGAACATGTAATGTCTGTGACTGGCTTATTTCACTTCACATAATGACCTCCAGTTCCATCCATGTTAATGCAAATAACTGAATCTTATTTTTTAATGGTTGAATAGTACTCCATCGTGTACATGTATATTTTCTTTATCCACTAATCTGCTGATGGACACTTAGGTTGCTTCCAAATGGAAGTGCAGATAGCTCTTGGATATGTTGATTTCCTTACTTTTCAGCATATACTTGGCAGTGGGATTTCTGGATCATATTTTTACTCTATTTTTACTTTTCTGAGGAATCTCTAAACTGTTCTTCATAGTGGTTGCACTAATTTACATTCCTACCAACACTGTACGAAGGTTCCCTTTTTACCACATTTTTGCCAGCTTTTCTCATTGCCTGTCTTTTGGATGTCAGCCATTTTAACTGGAGTGAGATGATATCACATTGTATTTTTGATTTGCATTTCTCTAATGATCATTGATGATGAGCACCTTTACGTATGTCTGTTTGCTTTTTGTATGTCTTCTTTAGAGAAATGTCTACTCAAATATTTTTCTCATTTAACAAATCAGATTATTAGATTTTTCTCTATAGAGTTGCTTAAGCTCCCTATATGTTCTGGTTATTAAGCCATTGTCAGATGGGTAGTTTGCAAATATTTTTTTCTATTCTGTGGCTTTTCTCTTCACTTTGTTAATTGTTTCCCTCACTGTGCTTTTTAAGTTGATGTGATCCCATTTGTCCATTTGTGCTTTGGTTGCCTGTGCTTGTGGAGTATTACTCAAGAAATTTTACGTTGTTACAATGTCCATAATATGCAAAACAATCTACAGATTTTATGCAATTGCTATCAAAACACCAATGACTTTCTTCACTGAAACAGAAAAAAAAATTCTAAAATTTATATGGTACCACAAAAGATTCATAACAGCCAATGTTGTCTTAAGTCAAAAGATAAAACTAGAGGAATCACGTTACCTGACTTCAATTGTATGACAGAGCTACAGTAACCAAAACAATGTGGTACTGGCGTAAAAACAGACACATTGACCAATGGAACATAATTAAGAGTCCAGAAACCTATCCACACACCTACAGTAAACTCATTTCTGACAAAGATGCCAAGAACATACATGCATACTTAAGAAATCTTTGTCCAAACCAAGGTCTTGGAGAATTTACCGTCCTTTTCTTACCCATCCTTTTTCTGTAATAGTTTCATATTTTGAGGTCTTAGATTTAATTCTTTAATTCACTTTGATTTTTTTTATATGGCAAGAGACAGGGATCTAACTTCATTTGTCTGCATATGAATATCCAGTTTTCCCAGCACCATTTATTGAAGAGACTGTCCTTTGCCCAGTGTATGTTCTTGGCATCTTTGTCAGCAATGAGTTTACTGTAGGTGTGTGGATATGTTTCTGCGTTCTTAATTATGTTCCACTGGTCAATGTGTCTGTTTTTATGCCAGTACCATATTGTTTTGGTTACCGTAGCTCTGTCATACAATTTGAAGTCAGGTAATGTGATTCCTCTAGTTTTATCTTTTGACTTAAGACAACATTGGCTATTATGAATCTTTTGTGGTACCAAAAATTTTAGAATTTTTTTTTTCTATTTCAGTGAAGAAAGTCATTGGTGTTTTGATAGCGATTGCATAAAATCTGTAGATTGTTTTGCATAGTATGGACATTGTAACAATATTGATTTTTACAATCTATTAACATGGAATATTTTTCTATTATTTGGTGTCCTTTTCCATTTCTTTCAACAATATGTTATAGTTTTCATTATAGAGATCTTCTATTTTGTTGGTTAATTCCCATGTATTTAATTTTATGTGTGGCTATTATAAATGGGATTCCTTTTTAAATTTCTTTTTCATATTTCTCACTGTTGACATACAGAAATGCTACTGATTTTTGTATATTGATTTTGTATCCTGCAACTTGACTAAATTGGTTTATCAGTTCTGATACATTTCTTGTGGAGTTTTTAGGTTTTTCCAAATATAAGATCACATCAACTTACAACAAGGATAATTTGACTTCTTCCTTTCCAATTTGGATGCCCTTTATATCCTTCTCTTGTCTGATTCCTCTAGCTAGGACTGCCAGTAGTATTTTGAATAACGGTGATAAAAATTGGCCTCCTTGTCATGTTCCACATGTTAAAGGGAAGGTTTTAGTTTTTCCCCATTCAGTATGATACTAGCTGTGGGTCTGTCATATATGACTTTTATTAGGTTGAAGTATATCCCTTCTGTACCTAGATTTTAAGGGTTTTCATCATGAAGGGATATTAAATTTTTATTAAATGATTTTTCAGCATCAATTGAAATTATCATATAGTTTTTATTCTTTATTCTGTTGATATGATGTATCACACTGATTAATTTGCATATGTCGAATCACTCTTGCATTCCAGGGATAATTCCCACTTGGTCATGATGAATGACCTCTCTAATGCATTGTTGAATTTGATTTGCTAGTAGTGTGTTGATGATTTTTGCATCTATGTTCATCAGGGATTTTGGCCTATGGTTTTCTGTTTTGATGTGTCTTTGTCTGGTTTTGGCAACAGTATAATACGGGCTTTGTAGAATAAGTTTGGAAGTATCCCTTCTTCTATTCTTGGGGATACTTTGAGTTACTTTGAGTAGTATTGTTGTTAGTTCTTCTTTAAATGTTTTGTAGAATTCAATAGTAAAGTTGTATCTGTCCATTCTCTCACTGCTATAAAGACATACCTGAGACTGAGTAATTTATAAAGAAAAGAGGTTTAATTTACTCACCGTTCCACAGGCTGTACAGGAAGCATGGCTGGTGAGGCTTCAGGAAACTTACAATCATGTTTGACAATGCCAAGTCTCAGTGTCTCCACTAAGGTCCTCAATGAAGTAGTTGGCTATTAGTGCTGGTTATTCATGGTTTAAGGTCTCTTCCATTAGCAGGTGATGAATCCTGCCAGGGGACTGGGTTATCCCTTTAATGCAGTGGGTTCCCTTCTGGCCCAGGGTTTGTCTAGAAATGTCTGGGAGCTAGGGCCTGGAAAAGAGGCCTCACAACTCTAACTGGTGCCCTATTTTGCTGTGGCTGAGCTGTTATCCAAGATGCACAACAAAGTCCTCCCCACTCTTCCATCTCCTCTCAAGTGTAAACAAGCGGTCTTTTTTTGAACCCTGAGGTTTGCAGCCTGGGTTAAGGGGAGGGGTGATGCCAGCATTCCCTTAGCCACGCCAATTGGTGTCTTAGTAGGTCATGTGCCCTCACCACCTCAGTCTACTATCTCTGGGCTTAGTTCAGCCCTAGGATTCACCTAGGTGTTTCAGTTTTTGTGGCCTAGACTGTCCTTCAAGTTTATTTAGAGCCCCATAGCCCTTTAGGTCATTGTGATGAGCAGGAACTCAAGTTCCAGCTGCTGGGATCGGTGATTCCCCTCTGGCTAGGACTGGTTTAAATGTGCCTTGCATGGGTAGACATCGCTGAGTTTTGTCTGGTTTTGCTTTCTGCCATAACAAGGGCAGCACTGAGTTCAATGCCTCACAATTGCTCGTTCTCCTTCTCCCCATGGCCCAGAAACACTATGCACCATGCTCCCACTGCCAAGAGATGGTGGAGGGATGTCTTCCACAATTCAAGACTATTTTTCCCACCTCTTCAGTGCCCCTTTCAGCAATATGAAGTTAAAGCCAGATATGGTTAGTGCTCACCTGCTTTTTGGTTCTTATGAATGTGCTTTGTGTGTGTGTGTGTAGATAATTGTTAAATTGGTGTCCTTGAAGAGGCAACAGTCAGTGAAGCCTTCTATTCAACCATCTTGTTCCAATCCCCCCAACTTTCTAGAATTTTAGTTGATTCAAAATGAACATTGTATGAGTTAAGTCAAAAGGATATAATTCCAATAACCTTTCATATTTAAATGAGCAAGGAGTCATCATTTCCTGTTTTAATCTAAATATCTTGCTGTGTTGTTATGAATAGTAATCATTCACAGTTCAAAACTGTAAATAGCTACTTAGGTAAATTGATAAATCCTTATTAAAGAGCTAGGTTTTATTTAAAATGAGTACAGTAAAATCGACTGGATTAAAATTATTTGCAAAGTTCAAGAAAAATTTTGGAAAATCCTCATCTTGTTGATAAAAAAATTTCCTTTATAAATATATAAAGGAAATAAACCTGAAAAAAGAAACCCTGACATGATAAATTTATATATATATCTACATATATGCCTCCTATTTTTTCTTTCCTCATATATATACACACACACACATATATACACTTCATTTATATATATATATATATACACACACACACACACACACTCCTTTATCATGGTAAATTTATCTCATATATACATATATATACAAGCATATATACACAAATACATGTATACACACACATATATGTGTGTGTATATATATACATATATATACATATATAAATACATATATATATATGTATATATATATGCCTTCCATTTTTCTTTCCTCATTTTAAACTGCAGTTGTTCCTATTACAAAGGTTACTTTGGTCTGAGTATTTGGCTAGTTAAAAAACAAACAAACAAAAACTGTAGTATTAATAATGTGGCTCTGCATTCCCTGGGTTTTCTTCTGAGGGAGTTCTTGAGGAAATTTCTGAACCTATTTTAAATTATGTTTCCAGAATCTAACAAGTTCAAATTTACGTATAATTAATGTGCTGTGTATATATAGTTTAACAGCCACAAGCCAAAGAAGTTAATACTTGGTTTGCTTGAGTTTCACAAAGTGAAATATAAATAGATTTAATTTAATTTTAAATCTACATAGCTATTTATTAAAAGATTTAATTGCTACAAGGTAGCAAAACTCTTTTAAATATAATAAAAGGAATATAAAATATTACACGAACCAGATACATTAAGTGAAATAAATGGCAGTTATTAAATATATCTCAGTTAAAAATAAAGCTAAGGCATATATGATGCAGATGTTTATATAAGAAATTCTCACTGTAGAGATCATTCAGCTAGTGAACCAGCTAATTGATGTAGACATCCTATCATAAGGCTCCAATAAGATATTTTAGCCACATTAGATTTTTACAGATGACCATCCTTTTCTAATCACATATAAGCCGTATAATTATTCAATTATAACAGATGAGAGAACTGAGGTTTAAATTTAAATTTTTTTCTTAAGTTCTCCTAGCTAGTTTTGAACCCAGAAAACCCATTTTGTAACTTCTTCATGAAATTATATTATAACGGAATATTATGTTGAAATTTGAATCAAACATTTTAAACATTTTACCATAAAGTGTACTTAATAATTTAGATTTTCACATTGTGATCTCTTTCTTTTCTCACTTAATCTCTCTTATCTAGAGATTCATTTCTATGTGTATTTTTTCATAAATGTCCATTTTTTTCAGAGAGATGAGAATAGAGAGTAATATGAGACAGTAATGTTCCCAGAACCCAATCCATCAAATCTGAAGAACATCTATATACGTTTACAAACTATTTTTCTTGTTGAAAAGTAAAGCAACATCTACATAGTTGAGACAACTATCTGCCCTATTTTCTTTTCTATTCTTTCTCCCTGAAGATAACTGGCTTAAGATGCCTGTGTTTAGCATTTCATATACGGATATCATTTCCTATGGAACATATATTCATGTATTTATTAAATTTTCATGAACCTAAAAGTGTATTATTGTGCAGCATTTCCAATTTATTTAAATACTCCCATAATGTTCATTCCATCCTGTGCTTACTTTTTTTAAAATTCAGCATTCTGTTTTTGAAAGTTATTCTTTTTTATATATGTAGCTTTCACTTGTTCATCTGTGGCAATACCTTGATTTATGTATTCTACTGTTGAAGACCATTTGGTTCCCTTCTAATTCTTTACTTTTACAAGCAGCATTGCAATGAATTACCTTATATATGCTCTCAGGTGTACATGAGAAAAGTTTCTTCTACATCATCAGTCTTAGTACAGTACATTTAGAGGCGCATGAAGTTTTCCCAAGATAGTTTTAAGGGAAGTAGTTTCCAGATAACCAATATCTGTGTTTACTCTTTCCTGAAACTGATCTACCTGAACAAACAGTGGTAAATTTATCATGCCAGAATTTTTTTTTCAATTCTTTCTTTAAACTCATCTTTCTCCATTTTATAGAATGACAAATTTGTACTGCTAACTTGCCAAGGATTTTTAGATTGGATAGAGATTATCCAATCTTGACTGAGTTTTGAAAACATATTGTCTAACATGCTTACTTAATTTTTCATATTTTATTCAATTATTATGTTATTGGATCTTTCTATAGTTTATATTCTTTTATTTCTCTAATGTTTAATTTTGCCTTATATTTTTTGAAAAATTATCTGACTTGAATATATATATATATGATATTAATGTTTTTTCACTTACTAGATTTCATGTCTCTATAGATCTTATATTGAATGTGTTATTTTGCAATTTTGTAGAGGGAGAATTTAACCTACATATTTCTGTTTGGTAGCAATACAAAGAATTTCTCTGCATTAGAAAAAATAATTCAAAAGTTTACAGTAGATGTCCCTATAGTACAAAACCCAGTAATCTTATTTTAAGATTCTTAAATTGTGTAGATATATATATATATATATATATATATATATATATACACACACACACCCAGTTCCTCAAATGCAGTTTGGACAGTTTTAACATATTAGCAGTTCTTCTATTAATTACTGAGTAGAATAAAATTATTTACATTGTATTTATTTTATATTTAAATTATACTGATGGTTTTATCTTTTTAAAAATTATATTTTAACGTCTGAATTTTCATTCTAGATCTTACAAGATGGTCTTCTGTTTTCTAAACAAACTTTTGCAAATAACCGACCTTTAATTTGTTGACCAACACTACATTATATTTTTCTGTTTTATAAATATTATTTTCTTCTATATTCTTACTCAATTTTTTGGTTTTTCTTTAAAGTTCTTGGATGGCATCAATATTTCTTATTAATTTTCAAACCTTAATATTTCTAAATGTATTATTTAAGGCTACAGACATATCTCAAGTTTAGGCTTGTATCATTTTTAATATTATTGTTTTATTTTATTTTTAAATTTCAATTATGATTTATCCTTTTGCACATCAATTACTCAGTGGTATCTTTAAATTAAAATCTGTAGAATTTTCAACAGACTGGCAGCATTTTAGTTTTTTATTTTGTTAACATTAACTATTAAGTTTATAGATGAGTTCTGCTTCTCTTTTGTTTCTTCCTTTTTTCTTAGTGCTGTAATTGTTGATCCTGAATGAACTTAACAAACTTCCGAAGAGATGAGACTTGAACGTTTAGAAATGCTTGCTTCTAGAGGAACTAATAGAGAAGGAGTGCCTGCTGCCCAAAGAACCCGCTATTGCTTTACATCTTTGGGCTTACAGATTCCCCTTTTATCTTAAAATGCCAATATTTGAAACACGCTAGCCACAGAATGTTCACAACAGAAATACATATCTATATGCTGTGCATGGGTAAACAGATTATCATCTAACAGCATGCTATCTGAAACTGAATTAATTTAACACTTTCTTCTTCATAGCTTGATTAAATAAATAAAGATAAACTCATATGTCTCATTACAATTGATTTGTTGTTTCTTCTGTGAGTTTAACTGGTGAATAGTCTGTTAAACTATTTGAAAATAGCGACAATAATTCCACTGGAGCAACGATTTATGTCACTGGAATGTAGAAAGGATGAAATCATTTATTTCACCCTCTTCAGCAGTCTGGAAAGCAGATGAAAGAGGCTCATAAGGAATTTCAAAAATTAACAACAAAACAGAACCCCCACTGCCCATTTATTTTAAAGACCAGAATATGATTATATCAGAAAGAAGACCCATGAAACCTCAGTGAAATAAAATAATCTGAAAAGAAAAAGAATGAAAAAGATTTTCAATAATTAGATTTACTTCTCTTAAACAGATAATAATTGAAAGTCTTTAACGTTATAGAAAAGTGAATTAAGCATTTTATATTTTCATTTAACTCCAGATTAGACAATGTAAGGTGAAAATCTATGTGTTGTGTGTGTGGGTAAACAGATTATAACAGATTATCATGATTATTTATGAAATAAATAATTATAACATAGAAGCCCACTCTTAGAGGCAATATATAAGTAAAAAATTATTCCACCTTTGGCTAGAACTAGTCTTGCACAGTTTGCTGAAAAAGTAATTTCTTATTTTCACTAATATCTTTATTTATTTTATTTTTTTTTTTTACTCTAGATTCCTATTCTATCTTTTATAGCAAAGGGACAAGGTGTAAAGTAGTATTATCCCACACTTCTGATTACATTTTCCTTTTTATATATGTAAAGTCAATAGAACTAATACCAATTATTAGTTAGTTTATTCTCTGATGTTTTATTGTCACTCATGTAGCAGTTCCACATATATGTTTATGTCTGTTTCTTTACTCTCCCTTTTTCTATATTATTTTACTTGTTGTATGTTTAAATTATCTTTTAAGTAAATTCACCTACTTGTTTCTAGCCTTTAAAAATTTGCCTCTCTTCACTTGTACTACCTAATTCTGTATAAAAATTTGAGTCAAGTAATCAATTCCTATGAAAAAAATTGCTGGGACTATTATTGGGATTGAATTAACATATGTTTTTATGCAGTGAGAATTGGAATATTTAATTTATCATTTTCTTATCCTTTAAGAGGTTATATTTTCTTGCATTTACTCATGTTTGCTTTTACATGGTCTTCAATATTATTTTGAAATATTATCCTAAAAGATAATTTTAAAACACCTTTGGTTAGACCTATTCCTCTGTAATATTTGTTTTTATTGAGATTCTCAAGCTCTCTATTTTATTATTCATTGTTATAATAAGTTGTTGCTGGTGTACAGGAATGCTATTGATATTCATATGTCCATGATTCCTCCAGCAACCTTAATAAATGGGGGATTTAATAAACAATCATTTTGTCTGGATATACAGGAATAGCCTTTTTCTATGGTAAAACACATACTCCTTTGCATTGGATACAGCAACTTTTACAATGTTGAAATGAAGCAGGGAGTGTCTTACCTGCTTTGTCAACATATTCCTTTGCTAAGGCTGACTTAACACAGCGCCACAGGCTGCGTGGCTTAAACAACAGAACTTTATTTATTACAGTTCTGAAGGCTACAAGTCCAAGTTTATGATGAAGATAGGTTCAGTTTCTTCTAATCCTTCTTTTCTTGGCTTCCAGATGGCTGCCCTCCTCTTTGTCCTCACGTGGTCTTTCCTCTGTGCCTGACATACCCTATTGTCTCTGTGTGTTCAAATTTCCTCTTCTTTAAAGGAGACCAGTAAGGTTGGATTAGAGCCCACCCTAACAGCCTCTTTTAACTTAATCATATCTTTAAAGTTGCTATGTCCAAATACAGACACATTCTGAGGTACCGCTCCTTAGAGCTTTAACATAAATTTGGGGTACAGCAGGGACACAATTGAGTCTATAATAACCACTAGTGGAAATATTTCTAAAAATTTACTATTAAAGGCTGGGCGTGGTGGCTCACGCCTGTAATCCCAGCACTTTGGGAGGCCGAGTTGGGCGGATCACGAGGTCAGGAGATCAAGACCATCCTGGCTAACACAGTGAAACCCCGTCTCTACTAAAAATACAAAAAAATTAGCTGGGCGTGGTGGTGGGCGCCTGTAGTCCCAGCTACTCGGGAGGCTGAGGCAGGAGAATGGCGTGAACCCGGGAGACGGAGCTTGAGGTGAGCCGAGATTGCACCACTGCCCTCCAGCCTGGGTGACAGAGCAAGACTCCATCTCAAAAAAAAAAAAAAAAAAAAAAAAACTATTAAATATGATTGTAGAAACTTTATAGGGTCAAGACGTTTTTCGTCTTTTCCTAGTTTGGTGAATTTTTATAGCAAATAAATACTGAATTTTGCAAAAATAATCTGCATAATTTAGGATGAAAATGTGCTTTGTTCACTTTCTGTCTAATGTGGTGAAATGCATGATAGATTTTTGAATGTCTATTTGTAATTCTCAGATTATATCCAATTTGTTCATAATAAATTTTCTTTAATACATTACTTAATTAATGTGTTTAGGTTTTATATAGAATTTTGACATCTGTGTTCATTCTAAAATTTTCATTTTTTGTACTGTTGTGATCCAGATTTCACATTGAGGTAATTATGCCTCCTTAGATTTTGTAGCCAACTCTATTTATTTTGTATAATAGAAATAATTTCTAAAAATGTAATAAAAGTTTCTGTAAAAATGTCTAGACCTGGGGGAGCTGGAATGTTTTCCTTTGTTTGTGAAATCACATGGAAAGAGACTTCTAGACACTTATTCAGTTTATTTAACATTTTGGAATAAGGAGGCTGGGCACTTTCCCACACTTCCAGCACAGATTCTGCAGCAGAGGTATAGAGAATCAGTGAGTGAACCGGGTGCCCCACGTCCCCTCACCTCTTCTGCTTCCTGCCAAATGAGGCTTGTCAGCTTCAAGTCCCCAGCACATCCACACTGCATCCCACTGGAAAACTGCAGCTGTGGTTCTACATTTCTTGAGGAGCACAACTCTCAGAGGTTGTTGACAAGCTCCTTGCAGCTGCCGCTGCCACTGCTGCCTCTGTCCCTGCTGGGCCCCAGGCCAGGGAGGAAACAAAGAGGCCCAGCACCTTTGTGTGCCCCTAACAGTAAAACCCAGCACTGCGTCTGCAGAAGTAAAGTGCAAGTGTCACGCACTTCATAGCTGCCAGTCTCGATTGCCCCAGGTAGGCAACCCTGCCCTTCCCAGTGAAAGGGTAGCAGCACAGCCAACTTGCCCCTGCCTGAACATTTCAGCTGCAGCCTAGGGCCCTTCTGAAAGCCTAACAACCACAGGCTTGTCGTCTTCCCCCATGGCCCTACTGCCTGAATGTTCCACCAGATCTGCCTGAGAGTTCTTTTGGTGACCCAGGGACCAGCCCACCCCTCTCCATTTAAGCTAGCACCTGAACTCTGGGCTGACCCAACCCAGAGGACTCATACACGCCATCCAGTGGGCCATCTAGAAGGCCTGGAAACTGAGGATTGACCTAGCCAAGACCAACACTGCTGGCACCTGACACTCCCTCATGGCCTGAGATCAGGCTAACCCAACCAGCAAGACACCACCACAACTGACACACACCTGCACATATCAAAAGGTAGAGACTACCCCTCACATGAAGCAATAAATTGGAGAGCAGGCAAGCCATAAAGCTGTCAGTATCACGCTGAGTGAAGAGGTTCGACCCTGAAACCACTCCTGTGGAGTCACGAGACAGGCATTATCCATGGCTCATGGCCACACTGTGGCCTGCAGAGAGACAACACTGTGCATTTAAACTACAGCCATGAGCTCCAAAACAGGCAAAACAGGGGTGTGATGGGGATATAGATGGGATTTCAGCCTACCTAAGACATGGGACCAGTACAACTCCCTCATCTCCCTAAGGTACCTTCATACATTTCACCACAAGCTCCCCCAGCCAACCCCATCAGAGCTGGTTCCTGTGCCCATCATAGAGGTATTCTTAGTAAAGCTAGGGGATCCAGCTCTGCCCAGCTATATTCCCTTATCTTCCACAGAACAGGATGCTCAGGGCACCAGACACTCCTCTGTACTACCTGTCATCTGAAATAATGGAGATCACCTCACAGTGGACAAAGACCAAGTACATATGCATCTGCTTGTGCCATAGCTGGCCTTTACCAGTAAGTATCATATACTTGCCTGCAGGTCAAACTGCACAGCCCAATATGAAACCTACTGATGGAAAGACACAGAACTATAGAAGCAAAGCTATAAAATTTCATCCAACATATTCTACCGTCATAACTTCTGGTGGGGAAGGGAATAAAACATATAGAGGGAAAGAAAAAAATCTCATCAGACAAAACTAGTGTCAGCCTCTCCACATATGAAAGAATTATCATAATAATTCTGACACCAAGAAAAATCTGAATGTTGTGACACCACTAAAGGGTTACAGTAGTTCTCTAGCAATGAACCCTAGCCAACATGGAAACTCAGATGAAAGATAAAGAATTCAAAATATTTATTGCAAGAAAGCTCAATGAGATCCAAGACATGGTTGAAAATCAACACAAAGAAACTAAAAAGTAGTCCAGGAAATAAGGAATAATATAAATATATATTTTTAGAAAAAATAAACAGAAGTTTTGGAAATAAAAAAATTCACTTAGAGAATTTCCAAATACAGTTAAAAGATTTAACAATAGACTAGATCAAGCAAAAGAAAGATTTTTAGAGCTTGAAGACTGGCCTCTCAAAATAACCCAGTCAGACAAAAATAAAGAAAAAAATAATTTTCAAAAGCAAAACCATCAGGAAATATGGGATTATGTAAAACAACCAAACCTACAACTTATTGGCACTCCTCATAGAGAAGGAGAAAATTAAGCAACCTGAAAAACATATTTGAGGAAATAACTCAGGAATATTTCCCTAATCTTGTAAGTGAGCTCAATATCCAAATACAAGAAATTCAGAAAGCACCTGTGACATACTACACAAGAGGAACATTACCAAAGCATATAGTCATCAGGCTGTGCAACGTCAATGCTAAAGAAAAAAATCAAAAAAGCAGCTAGAAAAAAAATGGCCAAGACACCTATAAAGGACAACCAATCAGAGTAAAAGTGGAATTCTCAGCAGAAATCCTACAGGCCAGAAGAGACAGGAGGACTATGTTTAGCATGCTTAAAGAAAAAAATTAGGCCATGCACAGTGGCCTCACACCTGTAATCCCAACACTTTGGAAGTCTGAGGTGGGAGAGGTTTGCTTGAGCCCAGTAGTTTGAGACCAGTGTAGGCAACATGGTGAGACTCTGTCTTTACAAAAAGTTAAAAGAATTACCCAGGCATGATAGCACATGCCTGTAGTCCCAGACAATCAGGAGGCTGAGGCAAAAAGAGGGCTTGAGCCCTGGAGACTGAGGCTACAGTGGTGAGAAAGAGCATCCTTGCCTTCTTCAGAATCTTAAGAAAAAAGCTTTCAAATTTTTTCCCATTGAATGTTATTTAGTTGTAAGTTTGTGATATATGCCCTGTTTTGCATTGAGGTACATTCTTTTTAAATATAATTTGCTGAACACTTTATTATATAGCAATGTTCAATTTTGTCAAGTGTTTCTTCCACACTTCACATTGTTTTTGTCCTTCAGCTGTTCTGTGTACATTGTTAAGTGTCTTTGCATCCCTGAGATAAATTCCACTTCATCATGGTGAATGATTGTTTTAACGTGCTATTGAATTCAGTGTTTTCCAGTGTTTTGTTAATAGTTTCTCATATATGTTTATCAGGGATATTAATTGTTCTTGGTGTTTGTTTATAAAGTCTCTATCTGGCTTTATTATGAGGATAATTCTGGCCTCATAAAATAGGTTAGAAGTATTCCTGCTCCTAAATTTTTTGGAAGAGTTTAAGAAGAATTGGTATTAGTTCTTTAAATGGTTGGTAGAATTCCACCATGAAACCACCCAGTTTTGGGCTTTTCTTTATTGGGAAATTTTTATTACTGATTAAGTTTCCCTATTCACTATTCGTTGGCTTAGATTTTCTATCTCTTTCTAAATCACTTTTGATAGAATGTGTCAAGGAATTTATCTATATCTTCTGGTTTATTCAATTTATTGGCATATAGTTCTTCATAATAGTCTCATGCTTTTGTATTTCTATGATGTTAGTAGCTACATATCCTTTTCCTCTTCTAATTTTATTTACGTGAATCTTTTTTCACTCTAGCTAAAGGTTTCTCAATGTTATAAAAAAACTTTATTAATCATTTTCATTATGTTTCTTGTCTTTATTTCATTTGTTTCTGTTCTGGTTTTTATTATTTCCTTTCTTCCACTAATTTTGGGTTTAGTTTGCTCTTGTTTTTCAAGTTTCTTGAGGTGCAGCATTAGTTTATTTATCTTTCTTCTTTTTTGATACAGGCATTCATTGCTATACACCTCCTGTTAGAATTGCTTTTGGTGCATCCTAAATTTGGGTATGATGTATTTTCATGTTTATTTATCTCAAAGTACTTTTAGTTTCTTTTTAAATTTCTCTATTGACCAATTTGTTGTTTAGGAGCATGTTGTTTCATTTCCATTATTTTTTAATTTTCTGAAGTTCTTCCTGTTAGTTTCTAGCTTTACACTTTTTAATATTATGGTCAGAAAAGATACTTAATGTGATTTCAGTCTCTTAAATTGCTTAAGACTTGCTTTGTGCTTAACAGATTATCTATCCTGGAGAATTTTCTTTGTATGCTTGAGAAAAATATATATCCTGCAACTGTTGGATGAAATATTCTGTGTATGTCTTTTAGGTTTATTTTGTCTAGAGCATAGTTTAAATTTAATGTTTCTTTATTAATTTTCTGTCTGAATGATCTGTCCATGGCTGAAAGTATAGTGCTGGAGTCCCCTAGTCTTATTGCATTGCAGTCTACAACTCCTTTCATATCTATTAATACTTGTTTTTTATATTTAGGTGCTCCAGTGTTAGTTGTATATATGTGTACAGTTACATTCTTGCTACACTGACCCTTTTGTCATTATTTAATTACCTTATTTCACTCTTTCATTTTTGACTTAAAATCTATTTTATCTAATAAAAGTATAGCTCCTCCTGCTCTTTCTTGCTTTCCATTTGGATGGAATCTCTTTTTCCTTTCCTTCACTTTCAGTCTATGTGAAAGCAACTGAAGGGGGCTGAGTTTCCTGCAGGTAGCATTCAGTCGGGTCTTGTTTTTTTACTGCTGTTGTGGTTTTTTTGTTTCTTTTGCTTTTTTAAAAATCCTTTTATCCACTCTATCTTTTGATTGAAGAATTTAATTCATTTTCTTTCAAGATAATTATTACTTTTTTATTATACTTTAAGTTTTAGGGTACATGTGCGCAACATGCAGTTTTGTTACATATGTATACATGTGCCATGTTGGTGTGCTGCACCCATTAACTCGTCATTTAACGTTAGGTATATCTATTATTACTAATAGGTAAGGACTTACTACTGCTATTTTTGCTAATTGTTTTCTAATTGTATAGTATATCAGCTGTTACTTTCTTCCTCTCTTTTTATCATCCTTTTTGGCTAAGTAATTTTTTTGTCTAGTGGCATGTATTAATCCCTTACTTTTTGTTTTTTATGTATTTACTACGGACTTTTTCTTTGTGGTTACCATGCAGCTTAGAAGAAATATCTAATAGTTATAACAGGTTGTTTTAATATAACAATTTAAAATTAATCAAAATATATAATCATCATGCTTTCACCCCACTCCAGCCCCCATATATTTTTAATTTTTGATATCCAAATTTGTAACTTTTTATGTTGCATATTCCTTAACAAATTGTTGTAGTTATTACTATTTGTAATTGTTTTGTCTTTTAATCTTCATACTGAAGACATAACTGACTTACCATCATTACAGTATTAGAGTATTTTAAAGTTGACTGTATATCACTGTTTTATACTTTCAAAATTTTTTTATTACAGATTAGTGTCCTTTATTTCATCTTGAATAACTTTATTTCTTGTCAGACAGATCTGGTGGGGAAAAACTTTCCCAGCTTTTATTTGTCTGAGAAACTCATTAATTCTTTTTCATTTCTGAAAAAAAAAAAATCTATGTGGGTATAGTATTCCTGATTAGCAGGGTTTTTGTTTTAGCACTTTGAATCATACCACTGTCTTCAGTCTTGTAATGTTTCTGTGAAGAAGTCTACTGCTAGATGTATTGGAACTCTCTTATATATGTCATTTCTTTACTCCTACTGCTTTTAAGATCTTCTTTTAGCATTTGACCTTTGACAATTTGATTATAATATGTCTTGCAGCAGAATTATTTGGATTGAATCTGATTGGTAACATTTGACCCTTCTGTACCTAAATATTTGTCACTCTCCATTTAATAAAAGTTTTTTGTTATTAAAAAAATAAACTTTCTACTTCATAATTTTTCTCTCCTTGAACTTTTATTGACTCAGAAAATGCTCTTTTATGCTGTCCCATAAATTCTGTAAGTTTCCTTTATTCCTATGTATTATTTTTTTATTTTGTCTTCTCTATATTTTTGAATAATCTGTCTTTGAATTCATAAATTCTTCTGGCTGGTCAATTCTGCTGTTGTTACTTTCTGTGGCATTTTTATTTTTTTCATGGTATTTTTCAGTTCCAGGTTTTCTGTTTAATTTTTTTAAATTATTTCAGTCTGTCCACTAAATTTTTTATTCTCTCTGATTGTTTTCCTCATTTTATTAAACTGTTACTTTTTATTTTCTGGAATATTACTGGGCTTCATTAAAACAGTTATTTTTAATCATTTTTCAAGTAGTTCCTACATTTTAATTTCTTTAGGGTCAGCCACCGGCACTTTATTTTGTTCATTTGTTGATGCTATGTTTCCCTGATTATTCTTGATCTATGTGGTCATGCATCAATTTCTGTGCATTTGAAGTAGTTACTTATAATCTCTGCAGCTTGGCTTTGCCTGGAAATGTCTTTCAACATTAAGCCTGTCTAAAGATTCTTTTCCAGCCATCTGGTGTGGTCCCTCAGCTGGAATCACCGTGGCCATTATGGTACTTGAGTGTGTCCTAAGCCTGGGAACACTGTAGCTAGCATGGTACTGGGCTGGAATTTTGTGGCCACTTAGACTTGTATAGTTGTAGAGCTGGTGTGTGCCTAACACCCACTTCCACTGAGGCTGGTGCAGTACTGGGGCAGAAGTCCACAGCTGCCAAGGCCTGCCTGCAGCTGAAGGTTTTCTGGAGTCAAGGCCATTATAGTCAACAAGTGGCAATGCAGACTGAAGATTGAGTCCATCTTACAGAGGTTATGGGTTTCTGCCTGGTGCTGGGGAAGCCTTGGAGACTTAGTCCATGAATACTGTCCTGGAGTCAGGGACCTTGGATGTCTGCTTAGTGCTGAGTTTTATTCTGGCATGTCTGGTGTTAGGGTCTAAGGAAAAGTCTTATACTCATTCTCTTCTTTTTTTTCTTAATCAGAAGGTATCTCTGCCCTTTGCTGCCTAAGGCTGGGGAGAAGTGACGCAGGTAATTTGAAACTGTTCAATATGTCCTTTATTATTTTTGTATAAACTGGAACTGTTACTTCTCACTTAGTTTCCTTAGTTCTTGTGAATGTAATTGTGTGCATGAACAGTTTTTCAAGTTAATGTTTCTGTCAGGGGATGACCACTGGAATGTCCTATTCATCTATCTTGCTCCATCTTCTTTTCTTTCCATTTTTTACATGTTTGTTTGGATTTCTTTACTTGTATGATATTTCTATACATTTCTGGTTATCAGGCCTGCTTTATCTCCATTCAACAAGTTTTGATCTATTATCCTTTTGATGCTGTTAGTTTGGGATTTTTTTTTTCAATTTACCCTCTAACTTAATGTTTTTAAGATTCTAAATATGTGTGTGTGGCTATTTTTATTTTTGCTTTTTAATGGTGTTGTGGCCCATGAAATTGACTATCTGCTCCTGATTCCTTGGAATTTCTTGAAACTTTGTTAGTAAAAAAGTATAGTCACTTAATAAAACTGTTCCATACATAGTTAGATTAAACATCCATACACTTAGGGGTGAATAGTGTGTTTATCTATTTATATGTAAAAATCAAGCTTAGCTTTTTCCAGTCCCTATTTGTAGATGCCCCATCCACAGTTTCACATAGGAAGCGTAGTTCTACCACTTCACCATACATGGTGTACTTGTTTTGACTTTACTCAATAGGAGTTACTGTCTTCTAGGGCTGCTTTTCATCTAGGATGCCCATAATACAAGGCCATAACTTCTTATTTAGCACTGTTTCTTTGCCATCTCTCTCTCCCTAGAGTTGCATGTTTTGTGGAAGCATATTTTGTTAGAGGGATAAACAGATTTATGTAGTGTTTTGATTATTAGTGTATATTAAATGTTTGGTCATTGCAGTGATGATAAAGTTATACATAAATCATCATCATTCTGACTTCCATTTCTGAACATGTTTTGTTTTGTTTTATTTGGCCTGCTTTTGTTTTTAATATATTACTATATTTATGGGCCTAATTTTTAGATAACATGAATCAATAGATCAGCATTTTACTTTAGGAATCTATATTTCTGAGAAATCACATCTGATGTCTCTCATGATAATTCAGCTTCAGGACCACTGGCTCAATATTTAGGTATTTACTTTTTCTATTTTTATCTTCACTTATTGTAACATATAATTCATCCTACTTCCTAGCCGCATTAAAAATAATTTGAGTAAAAATGATTTTTTAGCTTTTATTTTAGGCTCAGGGGTACCTGTGCATGTTTGTTATATAGGTGTACTCCATGTCACAGGGGTTTGGTGTACAGATACGTTTGTCAACTGGGTAATAAACATAGTTCCTGATAGGCATATTGTAGACAATCTTATGTTTTATTTAGCTATATTTATTTATTCCATTGATAGCTCAGCACTAATATATATTATTTTCTTATATATATTAATTTCTTACATATATTAATTTCTTATATATATATTAATTTCTTATATATATTAGTGCTGAGCTACCAATGGAATAAATAAATATAGGTAAATAAAAGATAGGATTGTCTACAATATACCTATCAGGAACTATGCTTATTATTCTTCTATGTGCTAGGAGACACTATTCATACTAAAATAATTATAGATGACCCTTTTCAAAAAGTATTCTAGCATAGTCATTCAGCATGTGAACACTGGAAACACAGTGCTTTAATTCAAAGCATAGCTCTGTCATTCACTAGCAATGTGATGAGAAATTTGCTTAATAGCTTTGTGTGTTAATTTACTTATCTTTGAAATAGATTTGATATTGACATTTCTACATGGTGATATATTAACTTACCATATTAGTCTGTTCTCACACTGCTATGAAGATACTGCCTGAGACTGCATAATTTATGAAGCAAAGAGGTTTAGTCGACTCACAGTTCCACATTGCTGGTGAGGCCTCAGGAAATTTACAATCATAGCAGAAAGCTAAGGGGAAGCAAGGCACATGTTACATGGCAGCAGGAGAGAGAGAGTGTAGAAGAAGCACCCGATACTTAACAAACAACCAGATCTCCTAAGAATTCACTCACTATTGTGAGAAGAGCATGGGAGAAAACACCCCCATGATTCAATCACCTACCACCAGGTCCCTCCTTCAACACATAGGAACTACAATTCAGATTACAATTCAATATGAGACTTGTGAGGGGACACAGAGCTAAACCATATCACTAACCATTTGGAATGGTGTCTGGCACAATAAGAAGTGCTCAATCAGTGCTTGCCATTGTATTATTGAGTGCTCATCATGTGTGAGAGTGTATTCTAAGGATTGTTGTGCTAATTTATTTAATATTTACAACATATTGTAAGGACGTAGAATGCTTGTTATTCATCTTTCTAGTTTCACTATTGAGCACTGAACACTGTAGACCCTCACTAGACATGTTGATTGAATGAGCTTACAGTGAGCCAAGAATGCATGGAAGACATAAACATTTATCACAGTCCATTTGAGTGAAGGAAAAACTCAAAAACAGACTGTATGTGAATAAAGATATCACAGACAATTAAGACTATGCTTTAAGCCTCTGAAAGGTGACAAGATGAGAGAGAAACTTGTGCAATGGGAATATGGAAATTACTTATGTCCTGAATGTCATGAGGATATGACAAGCAAATTTTCTATATGATAACAGCATATGATATTTACAGGGAATGACAGAGCATAAAATAGCAGCTAGATTATGATGGCTCACATAAGCCAAGCTAAGGTATTTGACTTTATACTGTAAGACAGGGTTCAGTAAACTTTCTTCAAAGACCAGATAGTGAAATGTTAGCCTTTGCTGGACATAGGTCTTTGTCACAACTATTCAGCTTTGCTGTTGTACTACAAAAGGAGCCTTTGAGAATAGTAAATAAATGTGAATGTGTTCTAATAAAACTCTATTTATTAAAACGTGGAGCAGGCAGTTTTAGTCTGAGAAGCATAGTTTGCTGAATCATGCTTTATAAGATAGGTGACCATAGCATTATATATTGATAAGTAATCGATTTATTGACTAAAAGGATTTAAATGCTTAATATGAGCCAAACCCTGTACTTTTCTGCATGATGCCTCATCCTTACTGTTTTTTTTTTTCAATTGTGTCAGTACATTAGGTCTGTAATTAAAATTATGCTAATTTTTTAGTTGAACAATGGAACCATGCTTGGAGGGATTAAGTTATTTACCCAAGACCATTCAGTTGATCGATGTCAGATTACAGATCAGTTGTGTTAGGAACATTGGGAAAATAAATTCAAAGTATCATATTATGGAGTCTTTGGACTTCAGAAGTTTTTAATCTAGTGAGGGAAAAAATAATAACATACAAGATAACTTCATGTTAACTAGAACAATACAATATCTGGCAAAAATAATATAATGATGTTGTCTAGGAGTGTTCTCTATCTTTATGGAGCATACTACAATTTTAAACATACAATGAAATGTTAAGTTGATTAAGCTTTTTCAAAATAACAGAACAGTTAAAAAACAATTTTTATAGTAAAATTCTGGTTTTATAAATAAAAAAGTGTTACTGTTATTTTATATAAAATGTTTTATATTTATAAATGTAATATATATGTGCAGTATGGAAAATTTTAAATCATCAAAAATATGTAAAGTTAAATTTTATATAGTCATATCATGTTATTCTATTGATGAATATATTTTATGTTTTTTAAACCTCTATGTAATTTTGTTATTAATTATATCATATGCATATTTTTCTAATAATCACCTTTGGAATGATAGTTTCAAAATACATTTTCTTTCTATTTTTAAAAGTTTAATATTGCAATTGTAGGTAAACTTTGATATAAATATTTGATAAAGACTAAAGGGCTGATTAAAATGTGTTGATAGTATCTGCTGCCTGTTACTTCCAAACTAGAGGCCACCTTCTCCATCTGAATAGCCCCTTGATGTCATGATATTAAAAAACAATCAGACAAAACACAGCCCCACAAAAATATAATAAAAAACTAGCAAATCTTCAACTCTAGAAAAAATATGATGTATCTTTATTAGAGTTTTATACATTAACAATAAAATGTGGCATGACAAGAATATGGCTTTGTTCATAAAACCAACTTCAGTGGAGGTTCTTTTTATGGCTTAAGAAAGATATATGAACAGTTTGAAGAAAATTACAGGAATAAATCTGGCTACCCCTAAAGCTCTGCAGATAGTTAAAAACAAGAACACATTAGGGGAAAAAAACGTTATGAATTGCCTTGGCTTACTTAATCCTGTGAAAAGTCCTGTGAATTTCACTGAGAAAATATTAGCGTCATTAACATTCACCTTCATTAAATACTATAATGTTATAGACATTCTATACAACACAGACAAAAGCTTCAAAATCTTGGTAAACTAAGCACAAAATGTGAATTTTAGTAGTCATTTATGTGGCAGTGACCAAACAGAAGGTATGAAATAATGCCATATGATCACACCAGTATTTCTGGAGTATTTCTATAGAGAGGATCCAGCTAGTCATAAAATTGTTGATTCTAGAAAATTGCTTCCTTCGTCACAACTTGCATGATCTTTGGCTCTCTCAGTTTCTAGGAAATGGAATTGATGAAACTTGATTTAATACCATTTTTTTAGATTGTTGTTAGTGCAAATAAGGATGAAAAAGATATATTTCAATCCTGTACAGTTAAACCATGTGGATTACCAAGTGATTGGATTTTTAGATTCAATCTTACTTCTATCTCAAATCTAAGCTCTGTCTATTTACTGCCTTTATCCTCAATTGAGTTCTAAATGTCCACTTATAATTTCCCTATCCTCTTGTTTATTCTGTTTCTTATTTTGACTCTGGCTAATTGGGGGTTAACCTACATATTAAACTCTGACCCCAAATCAACAAATCCTGGTACTGACAATTCCTTTATCTCTATACTCTCCAACTTGAAAAAAAAATGATGACAGAATATAAAGATAGTAAAGGAGCACATTTTTCTTGATTTGCCTAGTATTCTTAGATTAATGGCATTAGAGTTAAATATTGATACCACCATTTGTATCACAGATGTTGCTGATGTTGACATAAAGCAGACACAGTACTTCCACTACCCAATAATAAATGATAATGGTGACTGTTAAATAATTAAAAAATAAATAAATATTTTTTACCCTAAAATATTTTAAAAATTTCTGAGAATTCCAGTTGTGTTTACTTCAAGTGACAATTTTAAGACAATTTAGGAACAGTTTTCAGGTTGGACATGATGTGTTTCAATGATGTCTTAACATCACAGAGGCAAAACTGACCCCTGCTATATGCTTTATTAAGATTGATCTGTGCCAGAAGTTCCATTTTTTAATTTATAACAACAATGAAGAAAGAGACATCAGATTCAAAGGTAAATGATGTTATCATGTACAAGTCAGAAAAACTTTCTGAGCCTCACTTGTCTCGTCTGTAAATTGTGGATCATATTGCAAGTTCTCCCTTGATCAGTAAGTCAATAAGAAAGCAAAAAAAAAAAAAAAAAAAAAAAGGTTTTAAGAAATTACATTAAAGTAGTTTAGCTGACAGTTTATAAAGTCCATCCAAAATGATAGCTAGGGAATGAATTACTTTATATTCCAGATCAGTCATCAGAATTTCTCTCCAAATATGTTTCTATGTAAATTATTATTTGCTTTTATTGTACGTAAATATATTTTGCAAGAGATGCTTTACATGACACAGTCTTAGATGCACTCCTTTTTATTTAGAATGAGGGTGAAAAGAGTAAACTATTATGTACCTTAATGACATGTTTCCGGTAAAGTTTTTAAAAAATAGGAAATGGAATAAAAGGTATTCAAAAAAGGAATAAAATATATTTCTTGCTAGTTATCACATTAATTGTACAAATATGTTATCAAGGTATTTCATATAATGACATATTTAATATTAATGACATCCTTTCAAAGGACTTGCATTAAAATATCTTTTGCCAATGTGTCCTACAGTTTGTCCCAAATATACATATGTGTGCAGATATACATTTATTTTTAATACAAGACAAACAGAAGATAACCTTTATATGGTTATGACTGTTGTCATTTGCTTTCCTAAAACCTACCTGCTGATTTCTTCTTTGCAAGAAGATTAATTGGATCTCTGCCTCTCTGTTGTCTGACATGTTATTCCTACATAGGAGGAGGCAAACTTTGCAATTTCCTAGTTTTAGATTGTGACACATTTCTTTGAAGGAGATAGCAGTATTTCATAAATATAATCTCTTTGTCAAGCACACAGCAATCCCAGTTATGTAACTGAGTAATTCATTTTCAGTAAAATAAATAAATTTTATGCCATCAAATTGATGTAACCTCTAACTTAGATTTTTAAAAAATTATTTGTGTAAAGCTTTGGGAAGCATCTGCTTTGATAGTCATTAGCTGTACATCTGGTAAAAAAAATACTGTCCACATATTTGTTGCTGGAAAGAAAATTCACAAAACTATAACCCGTGACTCAATGGAATATTAGCAAAGTGTTTTAGTTATCCATTGCCATTTAAAATGTCCATATGGGTTTGTCAGTACAGCTTTTGAAATGTAACAAATTAATATCTTTACTTCATTCTAATTTGTGGACAGATGGCATGAACAGGACTGAGTGATGCATTGGGTTATCCCTCAGCTTGTCAAGACTTATTTACAGTGTAGGAGCCATTCTCCAATGGCTGATTATCTGCTTCATTTAGTAGGAAGGAAATTAACCTCTGATTTCCATGCTGATGACTCAGCAGGTAATGTACCACTAATGCTAAAAAAAAAAAAAAGTCCCGAAAAGGGACTGGTTTTCAAATCTAACAAGACACATTAAAAAGCTAAATTGCTTTATTGGACCCAGGAGATAAAAGCAATTATTTCAGTCCACTAGTTGGGATAATAAAATTTAGAAAAAGGAATGAAAAGATTTTGTTTCCTGGCAGAATCAAATAAACACTCGTATTTTAAGTAATATTTTCTCCATAATTCAATAAAAATGCATGCCTTGTAATATACCTGGTTTAGAAAAGAAGATTCAGTGCAATAAAGCACTTATTTTAACTTCATATGTTAGATATCACTTAATTTTTAACTGAGGGTAAAGCCCCCCAAAAAGACACTATTAGCTAAAAAGCATTATTTGAAGTATAGAAGACGTATGACTTTTTTGGTGAAACAAATTCACCTTCACTCACAAATTAAACTATTTTGTAGTTTGAGTTCCTTTAATAAGAAGCTGTTTTGATTTGGTAATATATATTAATGCTTGGAATGTTCTTCCATTTGTTTGTATCCTCTTCTATTTCATTGAGCAGTGGTTTGTAGTTCTCCTTGAAGAGGTCCTTCACATCCCTTGTCAGTTGGATTCCTAGGTATTTTATTCTCTTTGAAGCAATTGTGAATGGGAGTTCACTCATGATTTGGCTCTCTGTTATTGGTGTATAAGAATGCTTGTGATTTTTGCACATTGATTTTGTATCCTGAGACTTTGCTGAAGTTGCTTATCAGCTTAAGGAGATTTTGTGCTGAGATGATGGGGTTTTCTAGATATACAATCATGTCATCTGCAAACAGGGACAATTTGACTTCCTCTTTTCCTAATGCTAACAGGTTTATTGTATCTTTTGGGACAAAAAACAATTTAGAAACATTAATATGGTAGCTATGTATGATATATATACATATATAGATACACAGCACAAATGGTGCTGGAACAGCTGGACATACACATGCAAAAAATAATCTAGGCACAGATCTTTCGTCTTTTACAGAATTTATATCAAACTAAATCACATATCTAAATGTAAATGGCAAAACTATACAACTTCTAGAACATAACATAGGAACAAATTTTTTAACTTGTGTTTGTCAATGAATTTTCAGATATCCAAAGCATTAGAAATAAAAGAAAAAAACTGACACGTAGAAATTTATAAAATTTAAGTTTAGTTTTGAAAAAAAAGACACTATTAAGAACAAAAAATGGTGACAAATTGGGAGAAAATACTTAGAAAACATTTATCTGATACAATAAATAATTCTGAACACTCAACAATAGGAAAACAAACAACCCAATTAAAATAGGAGCTAAAGATCTGAAAGAAAATGTAAAGATGGCATGTAAGCATATGGAAATATGCTCAACATCACATGTCATTTAAAAATTGCAAAGTACAGCAACAGAGAGACATTACTACTACACACCTATTAGAATTGATAAAATCCAAAAGACTAACAACACGAAATGCTGGTAAAGGTGTGTTATTAGTTACAAATACTCTCATCCATCACTATTGGAGAAACAAAATGGGAGAAACAAAATGGTATATCGCTGAGGCAGGTTAGTAGTCAAGGAGGTGACCATGTCCTTGGGACACAACAACCCTGAGACTTGCAATGTATGAAAAAGCATGTACAGCTACTGCACATACACACCGAAAGGACCACTTGAAACATACTTACTAGTAACACCTCTCCTCATCCCCTTATGAATAATCATGTAAGACTTCCATAATGGAGTCTCCATGGTGCCAGTCTTTGATGTCTCATCCTTACGTGCAGCATTCCCTGAAATCTCTCTCAGGGTGTACTGTCTATTCTATACTTAACTATCAGAATACTTTTTTTCTTTTGCAAAAGTTACTCTACGCTGTATCTCTTTTGCTGTGTGTCTTTTTTTTAAATTATAATAAACTAAGAAGACAAAAACCAAGGTCTCACAACAGCCATCATCATAGCCACTTCGGAAGACAGCTTGGCAACTTCTTACACAGCTAAATATAATTATACCATATAATCCACTAATCATACTCCTTGGTATTTACCAATGTACCAAGGAGTATATATCCTTATAAAAACCGGAACTTAAATGTTTATGACGTCTTTATTTATAATTGCAAAAACTTTTAGCAACTCAGATGTCCTTCAATAGGTGAAAGGATAAACTGTGGTATATACAGAAAGTAATGGAACATTATTCAACGATAAAAATAAATGAACAATTAATCCCAAAATGACATGGAGAAATTTAGCAATATATGCATATTGCTAAGAGAAAAAAATACCAATCTAAAAACGTGACATACTGTATGACTCCAACTGTGTCATATTCTGAACAAAGCAAAACTAGAGAGACAACAAAAAGGTCAGTGACTGCCAAAGTTTAGACATGATGGAGGGATTAATTGGCACAACACAGAAAATTGTTATGGCAGTGAAATTGTCTGTTTCATATTTTAATGGTAGATACATTTCATTATGTATTTGTCGAAATCCACAGAATGTACAACACATAGAGTAAACTCAAACCATGGCCTTAAGTTAATAATAAACACATTTATAGTCATTAATTAACAACAACAACACACTAAATAAAAATGTTAGTAATAGGAGAAAATTGAGGGTGGAGAGGAGAGAGTAAATAGGAGTTTTCTGTACTTTCTGTCCAACGTTTCTGTAAACTTTAATCTATAAATTAAGTCAATTAATTTTTAAATGTATTAAAGATAAGGAAAATTGAAATTGATCAGAATGGATTTCAATCTAGAGCAATATATGACAAATAATAAAAAGCGTTTTTTAAAAGAGGTATTCTTTCACAATTTACGTAAAAAACAAAAGTTAGAGAACCTAAGTGATATAGTTTGGCTGTCCCCACCCAAATATCATCTCAAATTGTAGTTCTCATAATCCCCATGTGTCATCGGAGAGACTTAGTGGGAGTTAATTGAATCATCGGGGCAGTTTCTGTCATATTATTCTCATGATACTGGGTAAGTTTGCATGAGCACTAATGGTTTTATAAGGGCTTCTTGCTTTTCTCGGTTCTCATTATCTGTCCTTCACCATGTGAAAAAGGACATGTTTGCTTCCTCTTCTACCATGATTGTAAGTTTCCTGAGGCCTTCCCAGCTGTGCTACACTTTAAGTCAATTAAACCTCTTTTCTTTATAAATTACCCAGTCTCAGCATATCCTTATAGCAATGGGAGAACAGACTAATACAATAAATTGGTACCAGTAGAGTGAGGTGCTGCTGAAAAGATACCCCAAAATGTGGAAGTGACTTTGGAACTGGTTAACAGGTAGACATTGGAACAGTTTGGAGTGCTCAGAAGAAAACAGGAAAATGTGGGCAAGTTTGGAACTTTCTAGAGACTTGTTGAATGGCTTTGACCAAAATGCCGATAGTGATATAAACAATGAAGTTCAGGATGAGATGGTCTCAGATGGAGATGAGGAACTTGTTGAAAACTGGAGTAAAGGTCAGTTTGCTATGCAAAGAGGCTGGCTGCATTTTTCCCCTGCCCTAGAGATCTGTGGAACTTTGAACCAGAGAGAGATGATTTAGGGTATCTGGAAGAAGAAATTTCTAAGTGGCAAAGCATTCAAGAGGAAGCAGGGCATAAAAGTGTGGACAATTTGCGACCTGACAGTGTGATAGAAAGAAAAACAAATTTTCTGATGAGAAATTCAAACTAGCTGCAGAAATTTGCGTAAGTTACAAGGACCTGAATGTTAATTACCGAGAGAATGAAGAAAATGTCTCTAAGGAATCCCGGAGACCTTACCAATAGTTCCTCCCATCACAGGTCTGGAGGCCTAGAAAGAAATAATGTTTTCATGGACCAGGCTCAGGGCCCACCTGCTTTGTGCAGCCCCCAGACATGGTGCCCTGAGTCCCAGCTGCTTCAGCTCCAGCTGTGGCTAAAAGAAGCCAAGATACAGCTCAGGCCATTGCTTCAGAGGTTCATGAAAGCCCCAGGCTTTGGCAGCTTCCATGTGGTGTTGGTCCTGTGGGTATGCAGAAGACAAGAATTGAGGTTTGAGAACCTACACGTAGATTTTAGAGGATGTATGGAAATACCTGGATGTCCAGTCAGAAGTTTGCTGCTGGGGCAGACCCCTCATGGAGAACCTCTACTAGAACAGTGTGGAAGGGAAATTTGGGGATGGAGTCCCCACACAGAGTCCCACTGGGGCATGGCACTGCCTAGTAGAGCTGTGAAAAGAGGGCTACTGTTCTTCAGACCCTAGAATGAGATCAACTGACAGCTTGTACCCTGTACCTGGAAAAGCCACAGACACTCAACACCAGCCCATGAAAGCAGCTGACAGAGAGATTGTACCATGAAAAGCCACATGCTCAAGGCTGTGGGAGCCCATCTCTTTCATCAGTGTGACCTGGATGTGAGACATGAAGTCAGAGGAGATCATTTTGGAACTTTAAGATGTAATGACTGCCCTATTGAATTTTGGACTTGTCTGCAGCTTGTGCCCCTTATGTTTTGACTAATTTCTCCCATTTGAAGTAGTTGCATTTGCCCAATGCCTGTAAACTCGTTGTATCTAGGAAGTAACTAACTTGCTTTGGATTTTGCAGGCTCATAGGCAAAAGGAACTTGCCTTGTCTCAGATGAGACGTTGGACTTAGACTTCTTGGTTAATGGTGGAATGAGTTGAGACTTTGGGGGACCGTTGGAAAGGCATGATTGTGTTTTGAAATGTGAAAAAGACATGAGATTTGGGAAGGGCCAGGGAAGAATGATATGGTTTGGCTGTGTCCCCACCCAAATCTCATCTTGAATTGTAGTTTCCATAATCCCCATGTGTCATGGGAGGGACCTAGTGGAGGTAATTGAATCATGGGGGTGGTTGTCCCCATGCTATTCTCATGATAGTAAGTTCTCATTAAATCTGATGGGTTTATAAGGGTCTTCTCCCTTCACTCAGTTCTCATTCGTCTCATTCTTCTCCTTCCTGCTGCCATGTGAAGAAGGAGATGTTTGTTTCCCCTTCTGCCATGACTTTAAGTTTTCCTAGATCTCCCCAGCCCTGCAAAACTGTGAGTCAATTACACCTCTTTCCTTTACAAATTACCCAGTCCTTATGGTCTCTTATTGCTATGTCCTTATAGCAATAAGAGAATCAACTAATACACCAAGTTCTGTAAAATTTACTTAATCTCATCCAGTGCTTCAGGTAAAAGACTAAATAAACCTAGATTTTGTTACCTGTATTGATGTGACAAATCATGTGACACAAATTTTCTCATTTCTTCACTCAAATACAAATAAACCACATGTTAAACAATCTACTAAGAGAAACAAAAAGTTAGGCTGAGTAGGGTGGTTCATGCCTGTATGTAATCCTAAAACACTGGGAGGCCAAGGTGGAAGATCACTTGAGGCCAGGAGTTAGAGACCATCAGCCTGGGACACACAGTGAGATGCCATCTTAATTAAAAGAAAAAAAAGTTAAAGAGCAATTACAGAATGGCATAGCATACTAGACAGACTTATGAGCCTTACATAAAAGAGAAATGGAACGAAAATGTAGCAGAAATTGTAATTTATTGTGGAGGTCTAAGCATGTGAAGGAAATTATCCAAATCAATCCCACATTAAAAGTATCTGAAAATAAAAATTTAGAAACAGTGATTTATAAGCATTTCCAAAAGGTAGGAATAATTATGGAAAATGCTTGCTAAATGCTGGAAAGAGTTTAAGCTGTTCTCAGGATGCTGTGTCCCTATCACAGAACAGGCACAAATGCAAAGCCTTTTAGGGGAAAGAAACATTGGGATATTGGTTATATAAGCCAAATACAAACTCGCAATCTAATATAACAAATATCTTTAGATGTAGATCTTTATCAACTTTAAACATTCTATTAAAAATATACAAAATACAAAATAATTGAGCATGGAATACTTTTTATTTTATTTTTCAACTGTTTTTTTTTTTTTGAGATGAAATTTTGCTCTTGTTTCCCAGGCTGGAGTGCAATGGCACAATCTCAGCTCACCAAAACCTCTGCCTCTGGGTTCAAGTGATTCTCCTCCTCAGCCTCCCGAGTAGCTGGGATTACAGGCATGCGCCACCATGCCCAGCTGATTTTGCATTTTTAGTAGAGACAGGGTTTCTCCATGTTGATCAGGCTGCTCTTCAACTCCCGACCTCAGGTGATCCACCTGCCTCGGCCTCCCAAAGTGCTGGGATTACAGGTGTGAGCCCTGCGCCCCACTCTATTTTTCAACTTTTATTGGTGTATAGTATTTGTATATATTTATGGGGCACATGTGATATTTTCTTACATGCAGAGAATGTGCAATGGTTAAGTTCAGGCTATTTAGGATATCCATCACCTGGGGCATTTATCATTTCTGTGTTTTTGGAGCATTTCAAGTCCTCTCATCTAGCTATTTTGAAATATATAATACTTTGATGGTAATTATAGTCACTCTGTGCTGCTATTGGACATTAGAACATATTTTTTTCTGTATTACTCTATGTTTATACTCTGCCTTTGCCCATTCTTACCCCAAAATACACCCTTCCCAGCCTCTGTTGACTATTATTTTACACTGTATCTCCATGGGATTAACATTTTTTAGCTACCACATCTGAGTGAGAACATGGAATATTTTTCTTGCTGTGCCTGGATTATTTCATTTAATATAATGACCTCCAGTTTCACTCATGTTGCTGCAATTGACAAGATTTTATTATTTATTATGGTCAAATAGTATTCCACTATGTGTATAGACCATATTTTCTTTATCCATGCAGCCATTAATGAACATTTAGGTTGATTCCATATCTTTGCTATTGTGAATCATGCTGCAATAAATATCAGGATGCAGATACCCTTGTAAAATATTGATTTCATTTTCTTTGGCTAAATAGCCAGTTACTGGGATTGCTGGATAACATGGAAATTTTTTAGTTTTTAAGATAAATTTTACACCATTTTACATAAAGCTATACTGATTTACATTCCCACCAATAGTATATAAAAGTTCCATTTTCTCAACATCCTTGCCATGATCTATTATTTTATGTCTTTTTGATATTAGTAACCATTCTAACTGGGATAAGATAATATCTCATTGTGGTTTTGATTTGGATTTCCCTGATGATTAGTGAAGTTGAACATTTTTTCATACACTTGTTGGCCATGTGTATGTCTTCTTTTGATGAATTTCTGTTCAGAAACTTAGCTCACTTTTTAATGTGATTATTTGTTTTTCTGCTGTTGAGTTGTTTGTGTTCCTTTTACACTGTGGATATTAGTCCCTTGTCAGATGCATGGTTTGCAAATATTTCCGCCATTGAACACATTGTCACTTAACTCTATTGATTACTTCCTTTGCTCTGCAAAAGATTTTTAGTTTAGTAAAGTCTCGGTTGTTTAATATTTTTGTTGTTGCCTGTGCTTTTGAGGTCTTAGGCAAAAAATCATTGCCTAGATCAATGTCCTGCACTGTTTTCCTGGTTTACTTCTAGTAGTTTTATAGTTTTGGGTCTTACATGTAAGTCTTCAATCCATTTGGAGTTATTTTTTGTGGATGGTGAGAGATAGAAATCTATTTTTATTCTTCTGCATATGGACATCTAGTTTTCCCAGCATCATTTTTTTTAAAGAGGGTGTCCTTTCCTTAATGTATGTTCTTGGAACCTCTATCAAAAATCAGTTGACTGAAAATATGTAAATTTATTTCTGGGTTCTCTATTCTGTTCCATTCATCAAAGGTTTTTTTTTTTTTTTTTTTTTTTTTTTTTTTTTTTTTTTTTCATACCAATACCATGCAGTTTTCTCCAGCTTTTTTCTTCACACTCAGCATTGTTTGGGATATCCAGGCTCTTTTTTGTTGCCCTACAAATTTTAGGATTGTTTCTTTCATTTCTATGAAATAGAAAAATATTTTTATTTCTGATACGAATTGCATTAAATCTGTAGACTGCTTTTGGAAGTAAGACCATTTTATTTTAGTTTTATTTTTTGAGATGGAGTCTCACTCTGTCACCCAGGCTGCAGTGCAGTGGTGCCATCTTGGCTCACTGAAAGCTCCACCTCCCGGGTTCACACCTTTCTCCTGCCTCAGCCTCCTGAGTAGCTGGGACTACAGGTGCCCACCACCATGCCTGGCTAATTTTTTGTATTTTTAGTAGAGACGGGGTTTCACGGTGTTAGCCAGGATGGTCTCAATCTCCTGACCTTGTGATCCGCCCACTTCGGTCTCCCAAAGTGCTGGGATTACAGGTGTGAGCCACTGCACCCGGGCAGAAGTAAGACCATTTTAACGATATTAATTCTTTTGATCCAGATATCTTTCCACTTGTTTGTATCTCCTTCAATTTCTTTCATCAATGTTTTGCAGTTTTTCTTATAGAGTTCTTTCACCTTCTTGGTTATATTTATTACTAAGTATTTTATTATTTTTGTTTCTGTTTTAAATTGGATTCTTTCTTGATTTATCTTTCACCTAGTTTATTTTTGGTGTATAGAAATGCTACTGATTATTGTATATTGATTTTGTATTCTGCAACTTCATTAACTTTGCTTATCATAACTAAGGGGGCATTTATTTATTTATTTAGGTTTTCCTAAATATAAGATTATATCATCTGAAAAGAGAGGAAACCTGACTTCCTCTTTTCCAATCTAGATACATTTTACTCCTTCCTCTTGCCTGATTGTTCTGGCTGGGACTTCCAATAACATCGTGAATAGGAGTAGTGAAAGTGAGCATCTTTATCTTGTTCCAGTTCTTAGAGGAAAAGCTTTCTGTTTTTCCCTATTCAGTATAATGTTAGCTGTGGGTTTTTAATATATGGATATATGGCCATTACTATGTTGGGGTATTTTCCTTCCATGCCTACTTCACTGAGACTTTTTAATCATGAAGGGATGTTGCATTTTATCATTTTTTTTCTGCATCTATTGAGATGGTTATATGTTTTTTTATTCTGTTGATGTGATGTATCACATTAATTGATTTGTGTGTGTGTTGAGTTGAATTATCCTTATATCTATGGGATAAGTTCCACTTGATCATGGTATATTACCTTTTTGATGTTCTGTTGTATTCAGATTGCTAGTATTTTGTTGAGGATTTTTGTGTCTATATTCATGACAATTTTTGGATTGTAGTTTTCCTTTTTGGTGTATTCTTGTCAGCTTTTGGTATCAGGGTGACGCTAGCCTCATAGAATGAGTTAGGGAGAATTTCCTCCTCTTCAAGTTTTTGAAATAGTTTGAGAAGAATTTGTGTTTGTTCTTCCTTATAGTTGAAGTTATTCTGTAACAGACTTTTCCTTGTTGAACGACCTTTTATTATTGCTTCCATTATATTACTGGCCACTGGTGTGCTCAGGTTTTCTATTGCCTAGTGATTCATCCTTAGGACATTGTATGTGTCTAGAAATTTACCCATTTTCTCTAGGTTTTCCAGTTGGTTAGTGGAGAGTTTTTTCATAATATTCTCTGATGAGCTTTTGTATTTCTTTTGTATGATTTGTAATATCTTCTTTGTTTCTAGCTTTCTTTATTTGGGTCTTCTTTTTTTCTTGGTTAGTCTAGCTGTGGCTTATCAATTTTGTTTGTCTTTTAGAAAAAACAACTCTTTCTTTTATTGATCCTTTGTATGTTTAGTCTTTGTTTTATTTAGTTTTGCCCTTGTGATGGTTAATATTGAGTGTCACCTTGATTGAACTGAAGGATGAAAAGAATTGTTCCTGGTGTGTCTTTGAGGAGATGAATATTTGAGCCACTGGACTGGGAGAGGCAGATCCACCCTCAATCTTGGTGGGCATCATCTAATCGGCTGCCGGCATGGCTAGAAAAAAAAGCAGGCAAAAGAAGTTGGAATGACCACACTTGCTGAGTCTTCTGGCCTTCATCTTTGTCACATGCTGAATGCTTCCTCCCCTCGAACATAGGACTCCAAGTTCTTTCAGCTTTTGGACTCTTGAACTTATATGAGTGGTTTGCCAGGGACTTTTGGGTCTTCTGCCACAGGCTGAGGACTGCACTGTCAGCTTCCCTACTTTTGAGGTTTGGGGACTTAGACTGGCTTTCCTGCTCCTGAGCTTGCAGATGGCCTGCTGAGGGACTTCACCTTGTGATTGTGTGAGTCTATACTCCTTAATACACTCCCTTTCATATATACATCTATCCAATTAGCCCTGTCCCTCTAGAAAACCCTGACTAATACAGATTTTGGTGCCAGAAGTGGGCTGTGCACAGCAACATTCCATCATCAAATGGAAGTGCTATTACATGATCAGGCTCCAGCAGGTCCTGAAGATACATATAAGTTACATGAGGAAGTGGATCAAATGTCCATGGTCTCCACTCCTGCCTCTCTGCCTTCTCTCCCCCAACCTGCATTGATGGCCTCATGGGGAGCTCCCTATGATCATTTGACAGAGGAAGAGAAGACTAGGGCCTCGTTCACAGATGGTTCTGCACAATATGCAGGCACCGCCCAAAAGTACACAGCTGCAGCACTACAACCCCTTTCTAGGACATCCCTGAAGGACAACGGTGAAGAGAAATATTCCCAGTGGGCAGAAGTTCAAGCAGTTCACCTGGTTGTGCACTTTACATGTAACGAGAAATGGCCAGATGTGCGATTATATACTGATTCATGGGCTGTAGCCAATGGTTTGGCTGGATGGCCAGGGACTTTGAAGAAGAATAATTGGAAAATTGGTGACAAAGAAATTGGGATACAGGTATGTGGATGGACATCTCTGAGTGGTCAAAAACTGTGAAGATATTTGTATCCCATGTGAGTGTTCACCAAAGGGTAACCTCAGCAGAAGAGGATTTTACTAAGAGGATTTAATAATCAAGTGGACACCACTCAGCGTCTTTCTTCAGCCACCACTGTCATCACCCAATCGACCATGAATATAGTGGCTATGGTGGCAGAGATGGAGGTTACACATGGGCTCAGCAACATGGACTTTTACTTACCAAGGCTGATCTGGCTACAGCCACTGCTGAGTGCCCAATTTGCCAGCAGCAGAGACCAACACTGAGCCCTCGATATGGCACCATTCCTCAGGGACATCAGCCAGCTACCTGGTGGCAGATTGATTGTATTGGACCTCTTTAATCATGGAAAGGGCAGAGGTTTGTCTTCACTGGAATAGACACTTACTCTAGAAATGGGTTTGCCTATCCTGCATGCAGTGCTTCTTCGAAGACTTCCATCTGTGGACTCATGGAATGCTTTATCCACTGTCATGGTATTTCAAACAGCATTGCCTCTTACCAAGCCACTCACTTTGTGGCTAAAGAAGTGTGGCAGTGGGGTCATGCTAATGGAATTCACTGGTCTTCCAATGTTCCCTATCATCCTGAAGCAGCTGGATTGATAGGACAGTTAAATGGACTTTTGAAGTCACAATTACAATGCCAACTAGGTGACAAGACTTTGCAGGGCTGGCGCAGAGTTCTCCCAAAGGCCATGTATGCTCTGAATCAGTGTCCAATATATGATACTGTTTCTCCCATAGCCAGGATTCATAGGTCTAGGAATCAAGGGGTGGAAGTGTAAGTGGCACCACTCACCGTCACCCTTAGTGATCACTAGCAAAATTTTTGCTTCCTGTTCACGCAACATTACGTTCTGCTGGCCTAGAGGTCTTAGCTCTGGATGGAGGAATGCTGCCCCTAGGAGACACAACAGTAATCCCATTAAACTGGAAATTAAGATTTCCACCTGGCCACTTTAGGTTCCTCCTACTCTAAGCCAACAGGCTAAGAAGGGAGTTACAGTGTTGTTTAGGGTGACTTACCCAGACTATCAAGATGAAATCAGTCTACTACTCCACATGGAGGTAAGAAATAGTATGCAAGAAATCAGGAGATCCCTTAGGGCATCTCTTACTATTACCATGCCCTGTGATTAAGGTCAATGGGAATCTACAACAATTCAATCTAGGCAGGATTAAAATGGCTCAGATCCTTCAGGAATGAAGTTTTGGGTCACTCCACCAGTTAAAAAACCATAACCTGCTGAGGTGCTCGCTGAAGACAAAGGGAATACAGAATGGGTAGTAGAAGAAGGTAGTCATCGATACCAGCTACTACCATATGACCAGTTGCAGAAATGACTACTGTAATTGTCATAAGTATTTTCTCCTTATTTTATTAAGAACATGTTTGTGTATGTACACACTTATACTAATAAAATATATCCATTGTATTTCCTTCCTTTTTTAAAAATCATGTGACATAAGATTTATTGACATACCAAGTTTTAACTGTTGTTAATTTTACATAATAACATTTAGGTTAAGGATTAATGTTCTTCCAGTTGTACGGAGGATAGCCGTATTATGTTAGGCATAATTATGGCATAACTATTGTCTTTATTTCAATATTATGTATGATTTCAGGAGATGTGTATGGGTTCAAATTGATAAAAGTGGACTTGTGGTGATAAATATTGAGTATCAACTTGATTGGATTGAAGGATGAAAAGTGTTCTTCCTGGCTGTGTCTACGAGGGTGTTGCCAAAGGAGATTTAACATTTGAGTCAGTAAACTGGGAGAGGAAGACCCACTCTCAATCTGGGTGGGTACCATCTACTCATCCGTCAGCATGGTCAAAAAGAAGCAGGCAAAGAAGTTGGAAGGAACAGACTTGCAGAGTCTTCCAGCCTTCATCTTTGTCCCTTGATGGATACTACTTGCCCTCGAACATCGGACTCCAAGTTCTTCAGCTTTTGGATTCTTGGTCTTACTTGAGTGTTTTGCCAGGAGCTCTTGTGACTTTGGCCACAAACTGAAGACTGCTCTGTTGGCTTCCCTACTTTTGAGATTTTGGGACTCAGACTGGATTCCTTGCTCCTCAGCTTGCAGATGGCCTATTGTGATACTTCACCTTGTGATCGTGTGAGTCAACACTCTGTAATAAATTCCCTTTCATGTATATATCTATTCTATTACTCCTGTTCCCATATAGAACCCTGACTAATACAGATCTGATCTTTATTATTATTGTTGTTGTTTTCTGGAACAGAATCTCACTCTGCCACCCAGGCTGAAGTGCAGTGAAATCTTAGCTCACTACAGCCTTGACTTCCCAAACTCAAGCAATCCTCCTACCTCAACCTCACAAGTAGCTGAGACTACAGGTGTGCACCACCAAGCCCAGCTATTTTTATTGTTATTGTTGTTTATTATTTGTAGCAATAAGGTCTCACTGTGTTGCCCAGGCTGATCTCACACTCCTGAGCTCAAGTGATCCTTCTGCCTCGGCCTCCCAAATTGCTGAGATATTAGCTTGTGATCTTTATTATTTTTTACATCTAATAATTTTGTTTTGTTTACTCTTGCTTTTCTAGCTCCTTGAGATGCATCATTAGTGTTTGCTTGAAATATTTCTACTTTTTGATATGGTCATTTACTGCCATAAACTTCCCTCTTAGTATTGCTTTTGCTGTAAGCTATAGGTGTTGATATGTTGTATTTCCATTTTTATTTGTTTCATTTTTTAAATTTTCATCTATATGTTCTGTGATTATAGAAGAGAATGTTCTAAAAATGACTGTTAGTTCAATTTTGTCTAAATTCCAATTTATTTCCAGTGTTTTGATAGGAATTGCTTTGAATGTGTAGACTGCCTTAGGCAACAAGCCCATTTTAAAAATAGTAATTATAATACATGACTGTAAGATGTCTTTCCATTTGTTTGTGTCATTTCTTTGTTGATTTTCTGCCTCGATAATCTGTCTAGTATTAGGAATGAGGTGTTTAAATCCCCTACTGTTATGGTATTGCTATTTCTTTCTTTATGTCTAGTAATGTTTGTTTATATGTGTGAGTGCTTTAGTGTTGAGTACATATATGTTTTAAATTGTTATTTTCCTTTGTGAGGTGATTCCTTTATCATTTTATAGTGACATTCTTTATCTTCTTATTTTAACCATTTTGACTTAAAACCTGTTTCATCGGATACAAGTATAGCTACCCAGTGTGACTTTTTTTTTGCATGGGATATCTTTTTTCCTTTTCTTTGCTTTGAGCCTATATGCATTTTTAGATGTGCAGTGTGTTTCTTGTTGGCAGCATATGGGAAAATGTTGTTTCTTTATCCATTCAGCCCATCTCTCTTCTAAGAGGATACCTTAATCATTTTATATTCAAAATTATTATTAATATGTAAGATTTTGTTCCTGTCATATTGTTGTTTACTTGAATATTTTCTTTTTCTTTTGTATTGTTAATCATTGATGTTTGGTGGGGTTTTTGGAGTGATAACATTTGAATACTTTGTCTTCCTCATTTGTGTGTTTGCTCTACCAGTGAGTTGTATAGTTTTGTGTGTTTTTATAATGATATATATCATTCTTTTGCTTTCAGGTGTAGTAGTCCTTAAGAATTTCTTGTAGATCCAGTCTAGTGGTTATTAATTCTTCAACATTTGCTCATCTGGGAATTTATTTCTCCTTCAGTAACAAAGGATAACTCTGCTGGGCATAGTATTCTTAGCTGACAGTATTTTTTTTATTTTTTTTTCCTTTTAGTGCTTGGAATTTTTGTCTAATTCTCTCCTCACCCTAAGTTTTCTGCTGATAAATCTCCTGGAAGTCTGTCAAAGTTGACTTATATGTAACAAGATGATTTCTCTCACTTTTTATAAAATTATCTCTTTGACTTTTAACATGTTGACTATAATTTGCTTCAGAGAAGAATTTTCTGGGGTGTATCTACTTGAAAACGTTTGAGCCCCCTGTATTTTAATGTCTAAATTTCTTGCTGGACTTTGGAAGTTTTTAGTTATTAGTTGAGAAAATAGGTTCTCCATACCTTTGATCTACTCTTCACTTTCTCAAACATGTAATATTTTGTTGGCTTATTGTGGCCCATTTGTCATATAGGCTTTTTGCATTCATTTTGTTGTTTATGCTTTTTAAAAACCTGTCTGGGTTATTGTAAAAGATGTCTTCACATTCTGATACCTTCTTCTGCTAGATTTAGTCTACTATTAAAATTCTTGGTTGCATTTTTAAAATATCATTTATTGAATTCTTTAGTTTCAGTTATCATATATATACATATATATATAATGAATTTGTGATTCATATCCTGAATTATTTTCCTGATTTCTTTCTTTCATTTATCTGTGTTCTATTGTACATAACTGAGCTTAATATCATTATTTTGAATTCTATTACAGGCATTTTATAATTTTTTCCCATGGGAATCTTGCTGGAGAATTATTGTGTTTCTTGGGAGGTGTCATATTTTCTGGATTATTCATTTGTATTGTGTTCCTTTGTTGATATTCATGTATGTGGTATAACAGTTACATCTTCCAATTTTCTGAATTGGCTTTCATAGCAAAATACTTCTCCTAAAGATGTATCTTTAGTGTTGGTTGGTTAGGGCACCTTAGCTTTGCTTCTGGGTGCATGCAGTAGTGTAATCTCTGTATAATTCCTTTGACTGTGAACAGCATTAATAGTGCTTAATTTTCTCAGTGGCTTCAGATATGATTGTTAGAAGAGGGTATGGTGAGGCTTCGCTGAAGATAGTTATGCCAGATGGGCCAGTCCTTGTACTACAGTGGTGGCAGCAGTAGGGTGAACACTCTTGTCCTTGTTCCCCTGGGTGGCATACATGGTTCTGTTGTTAGGGAGTCAAGGTGGGCGAATTCCTCAACCCCTAGGCAGCTTGAGTAAGTGCTGGCAGTGGCAGCTTGGGGTCTGGTAAATTTGTGGATTCTTGAGCCCCTGAGCTGTAGGCATAGCATTGGCATGGAAGATTGGCAGAAGTGGTAGTGAGACTACTTTGGGCTCCCAAGCATCACATCCTGGCATTAGTGATGGCTTTAATGGGCTTGGCAGGACAGTCCCCAGTTCCCTAGGTGGTGTGTGCAAGTGGTTGCGGGTGATGATGATGGTAACAGGATGAGCAGGCCCATCTACTGACCTCCAAGGATTCTGCACAGATTCCAGCAGTGATGGATGGAGCAAGGTGATCTCAAGGCACTTCAAGCAGCGTGAGAACTAAGAGGAGAGATAATGCCAGGCCATGTAGTCCTGCCCTCGGCTTCCCCAGTGGTATGCACAGGTGCAGGCCATGGTGTGTAGAGTGGGGTGATCACCAAGATCACCAAGCCTCCAAGTGCCATTTTTGGGTGGCAGCAGCAGCAGTAGTGGTGGATGAGGAGAGCCTCTCCTCAGGGCATTTGCAAGTGCAGAGCAGTCCTGAAAGAGTGTGTGTGTGTGTGTGTGTTTGTGTGTGTGTGTGTGTGTGTGTGTGTTGGGGGTGGAGGGGCTGCTGTCAGTTGCAACAGCACCAGACAGTTAGCTCTTAGGCTCTGGCGAGTGCACACTTTGGCTCCCCTCACCCCCACCAGTAGTGGTAGCTGCAGTCATAGACAGGCAGTGTCTGGCCTCAAGGCGTATGAAATTGCATGATTGTCCTGTTGTTAATGTGGTCAGGATTGCTGTCAGTGGCAGTAGCCCCAGGTAGGTATCTGTCAGGCTCTCAGTAGCACACACTTTGGCTCCATTTGTCCCAGGGGGCAGCTTCCTCTGTTCACTGTCCCACTCACTCCCCCCGATATAAAAAATGGTATGCACAAGAGTGCTGGAGACTCTACCATACTGCTGAGTTTCACTGACATTTGCCACTACACATAGATTGATGTCAGCCGGCTTCCAGGTATGTGGAGGTGCAGGGGCTGTTTGGCCCCAGTGCACGATGCAAGGTAGTGGGGGCAAGGCTCTCAAAATGTTGGTTAGCTGCAGCTGCTTGGGTCTTGGTGGGGTGTGTGGGACCCAGAGTAAGCTCCTTCTCTGGAGTAATGTCACTCTGTGGACTCCACACAGCTCTCTATTCTACCCTCAGTGCCAGTAAGGCTCAAGAGGCCCTACTGTGACTAGGATTGCAGGAGTCAATGTTGGAAATGTTTGCCACTGAGGATTTCTCTTAACTTTTCCCCACGCTGGGGAGCCTCTCTGGGCTACTAGCCAATTACTGCCTGACTTACCTCTCCTTCTGTGCCTCAGGTTTTTCCTGTCACTTTTATGCTGAATTTAAGCATTCTCTTTTTTGTACTCAATTTGAAGTGTAATTAACTACTCACTATTTGAGATATTCTTTTTGAAGAAGGTAAGCGCTAAATACATCTTGTCAACCATCTTGAAGCCACTCGAGTATGGAATTTTCTAAAATAAATAAAATCACACAAATAAGCCCGCCAGCTACAATAAAAAACAAATGAAAGTCGTAGAGTTGAATAGTGTGTGTGTGTGTGTGTGTGTGTGTATGTGTGTGTCTATGTTAGAGATAATAGTCACTAAAAATAGTAAATTTGAAAATGCTTTTTAAGAACTTAACTTTAATGTACAGTAATTTAATTAAATTTAATGCAAGATCTCTCTCTTCAGAGACAGAAAGTGTCTGGGATGTTTAGCAGCTAAGTAGAGTTGAAAAAGAGAGAATAAATGAATTCTGGTGGTATATTAAGCATTAGATCACAGAAATTGCCCCCAAAAAATTTACTGCCAGAAAGGCTTCATTCTGAATGCAATATTAAGCAAATGAATCTGAGAACAACTGGTGAATTTGGGCAAGTGTGGAAAAGACAACAGTGTCACAACAAAAGCCCTGATGATTTCAGAAGAACCCTAGAAAACATTTTCAGTAGGACTGAGGACTGTACACAGGAAAATCAGCTGAAGGTAAGATCCAATTTAAAAAATGGCAATAAGGTTTCAGAGAACATAGATCTCAGAAAAGAAGGGAACACTGCACAAATAAGCATAGAGCCACACAGGCACACTTGCAAATTTCACCTAGGAAACTATCTGATTTAAACCAGACTAATATAAATTTCCAATACCAAAATACTGCAGTAAAAATGAAGAAAATTATCTTCATAAATATCTTCATAAAGGCATACTGACAAAAATAAGACAAGAGGGAAGAAATTTTAGCTTGATACTGTAAAACAATCTACTAGAGAAATCAGATTCGGGTAACCAAAGAATCATAGGAGAAGTTGTGGCATAAGGACAGATAATAATTTGGATATAATTAAAGGTAGCATTAAGAATAGATTATAAAGGTATATATGCTAAAATAGCATGTAAATGTTATATACTCTGCTATATGAATATAATGCAAGTGTTAAAAATTGGGAAGAATAGTAGAAAAAATAAGTCCCAATATATATTTTGGAATTTCACTTTAAAATATATTCCTCCTTACCATTTTATTGGTTATTCTTGGCTTCTTATCTTTTATTTACATTTAGAATCATATTTCTACTATCTTAGAAAAACTCCAGTAAGTTTTTAATTGAAAATTTGATTGAAATTGTATTATATCAATGAATAACTTAGTAGAGTAATGACTTATGTATAATATTTAATGCAGCTAGTCATAAAAATGTTATGACTCTTCATCAATACTAAATATTTAATGAATTTTAACGTTTCTTTTAAATTGCATAAAATTATTATACATATTTTTGTTGGACTCTGTCTTACGTACCTGCAGTTTTCTTTTTTGGTTGATCTGCAAAATACAACTGAAGATTGTATAACAATTTTCTGTCTAATAAGCTTACTAAATGCTCTAATTCGTTTGAACAATTTAACAGTGTGATCTTTTGGGTCTTTGGTTTAGACAACCATATCATCTCTTAATAAAATCATCTGTGTTTAATGACAGTTTTTTAACATTTTCTCCTAATCATTAAAAGTATTTGTATAAAGATGAAATAAAATAATAAAGATATAATAGCAGATAAAGTTAAAACCAGAAAAGTAATAGATTGAAATGCAAGTGAAATTCAAAGCTAGTTCTGTGAAAAGAGCAACAAAAAACCAAAATTTTAGCAACACTCATCAAAAGAAGTGGGAGAGAACTCATAAATCATATTAGTAATTATTAGGAGGCATCATTACAGATCTTGAGACATGAAAAGACTAATAAGGGAACATTTGCTAATAAATTTGTATCTTTGATGAAAGGATAAAAAAATCTTTGAAAGATGAAATGTATCAATCTCAAGATTGATATGTAAATGTATAATCTCGAGAGATTACCTAATCACATACTCACCCACACAAATTAAATATTGTTTAGAAAAAGACCTTTCCAAATGGCTTTACTGGGGTATTCTACCAACATTTGGCAAGAAATAAATTCATTCTACAGATTCTGCTATATGTAAAGTTAAAAAAAAAGGAAACACTTTCTAATTTATTTGAGGCTAATATCACTGAGATATCAAAACCTGACAAAAACATGAACCGAACATATAACCACAGTTTAATATTCTTTATCAACACAGAAGCAAAACTCCATAACCAAATATTAGAAAATTGGATATAGTACACAAAGAAGAAAAATACATTATGACTAAGATGAGCTTTTGGTTAAATGAAGACTATTACATCATGAGAAAATTATACAAATGTAGTTAACCATAAAGAAGCTTAATAAAAGAATAACTGCATGATTATTTCTACACATGCAGTAAAGCATTTGAAAACATCAAAACCAGTTCATTATGAAATCTATCAACTATAGAATAAAAGCTAGAGTCCTCAACTTGATAAAAAGCATTAACAAAAATATTATACTAAATGTTATACTTAGTGGTGAAACACTGAATATCGTTCTTCTAAGACTGAAAACAAGCAAGGATGCCCATTTCTCTGCAACATGATCCTGAAAGTTTTAGCCAGTATAAAAGGCAAGAAAATGAAATAAAAGATAAAACTTGCACATATTGGAATATATATATTCCTTTATTTATAAATAACATGCATGATTAGTTATGTAGAAAAGCCTAAGAAAACTACAATAAATTCTATTTAACTAAGTGAATTTACCATGTCTTCAGATATGTTTAATATTTTGAAAAATAAATCATTTTTATGTAGTAGAAATAAAATCTTCCAAATTAAAATTAAAAAAAATCAATGACTATAAAATTAGATCAAGAAACCAAAAAATACTTGGAAGTAAATTTAGCAAAATATGTGTGAAACCTATAAAATCAAAATTTAAAATATTGCTTAAAAATGTTAAAGACCTGAATTAATTGAGAAATTTGCCATGTTTGGTGACCAAATGGTTCAGTATTGTTAAAAATGCCAATTTTTTCCAAATTAATCTATATTTTCAATGCAATCCCAAGCAGAATCTAAATGGGATGTTTTTGTTTTGTTTTTGAAAATAAAGAAAGATTGATTTTACAATTTCTACAAAAACGCAATCACACACAAATAGAAAAAGTAATTTTGTAGAAGAAAAAAATTAGAGAACTTGAGGATATGCAAGGTCAACTGGTTTTTGACAAATATTCAGTGATGGTAAGCTTTATATCCTAACTTGGCTAGGCTATAGTTTATAATTACTCATTAACACTTATCTAGAAAATGTAAAATTATTTTGCAGATGTAATTTAAGTTCATTATCAATTTACTTCAAGTAAGGGAGATTAATGTAAATAATATGGGGTATGCCAGGTTTAGTCAGGTAGAAGGATTTAAAAGCAGAATTGAACTTCCCTGAAGAGATCCCATCTGTGGATAACAGCTTTGGCTCATGTCTGGAGGTTCAGCTTACCCTTCAGGATAACTACCCTAAGGATTTAGTACTGGCCTTGCCAGAATTCCTAATGGCGTAAGCCAATTCTTTGCAATTGATCTATTAATATATATCTCCTATCAGTTTTGTTTCCTGATTTGGACCCTGGTTAACACGAATTTTGGTACTGATTACTTGTCCTAGAGAAACAGAATCTTAAAGATGATTTTTTTCTGAATTGGTTCTGGGTTTCCTAGAGTTGGCTGTCTAATAAGATTTAGATCTAAAGGTAGTAATGATTCCAATTTCTATGAAAAAGAGGGCATAGTAGTCCATGCCATAATGTGAAAATAGAAATAGGCAAAATATTGCTATTAAATACTCCAAACCAAATACCTATAGAAGACAAGGTTTTGTGTACCACGCATGTGATACCTTAGAACATTTTGTTCAAAATAAGAAATATAATGAGATTCATGTTTTTCAATCCTAACTGCACTGGTGAAAGTGAGGGAAAAAAAAAAAGAATAAGCTAGCGTTTCAATGACATGAAAAGATCTGTGTCTGCCCACATAGATAGATACCTTTATCTCTCTATGGTTAAGTGACTGAAATTTCTGAAAATCAAACCTAGAGTCACATCCTGAAAATAGCTGATTTACAATGTCAATTGAATCCCCAAGCATGCAGCAGGGTTTCTCCTGTAAAATGAAGACATCAATTGGGAAGTAATAGGTCCTGCAAACAGCAATGGGGGCACTTGGGCATATCACAGTGAAGCTGGAGACATTAAAAAATTAAATTCTGCCAACTTTTTATTGTCAGTAGAAGTTGACCTTCTACCCTGAATAAGTTGATTAGCCCTGCTTTGTCTAAAGAAACTGTAATGGTCTCCATTGAGGTAGTTACTTTCGCCACCTCTCTTGGCTTCTGACCAATAAGGAGACCCAAGTTTCAGCAGACCCCAAAGGGTGATATATAAGTGTGACCTTTATGGAGGTGCATGCCAAAAGAACAGCATATTTTTTTCAGTTTATATAAAATCATAACATGTTCGAGGATGGATCTTAATGTGAAAGAGAAATAAATCTTGGAACCCCAAAATCACTAAGCCAAAGGGAAAAGTCAAGCTGGGAACTGCTTAGGGCAAACCTGCCTCTCATTCTTTTCCTGAAAAGGGGAACTACTAAGACAAACACACACACACACACACACACACACACACACACACACACAACTACATGCCTTTCTCACAAGGAATTTCCTCATGGACAAAGGACAGACAGAACTCAAAATCATCCCTCTGCTTACTGAGACAAACGCATATCTGATTGCCTCCTTTGGAAAGACTATTCAGAAACTCAAAAGAATGCAGCTGCTTGTTCCTCTCTATTTATGACCTGGAAGCCCCCTCCTGGCTTTGAGTTGTCTTGCCTTTCCGAACAGAGCTAATGTACATCTTACATATATTGATTGATGTCTCATATCTTCATACAATGTGTAAAACCAAGCTGTGTCCTGACCACATTGGCAAATGGACTTCCTGAAACTGTGTCATAGGTGTACATCCTTAACTTTGGTAAAATAAGCTTCCTAAATTGACTGAGACCTATCTCAGATATTTGGGGTTCACTTTAACAATGTGTGAACATGGTGGAAGAAACATACATTGGATCAGGTTGAATTTACTGATATGGGCCCACTAAGCAGAGACTTTGGATTTCATGCTTTAGCTCAAGAAGTTAGAAAGGGCTCAAATAGTTTGGTTCGTTGACTTTAAGATGGACCGCAAAGTGGCCTAAAACAAAATGAAGTTAAGTGCTAGGGCCACGTTGATATACTGCAGAGGAAGGTATCCTAAGGCTTAGGGAGACTGAAAGGTTAGAGTGCATTTATCACGGAAGACCTACTCATCCACAACTGTGAGAAATACGTTTTTGAGGGAAATCCCACAATCTTTGAAGAGCTCTGTGGTCACTCTTTCTGTGAGTTGACAGAGTTCTTACACTGGATTTTTCTCCAGTGTAAGAACAGAACTGTGTTCTGTTCCATTGGTCTATATCTCTGTTTTGGTACCAGTACCATGCTGTTTTGGTTACTGTAGCCTTATAGTATAGTTTGAAGTCAGGTAGCGTGATGCCTCCAGCTTTATTCTTTTGGCTTAGGATTGACTTGGCAATGCAGGCTCTTTTTTGGTTCCATATGAACTTTAAAGTAGTTTTTCCAATTCGGTGAAGAAAGTCATTGGTAGCTTGATGGGGATGGCATTGAATCTATAAATTACCTTGGGCAGTATGGCCATTTTCACGATATTGATTCTTCCTACTTATGAGCATGGAATGTTCTTCCATTTGTTTGTATCCTCTTTTATTTCATTGAGCAGTGGTTTCTAGTTCTCCTTGAAGAGTTCCTTCACATCCCTTGTAACTTGGATTCCTAGGTATTTTATTCTCTTTGAAGTAATTGTGAATGGGAGTTCACTCATGATTTGGCTCTCTGTTTGTCTGTTATTCGTGTATAAGAATGCATGTGATTTTTGCACATTGATTTTGTATCCTGAGACTATGCTGAAGTTGCCTATCAGCTTAAGGAGATTTTGGGCTGAGACAATGGGGTTTTCTAAATATACAATCATGTCATCTGCAAACAGGGACAATTTGACTTCCTCTTTTCCTAATTGAATACCCTTTATTTCCTTCTCCTGCCTGATTGCCCTGGCCAGAACTTCTAACACTATGTTGAATAGGAGTGGTGAGAGAGGGCATCCCTGTCTTGTGCCAGTTTTCAAAGGGAATGCTTCCAGTATTTGCCCATTCAGTATGATATTGGCTGTGGGTTTGTCATAGATAGCTCCTATTATTTTGAGATATGTCTCATCAATACCTAATTTATTGAGAGTTTTTAGCATGAAGGGTTGTTGAATTTTGTCAAAGGCCTTTTCTGCATCTATTGAGATAATCGTGTGGTTTTTGTCCTTGGTTCTGTTTATATGGTGGATTACGTTTATTGATTTGCATATGTTGAACTAGCCTTGCATCCCAGGGATGAAGCCCACTTGATCATGGTGGATAAGCTTTTTGATGTGCTGCTGGATTTGGTTTGCCAGTATTTTATTGAGGATTTTTGCATGGATGTTCATCAGGGTATTGGTCTAAAATTCCCTTTTTTGGTTGTGTCTCTGCCAGGCTTTGGTATCAGGATGATGCTGGCCTCCTAAAATGAGTTAGGGAGGATTCCCTCTTTTTCTATTGATTGGAATAGTTTCAGAAGGAATGGTACCAGCTCCTCCTTGTACCTCGGGTAGAATTTTGCTGTGAATCCATCTGGTCCTGGACTTTTTTTGGTTGGTAAGCTATTGATTATTGCCTCAATTTCAGATCCTGTTATTGGTCTATTCAGAGATTCAACTTCTTCCTTGTTTAGTCTTGGGAGAGTGTATGTGTCGAGGAATGTATCCATTTCTTCTAGATTTTCTAGTTTATTTGCATAGAGGTGTTTATAATATTCTCTAATGGTAGTTTGTATTTCTGTGGTATCGGTGCTAATATCCCCTTTATCATTTTTTAGTGCATCTATTTGATTCTTCTCTCTTTTCTTATTTATTAGTCTTGCTAGTGGTCTATCAATTTTGTTGATCTTTTCAACAAACCAGCTCCTGGATTCATTGATTTCTTGAAGGGTTTTTTGTGTCTCTATGTCCTTCAGTTCTGCTCTCATCTTAGTTATTTCTTGCCTTCTGCTAGCTTTTGAATGTGTTTGCTCTTGCTTCTCTAGTTCTTTTGATTGTGATGTTAGGGTGTCAATTTTAGATCTTTCCTGCTTTCTCTTGTGGGCATTTAGTGCTATAAATTTCCCTCTACGCACTGCTTTGAATGTGTCCCAGAGATTCTGGTATGTTGTGTCTTTGTTCTCTGTGGTTTCAAAGAACATCTTTATTTCTGCCTTCATTTCGTTATGTACCCAGTAGTCATTCAGGAGCAGGTCATTCAGTTTCCACGTAGTTGAGCAGTTTTGAGTGAGTTTCTTAATCCTGAGTTCTAGTTTGATTGCCCTGTGGTCTGAGAGACAGTTTGTTATGATTTCTGTTCTTTTACATTTGCTGAGGAGTGCTTTACTTCAAACTATGTGGTCAATTTTGGAATAGGTCTGGTGTGGTGCTGAAAAGAACGTATATTCTGTTGACTTTGGGTGGAGAGTTCTGTAGATGTCTATTAGGTCCACTTGGTACAGAGCTGAGTTCAGTTTCTGGATATCCTTGTTAACTTTCTGTCTCATTGATCTGCCTAATGTTGACAGTGGGGTGTTCAAGTCTCCCATTATTATTGTGTGGGAGTCTAATTCTCTTTGTAGATCTCTAAGGACTTGCTTTATGAATCTGGGTGCTCCTGTATTGGGTGCATATATATTTAGGATAGTTAGCTCTTCTTGTTGAATTGATCCCTTTACCATTATGTAATGGCCTTCTTTGTCTCTTTTGATCTGTGTTGGTTTAAAGTCTGTTTTATCAGAGACTAGGATTGCAACCCCCGCCTTTTTTTGTTTTCCATTTGCTTGGTAGGTCTTCCTCCATCCCTTTGTTTTGAGCCTATGTGTGTCTCTGCACTTGAGATGGTAAGATATTTATAAACCTTTTCATTTTCGTGTTTAAGAGCAAGAAAATGCTGGCCCTGTATCAGCATGCTTTTAAAAATCTCAGGACTAATTTTATCCTAAAATCAGTCCTTAAAATTTTTCATGTCCTCTTCTTCCACCGTAGTCCCTGGGCCTAGAGAGATTGAATAGTTTTAATTTCCAGTCCTGTGTCTTACAAAACCAGTTTATTTTCATTGTGGCGTTTTCCCAGGTCTGAAGATGAGGCTTTGACTGGTGTCAATGTTTATGATTTAACAGGATTCAGTGCCTTTTTCAGACCCAGTAATTCAACAGGTCAAAGACTAGCTAGTAGGCTGTATATCAAGCTCAAAACATTTGCTAAAAACAGAATTACAAGTTATTGTAAATTAATAATTATTCATTTCTAAGTAATAATCAAAAGATTTTGAAAGCAATATGGAAATACAATTATAATAAAGGAATATTCTATGTCTAATATGTAGATATAATAGTTTGATATAAAATAAGTTTCCATCTACAATATAAATGATCAAGCATATTATATGCATTTATGCTAAGAACATAAGCCAATGAATGAAATGTTTAGAGACATGAAAAAGAACATATATAAATTAGTAGTTTAGTTTACCATACTGCAGAAAATCTTATCATTCTTTTCAACATATCACAAATTAAAACGCTGTAATTTGGTGTCTAGTAGTACTGCCTGCAGCCCTTCAAACCACCGTCTTACACTGATTAGGTTACTCCTGGTGTATGTCTAATTGCTAGCATCTTAGTAACAGAATTGTGGCCAAACCCATAAAAAGACGTGATAAGTCCTATGCCAGCTTTATCGAAGTAAGACATTTAACCTTTTTCTCCATCAAAAAAATGGTAAATGCTTATATTATTTTGGAAATTCAGTATGAAAATAAATTATCTTGTGTATTTAAATACCATATAACAAAAGAAGGACAAAGTAAGAAAAAGCACCCAATAATTTTTTTCAGCTATCTTAAAAGTATACCATCACACATTTTCAAAACCGGATTTTAGATGCAGTACTGACAACTGATTAGGTATCTTTCTTCATATGCATCTTTAAGCCATTGCAAAACTTGTACATATCTTGTTCTGAAGTACAGACATGAAGGGCCAACCATGATAAAAGACATAACGCAACTGCTGTAACAACCAACAAGCCCCAAGAATGTCTAAAACTGAAACAGTTGGGATGATTTCCTCTCTAAATTGGTTGGACTTGTTCAACATGCAAATGGAAATTCCTTCTGAATTTCCCAAATCGAAAGGATCAGATCTCACTGTTTGGTACCCAGAAAAGACACTCATCTGTCTGGACACAGATGACAAATTTTAAAGGCTGTTCTTCCTAGCAATTGGGACCATGGCTGGAATTTGAAAGAGCAGTGCCAAAGAGAGAGACCCAAATCCATTTCCAGCCAAAAAGGGTCAGGCAGCTGCTTAAGAGGCTTCTGAAACTCTTCTGGCCCATTGCAGCCAAGCCAAGGAGCAATGTGTTCCCAGTCAGGGAAATAAAATCTGTTACCACATGTCAGGAAATCTGTCTAGGGCCCATTGCTCACAGAACAGAAAGCCAATCACTGAGACAATGAGTATTGCCAGAAAAGAAGGCTTTACTTAGGTGCTGCTGCTGAGGAAATGGGAGAGCAATCTCATCTCATATTCCTCTCCTCAATCAACTAAAATTAGGGGTTTATATAGAAGGGGAAAATGTAACTATGTGTGGGAAAACAGGAATTAGGAAGAGGTGAGGAAGAGGAGTTGGTCAACAGGAAGCAGGTGGTCAGTTAGGCAATCATGATGGCTGAGGGTGTCTCATGTCTCATTGTCCAGATGTGGTGATCTGGTCAGTTTCAGTTCTTTGATACTGTCTGGGAGGGCTAATAGTTGGTTTCCTGAGAAAGAAACTTAGATAAGACAAATGCAAGTTTTTCAAGTTTTAAAACTTGAATATTTCTATGTTCATTTTAAAAAACATAAACATCAGTTTTATAAGACAATTGGGCTGATGCCATAACCATTCCATTGAAACTGCCTGTGTAAAGTCCACCCATAAATATCACAATGCCAATGCGGCCATCAGTTATAAGCCCTTATTTTATTTGGACTCTTGGCTCAAGTGAGCACTTCATCAGTTTATTGTATGCTCCTTCTTAATCTCCTTTGATACTTTCTCTCTCTATCCTACTCTTAATTTTGGAGCGTCTAGTGTCCTTTTTCCTATTTTATGTCATCTGTTTCTTTATCTCATCTGGTCTCATGTATTTAATCACAGTGATAGATGGTATAATTGTTAATAATCTGAAACTCAATGTTACAGCTTAATCCTTGTTTCTAAATTTAAAACTTGCACATACAGTTACCTACTGATGATCTCCCACTTATGTCTGATAAACGTGTCAAATATAAAATGTTCAGAAGCCCATTTTGCCCCCACACTTGCTCCACCACAAACTTCTAGCTACCTTAGTTGATTGCTGGTCTACACTTCCACTTCCTCAGGCTTCATCTATGCAGTTATCTCTGCTTATTAGGAAATCTTGTTGGTTCTGTCTCTGAAATATATCCAACATCTGATGAAATTTTACCAATCTCGGCATTGCCATTCTGGCCCAAGCCACCATCTTTTCTGATTTAGAATATAAAATCCTTCAACCAGTTTGCTTTTTCTTTTCTTTTTCTTTCTATTTATTTAATTAATTAATTTATTTATTTATTTGACAGAGTTTTGCTCTTGTCACCCAGGCTGGTATGCAATGTCTCGATCTCGGCTTACTGCAACCCCTGCCTCCGGGGTTCAAGCAATTTTCCTGCCTCAGCCTCCTGAATAGCTAGGATTACAGGCATGCACCAGCTAATTTTGTATTTTTAGTAGAGATGGGGTTTCATCAGGTTGGCCAGGCTGGTCTCGAACTCCTGACCTCAGGTGATCTGCCTGCCTCAGCCTTCCAAAGTACTGGAGTTACAGGCATGTGCCACCATGCCCAGCTAATTTTTGTATTTTCAGTAGAGATGGGATTTCACCATGTTGGTCAGGCTGGTCTCGAACTCCTGACCTCATGATCTGCCCACCTTGGCCTCCCAAAGTGCTGGGATTACAGGCATGAGCCACCATGCCTGGCTTTACTTGGATTCTTTTATGCTCGCCTTCTTGATGATCCTTGAACACATTTTTACACTATGTTTCCTCTGCCTGGAATATTTTTCCTCCAGATAGCAACATGGATAACCTCAGATTTTTAATTCCTTGGTTTAATGTCATCTCAGTAAGACCTACCTTGACTACCTTACTTAAAATTTTAAACCATCCCTCAATCAACTAGCATTCCAAATTCCTTATTTTCAAGCTTTAATCCCATTATTTTATCACCCATGCATATATCCTATAATCTAATTATATATTATGATTACGATTTGCTAGCTTCCCCCTGTAGAGTGAAAGCTTCAGAAGTGTAGGGATTTTTGTTGTTCTTAATTTTTTCCAAAGATGTGTTTCAAGTGCCTAGAACATTGACTATTAAGCACTCAAAAAATATGAAAAAGTGTTGAATGCATATGCAAATGTTCTCAATAATGTCCTACCATAACTCTTTTAAAGTTACCTTTTGTCTCCAGTACATATTTTTCATATTTAGACCTTTGTTTAATAAGTGCTTAATAAATGTGTGCTACAATTTCTTCCAGCATGATTTATTATGAAGCCAATAGCTTTAGATTTCTGACACTCCTACAGCAAATGACAGACTACTTTGTCATTTGTCTGCTGATATGAGATTCTTCTTTTCCTTTGCAAGAAGGCAGTTACTCCACCAGCGGCCCCTCCCATTACCACTTCACCAGAGAGTGTGTTAACCTGCACACACTCAGCTCTCTACCATCATCCCATGTCTTGACTTAAATATTCCAAATAATCACAGCTCTCTTTTAAAAATCTAATACAAATGGCCTCACAGGTATGTCAGAACCCAATAAATGTGTATTCAGGTAATTTTTATCACTAATAATTAATCCTAAAATCTGTTAAGTATATGTTTATGCATTCCTTTCTTTACGTGCTAGTGAATTTCAAGAAATGGCAAACAAGAGGATAGAATTAGGTGTGCTTTCAAGCATCTAAGATTTTGACAAATCCTGGTTAGAGGATATCTATTCCTGAGGAAATGTAGGTGGATTGGGCATGGGTGCAGTGAGCAAGCATTAAGAACCACTGTTAAAGTCTAAATCTCAATGCTTCCTTGTGATTTGGACATTAGTCATGACTTTTTAAGCAGAGCACAAAACATTAAGAATACATTTCAAAAATCACAAGTCCCTGGTTGTTAGGGACTAATTATTTCTAATTAAGATGCAGATATCTCTGATTGTTATTCTTCCTTTGCTGACCAAGCCAAAAACTCCAAGTTTATACTTAAATTCATATATTGCAGTCACATGGAAAATTTTCTTATCTGATTTTATCATAAATACATTTCTGAATTTCCACAGATTGTTAATAATAATAATATTATTGATCTCATTCATTTGAGATACTATTAACTAATATTTTTACATGTTTAAATTACTTTCACATTCTTGCTCTTAAAATTATTACGGTAAATATCTGTATCATATCTCTGTTTTCTTAAATTAGCTTCTTAGTATATTTTCCAGAAGTAAAATTGTTGAGTAAAATCAGGTAGGTCTCTGCCTTATCCATTTCATATTAATTATTTCTCTTTTTCTTTATCAAAATTCTGTCAGACTCCTGAAAAATATATCTGTATTTTTCCACTACCTTAGCAATATATTTAAAAATATGAAATTAGTCTATTAACTGTAGAGTCAAAACTGTGTAATCTATTCATTCCTTTCTTTATATTGCATGTTACCTCATTTATTGAGTGTTGCCTCTGTTTCAGGAGTGTTATACTTTAGAATGACCACAAACATGTTATGAAGTACATCAGTGTATCTATGCTGTTTCTAATATTTTAAGTTCCTTTAGTATAACCCCTTGTATATCTTGGATAATAATTGAACAAAAATTAGTCAAATGCATAACGCTTTACGGTAGGTGAGCTGTAAGTCCAAAGCTATTCCAGCATTGCATGCATTAAGCAGATAAAGAATATAACAAGTAGTGAAGCCTTAAGAATTCAAACTTTAGCATTTCCTTGCTGAAAATTAGCTTAATAAGAAAAATTAGATAAAAAGATTCAGTTTTGTAAAATGATTTCAAGAATCAAAAAAAGTATGAAACTTGGAAAGATGATAAATTCAAAATAAATCACAGGCATTGCTGTTTCAGAAACTGACTTTTAATTTATAGCTCAAAATCTGTTATTAGGTGAAAACGACTTCTCATTTGGGAAATGTAAATTTTTGTTTTCATATACTATTACATTGTGTTTAAATGTGTGTAGGAAAACATACAGACTACATGTGTAGTCTTCTACTTTGTGGAATCTTGTCAAGGCCCCAAGATACTTTATGTAAATTAAAGTTGTTGATATAGAAAGATTGAGGATTAGTTGTAATTGATGCAACTGTCTTGCATAGATCTTCTCTAAAGCAGTATTGTCCAACAGAAACTTCAGTGAAAATGGAAACGTTTTTATAGGCGTTGTCTAATACTATAGCTTCTAGTCACATGTAGCTATTGAGTACTTGAAATGTGACTAGTGAGACTAAGGAACTAATTTTTAATTTTATTTATTTTTCTTATTTGAATTTAACCCTAAACATCCGCCTGTGGACTGTAGCTATTGATGACCATATTGGACAGTGTAGCTCGCTGTGAGGAATAAAGTTGAAAACATGTATAGTTGTGTGTACAGAAATGTTTCAAAGGTCATCTTTCATTTTGTGTACTATATGAAATGATATCTAAACTGATGGAATAGAATCGCATATAGCTCTTTAGAGCAATTAATGGGACTTCTCAGCCACCATAATCATATGAGCTAATTCCTTGTAAGTATATGCTATTTTCAGAGTTGTATTTGAGTTAGTCAAATAACCCTCCCATGCACACATACACACTTGCACATATCTTGCTTATTCACAGTCAGTAATTTCAGCTATGAGGTAGAATTACTCATGGATTTTTTTTAATCTATAAACTAATTGGGAATTACCTGGGCTCTAATTACTAGTAAGAATATCCTTTTAGTCACTGGTAAATTTGGCATATTTTGAATCCCTTATAATTCTTAAGAGCAGTATTATATTCTTATAGTATCATTTTCTACACCAAACTATCTGCTTAAAATAATTTTCATCTTGAGATATTACTCATACTTATAGTGGGTTTGCACTGATGATTTGTCTTTGCTCACTTCTGAATCCTGTGTTGTATAATAATTGCATTAAAGAAAAATTATGTTGCTGGAGCCACAGGTCTCTATTGTTACCTCCGGCATGAATTCTAAAATAAACTGACCCATTTTAGATATTCAGTTTGTGATGATAAATTAAAGTGGCTCCACCTGATGTGCTTAAGGGGTCAAATCTTTGCGTATAGATTTTTCAGTGTAATCTACTAACCAGTTGAGTGAGCCTACTATTATTGCTATGATATTATTGTGTGCCTAAGAGTAATAAATGTTCTGTGTATAAAAATGTACAGAGAACCTAACATAAGCAGATGCAAAATTTAGCAATATTATCAAAATATAAAACTGGCCTACTGTAGAGTTAATCTGAAAAAAATATATATAAATTATTATCTTCTATGCGTTGTTTTATTTATTAGTTTGTGTCATGTGGTAGGTTTCTTGGAGTGAGCTGAGTTGCAGGAAATACTCTTCTCATTTCATCATAGAGATATATGATGCTTAATTTTATGTATCAACTTCATTGGGCCGCCGGAAGTCTAGGTAGCTGGTTAAACATTATTTCTAAATGTGTCTATAAGGATGTTTCTCGAAGAGATTAACATTTAATTGATGGACTGAGTAAAGTAAATAGCCCTACCCAATGTGGGTGGACATTATCTAATCCCTGAGGGCCCGAATAAAACAAATGTGTAGAGGAAGGTTGAATTCTCTCCTATCTACCTGACTGCTTGAGCTGGGACATTAACTTTCTTCTGACAAAGCAACCCTGGTTCTCAGGACATCAGGCTCAGACTGGATGAAATCTACCATTGACTTTCTAGCTCTCAAGTTTTTGAATTATACCACAGAACTTCCTGTTCCTTCAGCTTGCAGATGGCAGATCGTAGGACTTCCCAGCCTCCTTCATCATCATGTGAGCCCCTTCCTTAGAGTAAATATTATTATACATTTCCTAATGGTTTGTTTTTCTGAAAAACCCTAACTAATAAAGGAATATAGTTTGCATTGTATATTTTTCTCGTTGGTTTATTGTGGTGTAATTGATTCCCAAACATATTCTGTGCATATTTACATTTCATTTAAAGTATAAACTCTAGAATGACACAAACTATGTCTCAGATTTCTTAGGGGTTTCAATTATTCTTGGTATAATATTATTTGAATTTATGTATTTATTTAGATAAACATAATTTTATCAACATTTGTTGAGAAAATATTATTTGTACCTGATGATTTTGAAAGAGGGACTATAAATAAATATATGGTGAATGAGGAATAAATGCTAAGCACTAGTTAGGCACTGGGTACACAGGAGTGAACTACACAAGTGTGATCTTGTTCTTTACTAAGTTATGATATAGTAGTATAGAATACAGCATTAAATAAATAATCAGATAATTTTTATAAGAATTATTTTTGTGAGTCCCTTTTTGTGTTGCTATAAAGAGATACCTGAGGCTGCATAGCTTATAAAGAGAAGAGGTTTTTTTGGCTCATCGTTCTGTAGGTTGTACATGAAGGATGGTACTGGCATCTGCTTCTGGTAAAAGTCTCATGAAGTTTATAATCATAGCAGAAGGCAAAGGAAAGCCTGCATATCACCATTATGGTGAAAAAAGGAGGCAAGAAAAAAGGAGGGAAGAAGTGCCAAAATCTTTTAAACAACCAGATCTTGTGCAGACTAAGAGTGAGAACTCATCAGTATTGTGAGGGCAGCACCAAGACATTTATACGGGATTTGCTCCCGTGACTCAGACACTTCACACTAGGCCCACCTCCAACATTGGAGGTCATGTTTTCACATAAGATTTGGAGGGGACAAAACATCCAAACCATATACGCTATGACTATAAAATATAAGATACTATGAGAGTATATAATAAAGAATAAGCTAGCCTAGGTAGGTTTGAAAAAAGTGGGGCAAAAGATGTTCAGAGATAGCTTTTTAGTGTGGATGTTTAAGACAGGAATAAGATAAAGAGAAAGTTAACTGCAAAAGAGGGAATGGTAAAACAATGTACCAGAGAGAGCAAAAACATATAATAAACAAAGGGGTAGAAAGGTGAGATGATGCTTAAAAAGCTGTTAAACCTCAGCATTATGCAGGACCTTACAGGCCATGTTAGGGATTTTTAAATTTATGCTAAAGAAACAAAAAGTAACCAAAGTATTTGAGCCTAGAAATGGCAAATCCAGCATATATGATTAAAAAGTTATTTTTATGGTGTAAAAGTGCTTGAGAGATCTTTTACTAAGCAGTTGCAGCATGCTGGTAAGACGAGATAATAGCTGGGGCCAAGCTCTATTGTCATTAGTAGTAGAGTGATTGGAATGGACCTAGAATATATTTCAGAATAAGAAATGGCAAGACTTGGTAATTAACTAAATGTCATCAGTGAAAGGAAGATTTCAAGTATGACTTCAGTGTTTCTGGTATGAATAACTGGGTAAATGGCAGTGCCATTTACTGCAATGGAAGAAGACTGAAAAATAAAAAAAGATGTGGAAAATATCATGAATTCAATGTTCCAGTAGAGATTAAAGGGTAGAAGTTTTATATACAGAGTGTAGAAGAGGGGACTAAGATGAAAACAATTGATATCATACTTTTAGTGTAAAAACAAGATACAAGCCCAAAAGAGTTGAAAGCATTGCTCATAAGGAGAACATAGGACAAAGAGTAGAGTACCTAGTACCAAGGCTAGATGAATTCCAATATTTCATAAGTTAGGAGAACGAAAGGACAGCAAAACTGAATACAATAAAATTAGAGAAATAGCATCATTTTGTTTATTGTAGTACCATGGAAACTGAGGGATGAGTGTTTACAAAATATTGACTAAAACTTTTTGATGATGTCATGACATTCAGTAAGATGATGACTAGAAAATTCTTATTGGATTAAGTAACATATTGATGGTGACTTTAGTAATCATTGTTTTACAGAGTAGAGAAAATAACAACCCAAACTGCAATAAAATGCTACATGATTGGGAGGTATAGAACTAGAAAAATGTCACGCCTGTAATCCCAGCACTTTGGGAGGCCGAGGCGGGTGGATCACGAGGTCAGGAGATCGAGACCATCCTGGCTAACACGGTGAAACCCCGTATCTATTAAAAATAATACAAAAAATTAGCCGGGCGTGGTGGCGGGTGCCTGTAGTCCCAGCTACTAGAGAGGCTGAGGCAGAAGAATGGCGTGAACCCAGGAGGCGGAGCTTGCAGTAAGCTGAGATTGCGCTACTGTACTCCAGCCTGGGCAGAAAAAAAAAAAAAAAAGAACTAGAAAAATGATGTGTTAACTATTTTTAAGATTGTTATCTCTAAAGGAAAACAGAAATTTCTGACTGTGGAATCCACTTTTTTTTTTATTATACTTTAAGTTCTACGGTACATGTACACAACGTGCAGGTTTGTTACATATGTATACATGTGCCATGTTGGTGTGCGGCACCCATTAACTCGTCATTTAGCATTAGGTATATCTCCTAATGCTATCCCTCCCCCCTCCACCCACCACACAACAGGCACTGGTGTGTGATGTTCCCCTTCCTGTGTCCATGTGTTCTCATTGTTCAGTTCCCACCTATGAGTGAGAACATGAGGTGTTCGGTTTTTTATCCTTGTGATAGTTTGCTGAGAATGATGGTTTCCAGCTTCATCCATGTCCCTACAAAGGATGTGAACTCATCATTTTTTATGGCGGCATAGTATTCCATGGTATATATGTGCCACATTTTCTTAATCCAGTCTATCATTGTTGGACATTTGGGTTGGTTCCAACTCTTTGCTATTGTGAATAGTGCCACAATAAATACACGTATGCATGTGTCTTTATAGCAGCATGATTTATAATCCTTTGGGTATATACCCAGTAATGGGATGGCTGGATGAAATGGTATTTCTAGTTCTAGATCCCTCAGGAATCGCCACACTGACTTCCACAATGGTTGAACTAGTTTAAAGTCCCACCAACAGTGTAAAAGTGTTCCTATTTCTCCACATCCTCTCCAGCACCTGCTGTTTCCTGACTTTTTAATGATCGCCATTCTAACTGGAGTGAGATGATATCTCATTGTGGTTTTGAATTGCATTTCTCTGATGGCCAGTGATGATGAGCATTTTGTCATGTGTCTATTGGCTGCATAAATGTCTTCTTAAGAGAAGTGTCTGTTCATAAACTTTGCCCAGTTTTTGATGGGGTTGTTTTTTTCTTGTAAATTTGTTTGAGTTCTTTGTAGATTCTGGATATTAGCCCTTTGTCAGATGAGTAGATTGCAAAAATTTTCTCCCATTCTGTAGGTTGCCTGTTCACTCTGATGGTAGTTTCTCTTGCTGTGCATAAGCTCTTTAGTTTAATGAGATCCCATTTGTCAATTTTGGCTTTTGTTGCCACTGCTTTTGGTGTTTTAGACATGAAGTCTTTGCCCATGCCTATGTCCTGAATGGTACGGCCTAGGTTTTCTTGTAGGGTTTTTATGGTTTTAGGTCTAACATTTAAGTCTTTAATCCATCTTGAATTAATTTTTGTATAAGGTGTAAGGAAGGGATCCAGTTTCAGCTTTCTACATATGGCTAGCCAGTTTTCCCAGCACCATTTATTAAATAGAGAATCCTTTCCCCATTTCTTGTTTTTGTCAGGTTTGTCAAAGATCAGATGGTTGTAGATGTGTGGTATTATTTCTGAGGGCTCTGTTATATTCCATTGGTCTATATCTCTGTTTTGGTACCAATACCATGCTGTTTTGGTTACTGAAGCCTTGTAGTATAGTTTGAAGTCAGGTAGCGTCATGCCTCCAGCTTTGTTCTTTTGGCTTAGGATTGTCTTGGTAATGCAGGCCCTTTTTTGGTTCCATATGATCTTTAAAGTAGTTTTGTCCAATTCTGTGAAGAAAGTCATTAGTAGCTTGATGGGGATGGCATTGAATCTATAAATTACCTTGGGCAGTATGGCCATTTTTACGATATTGATTCTTCCTATCCATGAGCATGGAATGTTCTTCCATTTGTTTGTGTCCTCTTTTATTTCATTGAGCAATGGTTTGTAGTTCTCCTTGAAGTGGTCCTTCACAGTGCTTGTAAGTTGGATTCCTAGGTATTCTATTCTCTTTGAAGCAATTGTGAATGGGAGTTCACTCATGATTTGGCTCTCTGTTTGTCTATTATTGGTATATAAGAATGCTTGTGATTTTTGCACATTGATTTTGTATCCTGAGAATTTGCTGAAGTTGCTTATCAGCTTAAGGAGATTTTGGACTGAGACGATGGTGGTATTTTCTAAATATACAATCATGTCATCTGCAAACAGGGACAATTTGACTTCCTCTTTTCCTAATTTAATTACCTTTATTTCTTTTATTGTGGCACTATTGACAATAGCAAAGACTTGGAACCAACCCAAATGTCCATCAGTGATAGACTGGATTAAGAAAATGTGGCACATATACACCATGGAATACTATGCAGCCATAAAAAAGGATGAGTTCATGTCCTTTGTAGGGACATGGATGAAGCTGGAAACCATCATTCTCAGCAAACTATCACAAGGACAAAAAACCAAATACCGCATGTTCTCACTCATAGGTGGGAATTGAACAATGAGAACACTTGGACACAGGAAGGGGAACATCACACACCAGGGTCTGTCATGGGCTGGGGGGAGGGGGGAGGGATAGCATTTGGAGATATACCTAATGTTAAGTGACGAGTTAATGGGTGCAGCACACCAACATGGTGCATGTATACATATGTAACGAACCTGCACGTTGTGCACATGTACCCTAGAACTTAAAGTATAATAAAAAGATAAAATTAGGTCTTAGCCATTTTGAGATGCTCTATGGACAACCTTTTCTTACCAATGATTTTCTATTAGATCAGGAAACCTCTGAGCTGGTTAAGCATGTAATCTCTCTCGCTCACTTCCAACAAGAATTAGCACAATTAGCAAAAGCCCAACCCCAGGAAATGGGACCACCTCTATTTAACCCAGGAGATTTCGTATTGATAAAGTTTCTCCTTTCTCTCTCTCCCTCCCTTAGGCCAAGATGGGAAGGGCCTTACACTGTTCTTCTTTCAAACCCCTCATCAATAAAAATTATGGGAGTCGACTGCTGGATACATCACACTTGAGTCAAAGCCTGGAGAGCTGAGGGAGAGATCCCTGACAGCCCAAAGGAGCGTCCTGAATATCAATGTGAAGAAATAGGATATCTTAAGCTGAAAATCACAAAAGGTAAGTAACTGAGTGAGAAATACTCATCTCACTCAGTCTCATCCCTACCTCACCAAATGCTTTTTGTCTTTCCTACCTCTCTTTTTGAGATTCATTCCCAAATATTCTAACTTCTTTTTGATGGTAATTATTTACTACACCCCCCTTGTGGGAATTCTTATACTCACTCTACTATTCGCAGTAGGACTATATACTGTAGCACCTCAGGGTGGAATATCGAACAGAGAATCTCAATTACTGTAGCATTTTGCTTAATTATTATCCTTATAACAGGAATAACAGTTACTAACAGAAAGTAAACATAAGCAGTTTACTATCACTAAGTCTGATAGGACTTTTTTATCAGACTTAGTAATACATCACAATGTTTAGCTCCTACAGTATCAGCCATGGTCCATTTGTACAACAAGACTAATTGTTGGGTCTGTCCTTAGCAGTTTGTTCAGTTCAATGACACTAAGGAAACTTTCAATGACCCAGAACTCACCATCTTAGGGTTCCCTTTGTTAGCTTTACCTTTAATCCTTAAAGACTTATCAGGCATAAATGGGACATGGTATGGGAGCACTTTCTACTGGACAACTAAGTCCTCTCAGGAGAACACTCTGCCCCCAGTGTCAAAGAACACTCTCCCCAAAGATAAGCTTCACACCCTCAGGCTGGGAAAAGTTGACCAGGCAATAGCAAATGCCTCCCTCTGCTTTAAAAGCAGTGAGAAAGGACCATCCTTGGGAGATCTCAGATATTGTAACATCACAATTGTAATTGCTGATAGTTCAAAGATTAGGGGAGGAAAGCACAACAAGGGTGATCTAAAAGGATCAGAAACCCTAGTGGGTAGCTTTCAGAATCTAGCCTCTCCTTCTGATTGGAAGTCCCAATGGGAGTGGCATCCTCTAAGTAACCACCTTAATTATAATGTAAAGAATAACACATGGGTCTTTCCAAACATGGTCCCTCATGGAATTCCAGACCGTTGTATGATGTTTGCTAATAGTAGGGGCCTACAAATCTGTGGGATAACTGGAGACATCTGGACTGACAGCCCTTGCCGCAAGGTTCATCTGAGTTATTGGCCAGAGCATATTATGTCTCTAATTTTTTGTAACTCCATTTGTCAGGTGGACCCTTCTCACTTGACATGTCGAAGTCCAAATGGCATCGTAAATGACTATGCTAAATATAGATATCCTTATCCCAAGGATGTTATTTGTCAGGATTTCAGTTCAGCATCGGAAGTATTTTGACTGAAAGCATTGTTTTAGTGTAATTACTTCTTGTTTCTCCAAGTTTGTGGACTAAATACCTTCCTCATCTGAATTTCTAATTGGTCAGAGGAAAGAATTAATTGTGCATCTAAAGCCTTTACTGAAACTTCATACTGAGGTCTCTAAAAACCTAATGTATCTGGTAGAGTCTGAAGCAAATGGATCCCATCACAAGAGTAAATGAACAAGAAAATAAATAAGGAGGTGAATCAATGGGGTTATAAAAATATGTGAAGAAAGTACGTATGTTCTATAGTGTATTCCAATGGTGTCAGTTTCTTCACTGTGTTCATTATGTGAGGCATTTTATTTATTGTGTGAGGCCATTCAAAACATTGCAGGAAGCGTTAAGTTTGCTCTTATCCCCACTTTGCCATAACACGCCAGTAGCTTTGAAAATACTCACCCCTTCCCCAGTTATCATCACAACAAAACAGGTACCTTGACATTTATTAAACCACAAAGTAGGTTGGGCTTATTAATCTAGAATGAGAACTTCTGTTTATTCTCCATCATGTGGGAGGCAGAAATGCAGTACTGTATACCATATTTTCTGTAGAGAAATATTAATATTTGTTTTATAAAAATTGATTTGGACTTTATTGATCCTATATGTTATTATTTATTCTTGAGCAAGTAGTTGTATTTGTTTGAGTTCCTTCTCACAGGAGATAAGAACCTAAAAGGAAGATGGAGTGTATATAGACTTCTCTACCTTGCAGGTCAGTGAAATAGAATTAGAAGCTTCCAGTTCAAAAATATATTATTGAAACACTTGAACCAGGCTCCCTCCCACAGTATCACTGACCTAATTAAGTACATATAAAAAGAGGAATAACAGCTACATTAATTACTTCAAGTGTTCAAGTATTCAAATAACAGAATAAAAATAGAAAAAAAAAGAAAAAATGAAACTAAAGAAAATAAAAAGGAATTAATAAAGGAAAAGCTTTCATTTAATTCACTTTGAAACATATATTCTGATCTCAGCTATACTGGGAAAAATTACATTAAAAAAATGTGCTTCAGCTTACGTTAATGACCCAGAAGCACCCTGAGACCACATGAGTAGCAGCCCAATCTTATTTCTGAAATTACAGAAAACTGTTTTTGCTTGCTTCTGTTAATAAAGATTAGAGATAGAGATTAAAGCCTAGCAGGACAGGGAGCAGACATTCTGATATGGAATAAGAGGTGTATGGGAAAGACGATCTTCACCAGTGTGGTTGCAGAAACAACTAGGTAAGACTAATGACAGCAAGGGTGGGTGAGCACACTGAGGTTTTGAATGCAATCAGCGAGGAACTAAGAAAATCAATATTTGGAGTATTAGAACAAATAATGGCATCACCTGTACTGATTGGCTGATTGTAATAAGACTGAAAGAGTGAGAAGCAAAAGCAAATTAAGTAAAATAAACATGTTATGCTTCAAACTGGATTGGGTCAAACATACAATGAGATGGGCCCCTTATGGAAAAATTAGTAGATCTAATACAAAAATCTGCCAACACAAATTCAGGGAAAAAAAGGAACAAGGAGATATAGGATAATGATACATACAGGGTTTATTGGCAATCTGAAATGTTTATACATTTAATAGTTTCCTTATTATACAATATATTTAATTGATGGATGAAAATTTTGATAGTAACACCTCTCAAAAGTTTAAGTCAAGTTTGTAGATAATTTTATTCCATGTAGACACAGTCTCTGAGAATGTATATGGAGCACATATTCTCTAAGATATATTAAAGGATAGAAATGCTGCATAGAATAAAATATGCAGTAAAAAAATTCAGTAAGTTTAATTTTATTGATACACTGAAATACACACACACACGCACACACACACACACACACACACACACACAGAGAGAGAGGAAAACTTATAGAAAACTAAAAGTCTGGAAGTCCAGACCTGTTTGCTCATTTTAACAAATATGCGTTAAATGTGGGAAAAGTTCATATTTTTCAAAATGAAAATTCAAGATGCACTTATTTTCTAGTTTTTGTTTCCAGTTGTCTCTTTATTTACATTATATAATTTCACATTAAAACCCATGTTTTAAATGAGCAGAAAGAAGAACAAGTGTACTGTTTTTCTAGAAAGCCTTTTGAAGTCTTATTCTTTTAGACCTGTAACCAATGTTTTGCCTGAGAAATGGACATAATTCTATATACCAAGATTAATCAAAGATATATCAGGTGAAATGTGTAAAGTGAAGGGTTTGCTTTTTGCCTTATACAATTCAATGTTTGCTTTATGTGTCTGTCATTTTAACTAATGTATTAAAATATGTAGGGATAACCTAGCATTATTGCCATAACTTTCAATGGCAAAAACCTTGATCACTTTTGTACCAACCTAATACACATCATTTAAAAAATCAATTACCCAGCATGCATCTCAGAAAGACTGTTCTTTCACCTAAAATATCACATAAACCAAGTTAAAGCTTGTTCGAATAGTAAAAGCAACCCAGTTCATAAAAGTCCCGAAAAAAAACACATTAGTATGTACCTGTCTTCAAGATCACATGCCCTTATTTGTATTGGTCATACATGTATATAAAGAGTTGACTTCTCTTTGACAGCAGTATCACTGTTATTCTTTTCTGTGAGTATTAATTCATTTGTATGTCTCATGTAAAGATATATTTTAAAATCTTTTATTCAGTAATTTATTTAGTTTTAACTTTAAGAATGAAACTGTGGTAGAACTCAATGTACTGAAATCCAGTTGCACAAGAAAATGGGGAAAAGTTGCTTAGCATCAACATGTGTAAAAATAAAAGAAAAAAATCACCTTTGGGATTTTAGGCAACAGTACACTCAGTGGTTAGGCATGGTGATATATTCTCCCAGACCAGCAAATGTCCTAGACTACATTAAGAGAATTATCATTTTAAGAACAAAGGAGGAGACAGGCCAAGCCATTCTATTCACTTTGCCCTCATATATGAACAATTTAAATGCATGTCCTTTTACCTTAGCAAAGTAAGAGAGCAGATTTTATATTCTGTTGCATGGCCTTTTGATCATGTTCTAGGAATGGTCTCATGAAATAGCTGAAGCTATTGTGAATCTCATCTGGAAAAACAAACTATTCTTCAAGGGCATAGAGTATACAGTATTAATATATTTGTGTGTTAATAGCTCAATACAGATTTGTAATACATATCCAGTAAATATTGACTCAAAAAGTATTAATTTATTTAGCATACTAAGGAATGAAGATACATTAAATTAAAGTCCAAAATATCACACAGCCATATTTTGCATGTTATTTAACAATACACATATTTAATTATTTGCATTTTATCTTGCAGATGTGTTTTTTTAATGAAAAAGTGACTTTTTATTTTTTTCCATATTCAATGAAGTTTTTTTTTATACTTTAAGTTTTAGGGTACATGTGCACAATGTGCAGGTTAGTTACATATGTATACATGTGCCATGTTGGGGTGCTGCACCCATTAACTCGTCATTTAACATTAGGTATATCTCCTAATGCTATCCCTCCCCCTTCCCCCCACCCCACAACAGGCCCTGGTGTGTGATGTTCCCCTTCCTGTGTCCATGTGTTCTCATTATTCAATTCCCACCTATGAGTGAGAACATGAGGTGTTTGGTTTTTTGTCCTTGTGATAGTTTGCTAAGAATGATGGTTTCCAGCTTCATCCATGTCCCTAAAAAGGACATGAACTCATCATTTTTTATGGCTGCATAGTATTCCATGGTGTATATGTGCCACATTTTCTTAATCCAGTCTGTCATTTTTGGACATTTGAGTTGGTTCCAACTCTTTGCTATTGTGAATAGTGCCGCAACAAACATACATGTGCATGTGTCTTTATAGCAGCATGTTTTATAATCCTTTGGGTATATACCCAGTAATGAGATGGCTGGGTCAAATGGTATTTCTAGTTCTAGATCCCTCAGGAATCGCCACACTGACTTCCACAATGGTTGAACTAGTTTAAAGTCCCACCAACAGTGTAAAAGTGTTCCTATTTCTCCACATCCTCTCCAGCACCTGTTGTTTCCTGACTTTAATGATCGCCATTCTAACTGGTGTGAGATGATATCTCCTTGTGGTTTTGATTTGCATTTCTCTCATGGCCAGTGATGATGAGCATTTTTTCATGTGTCTTTTGGCTGCATAAATGTCTTCTTTTGAGAAGTGTCTGTTCATATCCTTTGCCCACTTTTTGATGGGGTTGTTTGTTTTTTTCTTGTAAATTTGTTTGAGTTCATTGTAGATTCTGGATATTAGTTCTTTGTCAGATGAGTAGATTGCAAAAATTTTCTCTCATTCTGTAGGTTGCCTGTTCACTCTGATGGTAGTTTCTTTTGCTGTTCAGAAGCTCTTTAGTTTAATTAGATCCCATTTGTCAATTTTGGCTTTTGTTGCCATTGCTTTTGCTGTTTTAGACAAGAAGCCCTTGCCCATGCCTATGTCCTGAATGGTATTGCCTAGGTTTTCTTCTAGTGTTTTTATGGTTTTAGGTCTAACATTTAAGTCTTTAACAAAAACAAGCAATGGGGAAAGGATTTCCTATTTAATAAATGGTGCTAGGAAAACTGGCTAGCCATATGTAGAAAGCTGAAACTGGATCCCTTCCTTACACCTTATACAAAAATTAATGCAGACGTGTTTTCTTAAAGGGTTCACTGCTAGGAAGTGATGCTCAAAATTAAACGTTATAAGAGCTAGTATCTTATACTGGCCATGGGGCAACTGCACTTTCAAAATTTTTCCAGATCAAGGACATAAGTTCAGTGCATTGAACACTGAAATTTTCCCTTAAAGACATCCAGATTTACTGCTTAAAAATTGAGGGCTTCCTACAGGAAATCCCACAATCTAAAGCTAGATTGAACAAAAAGGAAATGTAATTTGAATTTACAACTAATATGTCAGACACCATAGAAAGTAATACCATTCATAGCATTTCTGGGGAGATAAATATTATTACTTCCATTTCTCCAGTAGTTAAGGAAGTGTATTTCAAAGGCACTAAGTAACTTGCCAACTGATACACCTAGTAAATGCCAGAACTAGAACACCAAATATCGTGTCTGATTCACTCAGCCTTTCCCAGAAGTCTTCTGGATGGTCCACCAGAGAGAATCAATAATTAACCAATACTGGGAATGAGATTAATTTTCTGACAAGAGAGATCCAGGGACAATGAATACACTTGGTCTAAACTACATGACCCACAGAACATTCACCACTATTACAAGAGTCAAGAAAAGATCTAGACACTATCTCAGAACCTCACTTCCCTCATGTTTTCTGCCCCCATCACCGCTAATACTGATAGCCTTTCCGCCAGTTTCTTCATTGCCTCCACAGGTATTACTCTTAAAATTGTCATTGTTTTAGGTCATCTAAGACAAAATTCACAAGCAAAATGGAAACATTCATGTATTCCCTCATCTTCTACACTTCAGTTTTCTAAGACTCTGTGTATTCCCTAATCTATCCCATTCTCCCACTCCTGTTTAACTCTTGAAACTCTAATTCATGGTCTATCGTTTGCAAAATTCCCTTTAATCTCAACCTCATCTTGAAATTTCCTTTTACCTTATTGCTCTAAACCTGACTCACCCTACAAAAGATTTTATTCTGCAATCCTCTCAACTGGTGATTTTTTCCCCCCACACTCTATATTACTGTGACTAGAGGTAGATATTCTACACTTTACTGCAGATTCCATGTCTTTCTCCCCTGCTACTCCCTAATAACACTCATTTTTGAAAGAAACAGTTACATATTTGTCCTGGATTATTGACACTCTCTTCAATACTGCAACTAACATAATTCTTAAAATTTTAATATACACATTCAAGATTTGTCCATTATTCTGACCTCTTAATTTATAAACTCTTCTCAAAATAACTTTTCTTTTTGCCAATGTCATGGACAAGGAAAATCTTTCCTTTTGCCCTCTGCAGGTTCACTGAAATTTACTAACAAGAGGTAGATTAATAGGTGAAAAAGGCATACAGCTGGATTTGGTAATAGTTCTATGTGGCAAGAAAGCCTTCAAAATGAAGACCCAAAGATACAGAGAAAATTGTCCATTTTTATGCTTAGGTTCAACAAAGTATAAACAGCTATGTAGAAATATGATTGGACAAAAAGTATATAACCTAATGCGAATAGATTGAGTGACAGAACCCAGAAAGCCCTGTCTGCCTAGATTTTTCTTGGCCCTCTCTGAGCATGTATTTTTTTCTTTCTGAGTATGGGGCAGAACCCTGTCTGACATAGGGGTCTTATGACCTACAGCCAAGCAAGGTAGGCCAGATAATTTCTTTATAGCCTGTTTTAGCAAAGAAAGGTGTGGGAAAGTTAGAGTAATATCTTTAGGTTTCATGGTTGGCTTTAGGAAAAATGGGTTCGGTTTCTGCCACCTGCCTTGGGAAGCAGGAATTCTAGTTTCTATGATTTACATTGCGGGAGAGTGGGACAGAGAGAGAACCAGTCTATCAATCCCGAGAGTAGGCCAGACCAGGTAAACAGTTATACATAAGGTTGCTGTAATGATGATTCTTTTCCAAAGTTTATACTAAGTTATCTAGTTTTAGCTTGTAGGACTTCTGGGAAAAGCAGTTTTAATTTCAGTTATTCTAAGAAAGATTTTTTAAAAATGAAAGCATTCGTTTAGAGATTTGTAGCCAGGAAATAATTAAGGATTCTGTCTAAATTGTGGGAAAATAATAAAAAATCAAAAACAATGGGCAAGGTGAAATCTAGTAACTTGTATACTATAGTTTTCTTTTGAAACATATTTTTTCCTCCAATACCCGATTTCCACCAAAGGCAAAACACAGTTGAAAAAAATTTCTGTGTAAAATACTTGTAGTTTCATTATACTTGGTCTGATTATTTGCATAAAGTACAACAAGAGTAGTGACTTGCTATATAAGCTCTTTTTAAGTTTGCTTTCTTGGAACTTCTTTATAAGGAATCTCAGATTAGACTTTTAAAAGCCTCAAGGCTAGGAAGCCAAGCCAAGGATTTGTAATTAAACTATGATTATAACATGAATTGGATTAATTCCTATCTTCTCAAGGTTCAAAAATATCTTAAGGTTCCTGTGTATGTCAGAAAGTGACATTCTTTACTTACATCAGGTCAAGAACCTTGTGAAGGAACCATGAAGAGAAGATATAAGGACAGTCTTTCTAAGGGGCTTTTTCTTTGCTCTACAAATTTAACCATAATTTTTCAAGCCAGTCTGGTCATATCTGAAAATGTGCCATTCCAGTCAAAACCTTGGTAAAGTAACCAGTATCTCCAATTTTGTCCTGATACAAATAAAAGCAGATACTAATTGAATTTATACAAATAGCAATATTGTCATAAATCAACATTTATCCTGAATAGTTTCCAAATTATGGAGAAATCAGATAGAGAAGAATATAAATGTTTCAATTTTGCTTACAAAAGTATATTTTACCCAATTTTTGTAATCTAAAATAGTCTAAAGGAAAAATGTTTTCTTGACTCTGGAAAATAGAACATAAAAATAATCATCAATGCTTTAAACAAAAAGGTCATGATGAAAATCATTTTAATCTTCTGGTAGTTCAGTCCCATATCATAAACTCCTGTTCTGTGTGATCTTGGATTGGCAATCTTTATGAACACATTAGTTTTTTAATTAGAATACTTGAAGTTTTTACCCATTCCAATGATATGATCGCCAAAGTTATCATTAACTTGTATTTGAGAGTATTTGTCAGAGTTCTTTTCACAAATTTCCTTAAAGAAGCAAATTTGGACTGTAGCTGATTATAAACTGCTTTGTGAGAAGTATCAAAGTAAAGCAATAATTGTCTGTGTAAGGCACATAGACCAATGGAACAGACTAGAGAGCCCAGAAATAAAGCTGCACTTCTATGACCATCTGATCTTCAACAAAGCTGAAAAAAACAAGCAATGGGGAAAACATTCCCTATTATAAATGATGCTGGGATAACCGGCTAGCCATATGCAGAAGATTGAAGCTGGGCCTCTTTTTTACACCATACACAAAGATCGACTCAAGATAGATTAAAGGCTTAAATGTAAAACCTAAAACTATTAAAAAACCTGGGAGACGACCTAGGCAATTCCATCCTAGATGTAGAAACGACAAAGATTTCATGACAAAGACAAAAAAAGCAATCACAACAAAAGCAAAAATTGGCAAGTGGAATCTAATTAAACTTAAGAGCTTCTGCACAGTAAAAGAAACTACCAACAGAGTAACAGACAACCTACAGAACGGGAGAAAATATTTGCAAACTATGCATCTGACAAAGGTCTAATATCCAGAATTTATAAGGAACATAAACAAATTGACAAGAGAAAAACAATCTATTACAAAGTGGACAAAGTGCATGAACAGACACTTCTCAAAAGAAGACATACATGAGGCCAAGAAACATATAAAAAAAAACTAAGTATCACCAATCATTAGAGAAATGCAAATTGAAACCACAATCAGGTACCATCTCACGCCAGTCCGAATGGCTATTATGAAAAGGTCAAAAAATTATAGATGCTGTCAAGATTGTGGAGAAAAGGGAGTATTTATACACTGTTGGTGGGAGTGTAAATTAGTTCTGCCATTGTGGGAAGCAGTATGGTGATTCCTCAAAGAGCTGAAAGTAGAACTATCATTCAACCCAACAACCCCATTACTGGGTATATACCCAGAAGAATATAAATCATTCTATCATAAAGATACACACACGTGAATGTTCATTGCAGCACTATTCACAACAGCAAAGATATGGACTCAACCTAAATGCCTGTCAATGACTAACTAGATAAATAAAATGTGATACATATACACCATGGAATACTATGCAGCCATAAAAAAGAACAAGAGTATGTCTTTTGCAAGAACACAGATGGAGCTACAGGCTACTATTCTTAGCAAACTAATGCAGGGACAGAAAACCAAAAACTGTATGTTCTCACTTATAAGTGGGGTTAAATAATAAAAACATATGAACACAAAGAAAGAAACTATTGACACTGGGGTCTACTTGATGGGGGAGGGTGGGAGAAGGATGAGGAGCAGAAAAGGTAACTACTGGATACTGTGCTTAGTACCTGGGTGATGAAATAATATGTACAACAAAGCCCCATTACACATGTTTATCTATGCAACAAACCTTCACATGTACCCCAAAACGTAAATAAATGTTAAAAAGAGCAATAAATCAGTAATAAAAAAGAAAAAACTTTTAAAAATTGTCTGTATATAACAAAAGTCTTAGAAATGGTTAAAGACAAAATTGACAAGGAAATGTGCGCTCTGAGCATGCATTCCCTCCTTCTGGGTGTGGGGCAGGACCCTTTCAGGAATGGGGGTCTTATGACCTATCTCAAAGTAGGTCAGATAATTTCTTTATGGCCAGTTTTGACAAAGAAAGGCGGGGAAAAGTTATAGTAATATTTTTAGGTTTTATGGCTGGCTTTGAGGAAAACAGATTCTGGTTTCTATGACCTACCTTGGGAAAGGGGGATTCTAGTTTCTATAATTAACATTGGGGGAGAATGGCCTTGAAAGACAGGAGGGCAGAGATCAGAGAAAACCTTTTGCTTCTGAAGCTATTTCTGAGGCCTTGATTTTGGGGTATTGTTTCTGAGTACCAACACCATCCTACCTCTTCCATTCATCCAGTGAGCATGGCTAGACCATGTAATGACAAAACACACACACATAAACACAAACACACACACACACACGTTAAAAACAAATCCAAGTTGCAATCCTTTCATAGTCTCAACTTGATTCAAATCAACTAATAATTTATTTCATAGCTTACCTCATAAGTACCCTCTTTCTTACTCTTCCTTCAAACATAACCTAACCATGTTAGAATATCTATACACTCTTTCATAGCTTACCTCATAAGTACCCTCTTTCTTACTCTTCCTTCAAACATAACCTAACCATGTTAGGATATCTATACACCCTTACTAACTTTAAATGTTATGTCATCCTTTTGATATCCTTTATTTTTATTCCATTTGAATTTCGAATCAATTATTATTATTACTTTCTTGACTCTTGCATCTAACTTGCTTGTAAAATTCAGTATCCCAGTAAATCCAACTTTGCTTCTTCCATTTCTGAACCTGTGCAGCTGAATGTAGCTGGAAAATATATAGCCATACCAATTAAACTCACTTTAAATTTATGACAAATAATGCTTCCAGTAAGTGTATTTTATACCTCAAATCAGGCAGCCATGCTCTTTTCAAAAGCAAATCTTTCCACTTGTGCACTAAATCCATTTCCCTCTCTCTTTTTAAGGCTTTGCTCCAGCAGTTCTCCCCTGTTACTCATAAAGCATGAAATTTTCATTCTCTATATTTCCCATTAACTTACAATGATCATATTATCACTACCATATTTTAAAAATTACCTCTTGATTATTCTTTGTTTCTTTCCTTCCCTTTGTAACAAAATTTATTGAAAGACTAATTTGTGTTTACTCTTTATTTCTTGTCAACTTATGCTCTATAAAACCCATTTCAGTCATGCTTGCCCCCTCAACTCCAATGTGCAAATATGTTTCTCCTTAGAGCTTTCCTAAAGTTGTGACATCTAATATGTTCCCCCATCTTTCTTACCTGCAGATATCTGCTCAGAATAATTCTCATCTTCTTTTAGTTTTGTCCAAATTTTTGTTTCTCAATGAGGTTTACTGTGATTCATTCCATTAAATATTGAAACTTCCTGTTCCCACCCATACCTGCCTTAACTTCACTTTTAGTATCACCATAGCATTTACTTTGCATTACAGCGTGCTAAATAATTTTTCTTATGGTGATTGTTTATTTTCTGTATCTCCTGATAGAAAGTCCAATAATATCAGGAATCTTTGCCTGTTTTATTTAGTGATACATGGACTTAGAAGAGCCTGAGGCACATAATTAGCACTCAATAAATATATGATGACCAAGTTAATCATCCTATCTTGCACGTATACACACTAAAATAATATATCAATTAAAGCAAAAAAGGCAAAAATATTTGTGTTTTTTTATAATAAAATATTGTTTTCTAGTCTAAACAACTGGTATCAATAAGACAGATATGGTCATAAATATCTCTTGCCACAAACAAGAAGAAAATCAGTAAAATATGAAAATATATAATAAGAAGACCAGGCCCTTTGGCTCATGCTTGTAATCTCAGCAATTTGGGAGGCCAAGGCAGGCAGATCGCTTCAGCTCAGAAGTTTGAGATCAGTCTGGGCAACATGGTGACACCTTGTCTTTACAAATAATACAAAAAATTAGCTGGGCATGGTGACATATGCCTGAAACTACTTGTGAGGCTGAGGTGGGAGGATTGCTTGAGCCTGGGAAATGGAGGCTGTTGCGCTGCAGCCTAGGTGACAGGGTGAGACCTTGTCTCCAAAAATAAAAATACAAATAAATCAAGAATATACAAATAAAATTCAGTTAAGACACTGTATAACCAGGAGGTCAGGATTGTGGTTACTGAAAGAAGGGAATCAAACAAGGTGAACCGATGACTGTCCCACTTTTCTGCCAGAATGCACTTTATGGAATGTGGCCAGAGAGATGAAACCCACATAAATAACATGCTGAGTTGTAGAGATAAGGATCAAAGTCGAAAGGTGACATAGCTGTAATTTAAGAAGTAAAGAACCAGAGACATGTGAGCTATGGAAAGAAAACATTATTAAAAAAACTTCAGAGGAATTTCCTTGAGGTTTTGCCAAATACTAAGTTTTCTGTGCATTGGATCAATTTCAATAAAGCCATAAAATATTAATTAATTTTAAAAATCCCAGAGCAATTACAGGTTTGAGAGATTTTTATGTTCTGAGAAGGCTACAGGGATTGACATGTTTGAACACCTGTAGAATTTAGTAGAAACCCTAGAACCACCTTTTTTTTTTTTACAACTACCTCTTAATAGGAGAACTAAATTAATCCTAGAGTAAAGAATAAAACTTTTTAAAACAAGTCTTAAAAAGAGCAGATGAATATGTAATTAATTAAGCTACATGTTAAAGTTCAATATTCTAATATAAATGAAAAGAAAATTCATATATGATTGTCACAATGCCCAGCATTGAACAAAAGAACTAGATATGCAAACAAGAAAAAAAGTCACAATTAATCAAAAAAATCAAAATTCAAAATACTCTATTGAAACATATGTCAAAGTAAAAAAATAGAATGGAATTTATATAATAAATACAGTGCAAACTATTTGGGTGATGGTTACAGAAGAAGCCCAGACTTTGCAGTATGCAATATACCTTTCTAACAAAACTGCCCTTGTACCCCTTGAATTTATAAAAATTTTAAAGGTGATAGAATTCACAGACAAAATCTGAAAAACTAGATGTAAAATTGGTAAAAAAAAAAAATTAAAGATCACATAACAATAGTGAAAAGAAAATGGAGATATGAAAAAGAACAATATAGAGCTTATAGAGATAAATTACTTAAAATTTAAAAACAAATCACTGGATGGCCCTAACAACAGATTAGACCTTTCAAAAGACAGATTAGTGACTAGAAATATAGCAATAGAAAATTTGAAAAACAGCATGGAAAGAAGAAAGGCAGAAACAATTAACAGGGTATTGGTGTTTTGTAATACCATATCACTAAATCAAACATGTGCATAATTTCAATTCAATAAGTGTTTGAGTGTAGCTAAAAAAAGGTATTTGAAAATAAAATTGTATCCAATTTTTTACAAATGTCCTAATTTAATTAAACTATAAATTTATGTATACAAAATGCTCATTATATGGCAAACACGATATCTACAAAGCAACATAACAATCAAATTATTGAAAAACAGTAACAAAGAAAAAATGCTAAAAGCAGCAATATATTTAAAAACATGCCTACAGGGCAGCAAGTGTAAGAATAACAGCTAACATTTTATCATAAACAACTTAAGTAGGAAAACAATGGAAAAATATCATTAAAGTGCTAGTAGAAGGTAATGTTGACTTGGATCTAGATCCCCCCATGCACCTCCCACAAAAAACAAACAAACAAACAAACAAAACTGTAGACCACATAAAGAAATGTTCAGGGAAGAAAAACAGAATTCATAACTATATGTACTGTATTACCAGAAATATTAAAATAAAATTATGAACTATGAAGGGTAATAATACCAGACGAAAACTCTGAATAAAGAACACTAAAAATAATATATATGTGAGAAATAAAAATAACTTTTATACTCATATTTTGAAATTGTTATAAATTAATAAATTGTTCAATCAATAATAATATGGGGTTGTAAATACATAAATGTAAAATATGTGACAATAATTGTATGGAAAACGCAAGGAGAAAATGAAAGTTCTGGAATTTTATAAAGTGATACATTATTATTTTAAGACGGTCTGTGATAAGATAAAAGTGCATATTACAATTAAACACTAGAAGAAAGATGTAGCTAACATAAAAGAAATAATAAAATGACTAAATTCATTCAGAAGAACAGAGGAAAAAGGAACAGATGGGACAAAGAGGAAGCATATATAAAATGGTAGGCCTGAATGCAATTTTGTTACATTTAGAGGTAATATTAAATGTTAGAACATGTAATGTTAAATTAAATTAAATGATTAGTTTAATGCTAAATTAAATGATTATATTTTAAAAGTAAGATAAAACTACATACTGTGTAAAAATATTAAATGTGAAGGCACAGATTAAGGTAAAAAATAGAATAATCTATAACATAAAAAGTCAACCCTAAAAGTGCCAGAGTGGCTACATCAATGTTACTCAAGGTGTACTTCAATACCAGGGATAATGCTGGTTATTATAAAATAATAAAAAGATAAACTCATTAAAAAAGCATAATGTTCATAAGAGTACCCTTAAAGTTCTAAAATACATAAAGTTTTATAATACTATAAGAAATAACTTAAAATGTAATTAAAATAAAAATGTCAGAAGCACATAAAATAAAGTACTTAAAAACAAACAAAATATGTACAAAACTTTACACTAAAAAATAACATTGAAATAAATTTTTAAAAATCTAAATAAAAACATATGCCATGCTTATGCATTTGAAGACTTAGTATTATTAATATAACAATTCTCCATAATTTATATAAATTCAATGAAATTCAAAGCAAGTAATATTTTTATAAAAATTGATAAACTTATAAAATGTGTATGGAAATTTAAATAACCAGAAATTGATAAAACAATTTTTAAAATGGAAAGCAAAGCTAGAGGACTCAAAATAATTTTAAGGCAATATAAGGCTATAATAATGAAAATAATGTGATATTGTATAAGGTTAATCCTGCCAACAAAAAAATATTCCAGGATACAGAATAGAGCCCACAAATAGACCCACTGATGTATGTCAACTTAGTTTTAACACAGGTTCCAGGTCAATTTGCTGCAAAGGAGATAGTCATTTCAATAAACAATACTAAGTGATAGCATGTTCATTTGGAAATTCTATGTTCCACCTTAATATTATACCATGCACAGAAATTAACTCAAAAATTGACTGTAGACATGAATTAAGGACTTAAACTAAAACCAAACTTATCTAAGAAAATATAGAATTTTTTTTTCCAGCTTGAAAGTTGCAAAGATATCTTACGTGATATAAAACCAAGATACTTCAAAGATAAAATGCTGTTACATTGCACTTCATCAAATTAAATAAAAATAAAATCATACTCTTCAGAAGTCACATATTATAAGAAATAAAAATGCAAGCCACAGACCAGCAGAAAGTATATGCAACACATATATCTGAAGTATTAGTCTGTTCTTATGCTGCTATAAGAACATACCTGAGACTGGGTAATTTACAAAGAAAAGAGGTTTAATTGACTCATAGTGCACCATGGCTGGGGAGGCCTCAGGAAACTTGCAATCATGGTGGAAGGAGAAGCTAACACATCTTTCTTCACATGGCAGCAGGGAGAAGAAGAATGAGTTTCCAGCAAATGGGGAAGACCGTATAAACCATCAGACCTTGTAAGACTTATTCACTATCATGAGAATAGCATGGGAAAAGCTGCCCCCCTAATTCAATTACCTCCCACTGGGTCCCTTCTATGACATGTGGCAATTATGGAAACTACAATATGAGATTTGGGTGGGGACACAGAGCCAAACTGTATCATTCCACCCTTGGCCCCTTCCAAATCTCATGTTCTCACAATTCAAAACACAATCATGCCCTTCCAACAGTCTCCTAAAGTCTATTATTCCAACATTAATTCAAAAGTCCAATTCCAAAATCTCATCTGAGACAGGGTGCCTTCCCCTATGAGCCTGTCAAATCAAAAGCATGTTAGTTACTTCCTAAACAAAATGGGGATACAGACATCAGGTCACTACACTTATTCCAAATGGGAGAAATTGGCCAAAACAAAAGAGCTTACAGGCCCCATACAAGTCCGAAATCCAATAAGGCGGTCATTAAACCTTAAAGTTCCAAAATTTTCTCCTTTGACTCTATGTCTCACATCCAGTTCATGCTGATCCAAGAGGTGGGTTCCCACAGTCTTGGGCAGCTCCACCTCTTTGGCTTTGCAGGATACAGTCTCCCTCCTGGCTGCTTTCACGAGCCAGTGTTGAGGTTCTGTGGCGTTTCCAGGAGCATGGTGCAAGCTGTCCATGGATCTACCATTCCGGGGTCTGGAAGACAATGGCCCTCTTTCCACATCTCCACCAGGCTGTGCCCCAGTGGGGACTCTGTGTGGGAGCTCTGACTCTCCCTTTCCCTCTGCACTGCCCTAGCAGGGGTTCTCCATGACGGTTCTGCCCCTCCAGCAAACTTATGCCTGGACACCTAGGCATTTCTATGTAGCCTCTGAAATCTAGGCTGAGGTTCCCAAACCCCAATTCTTGACTTCTGTGCACCCACGGGCCCAACATCATGAGGAAGTTGCCAAGGCTTGGGGCTTGTACCTCTGAAGCAATGGCCTGAGCTGTATGTTGGCCCCGTTTAGCTGTGGCTGGAGCTGAAGCAGCTGGGATGCAGGGCACCATGTCCTGAGGCTGCATAAAGCAGAGGGGCCCTGGTCCTGACCCACAAAATCATTTTTCCTTCCTAGTCCTCAGGGCCTATGATGGAGGGGCTCCCAGGAAGGTCTCTGACATGGCCTGGAGACATTTTCTCCATTGTCTTGGTGATTAACGTTCAGTTCCTTGTTACCTATACAAATTTCTGCAGGAGGCTTTAACTTCTCCCCAAAACATTGGCTTTTCTTTTCTATTGCATTGTCAGGCTATACATTTTTCATGCTTTTATGCTCCGCTTCCTATTGAACACTGTCACTTAGAAATTTCTTCCACCACATACCCTAAATCATCTCTCTCAAGTTCAAAGTTCCACAGATCTCTAGGGCAGGAGCAAAATGCCACCAGTCTCTTTGTATAGCAAGAGTGACCTTTACTCCAGTTTCCAACAAGTTCTTCATCTCCATCTGAGATCACCTCAGCCTGGACTTCACTGTCCATATCACTATTAGCATTTTGGTCAAAGCCACTCAACAAGTCTCTAGGAAGTTCCAAACTTTCCCACATTTTCCTGTCTTCTTCTGAGTCTTCTAAACTGTTATACCCTCTGTCTGTTACCCAGTTCCAAAGTTGCTTCCACATTTTGGGGAATCCTTATAATAGCACCCCACTTTACTGCTACCAATTTATTGTATTAGTCTGTTCTGACACTGCTGTAAGGACATACCAGAGACTGGGTAATTTATAAAGAAAAGAGGTTTAATTGACTCAGTGCAGCATGGCTAGAAAGGCCTCAGGAAACTTACAGTCATGGTGGAAGAAGTCAATACATCCTTCTTCACATAGCGGTGGAGGCAAGAATGAGGCCCCATCAAAGGGGGAAGACCCTTATAAAACTATCAGATCTCGTGCAAACTTGCTATCACAAGAATAGCATAAGGAAAACTGCCCCCATGATTCAATCGTCACCTCCCACTGGGTCCCTCCTATGACATAGGAAGATTATGGGAACTATAATTCAAGATGAGATTTTTGGGGGGGACACAGCAAAACCATATTATCTGACAAGAGTTGGGAATGAAATCTATACGAAAACCCTTACAGGATGAGAGTAAATCGACCCAGTAAAAAATTGAGCAAAATATCTGAAAAAAGACATTTTCTTATTTAGCCAACAGGGGATATACAACATGAAAATATGATAAGCATCATTAGATATCAGGTAGATAAAATTTTTAATCCTCAGAAACTACTATATGCCTATTAGAATAAAAATACATAATACAAAATGTTGAAAATAATGTGTAACAACTGAGAAACACGTCCATTGGTGGTAGAAATGTGAAATGATTTGGAAAGCAGGTTTGTTAGTTAAAACTGCATTTACCTACAATCTACCAGTTCCATTCTCAAATATTTACTCAAGACAAATAAGGACAAGGACATGTAGATTAATGTACGTAGCAACTTTATTCATGAGTGTCCCAAATTGAAAACAAAATGAGTCTATTAGCTGATGGCTATGTCTTTTAACTTATGTAAGCCTTCATTTTCCCAAATTTAAAAATATATTATTGTACTACTTCAAAATCTGTTGTAGAGTTTAAGTAGGTTTAGCAGCATCAGTATCATCAGATTGGCCTTATATATTTGCCCCTTCACTTAATTTTAGGCTACTCAGTCTTTCTGTGCCTCAGTTTCTTACCTGTAAAATGAGGATCATAATGCATGTATATGTCATAAGTTCTTGTAAGGATTGAATTACTATGTAAATAACAGATATGATACCTGAAACAAAATACAAAACATGAAAAATATAATTTACTTAATAAATTCAATAACAGTCCCATAATTTGAATGGTTAGAAAATGCTGATGTTTCTAAAAACCTAACATTTGTAAGAACTTCTTCATTATTTAAAACATAGGCCTAGAAAGAAATGTGCTGAAGCTAGATTTTACTGGCTTTCAAGAGGTGATTGGGCACATCACTATCCAACTCTGCATTCAGTGTTGTCACATTAGTAGCTTACAACTGTCTATCATGAGTATGTTTAATGTGACAATTGGTAAATGTGACAAATAAGAATTTTTATTAGTTTACTTGTTTACTATCAGAAAATAGAGATCCATGAAACACAGATTAATAGGAAAGCACATGAGAGTTAGATCAGGGGCAACGAATAGACCAGTCTGCTCAAAAGAAAAATGATACTATTTAAGAAGCATAAGAATTTATCTAAAAACCCTTGTAATGCTATTTTTAGTTACAATTATCATAGGAAATGTTTCTCTTTTTAAATTAGAGATAGATTTCCTTTACTGAAGTGAATTCATGCCTATGTAAGGTTTCTTTTCTTTTACTTATTTATTCCAAGCACTTAAAAATATACAGCCTTTCCAGAAAATAATGTGGAAAATTCATTTCATTTTAAATCTGTGTTCCTGTAGTATTTGTCTACTGTTCAGCAAATCACATTAGTCTTGGTTTATAAGTGCACAGAGAATGAGAAAATCGAAGTCAAATCAAGGTTATTAAGGACAAGACAATGGTTAAATAGAATTTTCCTTAATGATTATCAACATTAAAAATATCATCAGAAAATTGCCTGTCTGCATTTTTAAAAAGATTCTAAAAACGTATTAATTACCCAAGATAAAATAATATATTCACATGATTATTTGGAGGGATATCATTCAAATGTTAGCATTGGTTTTCTAATTTTAATACCATGCTAATAATAGTTTTATTAATAGTTTTATTATATTTGTCATCAAATGAGTGATATACTGCTTTTTAATGGCAAAATATTAGCTACAACGAATAAATAAATGCATCTCTTCTCCAGTGCAGTTGGGTATACACACCTACAGTGTGCTGGGATCCATATAATTGGTTTTTGAATAAACTTTCTTTGAATTAAACATTTGCTTTTTTGTTTCCCAGTCATATAACGCTATTTAAAATTATGAAATTACTTATGTGCTATTATTAAGTACTTTTAAGCTTTCTAGACATTGATTCCAGCTATTATTTTAAAATTGTTTATTCGTAGCCTTTTATATTACAGCAAGAAGATATTTTAAAAGTACATTCTAAGTGTTAAAATTACATAAAGCAATGAAGTATTAGCCACATGCCATCAAATAATTTTTCATCAAGCTGGAAGCTATGTAGTGGTTGGGTTTAGCAGCTCCAGAGTTAGACCTGTTTTGGCTCCTGACTGCTATTTACTCTCTGTATGACTTAGGAATATTTATCTGTTCTCTTAGATGCTTACGTTCCTTATCTTTAAAATAAGAAAAATAACAGTATTTCTGTAGCAGACATAATTGATGTCCCATTTCTTCATTCCCTGGGTCTACCTGAGTTCACCTGCACCTGTGAGCATTTCTGGCACCATTCCAGGCTTTCTTCCCGGATGCCTGTGTTCGAATCTCTTCTTTTCTGACTAAGGACTTTATCTGGCATCATGGGAGCTTGCTCAGCTGCTCACTTAGTTCACAAGTGTGGGATTGCTGAAGCATGGTGGAGTGCAATTCTCAACTAATGGCGAACGCGAATCAGTGGGTGAATGCCTCATCTCCATTTCCTCTGGTTTACAATTGTCCATTAACTACAGAGCACCCAGTTAAATTTGAATTTTAGATAAACAACACTTTTTTTTAGTGTAAGTATTTACCATCAATTCAAATTTAACCGGGCATCCTCTACACTTGCTAAATCTGGCAATCCTGAGTTGATAATTCTCAGTCATTTTCGGTATAGGCATCTCCACTCTTTTCATTATTTTAAAAGTATTTTAAAAGTTCCTTCATGGAAGTGAGCTCTAGCTTACCAAGCAGCAGTTTTTCATGAACACATAGAGGATATTGATTGCTTCTGTCTTAGTTCTTCACATCTGCTTCCTGGGATCACTTCCCTATTAACAACATGAAACCAAGTCTTTGTCTCTGGTTCTACTTTCGGTACAGCATAAGTTTAGGAAACTTGATAGGATTTTGGGGAGGACTAATTAGATAATACATTGAAAGTGTCTGGAAACTAACTGATGCTCAAGAAATAATAACATATTATTGTTATTATTAAAGGTGAAAGAACAATAGGATTAAAAGAAACGGAACAAAATCCAAAAAGATAAATATAAAAATAAATATGTGAACCAAACCACAATCTTGAAGGAATTGTACAAAAGGAGGTATCCCTGTAGACTGCTATACAGTCTTTCCAAAATGTGTTATCTATTCTTACTCTGTGCATATGATTGAATTATATAAAAACATCTTCCAATTGAAAATAAATAAAGTCATGGAAGAAAAGAAACATTTTTAATACACTCCCTATGTATATCTGACACTAGTGCTTTTATATGTATCATGTATTTTTCACAATAGTGCCAGGAAAGAGGTATTCTTTAGTCATTTTACCATTTAGGAAAGTGGAAGTCTAGAGATTAAGAAATTTCCTCATGAGTGTCTCAATTTATGTGACAGAGACAGGACCTATGCAAATAAATGTGTAAGTAATTTCAAAATAAAACACTGCTTCCTTCAGAAATAATGCTGGAAAAAATAAAAAATAAACTCACCAGAAGGTACTTATAAGATAGACTCCAAAATGTTTCCTTAAAATAAATCATTTAAAAGTTGCAAAAAAATGTACAACTAAAAAACTATTAGATAAACTTTAAAATGTAATCAAATAATCCAAAAGAAAGTAGAAAAGATAAACAGAGGGACAAAAGAAGAATGAGAGAAAAAGAAGGAAGGAAGGAAAAGAGGAAGGAAGGAAAGGAGGAAGGAAGGGAGGGAGGAAGGAAGGAAGGGAGGGAGGAAGGGAAGGAAGGAAGGAAGAAAGGAAGGAAGGAAGGAAGGAAGCAAGGAAAAATAAAGACTTACAAACAGCAAATAAATACTAAAATTGTAGGTCTAAATCCAACCATAACACAAATGTTGGTGGAAGAAATATTCCATTTAAAAGAAAAAAACTTTCACAATGGATAAAAAATATAAGACCCTGGCCGGGTGTGGTGGCTCATGCCTGTAATCCCAGCACTTTAGGAGGCTGAGGTGGACAGATCACCTGAGGTCACGAGTTGAAGACCAGCCTGGCCAACATGGTGAAACCCCATCTCTACTAAAAATACAAAAATTAGCCAGGTGTGATAGCAGGTGCCTATAATCCCAGCTGAGACAAGAGAATCGCTTGAACCCGGGAGGCAGAGGTTGCAGTGAGCTGAGATCATGCCATCGCACTCCAGCCTGGGTGACAAGAGTGAGACTTCATCAAAACAAACAAACAAACAAACAAAACAGACCCAACTATATGTTGTCTAAAAGAGATAGCATATGAAACAAAAAAAATTATTTTATTAAAAGAAATAGAAAAACATGAAGATTGATCTTTTTGAACATAGGGTTTGTTGAATTGTTTATTTTTATTTTTATTTAGCTCAAGCTAGTACTTAAAATTCTGAGTTTTGAAAAGCACTAAGTAACTTTGAGAGCACAGGTAGGGATTACATGGCTACCATTAGAAAAGTAGTTATATTTTAATCAATTACTGTTTATGCATCTTCTCCTGACATAAATATTTCATGTATGGTTACTATATTTCTAATTTAATCCCCCACTTTTCATTTAAGTTTTTCTTTCTACATGAAAGCTAACTATGGTAGCAATGAATTCAACCACTTGCTGAATTTTATATAACTATAGGCATGATATACTATAGCTTTTCCCTTATATTTAAATGAATTAAAAATAGGGTCTAGGACTAGTCATATTTTCAAAGACACACAGTCTATTGGCAGCAGAAAATTGTTTCAGCTTTATATCTATATTGATATATCTATATCTTTTCTATATGGTAGAGAAATAATAATATTTCTCCCTGATCTACTAAAGGAAACTAGCAGTACACAGAAGAACTTAACTGATTTTCCCAAAGGTATATCTGGCAAAGTTGGAAAAACAATATGGATCTGTGTGGCTTGAAATAAGAATCAACCTTTCAAACTGAGAATAATAAGGATGATTTCCTTTTCTGGGTTCGATTTATTAGGTCTGCCACATCTTCCTTTCTTCTTGTGTTTACTGTTAGGAAATCAAATTTATATCTACAATAGAGACCAAATATTATGTTGACTTCATTACATTTAGGATTTATTCACCAGGTACTCACAAAAAATAACAAACAAAACATAGGTGTTATAATTTTTGCCTTTAGTAATGAAAGAATGAATGAATGTGTATGGGTCTGCAACCATGATCTGTTCTGTGACAATCTGGACAGGTTAATTAAAGGGCTAAAAATATGAAAGTAATGGTTAGTATCAACAAAAGTAGTAATATCTAGATCTGTTTCATATGGTTCTTAATTTTCTTACACAAGCGACATTTACAAAGTTGGGTAATAATATAGAAAAAGTAACTGATTTTGGAACCAAAAAAACTGAATTATAGTTTGTATTAGTTTTCTATTGTAGTGTAATAAGTGACAAAATTTAGAGGTTTAAAATGATACTAATATATTATCTTATAGTTTTTCTAAGTTAGGAGTCCAGGTATAAGTTAGCTGGACAATCTACTCAGGGTCTTACCAGGCTGAAGTCAATGTGTCAGCTATGGCTGCAGCCTCATCTGATGCTTCGTCTGGGGTCACTTTCACCTCCTGGGGGCTGCCTTCCAGTTCTTGCTGCGTGAATTTCTCCATGGGCAATTTACAACATAATTGTTTTGTTCTTCTATTATCTCTGACTCATTTCACCTCTGACTTCTAGATCTTCATTTAAAATTAGCTTATGATATTTGGTCAGGCCCATGAAAGAAAATCTCCCATTTGATTAGCTCAAGAAAATTTATTAGGGATCTGAATTTATAGCTCCAAAAAAAAAATCCCTTGACTTTAGCCATACATTGTGGCCTAATCATGGAAGTTACATCCCATTATTTCAGTCACCCATACTCAGAGGGAGGGGATTATTCAAAGCATGAACATTAGGAGGTAGGAATCTTGGAGACCATCTTTGAATTCTACTCACCGTATCATCCAACATCCATTATGTTTTATCTTTGTAACACTGATCCATTTACTTATCTTGCCCTCTGTCTTCCCACCTGTAAAATTAGGCAATTGTACTAAATAATCCTGCCAGGAAACTCCCAGCTTTAACATTCTAAAATTCTATGAAGGCGAGAGAGCTTAAAATTATTAACAGTAATAAAGGTTACACACACAAATTTTTGACAACTTACAATATCCTCGGATTGGAAAGTTTCAGAAGCTTGCATCAGATTAGAAAGTTGAAGTAAAACAAGTAAATAAAGGCATCAAAAGTAAGCATTATATTATATATATTATATATATATGTATAATATAATATATATATATGATATATATATAGTTTTTTTTTTTGGAGATGGAGTTTCAATCTTGTCCCCCAGGCTGGAGTGCAGTGCTGTGAACTCGGCTCACTGCAACCTCAGCCTCCTGGGTTCAAGTGATTCTCCTGCCTCAGGCTCCCAAGTAGCTGGAATTACAGGCATGCACCACCACGCCCAGCTAATATTTGTATTTTTAGTAGAGATGGGGTTTCACCGTGTTGACCAGTCTGGTCTCAAACTCCTGACCTCAAGTGATCATCCCGCCTTGGCCTCCCAAAGTGAAGTAAGCATTATATTTAAACGAACTCAGGGTGCATGTTTATTGACTATTATATGCTCATTCAACCACTATGGGATTCAAAGCAGAACATGGAACATTAAAGTATTCATTGAATTACAATAATTATGGAAATTTAGAAATGAGAGGTTTGACATAGCGGGGAGTAAAACTAACTAAAACTCTAAAGTTGAGGTAATTTTAATGGTAAATTTAATGGTAATTTAAAATGATGAGTTTATATTGCTATGTAATCTGTCATATTACAAAATTGTATTTCTAGGCCAATAAAATGGTTTATAAAACCTGACTTGAAATATATTAGTAGTAGTATATTAATGTTAGAAAGATGCAAGAATACATAAAACATAGATGTAACAAACTCCTTTAGAGAAATTTTAGCTGTTCTGATAGAAAACAGATTCTTCAGTAAATTTCAGAAAGCAGAAAGCTCTCACAGGGAAGGAAGTAAGATGGAATGTGGTAGTAGGGTTTTCTCTTCCATTACAATCTCATTTAGAGTGTTCTCAACTTGATTTGAAATACCAGAAATGATCTCAAGAAATATCTGTGAAAACATGACATTGTGATACTTTCTTTTTACATGGTGTTCCACATAACTGTTTTTCAATTGTTTCTGAAAATCTTTTGTGAGATTAACTGAAGACAACGTGGCACTGTATGGTACTTAAATTCACAGGCATGATTCTGGGACAACAGATTTTATTCAATCTGGGTAGATTCATAGCCAAAAAGAAAGTACAAATCTTTCAGTAATATAAAGAAAACTGCAGTAATGATCAGCTGAGAGGTCTCTGAGGAACTTAAATGGTGACCTGGCAGCTAGCTTTTGTCAGAGTGAAAAGCTAATCCCCTAGGGTTGAATAAGCGCTGCTAGAAAGATCCTGAGCCACTTTAAAGTATTGTTCTATTTATAAGGCAATGATAAGGAGAGATGAAGACGTGCACATAAAGGTGATGCAGTTGCTAGTTAGATAGGCATAATGGTGACCTCCTTTATTCAGGTTCCACCAGGCTGATTCTCAAAAGGGAATTGCTATCTGACTTGCTGCCTGACTGCCAAATTTATTGGTCTTGCTGCCAGATGTGTTTTGGCTCACAGTGAGGTAGAAAGCTTAAAATGCCTTACAAGTGCAGTGCGACACTTAGAAAAGGCAGGCAGTCAGAAAATGTCAGAAGTACAAGACTGCGCTCAGACTTCTAAAAATTACCCAAACGTCAGTCACTTAACTGAGTGAAGTAATTCAGAAAAAGTGTATGAGCTCTCACTGCAGTGCTGTCCAAGGATCTCTAGATTTTCCATTGCTCAAAGCAAAGCCAATTCAGTAACTTCAGTATCCCCCTTTTCAATCTAATTGGTGAAAGTATAGTTGAGTGGAGAAGAAAATGATATTTTAAAAAAGAAGGTCTATGTAAAATTGGTGCTGTGGCAAGACTACACACTTGGCAGTTTGTAAGCTATATTGACAATAACAGGGAGTCACAATAGTAGGCGATCTGAATTTAAACGTGGGCTCTTCTAGGTACTGTATGATCTTGGGCAAATTAATTTACCTGCTCTGAACCTTGGCTTCAATAATAATAATCTAGCGAAGATTATTATGTTTAGCAAAATCTATAATCCAGCAAAATCATTACATATTATCTAACAAGGAATAATATCCTTTACATTCCTGCTAAAATTATAACCCACCCAATGCTCCATATCACTCTTATCATCTTTGCTTTTCTCCATAGCTCTTATCATAATAACATACAATAAAGAGTTTGCATATGTACTTTGTTTATGTTTGGTTTTCTGTCTCCAAAAAGATGTACACTCCATCAGGAAAGGTGTTTTTGCTTGTTTTACCAACAGCTTTATCTCCAGGGCCTAAAATATTACTTAACGCACAGTAAGGGATCATATTTATGTTTGTTAAACAAATAAGTTCCTCTTTCAAAGGTTATTGGAGGAATAAAATGAAATGTGTTATGTGTAGAATCAAGAATCAAGTCAATAGCACAAAATTAATATTAGTCCCCTTTTTCATACTATTAATAGGTCTTGTCTTTTTAAGAGTATATATGCATCTACCTCCTTGTCAGATTGTGAGTTCTGAGAATGTAGGTACTTATTTTATCTCTACATATTCTTCACCTACTGGCTTGGCACAGTAGTAATCAAAATATATTTAATTAATTAATAGGTGAATGATATTGAAATAGGCACATGATCAATAAATAATTGAAGCAAAAAAGCATCTGAGCTAAATCAGAAGGCATAAATTGCATATTCTGAATGAACAAAGTAATAATCATTCACTTTCTTGAAAAATTTATGCACTTCAATTTTAGATACTGATTCAGAGGAAAGCAATGCAGCATATTTTGTAAGTTTCTTTAATCTTCATTTAGCCTAATTTTTCCAAAAAGTGCAACGCATTATGTTCCTTTTATGTTGAGTTCATAAATATTGACCACAGTCACTTATATATAGTAGAAGCTTTCCATATATGAGAAGTTATCAATATATATTATTCTGGGGACCTACTCTTTTTTTCTTTAAAACCAATCTGCTAGAAATCAAAATACAGTGAATCAACATTGTTTTATGATTCTACACATAATAAATTTTAATTATGACAAAGATAATAATGTGGTTTTTGTTTTTGGTTCTGTTTATGTGATGAATCACATTTATTGGTTTGTGTATGTTGAACCAACCTTGCATCTCAGATACAAAGCCTACTTGATTGTGGTGGATTAGCTTTTTGATGTGTTGTTGGATTTGCTTTGCTAGTATTTTGTTGAGGATTTTTGCATCTGTGTTCATCAAGAATATTGCTCTGAAGTTTTCATTTTTGTGTCTCTTTGAGGTTTTGCTATCAGAATGATACTGGCCTCATAGAATGAGTTAGGGAGGTGTATCCCTCCTCCTCAGTTTTTTGAAATAGTTTCAGTAGGAATGGTACCAGCTCTTCTTTGTACATCTGGTAGAACTTGGCTGTGAATCCAACGGTTCCTGCGCTTTTTCTGGTTGGTAGGCTTTTTATTTCTGATTCCATCTTGAAACGTTATTCTTCTGCTCAGGGATTCAATTTCTTCTTGGTTCAGCCTTGGGAGGTTATATCTTTCTGGGAACTTTTTCATTTCTTTTAGATTTTCTAGCTTGTGTGCATAGAATTGCCTGTTGTAGTTGCTAAGGGGTTTCTGTATTTCTGTTGGGTCAGTGGTAATGTCCCCTTTGTCATTCCTGATTGTGTTCATTTGGATTTTCTCTCTTTTTTCTTTATTAGCCTAGCTAGCCATCTATCTATATATATTTATTATTTCCAAGAACCAACTTCTGGATTTGTTGATCTTTTGTATGGTTTTTCAAATGTTAATTTCCTTTAGTTCAGCCCTGATTTTGGTTATTTCTTGTCTTCTGCTAGCTTTGGGGTTGATTTTCTATGTTTTTCTTGTTCCTCTAGTCATGATGTTAGGTTGTTAATTTGAGATCTTTCTGATTTTTCGATGTGGGCATTTAGCACTGTAAATTACCCTCTTAACACTGCTTTAGCTGTGTCCCAGAGATTCTGGTATGTTGTATCTTTGTTTTCATTAATTTCAAACAATTTTTTGATTTCTGCCTTAATTTCACTGTTTACCCAAAGTTATTTAGGAACACGTTGTTTAATTTCCATGTAATTGTGTGGTTTTGAGCAATTTTCTTAGTATTGATTTCTATTTTTATTGTGCTGTGGTCCAAGAGCGTGGTGGCATTATTTCAGCTTATTTGAATGTGCTGAGGATTGTTTTATGTCTAATTGTGTGGTCAATTTTAGAGTATGTGCCACGTGCAGATGAGAGGAATGTATATTCTGTTGTTTTTGGATGGAGAGTTCTGTAGTTGTCTATTAGGTCAAGTGTTGAGTTCAGGTTCTAAATATGTTAGTTTCTACCTTGAGGACCTGTCTGATACTGTCAGTGGGGTGTTGAAGTCTCACAGTATTATCATGTGGAAATCTAAGAAAAATCTGAAATCTAAAAAAAAAATCTGAAATCTAAGAAAAAAAACTAAAGGGCCATGGTTTAAGCTAGATTTATCTCTTTGCTTAAGATATATACTAGAGGACTTTCACATTCTCAGCTATAGTTGCTGAGAGAAAATTCAAAACAGAAAACAATACAGACTCTGAAGACTATGGCAACATAGCTGGTATTCCAGATTTTCTTGCATATGAAAAATAGATACATTAATATAATGAGTCCAGCATTAAGATAAGTCAAGGCTAGTATCTCTGAAAGTTTTTATGATTTGGACAATTGGTATCAGTACAATCTAACAAAGCTTGGAGAACTGGTAAACAGTGAAGTTTAATATCCATTAACTAGAGTGTTATCTGAGTGCAGAAATATATTTTGCATGGAGTATGGGGTTAAGAGGCTGTAGTATGTTACAGAAGTAAATTTGAAAGGTAACAATATTATCTCAATTGTAGAAGTACTGGAATTCTAGACAGTTCTCTAAGAAAGGAAACGAGTACAGAAAAACAAAGTAAAATTCAGTTGTCAGGATAGAAATTTCAACTCAACAGGGGTGACTGTACTGATTACAAAGTGTTCTTCAAGGTTATTAATATTTCATACCGAATTCAGTCACAGCTTTAGAACAGACTTAATGTTAATCAACACCCCTAAAATGTGAGGTCCAGCAAGTTTAAGATCTATGTCTAGTCTTACATATATAATTAGTGATAAACAGAACTGGACCTGAATTCTCAGTGAATCACTGCAAGAAAAAGTTTAATGCTATTAATTTAAATTTTGTGAGAACGTATATATAAGAATTACATCCTTTTAATTCAAAAGATAACTTTTTATTTGGAAACAAAAATCTTTTTTAAACTCAAACAAGTTGCAAAATTAATACCAATATATTTTTTTCTTGAGACATTTGTGAGTAAGCAACTAAACTGATGTCCTACCATCATCTAATATGTTAATGTGTAAATTCTACAAGCAAGGATATTATACTATGTGTACCATGAAAATCAGAAAATTAACTTTGATACATTATCACTATTTAATTCATAGACCTTGTTCAAAATATTGACAATAATTTCAATTAGGATGTTTAAAGAAAAGTGAGTTGATCTCAGATCATGTGTTGCCTTCATTTCTCATGACTCTTTACACCAATCTCAACCACTTCAGCCGTTCCTTGACATTCACTATCTTTAGACGTTTGAATTATTTTGAAAATATACCTCAATTTTGACATCATAATTATTAGTTTTATGTCATGCATTATGGCATATTTATCACAGGTATGATGCTTTAGTTTTTGCCTGCATCTTATCAGATGCCATGTGATTTCAATTTATTCCATTATTTGAGATGTTAAGTCTTTCACTTGATTAAATTGGTCCTTACCAATCTTTTCCTTTGTATTGATACTACTTTTCCCATTTGTAGTATTTTGAAGACTTCACATATATTCTGTTTCTTAAAGTTTTACCTCTATTAAATTTTCCTAATCGAAGTAATCATTTAATATGATGGTTGCCTAGCAGTACTTTTATAATTCCATAATTTCTTCTACATTTATTTGTTGCATGTTCACTGTAAGGAATAGCTTTATATGTTTTTATTTTATTTTATTTTATTTTATAATTTTTTTCCTATAGGGTCTCACTCTGTCACCCAGGCTGGAGTGCAGAGGCGCGATCTTGGTTCACTGCAACCTCCGCCTCCTCGATTCTCCTGCCTCAGCCTCACAAGTAGGTGGGATTACAGGTGCACAACACCATGCCCAGCTAATTTTTTTTGTGTTTACAGTAGAGACGGGGTTTCACCATGTTGGCAAGGCTGGTCTCGAACTCCTGACCTCAGGTGATCCACCCGCCTCGGCCTCCCAAAGTGCTGAAATGACAGGCTTGAGCAACTGTGCCCAGCCAGGAATAGCTTTCTGTGAACTCATGCATTCATTAATTCAATCATGTATTCATTTATGTCTGTATGAATTCATGAGTTACCATTTTATTTAATATGTAATTTATTTGAATGTAAAACTTGTTGAAGGTTTTGTTCAGTAGGAGCGTCTTCAAGCTTGATTCTGTGTCTTTTTTACATATTTCCATTATTCTTTCATCTGTCTTTTCTCCAAGAATCCCTGCTTCCTTCTTGTAGGGAGCCATATTTAGAAACCAAATATAGTGGTAGTTACTCACCAGTTTGGGGCAGAGCTAGAGAATATATGTATATATAAATACACAAATAGTGTTGCATTTATTTTTATTTCTCTCTACATATTTATATATTGAAACCAAGAGTTCACACCAATGCTTCTAATTATAATCCAATACCACAGGGTTTATCTTAGTTGTTCCCTTGTTTGTATTTGTATCTCCTTTCTCTGAAAATAAGAAGGCCCCAGAGTATATAACCAACCTCCAACTGCTATCACCGCCCTTGTCTCCCATCCCCTTCTTTTTTAACTCCCTGCCTGAATTCTAACACCATCTGCTGGGCTTTGTTTGCTCCTCACTCTTCACCTTCTCACTCAACCCTCGCTGTGTAGGTGGATGCCTCTCTGTCTTAGTCCTCCCATTCTTAGCCCTCACCTAATGGGTTTTTGACTAAATTATTGGAAGGAAGGAAGGAAGGGAGGGAGGGAGGGAGGGAGGGAGGGAGGGAGGGAGGGAAGGAAAGGGAGCTTTTTAGAATATAATTTTGCTATCTTACTTAATCTGGTCTATTCTAAACTAATTTTTAAACAATAAGAATTTAAATATGTAGCTATAATGTTTTTCTACCTAAAATTATTCTTTATCTAGCCAAAATGTAGAGATTCTAAGAAACCTTAGCTGACCTTGTGAGAGTTTCATTTCTTTACCCTACCTTCTTAAATGAGAAGTGTTTTTCCTCATAATCAATATGGTACCATCATTCTATATTAATTAAAATATTATCTTTCCCTTGTACTACTACACATGTGAAAACTGGGCGAACCATGTCACACAAGATTCTATTACAGGTCACATTTTCTGAAGACTGCTACTCCATTTGTCTATCAAAAACATATCCACCCTTTTGTACTACCTCTCTCCAAGGTGTGATATCTTTACTAGATTGCTCATCTTGTTTATGCCCCATTTTTCTTGGGATTTCTGATTAAGAGTGAGTTAAAAACGAGGATTGTCATTCTTCAATTGTGATGATGAATTTTCTCAAAAGAGGAGGTGACCACAAAAACCTAGCTAATGCAAGCATAGCAAACACTTCCCTAAACTCTGTGCAAAAGTCGTATCTACCACACCCAAAAAGAGTTTCTCTAAGAACCATTAAAGCTTTATACACAGAAATACACACATATGTACACATCCTAACATTCAAACACCTATATGACTACAGAGTAGCTTTTGCTACTTTCTATATTACTAATGCATAAAGCCCTCACCTTATCCACTAGAGTACAATTCTGTCTGTTACCTTCTGTAACTTTTTCATTACATAAAAGTTTCAAATTAAATATGGTTTCATCATTCTCAGGTTACTTGAAATATTTTGGCACTGCTAAAAGCTAACACTTTGAAATATTGTCATATGACATCCATCCTCAATGGATAGCATTGCTCTAAAGAGGAAAATACTGGTTCTTATGATGTAAACAAGTATATATATAGAATATGTCTATAGTATTAGTTTCATGAGGAAAAGGTGATTAGAAAATGTATAATTAAAGACTTTTTAGAAGGACAATAATAAAAATTTTGAGACACACTGCTATATGTCTATCATTTTGAGAAAAAGTCTCTGACATTATCAATGAAATATAATACCACCTTGGTTGGAAATTCACTGATGCTCTGTGGCCTCTTGGTTCTGCTCTCATGTCACAGGAGATTCTTTGAAGTGTGTCTGTGGGTTACAGGTCATTTGATTATTTCATAGAAATAGGACTAAACTTTAGATATTATAGCTATCAAAGTCATGCTTCATCTGGGTAGTCTGATAGCATCACAACTCTTCAAGAGGTGCTTCTGTGTTAAAAGCTTGTGATTCACTAAATACAGAGACCAAAAGTTAACTATTTAGCTAATTATTTATTTCATCATTTAGTTTGTTTATTCATATATTTATATGTTTAATAGATAATGGCTTGATGGGAGAGCATGGCTAAAGTTTACATCAAACTTGAAATCTCAAATTCTCCTAAAACCTAAGATTTGAATAGTAAAAGTTAGTAGCATATCAGGTGATAATCTTATCAACATTCTAATCATCTTCCCTTTATTATAGAAATTCTACCAGGCACTAAGCCAGGCTATGTGATTACAGCTTTAAATAACATACAGTTCCTGCTCTCAGGTCTCTACCATATAACAGTAGGTACCACACAAAGGAAACAAACAATTACTCATTACCTACATGAGCTGATCAATATATTCCTGCATGATATATAGAATAATAAAATGTAATTTCATTACTATCTGTCCTTATTGTAATTAGTTTACATTATATTTTCCTACAGCATTATATTTACTGTCTTATAGAAAATGGAATGGAATTTATATTTTAATAATGTGGAATGGAAGAGTATACTGTATTTTTGTTTACAAACATCAATGCTATGATACCTCTGGTCAGAGTATCGTAGAATTTTATAGCTAGAAAGGATACTGCTTAGTCTATTCACAGTCTGAAGTATTTTGTCTTTAAAAATGTTTCCTTACAACACTATAAGGAACTATTTGCTTAAAAATCCATCAAACCAGTATCTGTACTACAGCAGAAATAAAAGGTTGGTAGGAACAGTTTTCTGGGCCAACTCTGGAAAAAAAAGAATAAAATTGTATATTGCACTAAGAACTAAGATTAAAGTAATATATAACAATATACAGTAATCTAATAACCTCTGGACCTAAAACAACGCTGGGCTAAATAATAAACATATTATTGTCATTTTTCAGAGTTTGAGATGATGACAAACATAGGACTCACAGATCCAAAATATGTTGAACTTTTGGTGGCTGAAACGCATTTCTCAAAACATAGTGTGGAACTATGAGAGTCAAAAAAGACTTGAGGCATATAGTTCCTCAAGATAATATGATTTATTAAATTGTTTCATCTCTTGGCTTACTGGTGTGCGACACAATAAGAAATAAAGGAATACGAAGTATGCACAAAAAGTTATTTTTCCCTCTATATTGTTTCCTTAGATCTGTGGCTGTTAAAGTTTATCTATTTTTATTGATAATTCAAAATTATATAATATTATGCAGAAGAAAGAATTTTGATCTGTAAATCTACTAAATGGAGAGTGGAGTGAAACGGAATAGTGAACACTTTGACAATGCAAGGTAAATGGCATCTAAGAAAGCATCATTTTAAGCACGTTAAGTATATGTGATTGGAATCTGATTTTATAGAGGCTTTTCAGTCCCATGAGATTTCACTCCGTTTTAGGTAAATAAATGGTGCCGTAGGTATTAATCAATTTACAGAACAGCTTCTTATTGCTGCATAAAATAACAGCATTGCAACTCTTCAAGAGGTGATTCTGTGTTAAAAGCTTATGATTAACTAAATAGGGAGATCAAAAGTTAACTATTTAGCTATTTATTTATTTCTTCATTTAGTTTGTTTATTCATGTATTTATGTGACTAATAGAAAATGGCTTGATGGGAGAGCATGGCTCCCACTTAAAAACTTTTATTAAACAAGGTGGCACATAAATAAATGTATTGCCAAAATAATTAAGTAATTAACTCACAGAAGGACAGGAGAGTTACAATCACTGAAAATTGGTAAATTCCTGTATTTTATTATGCATATACATATACACACATATATAATAAAATAGCTTTTAACACAGAATCACTTCTTGAAGAGTTGCAATGCTATTACTTTATGCAGTAATAAAAAGCTGTTTTGTAAATTGATTAATACCTACAGCACCATTTATTTACCTAAAACGGAGTGAAATCTCATGGGACTGAAAAGCCTCGATAAAATCAGATTCCAATCACATATACTTAATGTGCTTAAAATGATGCTTTCTTAGATGCCATTTACCTTGCACTGTCAAAGTGTTCACTATTCTGTTTCACTCCATTCTCCATTTAGTAGATTTAAATGGAGAATGGAAATATATACACACGTACATATATAATAAAATATATATGTGTATATATATATGTGTGTGTATGTATATATGTGTGTGTGTGTGTGTGTGTGTGTGTATCTACGTTTCTCTGTATATACAAAGAGATGGAGAAAAAAAAGAAAAGACCATTCTTGTATTCATAGGAAATGTATTGACTCCTGAAATTGGTGATTATCAAAAGGATGAGATTCTGCAAACTTCGAAGGAGAAAGGTCATCCCTTTTCAAACGGCTCTCCAATTGATATCAGGTTCATTTTTCTAAGTTCAGGGTCTTCTTAAACACTTAACAACATCTTAATTGAGTGCTTACATTACTACTGTAAGTTTAATTTCTGTAACTCTTAAATAACTTTAGCCTTATTACAAGCAATTTTGGAAACTGTTTCTGGCCAGACATGGTGGCTCACGCCTGTAATCCCAGCACCTTGGGAGGCCAAGGTGGGAGGATCACAAGGTCAGGAGTTCGAGACCAACCTGCCAATATGGTAAAACTCTGTCTCTACTAAAAATACAAAAATTAGCCAGGTTTGGTGAGGCGTGCCTGTAATCCCAGCTACTCGGGAGGCTGAGGCAGAAGAATAGTTTGCATCTGGGAGGCGGAGGTTGCAGCGAGTGGAGATAGCACCACTGCACTCCAGGCTGGGCGACAGAGTGAGACCCTGTCTCAAAAAAAAAAAAAAAAAAAGAAGCTGTTTCTAGAACTCCAATCAATATGGTGAACTGAGCTAATGGAAATTAACCTACCCAGATGCTTTAAACACACAGGAATGTTGTGTATAAAATATATTTTTTAAGTTGTAAATATATAACTGAGTTTGATACCAACAAAACAAATATCTTTGCGCTAGTAATGAAGAGGAGATTAATGACCAGTACTTAATTATTTTTAACAAAAGTCCAATAGAGAGAGCAAAATCAGGATGTTAAGTTAGAGGTAGTAAGGGGACCTAGAGCTTAACTACATAAAGACAAAAGTGAAGAATGAAGCCAAAATAGTAACAAAAAAGTCCTCCATCCACCACCCTAGCAGCAGGAATGTTTGCTGTCCTTTATGACTTAAGGTGAAAATTGTTATCCTTGAAAAATTGGGACCTCCTGTTAGCAACTTGCTGAAAGGTCTAAATTCACACACTAAATTCACACTACTGAAGCAGTGAGGGGACACCAGCTGAGAGGCAGTGTAAACACTCATATAGGCCCATAGGGCTCTGGCAACAGTGAATGCTAAACATCTTCTAGAGTTCAGCCCACAGTCCAGAACCCACAGGGCTTCCATGGAAGCAATGCCTTTTGAGGCTGCACTCAGACTCAAGACTTAAAAACATGAAAAAGAAATGAATTATCACGGAGAATGAAGGATGAAAACAAATGGGTATCTTGAATCTTAAAAGTTAGACATTAGAAGACAATCTGAAAGGAACTTCAAAATAAGGTAGGCTATTATGTTCAAAGAGAAACAAAAATGCAGGCAGATTTGACAAGAGAACCAAGGTGCGGTGGCTCACGCCTGTAATCCCAGCACTTTGGGAGGCTGAGGCGGGTGGATCACAAGGTCAGGAGTTCAAGACCAGCCTGGCCAAGATGGTGAAACCCCGTCTCTACTAAAAATAAAAAATTAGCCGGGCGTGGTGGCAGCCGCCTGTAGTCCCAGCTACTCGGGAGGCTGAGGCAGGAGAAGTCCTTGAACCTGGGAGGTGGAGGTTGCAGTGAGCCGAGATCGTGCCACTGCACTCTAGTCTGGGCGACAGAGCGAGACTCCATCTCAAAAAAAAGAGAACCAAATATAAAGTTTAGAAATAAAAACTGTAGTTATTGAAATTAGCAATAAAATGTCAATGTACAGTTTGAATTGTTGACTAGCCATAGATGTATGAATAATTAATAAACCATAAACAATTTGAGCTCACATGGAAGAGGCAACTAATAATATGAAGAACTTAGATATGAAAAAAAGAAAGTGCTAATAGAAGGAGAAAATAAATGGAGCAAAAACATATTCCCAGTGATCAAGGACTTCAAACTTACATATTCCTTTAAGATGATAGTAATGATTTATTGGGGAAAATAGATCAAAGTATTATTTTAAGATAATTCAAATTGAATTTGAGGAAAAGCAAAATGCCTTCCACATGCTTCTAATATTTTTAATTGACTTTGTCTTTCTGTATTATTAAAACAATCATGTCCATCATCTCTAAAGCTTTTACCATATTCCAGGTACTTAACCAATAATTTTACTATTTTTTATTTCCTCCAATCCTTGTAACACCCATGTGAGGGAGGTCCCATTTGTCTTGCTTTACTGTTAATGAAACTAGAGTTTAGAAGGGTTAAGTAACAATAAAACTAGAGTTCAGAAGGGTTAAGCAACTTGGAAAAACTTAGATGATTCTTGAGTGGAGTCTGGATTCCAATTCTGGTTATCTGGCCTGATCCCATTCACTTAACAACTCTCCAATACCACACTTCAAAAAATAAAAATAAAAAAGAAAGAAAATTGCAGATTTAAATAGTCACAAGAAAAAATATTTTGAAAGAAATAAAACCTCCTAGTCACATTTTCTTTCTGACAAAATATTTTAAACCAATTCTCTTTAGAATACAGATATCCTCTCCAAAGCTCTGTAGTTTTAATGTGTCTTTCTTACCAGACAACTGAACCTCTTTGTGAAGCTCTCAATATGTAATCCTGACTCACCACTTTAAAACTATCTGATAAACTTGCCGATTGGAACAGACTAATGTTTTTATTGTAACAGATCTAAAAACCTCTTAAATTCTGCACTTGTTACCTCTCTTCTAAAACTCTCTGTTTTCCACCTGCTTTCAGCACCCAAAATGTATTTCAATTGTATCTTGGCTTCTTTCAGATTTCAAGATTTACATTATCAATTTACTCTCAGGACAAAATAAATTATGAGAATAATGAATTTTAAACCATACAATAAAAATAACTATGGGTCTAAACAATATAAAAATAATTGAATAAACGAACAAATGTGGGAGAAAGGATAGTTCTTCCTTGTAGTAGAATTCCCAAATGACCATTAGGCAGACAGCAAAGTACTAATTGTCACAGGCAAAAATCATCAATGAGTGGTAAATTATTGTGTTAAAGAATATGCAATGGAATGTTTGCACAGTCTCAAAGTATTTTTTTAACAAGATACTTATACGTCATAGAGGAAAAATCGTAACTTTACAGTGGAAAAATGCAGAAAAAAGCTACCTTAGCCATGTCACGATGTTAACATCACCAGTATTAAGACTCATGGACATCATGTCCTTCCTAGTATAAAGCACTGAGAAGAGCATTAATCACTTCTAGGGTATTCTTGCCCCCACAAAAATACTGAACTTTAATCATGAGACAGCATGAAACAAACCAAAACTGATGGACATTTTACAAAATAATTGGCCAGTACTCTCCAACAGTGTCAAGGTCATAAAAAACAAAGGCTGAGGAACTATCACAAATTGAATAATAAGAAAAAATGCTAAGTAAATAGTCTGGGACCTGGAATTAAATTCTGGGACCAAGAAAAGAGCATTAGTGAATAATTCTGATATTGTCTGTAGATTAGTAAATAGTATTTAATTAATGCTAATTTTCTTATTTCGGTAGTTATACTATGGTCATACAATATATTTGCTGTAAATCTAAAATTATTTCATTATAAAAAGTTAGTAAAGGATAATAATGTACGTCTTGGTTCACATTTAGTTGGATAATACTTGGCATATGCTAGAGAATTCTTTCTCTCCTATGAACCTGTAAACTTTCAATTCTTCACTAACTTTCTTTGTCATGAAACACACACATAAGTGCATACATACATGCAATTATAGCTATCCTGACATATCTTTTCTAAAAGAAATTTTACTAAACTTTATTAAATAAATAAATAACCTATTCATTTTAAATTATGACTATATATGAAGCTGCTTACATGAGAAGCAGATTGGTTCAAATCTATGTTTATAGATCGTCTGGCAAAGTGGTTTTCAACTGGGGTAAATTTTGTCCTAAAGAGAATATTTGACAGTTTCTGGAGACCAGGGAAAAGCACTACTGGCACCTAGCAATGCTGTTACAAACTTTACAATTCTCATGACAGTCCCCACAATAAAGATTTATCCAGTCCAAAATGTTAAGAATACAATGGCCGAGAAATTCTGCCCTAGCCAACGATTGCTTAACTCTTTGAGGTGTCCCATGGGGCTCCAAAATTGAATATAGCATAATATGCATCCACTATTTTATGTCATGCTGGAATAGTAGGAAAGACACTGGGTACCGGCAGACAAAAGACACGGTAACCAAGATCCCAATGGGCCTCACTCCCCTAAGGTCTTGCCTCCCTTAACCGGCTGACCCAAGTCCTATAGCAGAAAGCTGTTTCCTCCTAACTTGGCCGGCCGGACCAAATTCCTAACCCTAAAAGGACGAACTTAACCGTTTATCTAATTGAGTGATGTCTTCCAAGGTTGCTGAAGTGGGCTCTGCCATTTCCGATTAGAACCTCATCAGATCCAGCTGGCGGGCAACAAGATGGTCTCTAGTGCTGACCGGCATTCACCGCAAGGCACGGTTCATTCACTATTTTCTGCCCGTGGGACGCCTGTTAGGGCCTGATGCCCCACTCCAAAGGCGCAGGAAAAGCCCCGCCTACTCATGCCTGCATGCCAAGACACTCTTTTTCCCATTCTAGCTTCCTTAAAATGACAGGGGAGCCGAGTCCTTTGAGGAGCTAGCACCAGGGCCCCTTTCCTGTTCGCTGCTCCCTTGTGCTATTGAAGCCACCGGCCTGTTAAATCTTGCCTGAGAAAAATTTCTGTTTGGCCTGATGCTAATTTCTACATCTGCGAGAGCCAAAGAATCCAGGTCCAGGGTATGGTAACAATGCCATCTCAAATGTATTTGCCAAACTTGATGAAAAACAATACAGCTCTTTTGTGTGGTGTGGAAACAGAAAACATGAATTAATTTATGTTAAACAAAGACTGCAATGTGTAACTTAGCACGCAGAGATATTTCATTTTTATCTTTGTTCTTTCCCTCTGTTTTTTTTCATAGCAGACTCCTTGCATTTCAGTGAATACAATGTTATAAACCAACATGATGAATGCTGCTTTCAGAGAAGAGGGCAAAACACTGTTCCCAACTTCACTATCTCCATGTCAGTAACTATTGGAATTTTGCTGACTAGCAATAGTCCAACCCTTTTAGAGGCTTTTGATTCTTCTGTTTTTTTGATGAACTTGGATGCAGGCTTTTCCAATGCAAACCCAAGTAGTTCTTTAAAACTAATCTTCTCAGAAGGCGGCAAAACACAGTCATTGTAATCACGGTTCGCGGAGTAGGAATCCCTGGGTTCATATTCTGACTTTACTGTGCTGTACGTCTGTGGGGAAATAAGCTTTTGTGCTATATTTTCCTCGTATGTAATATTAAAAGTAAGAATTCTCACCTCCTAAAGTTGTGCAGATTAGCTATAGAACACTTAGAATACTGTCTGGCACATTAAAAGCTCTATGTAGGCCGGGCACCGTGGCTTACGCCTGTAATCCCAGCACTTTGGGAGGCCGAGGTGGGCGGATCACGAAGTCAGGAGATCGAGACCATCCTGGCTAACACAATGAAACCCCGTCTCTACTAAAAATACAAAAATTAGCCGGGCGTGGTGGCGGGCGCCTATAGTCCCAGCTACTCGGGAGGCTGAGGCAGGAGAATGGCGTGAACCTGGGAGGCGGAGCTTGCGGTGAGCAGAGATCGTGCCACTGTACTCCAGCCTAGGCGACAGAGACTCTGTCTCAAAAAAAAAAAAAAAAAAAAAAAAAAATCTCTGTGTAAGGTACTGCTGCTCTATCATTATTACTATTGTTTAAAAGGAGGCTACTCCTTGCAGAGTAGCCAGGATTGGACTCAATGCACAAAGAATCTCTTAAGAGTCTGTTTCATCAACAATGTCCTTCTGTAGACCACCCAGGCAAACATGTAAAGCTGGTATGTCTTTTGTCAGGTTATCTGTCTCTATCCTTATCTTATCTTTGTTCCCGTGAGAATTTTTAATCAGCTTTCCTTATTCTCTGCAGGCTCCTAAGGTCCAGATTTCCTGGAGACCTAGTCATGGACTTCCCAGGGTCTTTCCTACTGGTAGATTACAAACACATAGTCACTAACGTTAGATAATGCCATTTTGATGGTTACAGCTAAAAAAGCACCCTGACTATGAAGACAATTTTGGATTGCATGCATAATTTCATGAATTTATAAGACTTGTTCTCAAATTTATAGCTTCATAAAATTTGAACCACAAAAGATGTTTAAAGTTTTATTCCCATATTATTTTGTATTTGTTTCAAAGCTGGCCATCTGGGGTTCTCCTCCTGCCTAGAAATAACCTCCATTTACCCAATTCCAACATGAGACATTTGAGTCTCTAAAATGTGATCTTGTTTTAAATGTCATAATTAAAATGTAATTATTCTGTCTAAAATGGGATATATTAACTAAATGCATGCACTTTTGTTCTATATGTTACATCCAGGATTAAATCAAAACCCACTTTTTAAATCCAAACCCCTTTCTATGTTTGTAGCTTAAAAACTATTATTTTCTTTACATTCTGACTTGCTTATGTTATATAAACTGATAGGCTGTAGTGACTCTTATTTCCATTAGTAATTTGGAGATTTATGTAACTTAAAATATTTTGTTAAGTTAGACACAAGGAGTTTAAAGCTTATTCAAAGGAATTTTTAAAAATTTTCTTTCAGTCTGTTTTTTGGTCTTGTGTACAACAGGGACTAAAGCAGAAGGAGAGTGTAGTAGACATGAAATAAACACCGCAATTATTACCTTCATAGGACACAAGTAAAGGGGATACTCTTTTCAGTGTGGACTATCAAAAAAGGCTTAAATATGCCACTTAAGATACATGTTATGCAAAATAGCCTGATGAGACACAGTTTTCTTCGCTGTCAACTTAAATAGTGGAGCCAGAAAGAGTCTAACTAGTTTTAATAAGAGAAAGCAGATTGTTTGAGGTTTGGTATTTTTCTTATGTGCCCAGCTCAGGAACAAATGGGTCATCACTAGAAGTACAATTTTCTTGTAACAGGTATAATACTTTTCAATATTTTATATTTGTTTCCAACCTCCTGGTTGGGCAGTTTGTGCATATTTTCTGAAACTATTTCTAAAAGTTATAAGTAACAAAGAAATAAAATGAAGCCAAGTGTCTATCATTCTACGTAATTTGTCTGATTTAATTTTACAGAGCACTCATTGGAATACCTGTGTAGCCACATGCTTTTTCTCTATGGATAAGCCTCTTTCTGACAGTAGTAAGGAGCTTGTGTCACATTTGTAGCATACATAGCTGCCCTATTCATGTTATTTATTGGTCTAGGTGTATGTCCTAATTTGATGTGTTCAAATACAATAATTAAGTCACACACCTAAACCTCAAGGTAAGCTTTTTAAATAATCATAACATTCATTTTTGAATGAATACTAAGACCAATACTAAATAGTAAGTAGGTATTCCTTTCATTCTGTTTTATCACAGAGAGGCTAAGTCAGTTGCCAATAGCTAGGAACTGGCAGAACAAAGTACTAAACCCAGGAATACAGCCCTAGAGTCTTCACTTTTAACCACAGCAAAATGGATTCCTTCTCAGGAATTTGATAATGCTAATACAAACAGCACTTTTCTCTCACCTAAGCCTTGAAGTAAAGGCTATTTTGACCAGTTGGGATAGAGAAGACCCCAGCATTATGTTTCAACACACTTTCCCTATTTAGTGTGGCAAGAAAGAGAATTCATAGAATATCCTAAATAGTCAATAATGCTGCCATATTTTATACAAAGCAGAGCCCTCTATTCACTTCACCATCTAATAAAATAAAATTGACAACTGAAAAGCATGAACTCAGATTAGCTAATAAATAAATAAATAAATCCATCAAAAATTTCCAGCTTGAAAAAAGCCAGCAACCTCTGAATGTAGACTACAAAATCTGTAAGGATATAATGATGGAATCTTCTCCAACGACCCATTCTAAAGTGAGGGTCAGATAATGGATACTGACAATGTCCCAGGGCATAACATACAGCTTGTGGACTACTTTTCATTTTGTCTAAAGTGCTATTTAAAATAGTATTTGTAAAAAATTAAACCCTTAGAATTCTTTACTTGCACTTTTAATATTAACCTTTAATTAGAGCTTGTGTTCTGTATCATCCTAGTCTCTATCAAGGCCAAATTATAAAAGAATAGAAGACATCTAAAAATAATTCACATAATCTTCAAATTGAAACTATCATTTTTGAAATCTCCACAGAAATATTTTCAGAATTTTCAGCAATTTGTTTTATTATTCAAATTCAAATTTGTATAATGTACCTAATTCAATTTAATAGAGCACTCTTTAGAATCCCTATGTAGCCATATGCTTTTTCTCTATGAGTAATCTTCTCTCTTGACAGTAGGAAGGAGCTTGTGCCACATTTACAGAGTACATACCTGCCCTATTCATGTCACTTATTGGTCTAGGTTTTGCAGGGAGGACGGGGTTTACAGTAAGGACATGGTTCTATTATTAAGACAAGCTCCATTAATTTTCAAATAATAGAATAATTTTGTCAAAATATAAAACATATTCACATATATTTGATCACAGATTAAATAATTTTTAGTAAAAACAAAAAGATAAAAAAGGAATTGTGCTGAACAAGCCCATAGAATCAATTAAAAACATATATTATCAGTAAATAACACTTATACTGTGCAAGCTGTAAGTATAGTCTGTGTGTCAAAAAAAGTTTCTTAGACAATAAGTATCAAAAAATAAAAAAATTCTACAAATAGGGAAAATGTAAAGTCAAGTGTGAAATAAGAAATAGCATTCCCCATAAAACACTTAAGGACAAACCAAAAATCTACAGAAACATTTTATGAATTAGAAATTATAAATATATAGCACAGATTTGTACTATGGGTGAAAATATCATGCCATCTAGGTTGAAACGACTAGTCGTCAATTTAACAAGAGTATGCTTGGGAGAAAGTTAATATGAGCTCTCTGGAAAGTACATTATTCATTGTTAGTGAACATGCTTGATACAGAATCAAGGCATTATTGATATCTCAACAAGGAGGCAAATCAAAAGATACAAATTCAAAAGGTTCCTTTTCAAAGAGAAGAGAATAACAAATGAGTAAAATAATTATGAAACAACCAAAATATTAAATGAAGACATCCTTCGAAATTGAACTCTAAAGAGCACATTCATTGAATATGTTTTATATGAAAAAGTCAGTATTCTGTGGTATAGGACATACACACAGAGTAATCACTGCCTTTTGTGAGATTATAATCAAGCTCTATAATAATTCAGAACATTTTTACATTTAGAAGAAAAAATTCACTTTTAAACAACTACTTTATGGAAGACTGAAATATTCAAATTTAGAGTTATTGTGGGTTTGCAATGAAGAGCTTGTCAAAGTAAAAAATTATACACACATATATTTATATATTATATGTAGGTATTATATATAACACATATAATATGTATATATTATACATATTATGGATATATAATGTGTACAAATTATACATGTGTATATATAATTATATGTATGTATATTATATATAGTTATACACACACATAGATATACACACACATTCAAACACAATATATCTCCTATCTTTAAATCCATGTCGGCATTAAAATGTTAATTTTTAATGTAGTCTCATAAAGGCAAATACAACAGTACCAATTTCATTATTTTTATCCCACACCACTTCACACTTAGAAAATCCAATTTGCTCTCTTCTGTTCATCTTATGACTTTAATAACCTTTGGTAACTTGATGATTTCCACCCACAAAGACATATTCTTTCTGTCTAAAAGTCAATCAACACTGATGCCTCAATATCAAATGTCCTCAAAATCAACACATCTAAAACTTAACTTATCTAATCCTTATCACCATCTTTCTAGTTACTTTTCTAATTATCCTATATCTTATTGAACCAAAATACGTGCCCTTTCTATTACAACATAAGACAAAGTGGTCCCTCTACCATTTCTGTTACTTAGAAAATATTCATTTTTGTTAATTTGCCAGCATCTCTCCCAGAATGTGTGTGTGTGTATGTGTGTGTGTGTGTGTGTGTGTGTGTACATTGACAATGTCTAGAAAATATTTCACTATACTTTGGAAACAATATAGAGAATTAAGAGGAATTCTAATATCAATTGCTCTGGTATACGTGTGTATGTGTGTGTGTGAGAGAGAGCGTTAACCTTGAAAAATATTACAACTACCTCATATTTTAACTTTCCAAGATATAAGTCATAAAAAGGATACACATAAGAATACTTAAGGGTCATTTAATCCAAATTACAAGTTATAGTAGAAATATATTCTACAGCATTCCTGGTATACAACTTTCAAAATTCAATTTTTAAACATCCATCTTCTTCATTAAGTTATTCATCCTCTTGTTACATAATCTTTGTTTTAAGAAAGTTATATCCTCCGTTGAAGTAAAGTAAGGTTATTTTCATCTACAAATGCTGGTTCCTTTTTGTGAACATTAAAATCAACACACTAAAAAATAGCTCTTCCCCATGACAGCTCTTCAAATACTTGAGACAGCTATCAAGTAACCGTTTAGTCATTCCTTTGTCAAACAATTTTCTCATGTTCAAACATTTCTTATATAACATAATTTTCAGACATACAAAACAGGAAAAATGTTATTATTAGCAAGACTGATGTTTTTAACTGTAACTTCAATAGAAATTTGTCTAAAGATGACCTTATATATCAGACACACAATAAAATGATTATATTTAAAAGTTAGACTTGTTGAACTATTCAATTCAATAAATATTGACTTCTGAAAAATACCAGGGAAGAGAAAATTGCTTAGGACAAAAAAAAATACACAGGTCTTACCACACAAGTTCTCATAATCTAATGCAGAAGGCAGATTATAATGAATGCTAAAAACTATGATGAAGATAGGCTCAGGATGATTTAGAGACAAAATAAAAAATGCAAATGAGTCTGGGGAGAATAATGGAAAGGGATATATCAGCAGATGCTTGAGTCATTAATATAGGATTTCTAGGTTAATAAGAAATGGGAGTTAAGGGTTGCTTAAGGAAATATAATGCCACATGCAAACGTATGGAAATACAAATGATAGAAAAAAAGTGTTGCAAGAAACTAGAAGTAGTTTGTGTTGCAAAACTAATTAGTTTTTTTCATATATAAACAGCAAGAAGTAATGCCTAAACAGAGGTCAAATAATGAAATACAGGTATGGCCTAATAGAAAACTTAAAATGTTACTAGTAAACCATGGATGGATATAAAAGTTTATGTAGCTGAAAAGAGAAACTATCATACTTGTGTTTTTTAAAATTTACTCTGAGAATATTTCATAGGATAGACAGATTAATTGGAAGAAATCCACCAAGAGTCATAGAACAAAAATCAAAAGCCTCTTGAGATAATTCAGGATAAAAAGAATCATAACCAGGAGAGAAGTAATGAAAACAGAGAGGAATAGATCTATTCAAGAGATATCTATAAGTAAAATTGTAAAAAAAATCAACAATTTGATTGCAAATGTGATGCAGAAGATCATTTCACATTTTCTCATTTGGTTGGTTGTGCTTTTCCTTGAAATGGGATATATTACAGGATGACCAAGTTTACAGGAAAAATGATGAAGTATAATTTAGGTATTAGTTTATACTGATGATAAAGCCAAGTGTAATTAAAGTCTGGTTATGTGGAGCTGGAGCTTGAGAGACAGGTCTGGATTAAGAACAAATTTTGAGAATCAGTATGTAGGCAGGACTTGAAGCCATGAGAGAATATAAGCTTTTTTCAACCAATAGCTGATAGATGAAGAGGAGTCAAGACTAGAAACACTAGAAAACACAGTGTTTACTCTGATGATTTTTAAATCATCAAAGAAGTCCAGTGAAGAGAAGTAGTCATAGAGATAGGAGAGAAACTAGAAAATAGAAGGTATCCTACAATCCAAAGGAGAAGAGTGTTCCCCAAGAAGTATAGACACAGTGAATATTGAATCATCTCTACTGACTAGTGTAAATATTGAAAGATTGGTAATGATTGTAACAAAAACAATTTTAATGAAACAATGGATATTCAGCTTTCAGGCAATATTAAGAATTAAAGTAGTAAAATAAGTGTATAATTTTCTTTTAAGCTATATGTTTTTAAAATTAAAAAAAAAAAAAACACAAGTTGTAGGTTAGAGGTACCACCAGAGAAGAGTTCATTTTCTCCAAGGGTCCACAGAAGTATATACTGGGTAAATCTGTCATAGTCAATGGGTTGATAATCAGCCTCTTTTTAAATTGGGAAATAGATTTTAGATTGAGTAAGGCTAAATTCTGCTATTCAAACTCCTAATAGGTTGGTATATATATGAATGTTTATATATATATATATATATATACACACACACACACACACATATACACACATATTTTATATATGTGTGTATATATATATATATATATATATATATATATATATATACACACACACACACTGTATTAGGGTTCTCTAGAGGGATAGAATAGGATAGATATATTTATATATAAAAGATAGTTTATTAAGTATTAACTCACATGGTCACAAGGTCCCACAATAGGCCGTCTGCAAGCCGAGGAGTAAGGATAGCCAGTCCAAGTATCAAAACTGAAGAACTTGTAGTCCGATGTTCAAGAGCAGGAAGCATCCAGCATGGGAGAAAGATGTAGGCTGGGAGTCTAGGCCAGTCTCATCTTTTCACATTTTTCTGCCTGCTTTTTATATTCTAGCCTCACAGGCAGCTGATTAGATTGTGCCCACCCAGATCAAGTGTGGGTCTGCCTTTCCCAGCCCACTGACTCAAATGTTAATCTCCTTTGGCAACACTCTCACAGACATACCCGGGATCAATACTTTGTATCCTTCAATCGAATCAAGTTGATAGTATTAACCATCACATACACACATCAACTAATAGATTTATAATAAACAGTGTCACAAGTATGTCATATTTTCCTGATTCTTCCCCAATTCTGATTTAAGGATCTTCTTCTTGACCTATTTGTTCCCCTCAAAAACCCTATGCTTTTATCATGTATATGCACTTAGCACAGCTATCATTTTTTCACAATTTTATTTTATTATAGAATATATCAGGCAAAGAAAAGAATAGAATACAAAAAGTAATATAGCACACACTTGAATGCATGACACTCAGGTTTATCAATTCTAATTTTTAAGCAATTTTGCCTAAGGAAGTGAAACATCCATGTCATTTGGACAGAATTTCCTAGTTTTAGTGGAGAAATTTACATAGTGAAAATCATGCCTCTGTTACTTCTCCCTGTTCTCTACTTTTTATTGCTATCCAGCCCTCTTGTTTGAATAATTCACTCCAAAGAAAGATAATATTACTCTGCTTTTGAAACAACCAATACAGGATATCTTTGCATATTTCTGCTATTACCCAGTGTTATTGGTTAAATTGTTCCCCCCAAAAAATATGTTGAAGTCCTAACCCCCAGTATGTAAGAATGTAATTTTATTTGAAATAGAATCATAGTTGATATAATTAGTTGATTTAAAACGAGGTCATACTGGAATAGTGAGGACCCTTAATCCCATATGACCAGTGTGCCAATAAGAAATGATGTGAAGACACAGGGAAAGCAGCCACATGAAACAGAGGCAGAGATTGGAGTGATGCATCTATAAACCAAGGAATGCCAAGGATTGCTCGTGCTACCAGAAGCTATCAAGAGGCAAGGGAATATTCTACCCTAGAGACTTCAAGAGAGCAGGGCCCTGCTGACACCTTCTTTCAGACTTCCAGATTCTGGAACTGTGAGACAATAAGTTTCTGTTATTTTTAAACCATCTAGTTTTGGGGCCTTTTTATGACAGCCCTAATAAATGAATACATTCATTCATTAAATTATTTGCTTAGTTCTATCTGATTTCCAGACATAAAGCTAAGAGCTAGAAATAGGAAAACTAGACATAGTTTATATGATTATGGGGCTTACAATAAAGAAGATGCAAATACCTATGATTACAAATTGTGATAAGTACTTTGAAGTGAAAACTTAGGTATAATAAGTGACAACAATAGGGGTTACCTTATTAAGATTGGGGTGATCAAACAACATCATCCTGAAAAAATACAGTGAAGGTTGAGAATGATATCACCTGGGAAAGTGTGAGGGAGATAAATTCTGGCTGAGGAATTAGCAATAATTAGTTGAGCCAGCTGTAGCATACTAAGTAAATATTTGCTGTGAGGAGATCATGGCTCTATGAAGCCTCTATTGGTTCTTGTATTAGTTTCTTGTTTCTATTTAACAACTTATCCTAAGTTTAGTAGCTTAAAAGAACTCACAATTTATCATCTTACTGTTATGGAGGTTTTGAATTCTAAATTCAAGGTATCAGCAAGGACTGTGTTCCTTCTGAAAGCTTGAGGGGAGAACCTATTTACTTGCCTTTTCCAGCTTCTAGAGGCCATACGCCTTCCATGGCTCATGGGCCTTTCTTCCATCTTCAAAGCTACCAATATAGTATCTCAAATCAATTTTTTTCTTTCTCCTAATTCCCACGCCTCCCACGCCCCATTTTTCTCTCTTTCTCTCTCTCTCCCTCATTCTTTCTCTTCCTTCCCTCTCCCACCTATGCTTCTCATCACATCTCCTTTTCTGACTTTGATCCTCTTGCTTCCCTCTTGAAAGGACTCTTCTTATAGTGGGCCCATCCAGATAATCTAGGATAATCTCCTCATTTTAAGATCCTTAACTAATCATACCTGCCAAGTCTGTTTTGCCATTGAAACTTACATATTCACAGATTCTTGGGATTATGTTGGGTTCAGGGCTGGGGCAGGAGGGTGAGGGAGCACTGGTATGTCTACCACAGTTCCTGACTGATTTCCAAATCTGCAGGATCATGAAGATCCCCCTCCCGGAACCCAAGCTCCCCTTTTCTAGTGTTTATATTGAGTATTGCGTATTTCTCTTGTTTGAAATAAAGGATCTTGAATAGCAGAGAGTGGAAGCCAAAGAAAAGTTGAGTAATCAATACAGAAAGTGAAAGAACAAGCTTAATAAATAAATAAAAAGTTTATCAGCTAATGTGCATTACTTGATTGAAGATTTGAAGTTGAAGACAATCAATGTAGAGTAACACCAAACTGACTGGGTGGTTTCATATTCTTGGGAATATTTTAATGCATTGGTATAGATGTAAAATAAGAGATAGCTATGCTTATTCAGGTTAAAATTCTGATATCCCAGTGAAATGAATAGTTGAACTCTCAGAAGAAAACTCTATTTCCAAATGTAACAGGATGTCAAGTGCAATTTTTACTGATATTCCAGAATTTTCAACTAGAGTCCATAGCTAGGAACCAAGAGATGCTTATTAACCCAGAGTTGAAAGAAAGTTACAGATACTTGCACTTTCATTGGTTGGATAAGCTAGATATTCTTAGGTGATATGACCACCTCAAATTAATGGATACTGAATATAACAATTATTTCAGTGCATTAATGGATATATATATAAATAATTATATTTATAAATATGTTGAAAAGTCGAAATGATTGTTCTTTTAAAAACTGGAAAATTAAATTGAAAGATGTCATTGGCAATACCATAAAAATAAAATATCTATTATGGGAAAAAAGAATGAGGATAAAAATGACATAACTTTATTTGTATCTGATTATAATTCTCATATTGCTTTCTGTCACACTGGACTAGTGGGCCATGACCTTGGGTACATATTGGAAAGACAATCCACTTTAATCCATGGAAAATTCAGGCTCTCTGGTTACACCAATGACTGGTTTTTGGCCCCTTCTTCTCTTTGTTCTGCCATATATCTTGCAGTCTCATCTATATTTAGCTAGTCAGCTAGATGATAAAAAAAGCCCACAAACACTGACCCTCTCCACAGGACATTACAACTCATTTTGCTCACTGTCTCCAGTGATGTTTAGTTAGTTTTAAATGAAAATAGGTCATGTTGTGACAGCTCTCTCTTACTCAATTTAAACATTATATTTGATAATATAAAAAATACATGGAATTCTGCTTCTTGGCAGAATACAGTAGTATATGGTGAATTAATGCCTCCACTGCATCAGCTAGACAATAAATGGGTAAATATTAAATATTATATTTTGAAATCATATTAGCAACCTGTGGAATTGAAGTACTAAGGGAACTAAAAATTCAGAAATGTTAAAACTTTTCATTGTTTTTCAGATATGAGTGGACAAATACAGGAGTATTTATTAAAAACCAGGCAAGGTCATACTTGAGTCCTGGGTCATATGTTTATAGTTTAGTTTATAGTTGATAAACTAGGTATATCTTGGTGTGTAAAACACAGGGAGGAATAGGATATTGTGATTAACAATAGGCAAGAGTTTGAGATGGTTCCTCAAGATAATAGAGACAGGTAAATATCATCTATCCAACTGAAATGGATAAAGAATTATAATAATAAACTGCAAATGGAGTCACTTTTAAAAATCAAATCCCAGTTAGACACATAAATAATATGTAATTATAGACACAGAAATAATATGTAATGAGTGTGAATTTACAAAACATAAATTTGTATCTCAAATTTGCTTTTTTATAAGAACTTGAGAAAGTCACTTAATTTTTACAAGTTTCTTAACTCTAAACATAACTCTAATTCTGATTTGTTAGGTTTATATTTTATTTATGAAAGAGATCTAACAATAGTTGTCCTATGTTATAGAAGTGTTTCTGAAGATTAAGATTATATTTGTAAAAGTGTCTGGTTGCTTATCTTGTAAAGCATAATTCACATGTATTCATATATGAGAAAAAATCAGATAAAAATATATGTAAAACATTATAGAAAAATTTAATATTTGAGTTTTGTTTGTTTTTTTTTTTTTTAGACGAGTCTCGCTCTGTCACACAGGCCGGAGTGCAGTGGCGCGATCTTGGCTCACTACAAGCTCCACCTCCTGGGTTCTAGCAATTCTCTGCTTAGTAATAAATGATTAAGATAAAAAAAATCATTATTTATTTATCCCTTATTAATTGCATTATTATAAATACTTTACATGCTTTACCTCACTTTAGCTATGCAGCAAATTCATGAGGTATTTTTATTATGATTTCCATATTACATATAAGGTTTAAAGAGCGGTACAAAGAACTTAATAAGATTAAATAAATAGAAAGTGACAGAGCTGAAATTGGGACTCAGGTATTTTAAAACCAGAACCCCACTGTTTTAGCAATAAAAATGGAGATCAAATAGTTACAAATTTAGGAGGCATTTTTAATTGTAGAAATATATTAGGCTTCATCCCAAAATAGAAAAAATAAACCTATTATATATATCTTAACATAGAATAATTTGTGTTTATGAAATATCATATAAGTATTTTCAGATGAACCCATTATGTATAAAACAGATTTGTGTGAAAAATCAGATTAACATTTTATGAAGATTTGCTAATATTTAATAGACGCATGATGCATCTAACATATTACAAGCACAGAGTGATCAATTGAAAAATTTTCTGGATAACTCTGACAAAAAAGTAAATAAATTAATAAAATAGTCCCACCATATGTTTCTGCTTTTGCTTCAGTGCTCTAGATAATTAACAAGACACATTTATGTAACTTTGAAATTATTAATTTTTTTGCAAATTTGCATGCACTTTAAATAGGCATGTGAATCTCTCATCAAAATACTCTTTGACACACTATATATGAGCATAAATGTCATAAGTGAACTAATAAAGACAGCCATTAGATTTTTTCTCTGTGATGTGCCTAATAAATTAATGCTGTACTTTTCAAAGCGTGTAGCCATGACTTGTCATTCTACAAATGATCCGGTCTTGGGAGAATTTTCCTGCTTGCTATGTTTGAATTAGCTGAGGCTTAAGCCTTCATAAAGCTGCACCTTGGCACTTAACTGACTGGACACTTTTCCAGGTTGAGGGGTGACTGATTGATCAGAATAGTAAATGTCTTTTCTGGGCAGTAGATTTCCTAGGAGAACCAAAACAATCCTCTGGTCAGCAGCCAACTTAACCAGATCAGATTGGCCACTCAGCCGTTTCATCCATGGTTCTGTTGTAAACTTTTCAACTGTGTTATAAAACTAAATTGCCTTTCATTGAGGTTGATTTGGTGCACATCACTTTCATAACCAAGGTGAAATTTTTAAAAATAAAATTCAAATTAAGTCTAAAAAATAACATTAAAAAATACACATGTAATTGATTTTTAAAGTGTTTTCCTTGAGGCTTGAATTATAACATAATTGTTTCTATCCTTTTGTAGAAAGAAACTTAAATATCATTAACATATCAGAAGAACGGAGGCTGGAACATCCACAACAAAATCTTTTGTAATTGTCCTCGTAACAATTTTTTTTCTCTCTGGATAGGATTGCCACTGTGGTAATCACTCAGAAATCTGTGTTAGTAATTAGAATGGGTTACAGAGGCAGAGAACACTCTCCTCTGCAGGAAGATGAACCACAGACTTTCAAAAAGGGTATGTTGTTAAAGGAAGTTTAGTGAATAAGTTTATTGTCAAATGTCATTCTTTTTATGTTCATGTAGTCACTGGCCCATTTACACTTTGCATTCATTATTCAGTAGCTAAATTGTGAAATATTGCAAGAAATAATTTACCAAGAAAGCTATGTACTCTTAGGTATTCTTATTTTTTATATATTACATAATCAAATTCAATAACATGGGAATGTATAACCTAATTAAATTTGACAGTACATACTAAAATTAATGTACAATTTTACTGGCTTTGAAATGTGTCAACCTTATGTATTGAGGTTTGTTTTTACATTTTCATTACAGAATCAAAGTAATATGTTTTAAATATTAAGGTAATATTTGTCAAAATACGGTAATTTGAAAGCTGAATCAATATATGTAAAGTCAAGAGGGAAGTCATATTTTTAGCTAGATACTACAAATTGTTAGTATAACAAAAATGCAGCCATCTTTGATTTTTTGTTTATTCTCAACAATTCGTGGGAACATTACGCAGTAATGATTTGTAGACAACCAATGTTAAGGAGATTGATTTTAGGTTGATTGATATTTCTAAGTAAGAAGTAAGAGGTTTTGACTTAAAGTTAATTTTTGAAAGTAATTATTAAAATTTTATCTGCAACCAAAATTTAACCAAAACTCAAAAATCAGTTTTCAGTCTTTGAATTTACTGTTGAATTTCACTGATGAATAGGCAAATGCAATTAACTGGATTTGAAACATAGAAAAATGGTATTACCAAATATAAAATTTGTTTATATATTAAACTTTAAAAATTAATATTCTTTTCTTTTTTTTTAATTTTATCATTATTATACTTTAAGTTTTAGGGAACATGTGCTCAACGTGCAGGTTTGTTACATATGTATACATGTGTCATGTTGGTGTGCTGCACCCATTAACTCGTCATTTAGCATTAGGTATATCTCCTAATGCTATTCCTCCCCCCCTCCACCCACCCCACAACAGTCCCCGGTGTGTGATGTTCCCCTTCCTGTGTCCATGTGTTCTCATTCTTCAATTCCCACCTATGAGTAAGAACATGCGGTGTTTGGTTTTTTGTCCTTGCGATAGTTTGCTGAGAATGATGGTTTCCAGTTTCATCCATGTCCCTACAAAGGACATGAAATCATCATTTTTATGGCTGCATAGTATGCCCTGGTGTATATGTGACACATTTTCTTAATCCAGTCTATCGTTGTTGGACATTGAGGTTGGTTCCAAGTCTTTGCTGTTGTGAATAGTGCCACTATAAACATACGTGTGCATGTGTCTTTATAGCAGGATGATTTATAATCCTTTGGGTATATACCCAGTAATGGGATGGCCGGGTCAAATGGTATTTCTAGTTCCAGATCCCTGAGGGATTGCCACACTGACTTCCACAATGGTTGAACTAGTTTACAGTCCCACCAACAGTGTAAAAGTGTTCCTATTTCTCCACATCTTCTCCAGCACCTGTTGTTTCCTGACTTTTTAATGATTGCCATTCTAACTGGTGTGAGATGGTACACTGTGGTTTTGATTTGCATTTCTCTGATGGCCAGTGATGGTGAGCATTTTTTCATGTGTTTTTTGGCTGCATAAATGTCTTCTTTTGAGAAGTATCTGTTCATATCCTTTGCCCACTTTTTGATGGGGTTGTTTGTTTTTTTCTTGTAAATTTGTTTGAGTTCATTGTAGATTCTGGATATTAGCCCTTTGTCAGATGAGTAGGTTGCAAAAATTTTCTCCCATTCTGTAGGTTGTCTGTTCACTCTGATGGTAGTTTCTTTTGCTGTGCAGAAGCTCTTTAGTTTAATTAGATCCCATTTGTCAATTTTGGCTTTTGTTGCCATTACTTTTGGTGTTTTAGACATGAAGTCCTTGCCCATGCCTGTGTCCTGAATGGTAATACCTAGGTTTTCTTCTAGGGCTTTTAAGGTTTTAGGTCTAATGTTTAAGTCTTTAATTCATTTGAATTAATTTTTGTATAGGGTGTAAGGAAGTGATCCAGTTTCAGCTTTCTACACATGGCTAGCCAGTTTTCCCAGCACCATTTATTAAATAGGGAATCCTTTCCCCATTGCTTGTTTTTCTCAGGTTTGTCAAAGATCACATAGTTGTAGATATGCAGCATTATTTCTGAGGGCTCTGTTCTGTTCCATTGATCTATATCTCTGTTTTGGTACCAGTACCATGCTGTTTTGGTTACCGTAGCCTTGTAGTATAGTTTGAAGTCAGGTAGCCTGATGCCTCCAGCTTTGTACTTCTGGCTTAGGATTGACTTGGCAATGCAGGCTCTTTTTTGGTTCCATATGAACTTTAAAGTAGTTTTTTCCAAATCTGTGAAGAAAGTCATTGGTAGCTTGATGGGGACGGCATTGAATCTATAAATTACCTTGGGCAGTATGGCCATTTTCACGATATTGATTCTTCCTATCCACGAGCATGGAATGTTCTTCCATTTGTTTGTATCCTCTTTTATTTCCTTGAGGAGTGGTTTGCAGTTCTCCTTGAAGAGGTCCTTCACATCCCTTGTCAGTTGGATTCCTAGGTATTTTATTCTCTTTGTAGCAATTGTGAATGGGAGTTCACTCATGATTTGGCTCTCTGTTTGTCTGTTATTGGTGTATAAGAATGCTTGTGATTTTTGTACATTGATTTTGTATCCTGAGACTTTGCTGAAGTTGCTTATCAGCTTAAGGAGATTTTGGGCTGAGACAATGGGGTTTTCTAGATATACAATCATGTCATCTACAAACAGGGACAATTTGACTTCCTCTTTTCCTAATTGAATACCCTTTGTTTCCTTCTCCTGCCTGATTGCCCTGGCCAGAACTTCCAACACTACGTTGAATAGGAGTGGTGAGAGAGGGCATCCCTATCTTGTGCCAGTTTTCAAAGGGAATGCTTCCAGTTTTTGCCCATTCAGTATGAAATTGGCTGTGGGTTTGTCATAGGTAGCTCTTATTATTTTGAGATATGTCCCATCAATACCTAATTTATTGAGAGTTTTTAGCATGAAGCGTTGTTGAATTTTGTCAATGGCCTTTTCTGCATCTATTGAGATAATCATGTGGTTTTTGTCTTTGGTTCTGTTTGTATGCTGGATTACATTTATTGCTTTGCATATGTTGAACCAGCCTTGCATCCCAGGGATGAAGCCCACTTGATCATGGTGGATAAGCTTTTTGATGTGCTGCTGGATTCGGTTTGCCAGTATTTTATTGAGGATTTTTGCATCAATGTTCATCAAGGATATTGGTCTAAAATTGTCTTTTTTGGTTGTGTCTCTGCCCGGCTTTGGTATCAGGATGATGCTGGCCTCCTAAAATGAGTTAGGGAGGATGCCCTCTTTTTCTATTGATTGGAATGGTTTCAGAAGGAATGGTACCAGTTCCTCCTTGTACCTCTGGTAGAATTCAGCTGTGAATCCATCTGGTCCTGGACTCTTTTTGGTTGGCAAGCTATTGATGATTGCCTCAATTTCAGATCCTGTTATTGGTCTATTCAGAGATTCAACTTCTTCCTGGTTTAGTCTTTGGAGAGTGTATGTGTCGAGTAACTTATCCATTTCTTCTAGATTTTCTAGTTTATTTGCGTAGAGGTGTTTGTAATATTCTCTGATGGTAGTTTGTATTTCTGTGGGATCAGTGGTGATATCCCCTTTATCATTTTTTATTGTGTCTATTTGATTCTTCTCTTTTTTCTTCTTTATTAGTCTTGCTAGCAGTCTATCAATTTTGTTGATGTTTTCAAAAAACCAGCTCCTGCATTCATTAATTTTTTGAAGGGTTTTTTGTGTCTCTATTTCCTTCAGTTCTGCTCTCACCTGAGTTATTTCTTGCCTTCTGCTAGCTTTTGAATGTGTTTGCTCTTGCTTCTCTAGTTCTTTTAATTGTGATGTTAGGGTGTCCATTTTAGATCTTTCCTGCTTTCTCTTGTGGGCATTTAGTGCTATAAATTTCCCTCTACACACTGCTTTGAATGTGTCCCAGAGATTCTGGTATGTTGTGTCTTTGTTCTCGTTGGTTTCAAAGAACATCTTTGTTTCTGCCTTCATTTCATTATGTACCCAGTAGTCATTCAGGAGCAGGTTGTTCAGTTTCCATGTAGTTGAGTGGTTTTGAGTGAGTTTCTTAATCCTGAGTTCTAGTTTGATTGCACTGTGGTCTGAGAGACAGTTTGTTAAAATTTCTGTTCTTTTACATTTGCTGAGGAGTGCTTTACTTCCAACTATGTGGTCAATTTTGGAGTAGGTGTTGTGTGGTGCTGAAAAGAATGTATATTCTGTTGATTTTGGGTGGAGAGTTCTGTAGATGTCTATTAGGTCTGCTTGGTGCAGAGCTGAGTTCAATTCCTGGGTATCCTTGTTAACTTTCTGTCTCGTGGATCTGTCTAGTGTTGACAGTGGGGTGTTAAAGTCTCCCATTATTATTGTGTGGGAGTCCAAGTCTCTTTGTAGGTCACTAAGGACTTGCTTTATTACTCTGGGTGCTCCTGTATTGGGTGCATATATATTTAGGATAGTTAGCTCTTCTTGTTGAATTGATCCCTTTACCATTATGTAATGGCCTTCTTTGTCTCTTCTGATCTTTGTTGGTTTAAAGTCTGTTTTATCAGAGACTAGGATTGCAACCCCTGCCTTTTTTTTGCTTTCCATTTGCTTGGTAGCTCTTCCTCCATCCCTTTGTTTTGAGCCTATGTGTGTCTCTGCACGTGATATGGGTTTCCTGAATACAGCGCACTGATGGGTCTTGAGTCTTTATCCAATTTGCCAGTCTGTGTCTTTTAATTGGAGCATTTAGCCCATTAACATTTAAAGTTAATATTGTTATGTGTGAATTTGATCCCATCATTATGATGTTAGCTGGTTATTTTGCTCGTTAGTTGATGCAGTTTCTTCCTAGCCTTGATGGTCTTTACAATTTGGCATGTTTTTGCAGTGGCTGGTACTGGTTGTTCCTTTCCATGTTTAGTGCTTCCTTCAGGAGCTCTTGTAGGGCAGGCCTGGTGGTGACAAAATCTCTCAGCATTTGCTTGTCTGTAAAGGATTTTATTTCTCCTTCACTTATGAAGCTTAGTTTGGCTGGATATGAAATTCTGGGTTGAAAATTCTTTTCTTTAAGAATGTTGAATATTGGCCCCCACTCTCTTCTGGCTTGTAGAGTTTCTGCCGAGAGATCAGCTGTTAGTCTGATGGGCTTCCCTTTGTGGGTAACCCGACCTTTTTCTCTGGCTACCCTTAACATTTTTCCTTCATTTCAACTTTGGTGAATCTGACAATTATGTGTCTTGGAGTTGTTCTTCTCGAGGAGTATCTTTGTGGCATTCATCACATAGTTCTCGTGCTGTGGTTTTCAGCTCCATCAGGTCCTTTAAGGACTTCTATGCATTGGTTATTCTAGTTATCCATTCATCTAATTTTTTTTCAAAGCTTTTAACTTTTTTGCCATTGGTTCAAATTTCCTCCTGTAGCTCGAATTTCCTACTGTAGTTGGATAGTCTGAAGCCTTCTTCTCTCAACTCGTCAGTCATTCTCCATCCAGCTTTGTTCCGTTGCTGGTGAGGAGCTGCATTCCTTTGGAGGAGGAGAGGCACTCTGATTTTTAGAGTTTCCAGTTTTTCTGCTCTGTTTTTTCCCCATCTTTGTGGTTTTATCTACCTTTGGTCTTTGATGATAGTGATGTACAGATGGGTTTTTGGTGCGGATATCCTTTCTCTTTGTTAGTTTTCCTTCTAACAGACAGGACCCTCAGCTGCAGGTCTGTTGGAGTTTGCTAGATGTCCACTCCAGACCCTGTTTTCCTGGGTATCAGCAGCAGCAGCTGCAGAACAGCGGATATTGGTGAACCACAAATGCTGCTGGCCGATCGTTCCTCTGGAAGTTTTGTCTCAGAGGAGTACCCGGCTGTGTGAGGTGTCAGTCCGCCCCTACTGAGGGGTGCTCCCAGTTAGGCTACTCGGGGGTCAGGGACCCACTTGAGGAGACAGTCTGCCCACTCTCAGATATCAAGCTGCATGCTGGGAGAACCGCTACTCTCTTCAAAGCTGTCAGAGAGGGACATTTAAGTCTGCAGACGTTACTGCTGTCTTTTTGTTTGTCTGCGCCCTGCCCCCAGAGGTGGAGCCTACAGAGATCACCCATCTTCTGCGTTGCTCACGCTGGGAGCTGTAGACCCGAGCTGTTCCTATTCAGCCATATTGGCTTCTCCAAAATTAATATTTTTTATATATTAGGAATAGCAAAACTTTGCACAATGTGTAAGTTATATGAGTTAAATTCCCAACTGCCTTGTTGTTTCAAGTAATATAATATCCTGAACACCTCTATTTCAGTAACTATATTTTCTTATAAATGGCAAACCTTTTGCGGGTAGGAGCTGTATCAGTTATTAAGCTATTGTCTGTCAACTCCAGATCTACTTTTCTATACCTTAGTGATGCTATGACCGGTACACTGCAAATTACATTTCTCCTGTCTCAGCTACCTTCTAGATAGATTCTGCCAGCAAGTAACACTATAGGAAGTTTGGAAGGTAGATGAAGGAAGAAGGAAACAGTTACCTCCCATTTTGGTGGCTAGCTGTCCTAGGAAATGGCCTTTCACTCTTGGTCCACTCTCCAGCTTATTTTGGCACTATCAGAGCTAGCTTCATAGCATTTCTCAGAGGTATCAGCAGCTGCTAAGCAGGCTCCTCTTCTCAGAAGTGTGAGCTCCAGCTCTGTGGGGTCACTCCTTCATGGTACCAGCAGAAACTGGACGACATGCCCTCCTTAAAAGCCTGAGTGGCAGCTTCACAAGAAGCATCATCTGCAAAGCACCCACCTTTCCCTTTTGATTCTTCAGCCCTAGAAGTTGTAGCTCCTTCTCATAGTTATTATTTCTTTGTTACTTCAAATTTCCATTTTGCCTTCTCAGTCTTGCAACACGAATGCCGCAGCTCCCTAAAGTAAATTATCTGTATTGAAAAACATCATGGAGTTTCTATTTTGCTACTAGACTGATTGATGCATAGCACATATTTATTCTTATTTATATTGCTTAGGTATCCTTTCTATC